>NC_000009.12:122595552-123220552 GCF_000001405.40 Homo sapiens
AGACAGGGACATTTAAGTCTGCAGAGGTTACTGCTGTCTTTTTCTTTGTCTGTGCCCTGCCCCCAGAGGTGGAGCCTACAGAGGCAGGCAGGCCTCCTTGAGCTGTGGTGGGCTCCACCCAGTTCGAGCTTCCCGGCTGCTTTGTTTACCTAATCAAGCCTGGGCAATGGCGGGCGCCCCTCCCCCAGCCTCGCTGCCGCCTTGCAGTTTGATCTCAGACTGCTGTGCTAGCAATCAGTGAGACTCCGTGGGTGTAGGACCCTCTGAGCCAGGTGGGGGATATAATCTCCTGGTGTGCCGTTTTTTAAGGCTGTCGGAAAAGCGCAGTATTCGGGTGGGAGTGACCCGATTTTCCAGGTGCCATCTGTCACCACTTTCTTTGACTAGGAAAGGGAACTCCCTGACGCCTTGTGCTTCCTGAGTGAGGCAATGCCTCGCCCTGCTTCGGCTCGCACACGGTGCGCGCACCCACTGACCTGCGCCCACTGTCTGGCACTCCCTAGTGAGATGAACCTGGTACCTCAGATGGAAATGCAGAAATCACCCATCTTCTGCCTTGCTCACACTGGGAGCTGTAGACCAGAGCTGTTCCTATTCTGCCATCTTGGCTCCTCCTTCTTCAGCACTCTTAACGTGTCATCCCAGTCCTTCCTGGCCTGCAAAGTTTCTGCTGAGAAGTCTGCTGCCAGACGTATTAGATCTTCCTTATATGTGATTTGCTTCTTTTCTCTCACTGTTTTCAGTATTCTCTCCTTGTCTTTACCCTTTGAGAGTTTGACTCTAATATGTCTTGGATTATCCTCATTTGTGTTTAATATGTTGGTGACATTTGGCCTTCCTGAACCTGGATATTTATGTGTTTCTCAGATTTGGAAAATTTTCTGTTATTATTTTTTAAAATAAGCTTTCTTCCCCTTTGCCTTCTCAGTTTCCTCTTTAACTTCAATAACCCAATTATTTGCTATTTTGATGTTGCCTCATAGATCCCATAATCTTTCTTCATTTTTTTCATTCTCTGTCTTTTTTGTCTTCTGACTGTGTATTTTAAAAGTTTGTCTTTCCAGCTCACTGATTCTTTCTGCTGCTTGATCAGTTCTTCTGTTGATGCTCTCTACTGCATTTTTTGTAATTATTATACTTTAAGCTCTAGGGTACATGTGCACAACATGCAGGTTTGTTACATATTTATACATGTGCCATGTTCGTGTGCTGCACCCATTAACTTGTCATTTACATTAGGTATATCTCCTAATGCTATCCCTCCCCCCCTACCCCCACCCCACAACAGGCCCCAGTGTGTGATGTTCCCCTTCCTGTGACCAAGTGTTCTCATTGTTCAATTCCCACCTATGAGTGAAAACATGCGGTGTTTGGTTTTTTGTCCTTGTGATAGTTTGCTGAGAATGATGGTTTCCAGCTTCATCCATGTCCCTACAAAGGACATGAACTCATCCTTTTTTATTGCTGCATAGTATTCCATGGTGTATATGTGCCACATTTTCTTAATCCAGTCTATCACTGATGGACACTTGGGTTGGTTCCAAGTCTTTGCTATTGTGAATAGTGCCGCAGTGAACATACATGTACATGTGTCTTTATAGCAGCATGATTTATAATCCTTTGGCTATATACCCAGTAATGGGATGGCTGGGTCAAATGGTATTTCTAGTTCTAGATCCTTGAGGAATTGCCACACTGTCTTCCACAATGGTTGAACTAGTCTACAGTCCCACCAACAGTGTAAAAGTATTCCTATTTCTCCACATCCTCTCCAGCACCTGTTGTTTCCTGACTTTTTAATGATTGCCATTCTAACTGGTGTGAGATGGTACCTCATTGTGGTTTTGATTTGCATTTCTCTGATGGCCAGTGATGATGAGCATTTTTTCATGTGTCTTTTGGCTGCATAAATGTCTTCTTTTGAGAAGTGTCTGTTCATATCCTTTGCCCACTTTTTGATGGGGTTGTTTGTTTTTTTCTTGTAAATTTGTTGGAGTTCTTTGTAGATTCTCGTTATTAGCCCTTTGTCAGATGAGTAGATTGCAAAAATTTTCTCCCATTTTGTAGGTTGCCTGTTCACTCTGATGGTAGTTTCTTTTGCTGTGCAGAAGCTCTTTAGTTTAATTAGATCCCATTTGTCAATTTTGGCTTTTGTTGCCATTGCTTTTGGTGTTTTAGACATGAAGTCCTTGCCCATGCCTATGTCCTGAATGGTATCACATAGGTTTTCTTCTAGGGTTTTTATGGTTTCAGGTCTAACATGTAAGTGTTTAATTCGTCTTGAATTAATTTTTGTATAAGGTGTAAGGAAGGGATCCAGTTTCAGCTTTCTACATATGGCTAGCCAGTTTTCCCAGTACCATTTGTTAAATAGGGAATCCTTTCCCCATTGCTTGTTTTTGTCAGGTTTGTCAAAGATCAGATGGTTGTAGATGTGTGGTATTATTTATGAGGTCTCTGTTTCTGTTCCATTGGTCTATATCTCTGTTTTGGTAGCAGTACCATGCTGTTTTGGTTACTGTAGCCTTGTAGTATAGTTTGAAGTCAGGTAGCGTGATGCCTCCAGCTTTGTTCTTTTGGCTTAGGATTGTCTTGGCAATGCAGGCTCTTTTTTGTTTCCATATGAACTTTAAAGTCGTTTCTTCCAATTCTGTGAAGAAAGTCATTGGTAGCTTGATGGGGATGGCATTGAATCTATAAATTACCTTGGGTACTATGGTCATTTTCACGATATTGATTCTTCCTATCCATGAGCATGGAATGTTCTTCCATTTGTTTGTGTCCTCTTTTATTTTGTTGAGCAGTGGTTTATAGTTATCCTTGAAGAGGTCCTTCACATCCCTTGTAAGTTGGATTCCTAGGTATTTTATTCTCTTTGAAGCAATTGTGAATGGGAGTTCACTCATGATTTGGCTCCTGTTAGTCTGTTATTGATGTATAAGATGCTTGTGATTTTTGCACATTGATTTTATATCCTGAGACTTTGCTGAAGTTGCTTATCAGCTTAAGGAGATTTTGGGCTGAGACAATGGGGTTTTCTAAATATACAATCATGTCATCTGCAAACAGGGACAATTTGACTTCCTCTTTTCCTAATTGAATACCGTTTATTTCCTTCTCCTGCCTAATTGCCCTGGCCAGAACTTCCAACAGTATGTTGAATAGGAGTCTCTACTGCATTTTTTATTTCCTTCATCGTATTTTCACCTCCAGTATTTCTGTTCAATTTTTAAAAATTGTTTCAATCTGTTAAATTTATGAGGCCGTATTTCCCTGAATATTCTTGATGCTTGTTGATGGGCAACAATGTCTGTGCAGTGAGGGCTGGGTATTTATTTTAGTCTTCAAAGACTGGCTTTGTTTCCTTCTGTCTTTCTTCAGAGGACCTTCAAAGATTCTAAGGAAAATGACTATTGTGTTCCCTGAACCTGTAATCACTTCAGCCATCCCAGCACTAGAGGATCCTCTAAGCCCAGGCTTGCCATGAGTCTCCTGAGGGGCTTCAAGGTTGACATGGCTTTCCAGCCCAGATGAACCTGTGGAAGACCCAAGTGGGGGTACTTGGCTGTGTGGGAATGCTGGCTAGGGACCTGAGACCAGAAGACTGTCCCAATGACCCAGATGAGTGTGCCCCCAGCAGATCTCTGTACAAACAATGTTGAACAGAGGTGGCAAGAATGAATCTGCTAGTCTTGTTCCTAATCCTGGGGGAAAGCTTTCAGTCTTTCACCACTAAGTATGAGGTTAGCTGTGAGTTATTTTTTGATGCCTTTTATCAAGTTGAGAAAGCTCCCTTCTGTTCTTAGTGTGTTGAGTGTTTTTATCCTGAAAGAATGATGGATTTTGTCAATACTTTTTCTGCATGTATTGAGATGATCTTTTTTTATTCTGTTGGTATTGTGCATTACAGTAATTGCATTACATAATTTCAGATGTTGAGCCAACTTCTTTATTCTACTGATTGTTTCCTTTGTTGTACAGAAACTATTTAGCTTGATATAATCTCATTTGTCTATTTTTTTGTTCTTATTGCCTGTGCTTTTGAGGTCTTACCCAAAAAATCTCTGCCCTGCCCAGACCAATGTCCTGAAGTGTTTTCCCAATTTTTTTTCTAGTAGATTCATAGTTTCACATCTTATATTTACATCTTTAACCCATTTAGAGTTGATTTTTGTCTATGGTGAGAGATGGAGGTCCAATTTTATTCTTGTGCATATAGATATCTAGTTTTCCCAGCACCATTTATTGAATAAATTTTCCCAATGAATATTCTTGGCATCTTTGTCAAAATGATTTGGCTGTAAACATGTGGATTTATTTCTGGGTTCTCAATTCTTATTCTTATAATTTTTTATTATATATGTCTGTTTTTATGCCAGTAACATGCTGTTTTTGTTACTATAGCTTTGTAGTATATTTTGAAGTCAGATAGTGTGATGTTTCCAGCTTTATTCAGATTGCTTTTGTTATTCAGGGTCTTTTGCGAATCCATACAAAAGCTAGGATTGTTTTTTCTATTTCTGTGAAGAAAGTCATTGGTATTTTGATAGAGATCACACTGAATCTGTAGATTGCTTTGGGTAATATGAACATTTTGACAATATTCAATATTGGTGATAGCCAATGCCTATGGAACAAGCGAAATTGAATTTAACAGTGGACTACAAATGGACTTAGCCTAAAAACCACTCACTCCAGGCCTCACTTGCTGATCAAATGTGGCTAAAAGAATTTTGATATGGACTTCTTGTCACCAGTCACTCTCTCCAATGTGTAACCAGACCAACAACTTGGGACAGGTCTATCCCAGTCACAACTGGCAGTCAAAACCTAACAACAGGATGACTGATCAGTGATGCTTTTGGAGAACGATCTCCATCAAAAGAGGCTAATGGCAAAGTCATCAGAATCAAAATGGTATCACTTGTATTAACAACCCTGGAAAATGAAGCCAGGGAAGGCCAGAAAGGGAGGGTTCTCACACACGAATGCCTCATAACAAGAACTATCACAAAGGACTGCAGAAACTACAACCCTGCACAAAGGCCGCTGAAACCTCACACACACGCACAAAACACTTCTGTGCGAACATCTGCCCAGCAACTACCTGTCTCACCTCAGACTGTCACCACCCTTGTTATTGATTCCTGTAGCCAAGGATAATTATCTCAAACAATCGAGTAATCCTCATTTTTCTCAGCTTTCCTTTAAAAACTTTTACCTTCCTGAATATGCACATCATTTACTATGGCACATGTATTCTCATTGCAATGCCCATTCCCAAATAAATATCATTCATTTTAAAGAGCCTCTCTCTCACTGTTATTTAGGTTCAACAACATTTATTGAACACTAAAAGCAAGAACGGCAAAGCACACATTTCTTTCAAGCACACCTGGAACATTCATTAAGACAGACTACACCCTTGACCACTGGAGGATATGCTTTTATTTTTGCTCATGAAATATATAACAAGAATGACTATATGCTGGGTCATACAAAAGCCTAAAAGTCCTCAAAGAATTGAAATAATACCAAGTATGATATTTGAAAACAATGGAACTAAGCAAGAAAAATACTAGTAATAATCAGAAAATCACCAATTATTTGGAAATGATGCCATGCATTTCTAAACAGCCTGAGAGTCAAATAAAAAATATCAATGAAAATTAGAAAATATTAAAGATGGTAACAAAAATACAACATATCAAAATTTGTGAGATGCGACTAGTACAGTGAAAAAAAATTTCTAGCTCTAAATGCATGCAATAGAAAAAGGGGTGAAAAATCAATGGTATCTACTTCAACATTAAATAGGTAGGGGGAAAAAGCAACTTATTCCGAAAGAAAATAGAAAAAAGTAAACAATAAAAACAAATGTGAAAAGCAATGAAATGCAAGCAGTTACACAATACAGAAAAATCGACCAAACCAAAATTTGATCTTTTGAAAAGATTACTAAAATTAACAAACTCCTACCAAGACTGATCAAAGAAAAAGAAGAAAACAAAAATCAAAATTTTGGGAATGACAAAGGATATCACCAAAGATAATAAAAACATTAAAAAGATAATAAGCAATTTTAAATTTACTATAAATTTGTAGCATGCAAGATAGTACTGTGTTTATATGAAGATAGAAAATAGATTAATTAAAGATTAAATAAAGTTTAGACAAACCCACAGAGATATGGTTTGGCTCTGTGTTTCCACCCAAATCTCATGTTGAATTGTGATCCCCAGTGTTGGGGGAGGGATCGGTGGGAGGTGATTGGATCACAGGGGTGGGTTTCCCCCTTGCTATTCTCATGGTAGTGAGCGACTTCTCACAAGATTTGGTTGTTCAAAAGTGTGTAGCCCTTCCCCCTTTGTTATCTATCCTGCTGGCCATGTGAAGATGTACTTCCCCTTCACCTTCCACCATGATTGTAAGTTTCCTGAGGCCTCTCCAGCCATGCTTCCTGTACAGCCTACAGAACAGCGAGCCAATTAAACCTCTTTGCCTCATAAATTACCCAGTTTCAGGTAGTTCTTTATGACAATGTGAGAACGGACTAATACACGCAGTTACCTGGTTAATTGAAATACATTTTTTTCTAAAGTAAAACCTAAACATGAAAGCTAAAGTTTTGAAGCTCCTAGAAAAAGATTGTTAGCTAATGTCTTCACAATCTTGAGTTAAATATATTTCATACAAGACACAGTCTCTTGAAATCCCCAAACAAGAAATAATGGGTAATTGGACTTTATATAAATTAAAATTTTATGTCCATCAAAAGACAATGTTAGAAAAATAAGAATTAAGCCACAGACTGGGAGAAAATATTCACAATACATATAGCTGATGGATTAATATACAATACATATGAATTAAAAATTCTTATAAATTATTAAAAGACAATCTAATAAAATGGGTATACAAATTAATAAAAAGAAGATATATAAATAATAAGCACCTGAAAAGAGTCCGATATCATTAGTTATTGGGGAAATAAAAATTAAAACCACGATTAGGTAGGATGTCATGTTGGTGTTATTACAATTCTTTGAAGATTTTTAGGCTTTTGTATGACCCAACATATAATCATTCTTGTTATATATTTCATGAACAAAAATAAAAACATATCCTTCAGTGGCCGAGTGTATTATCTGTCTTCGTGAACGTTCCATGTGTTCGCTCATACACTCTAGGATGGCAAAAATAGCTATAAGATTTCTGTAGAGAGAATATTTTGTTTTCTGAGTTATTTACCTGATGAAACTGAGGTCCAAAGAGGATAAGTGAACTTCACAAAGTAACAGAGCAGTTCATTTAGAGTTTGAGGACTGGGACTGGCAATAAAACAGGTTTTTCTCACAATGAATGCGTTGGAGACTGGAATTCCCAGATGTCTCTACCACTTTCAGCAGGGAGCTCTGGGGATTGTGCCAGAAACTACATGTAGGTAACTCCTCTCTTCCTAGGGTTCTAATCAGTCTGGCTGATTCAGGATCCATGGTGCTGCTCTCATTTCCCCTTCCTTGGAGCAGAAGAGGGTTCCGTGTCCCAGGAGGCCCTTCTGCATTAAACATAGGGGAAGATGATGTCTTTTCATGTGATCCTCAAATATAGCTTTTCTACTCTTGACACGTGAGAACCTAAAGCAGAACACTGAAACCTCTACCTTAGCATGAATAAATGAGGAACTCTTCTTGGCCCAATCCAGAACTGACAGTAAGTTATTGGTCACACCTCTCATTTTTTGGTCAATCAAGAGAATCAGAATGGTCCATGGAAATAGTTTCAGGAACCCTGTTGTTGCTATCAGTCATAGTGCTGATCTTGGATGAATTCAGCAGCCCTTTAAGATTCTGTTTACTCATTCACCAAATAAGGGAGTTGTATTAGGTGGCTTAACATGTTTAGTCCCTAAAGGCTAGAGTGGCTAGATAGCTTTGATCCAGAGCACTATTTTACCAGGTTGTGATCTATATCCCTAGTCCCTGAAACCATAATTTCCTGAAATTTCCATGTACCCCTGAGAGAGGTTTGGCATGTGAACAAAACATGTCAGGTCAGGTTTCCTGAGTTTTCACATGCAGGAAAACAAGCGATTTGGGGGAACATTTATCAGCATTGGGAAGGATCACAAAGGAGCAGACTCAGACCTACTAGGAGATGTGTTCATATTAAATCTGAATCCCAAGCATTAATTTTCCCAGCATTCTTTTTTAAATTAAAACAAACCAATGTTCAGTTTAAATGCAAAAGATCAACAAATCAAGCATTCAGTATTTGTATAAATATGCGATTGATTAGACTAATTCAACATCCAACAATACTTTTTTTTTCCTTTTCACAAACAAGTTTGAACACCTTCTATGTACTAAAACTAATGCTGGGCAATCTAAGATCTTCATTAAGGGTAGTCTGTTTTATTAACTATGTAAGTAAAAAGCAATGCCGGTAGCTAAATGATTACACCATACACTTTTGTCATAGCTTAAAAATCATTTTACCACCGATCTGTTTCCTATCTTATTGAATAGATGATTACCGAGTACATATTAAGAAGAAACAAGATGAATAAAAATGAGTCTCTGGCACTAAGGGACAAATAGTCTAATGGTAATAAGCAGACAATTATAAAGCAATATGTCAAATATTCTACCAGAGACCCATAGAAAGGACTGCGGGGGGCAAGAGCATAAAACAATGAACTTCAACAGGAAAACATGTAAAATACTCTCAGAAGTTGACACCTGACCTCTTGCCTGGTGGAGAGGAGGAAGCACCCAAGAAGGGGAATAGGAATGGCAAATCATGGGGCCAGGAAGATGAGTTGTTCGGGGACTGTGAGTGGCTTCATGGGTAAGAAGGTGGGGTGCCCTGGTATGAGGGAGAATTCTCATTGGATGATAGAGGAAGACAGAATCATGAAGGGCTGATTATGTCATGATATGAAATAGCATGAACAATTTCCTGATGGCAGTAAGAGGCTATGTTACAGCAGCCTGTAACATAGATGCAAGTCCCAAGTAGGGTATTCTTTTCTCTGAGCAATGCTAGAGACAAATTAAGGTGTAGCTTTGGGGGCAAATGAAAGATTTGATGCCTTGTTTGTATTTAAGAATATATAAATCTAACAAATATAATAAGGCCATTTTAGAACAAAGAAGGGTTTAGGAGCTGAAATAGACCATCTAAAGCTTAGATTTTTAAATCCAAGTGGCCAGGAGAAGAGAAACCAAGGATTCATTTACCCTTCTTCACAGGCAGGGAAACTATAATAGATTTCAGAGACAATAAATGAATTATTCAAACCCATATTATTGGGCTTGATGCAGAAGGCTAATTAAGATTTTCTTAGTGCAAACTAAAGTTTTTTTTACCATTACACTGTTCAACCTAAATATTCTCTTCAGAAACAAATAAGTGAGTCTAATGCACTGTTTTTAAGTGTATAGATACAGTAGAGTTCAGATTTTGAGTAGCGGATAAGAAATGCTCCCCAGACGGGCTGGGCACGGTGGCTCACGCCTGTAATCCCAGCACTTTGGGAGGCCGAGGCGGGCGGATCACGAGGCCAGGAGTTCAAGACCAGCCTGGCCAAGATGGTGAAACCCCGTCTCTAATAAAAACACAAAAATTAGCTGGGCGTGGTGGAAAGCGCCTGTAATCCGAGCTACTCAGGAGGCTGAGGCAGAGAATTGCTTGAACTCGGGAGGCAAAGTTTGCAGTGAGCCGAGATTGCACCACTGCACTCCAGCCTGGGCAACAGAGCGAAACTCCATCTCAAAAAAAAAAAAAAAAAAAAATGAAATGCTCCCCAGATGATTGTGAGACACACCTTCAGCTTAAACCCACTGACCAGGATGTGACAGTATCTATCATCATAATAAAATTGAAACCGAATGACATACCTTTTCCCCAAAGTCAATTGTTTTAAGTTTTATTAGTTTACTTGCTTAGAATTTCTGGATAATTCTGAGAACATTAATTCATGTTAATAAAATTTTATTTGGAGTCAATGTAATTGGACTGCATGTTTTTATTAAATAATGAAATTCCTTTATTCATTATTTAATAAAAACTTGCAACCTGAAGGTGTGTATCCCTTGGGAAAGAAAAGTGTAAACTGGAATAAATGTTACTTGTTTCTAACTCTTACTGTAAAGATGATATAAATAAATGAATATGACAAAAATTATCACTGTACATCTGCTATCTGCTTAGCTTCTGAATCTGGACTTGGTTGCAATTAGGGGGAGAGGAGCTACAGATACCAGGAAGGAAGGAGTCTGTTGCTTTCAGGATAGCTCCATCTCAGAG
This sequence comes from Homo sapiens, assembly GCF_000001405.40. Classification (NCBI taxonomy): domain Eukaryota; kingdom Metazoa; phylum Chordata; class Mammalia; order Primates; family Hominidae; genus Homo; species Homo sapiens. The sequence continues at coordinate 122,605,864 of NC_000009.12, forward strand.
TACAAATCAAGTGTAAAAATTGGATCTTGTCCAGACATTGGATTGGACCAAAGTAGACTAACTCACGTCAATCATGTTCACAAAAGATTGAGGCATAAGCCAAAAATATCCACATCTTCATTTGCTTTGAGAACTGCAACTGTCAAATTGAATGGATATTTAAATTCCCTGATGGTGCATTCCCTCCTTATAGAAAATATGCATGAGACTGAACTAGAGTCAGAAAATGACTTGGTGAATATTGAAAGGCAGTGTAGCACAGTGGTTTAGAACTTAAGCTTTTGACTCAGACAAACTTCACTTCAATACCTGCTGCTGTAGACTTCAGCAATTGCATCGCCACCCTGAACTTCAGTTTCTACATTTTTAAATAAAGATATTCACAGTGCTGGTGCACAGGGCTATCACTTAAGTGAATTCAGAACCTGGCAATGGCTAGTGCTCAGCCAGTATTAGCTATGATTATTACTCCAACTTTTTTCATAGTGTCAGAACAAGGGCTGTGGATTGGATAAACTTAATGTCCAGTATTATCTATTTAAGAGATCCTGGTATATCCTCACTATGGCTTCTGTGGGAAAAAAGGAATTTCAAGTCCCAAATCAAGGTATTCTTTGAGCGGCACTAGAGACAAATTAAGGTGTGGCTTTGGGGGCAAATGAAGGATTTGACACCTTCTATTTAGATGTAAAATATATAAATCTCATAAATAAATATAATAAGGCAAGGAAGGGTTCAGGAGCTGGAATAGACCATCTAAAGTTTAGGTTTTTAAATCCAAGGGGCCAGGAGAAGCCAAACTGACTGGAGAAGCACCTGTGAGTGAGGAGCACCTCTGAGTGAGGAGCATCTGTGAGGAGCACCTGTGAGGACCACCTATCCTATGTGGAGCACCTGTGAGTGAGGAGCACCTATCCTATGAGTGAGGAGCACCTATCCTATGAGTGAGAAGCACCTCTGAGTAAGGATCATCTGTGAGTGAGGAGCACCTATGAGTGAGGAGCATCTATGAGTGAGGAGCACCTGCAAGAAGCACCTGTGAGTGAGGAGCACCTATCTTATGAGTGAGGAGTACCTGCGAGTGAGGTATATCAGAGGTGTTAGGGAAAGCATGTGTCATTCCCAGGCATGCTTGGGGATACTGGAGCAGAATTCAATGCATTTCCTGTAGCTTTTCTTAGGGAAAGCCAAAATATTACTCTAAGTAAAGTGACTATGATGAAAAAGTCTTGCTCCATAACTTCAATTTTTTTTCTTTGCACAAAGTCAAATGATTTGATTTTTGTTCTACTTACTTGCCAGAGCTGCTTTTTAGAGATGACACCCTGGTTAACTTGTCAGAATTCTGGGTCTCTCAAAATCTCCATATTGGCTTCTGGACCACCATTTAAATTAGTTCAACCCATCACATCCATCACACTTAAAAATAATCTTTTACTTTCAAAAATAACACATGCTAGTAAAAGAAATGGTGTGTGTCATACAGAAGTTGACACCCACCATTCTTCCCCCCACACTCACTCCCTAGAAGCAAACATTATCCATCTTTTGAGTGTGTTCTTCTAGATTGTGTTCTTATTCATACACAAATATTTCTGTTTCATTTTTACTTAACTGTAACTATGCGTATACACACTGTTCTGGTATTTTACATTTTTTACTTAATTATATTATTACTAAGAGAAAAGTACTTGTGTAAACAGATAGGACATGTACAATCCAAGGCACACTTTTACTGGTGGCTGATATGTATCATATGGACAGCTGAAATAGTTCAAAGGAGCCTTAGATATCTTATCAAATACTGACACCAATCGATAACTTGACAAATGGTCTGACCCAAACTTTTTAACATGCACAATAATAAATCCAAGCTTTCTCAAAACAGAATTATTTAACCACAGAATTTTTTCAAACAGGAGTTTGAAGTACTTTTAACACAGCATTATTTTACTCTTTTGCTACTTATAACAAAATGTATTTCACACAGAATTTGAGACATGGACAGAAGAAACCAGACCTGCATCTATGAATTTCTTCTCATGGGCTTCTCTGAACACCAGGAGCAGCAGGCTCTTTTGTTTGGGCTTTTCCTGGTCATGTACTTGGTCACTGTGTTGGAGAACCTGCTAATCATCCTGGCCATTGGCTCTGACCTGCACCTCCACACCCCCCATGTACCTCTTCCTGTCCAACCTGTCCTTTTTGGATATTGGCTTTATCTCTACAATAATTCCCAATATGCTAGATCATATTAGCTCAGGAATTAAGCTGATTTCTTATGGGGAGTGTCTGACACAACTCTATTTCTCTGGCCTATTTGCAGATCTGGACAACAACTTTCTCCTGGCTGTGATGGCCCTTGACCGCTATGTGGCCATCAGCCATCCTCTCCATTATGCCCTAACCATGAACTCCCAACGCTGTGTCCTGTTGGTGGCTGTGTCATGGGTGATCACTATTTTACATGCCCTAGTGCATACCCTCCTAGTGACCAGGCTTTCCTTCTGTGGTCCAAATATTATCCCTCACTTCTTCTGTGATCTGGTCCCACTCCTGAAGCTGGCCTGCTCCAGTACTTGTGTCAATGATCTGGTGCTCATCCTTGTGGCAGGAACACTGCTGATTGCGCCCTTTGTCTGCATCCTTATGTCCTACTTTTACATTGCATTGGCCATCCTGAGAATTGATTCCCCAAGGGGTAAGCAAAGGGCCTTCTCCAGCTGCACTTCCCACCTCTCTGTAGTCTCTCTGTTCTATAGCACAGCTATCGGTGTCTATTTATGTCCTCCATCATCCCACTCAGATGGAAAGGACAGAGTCTTCTCAGTCATGTACACGGTGGTGACTCCCATGTTGAACCCCTTCATCTACAGCCTGAGGAACAGGGATATGAAGGGGGCACTGGGAAAACTGCTTGGAATAAAAACATCCTAACACCCTTACTCAAGACCTTAGGATCCTGACCCCAAGACTCAGAGCTGGGAGTGGATCAGTCTCCTGAGAGCCCAACCACTATAGCGTCTCTCAGCCCAAGACTTCATTGTTGCCATGTTTACATTTTGAAATGGATGAGGAGAGAACCAGTGATATCAGTCATCTTTAATCATCTTCACAAAATGTTCATGCCCTGACTAGTTCATTATCCACTCTCAGAATTGTTGTTTGTTTTTGCCAAATGCCTGCATGTGGGGGACTTGTATGCATATAAAATGAAAACAAAAGCCTAAATTTTTGATTAGCTCAAGTTATAAAGGAATTCCAGTAAGTGGCATGAGGGGGAAATGTGGAAATGTTTAGAACTTGTGGTACATCTAATATCCTCTGAAATGTCTTAAAAATAATGATGTAGGTCTGAGAGTGCTGTAGGAGGTCCATGATATATTGATGAGAGAAACAAAGAAAGCTCCAGAACAAATGATCCTATTTTTATAAAAACAAAATTTTATATATGCATGTTCATATGTGCATAGAAATTGTCTAAATGGGTACATGTCACAATAATAGCAATTACTCCTAGAGAGAAATCAGGTAGGGAGTGGTGAGAAACACTCTCAGTTTTTATTCAACATATGTCTTACTGCTAATTTTTTAAAAATATAAGTATGTACCACTAAAAAAAGCAAATAAGACGCTGCATCTCTAAGAAAGAACTAAGGGCAGGGAGACAGTCCCTCCCTGCCTTGACCATATCGAAATTTCTGTGGGCTTCCTTCTCAAAGCCAAATTTGGAGCACATGTAGTCAACCCCATGTCCAGACTGATCTCCCAGGTCCTGGCTGCTCTCCTGGGATCAGCTGAGCTGCCAAGCCACAGTCCCTAATACTGACACCAGGAGCACTGTCTCATGGGCCTCACTCCCCAGAGAAGTCAGTGAGGTTGGACAATGACACATTTGGGACTCCATGCTAGTGAGAACCATGGAATCCATGCAGAAGCATGTGATAAAACATCAGCTGCCAGCACCTTCCCTAGACAGGTCCTCCTGCCCCTGAAGAGCAGAAGCACCACCAGGAGTCTGGTGGCTCTACCCCTACAGCCCCTCCCTGATGCTTTTCTTTCTTCTATTCTTGGAAATTTCCTCTGTCTTCGCTGAGTGGTCAGCTCCACGCTGCTGTCAAAACAAGACATGATGACAGATGCTGCCTGAGGCGGATTGGGAGAGCCAGGGCCAGTACAGCTGAAAGGTAAATATCTGCTCTTAGGAGCCTGCACACCAGAGCACAGAAGTTTCTGGACACCTCCGACAATTCCTGTATAGGCTTTCAGTAATTTCTGGAGGGAGGACCATCTTTCTCAAAACTGATCCTTTGTACAATACTATTGAGTATTGTGAAGTTTGTCTTTGACTTCCTAATCGTCTTGTGTTTTTCCTCCCCTCGTCATGCCTCCTCCTCACACCATCCTCAGACATTCTGTGTCTTTATGGACTCTCCCATTTCCCCTTATCAAAACCTATCCACAAAAGAGTATGAATGATTTATAGGTTGGTGCAAAAGTAATTGCAGTTTTTGCCATTATTTTCAATGGAAATAATTGAAAATTATTCACTAATACATAGTGAAGAGTAAAATTTTCCCTGAATCAGAGAAAATAGCTAATAGATTCCAGAGATTTTCAATCCGTCAGGGAGGTATTAAGAATAATCAGAGTTAGGTGGCCCAGAAATCATCCGCTGGAATGGTTTTTCACTGTGTGTCTTCTCTTAACAACTGACCCAGATTTTCTTCCCATTTCTGGGGATTAAGAATCAGAGAAACTCAGAAACTTTATTAAGTCATGTTATCCCAGTGTCTCCTCTATTTACAAAGGGCAGTTTACGGATCCGATTGCTGGCAGTTATAGAAAGCTATTCTGGGATAGCAAAGGATAGGAAACCCAGGTTCCCACAGAAATTTAAAATAAACAACTTCTCACTGTTTCATGGGACATTTAAAGGGCCTTCATGTCTGTAGTCTCTTCTGATATTTTATATCAAGCTTCTACATCGAAAGCAGTTATTATTCTTCCCATTCCCCAGAGGAAGAAACTGAGGCTTCCAAGAAAGGAAGTGGTTTTCCCAATGTTTCAGAACATTTTCATGGCAGACCCGGGACCAAAGCCCAGATAGAAAATGGAAATTTCCTGGGTCAAGCTCCATTCCTGCACACCACATTACTGTTTTATTTTAAAATCCACATCCTTTTATAAAGTAATGTTCTCCTCTAGGAGTTCCCTATTCTTAGTCTCCTGCCTCCTTGTCCACACCACGCTCCTCCCCTCTGCCATAAGGGGCTCATACGCTGCACTATAGGTCAGGCAAGATGATTTCTGCCAGCCATGAGGAAGACAAGGAGGACTCTTAAGTTTCTAGGCAGCTCCCCACCATCCACTTCTGGGACTCTCTCTAGCCTCTTGGGTAGCTGTGTCACAAGAGCTACATAGATATTGCCCAGGTAGCATCTGGGCACAGGCTACCGACTGTCAAGTAGAGCTCAGTCCACTCATAGGCCTTTCCCAAGATCTGGAAAGAAGGATTAATCTTACGTTTCCCAAACCATAAACTCAGGGCCACCTGATGCCCAGCCCTGCAGGCTAGAGATATGAATCTTCATTTGAAGAATCCAATTACAATGCCACATTGATAAGAGAAGACCAGCACAGGGAAGGAATGGAACGTGGGTGTTAAATCGGTGAGGTCAGAGAGGAAGAGCATTGCTTCCGAGTTAGACAGATTGAAGATCAAGCTGGATCCAACTCTACTCTATTTGACCTTGAGAAAGTTAATTAGTCTCCCTGGTCCTCGGTTTTCATGATCTCAGTATGGGAATAATAATATCTATGCTTAGTTTTATAATGAGAATTAAACAAAAAAATGATAGGTACTTATCATTGTCCAATGCACAGGATAGCACAGTAGAAAAGAAGGAAACAAAGAGGAAAATAGAAACTAGAATAGCGAGAGAAAACTTAAGAAGTAGCATAGCCCCATGGTTGAGAGCATAGGCTTTTGAGGTCAGGCAGAGCTGAATCCAAATTTCATTACTACCACTTATTAAATCTGTGACCTTATGCATGTCACAGGACCCTTTCAAGCCCCAATTTCCTCATTTATAAAGTGGAGCTGATACCTATGTCATGGAATTGCTGTGATCACATGAAAAACATATATACAGCTCTTAGAATAATTCCTGGTATATAGTAAGTGCTCAGTAAATGTGCACTTTTATTTCACATTCATCATCATGCCACATTGAAATCAATTCAGGATATTCAATATCATATTAGGAATTGCCACACTTTTATAGTTGAAAAACCTACTGTTTGTTCTCTTGAGCTGTACCATGGTGGCATCCTTTAATTTGAGGCATGAAAGCAGACAGACCAGGAATGATAAATTCTATTCTGTGAAGAAGAAGCTAAATAAGTGAAATGGGCCATCAGGCACGTATGAGCACTAGAGGTATCCAGACGTAAGTGTGAAGTCGTTACCACTTACTACTAAGTTATACTGAGTGAATCACTTCACTTCCCTAAGCCTTGGTATTCTCATATATAAAATAAGGATAATAAGTGATTGTGACTAGGACACACAGCTAGACACATACTGAGATTGCTACAAGGACTATCTGAGATATGTGTAAAGTGCCTTACATAGGAACAGTTCTTAACTGCTGGCACTTTTTCCTCCCAACAACCAAATTGCACAGTCTGAGAATTCTTATAGCCATAAACACATTTTATTTGTGGACTGCCAACTCTGATCTCCACCTCAAAAAGATTATTTGGTTATTATTTACGACCAGATGAAATCATTGTGACTAGCCTGTGATGAAAAACCAGACTCATAGAATATTGCTTAGTTTCTGGAAATGACATTTTAAGGACAGAGGAAAAGTGAACAGTGTCACAGTAGAGACCTGGATGGCAGAAAAACCTGGAGACGCTATGTTTAACAAGACTGAAAAAAAATGAAAGAAAAAATCACCAACATTTACTGAATACTTTACAGAAACCAGGTACTTTCATCTAATCCTTGTAACAACTTTAAGTGTAATAAACTATAAAAATCCCCATTTGACAGATGAGAAAATGAAGGCTGGGCTTTTAACCACTGCACAGTGCTGCACGTTTAGATTTCTCAAGGGCTGTCATGGTGAAGAATAACAGGCTTGTTGTGTGAGATCCCAGAGGACCAACCTCATTCTGCGAGACAGAAATGAGAGGCAATTATACTTTAGCTTCTCCTGTAAAAAAAAAAAAAAAAAAAAAAATCTGACAACTAGAGCTTCCTGCCACTAAAAGCGTTCAAAAGGAGAAAGGATGATTATTTCCCCAGGATCCTATAAAAAGAGACTGAACATTGATTGAGAAGTTGGGTCAAGTTCTCAATCAATGAGTTTATAGTTTTCAATGATTTATAGTTTTTGCTTATATATGCTTTTTTATTAAGACCCATGCGCTTTTAAAAAGAGGCATATAAAATTATCCATTTGATGTTTAAATAGCTATAAGTATATAATACATGGAGTATTGTACTTTTAAAACAAAACTTTACATTATTTCTTAAAATGTACCCAATGACATCTAAACACAGAGTGATTTGATAATCACATCATTCATTTTTAAAATGCAAGAACAAAGTCATCCTGAAAATGTGTATGTTTTACATTATTCCTTCTCCATTTAAACATGTATTTCCATTCTTCTCCTATACAAATTTTATCCTGTTGTAATAAATGTTTATGCTGGAAAGTCTCTTATAATCACCTATATTACTTTTCACAATAAAAAATAAAAGTTTTTTTATTTCTTATGACCACAAAATTTTGTGTTAAAATAATTATGAAAAATCATCTACATTGAGTTATTATCACAATTATTACTAATTGGCACCAATTTGGTCAGTTTAAACAACTGACCAAAACTATGTAATTGTTAGCTTCAATTATATTAAGTTGCCAACATTCACCTATTTTGATCTACAAAAATAGTAATTTCATATGGTAATATATCACAAATTTTGAAAATAATTGTTATTCCTAAAAAGATTTTAATTAAAGGCATCTAGTAGGACTTTTTTAGTTCATATATCTAGAAATGAGTATTACTTATTACTAAAGTAAGTCAAAATCAACATCAATTATATTACCATTTAGTTTTCATTTGTTACATGGGAAACAAGATTATGCACTAGGTGACATCTTAAAGATAAGAAGAGTTTAGAAAAGAGAACTGTGGAAATTGAGGATCTAGACAATTATTTTCCTAAAACCATTATTCTATGTACTGAGAAGTCTCTGGAGATCAGCAAGAGTATGTGTCCCCCAAAGTGAAAATTACTGAACCAAATGACCTCTGACCTCCCTTTCAGCAGGCAGATTCCTTGGTTATATAGCTCATCAATAGGTCTTATTACCATGAATAAGATGGCTTGGTTTTAATCTGGGGAGTCATGTCATATAGTGGCTAATAGTATAATCTTTGGCACCAGATAAATGTGACTTAAATTGATATTTTGCTCTTTATGAACTTAAACTTTCCGTGCCTGTTTTCAAATTTGTAAAAGTGAAATAATAATAATAATAATAGTAGTAGTAGTAATAATAGCCTCATAGAGTTATTGATTTAAATGTGATAACACAGAAAAGTCCCTGGTTTAAGGTAAATGTTCTGTAAATGTTAGCTATGGGGCTATTAGGTTGGTGCAAAAGTAATTGTGGTTTTTAGCAGTACTTTTAATAATGATGATGTTAATGAAAAATCCATATTATCTTGGAAAAGTCATAAGCACTTAATCCCTTTATCAGCACAGTGTGTAGTTTACACTGGGGCACAACAGTGACTATATGTCCAAGTCTATAGAACTAATTCTTTTTGTTCTTATGGCAACAGATGGACAACAGCAACTGGACCAGTGTGTCCCATTTTGTTCTCTTGGGCATTTCCACCCACCCAGAAGAGCAAATCCCACTCTTCCTTGTTTTCTCACTCATGTACGCAATCAATATTTCTGGCAACTTGGCCATCATCACACTGATTCTCTCTGCTCCACGCCTCCACATCCCCATGTACATCTTCCTCAGTAACTTGGCCTTGACAGACATCTGCTTCACCTCCACCACGGTCCCCAAGATGCTGCAGATTATTTTCTCCCCTACAAAGGTAATTTCCTACACAGGCTGTTTAGCCCAAACTTATTTCTTCATTTGCTTCGCCGTCATGGAAAACTTCATCCTGGCTGTGATGGCCTATGACAGGTACATTGCCATCTGCCACCCTTTCCACTACACTATGATCCTGACTAGAATGCTGTGTGTGAAGATGGTGGTCATGTGCCATGCTCTCTCCCACCTTCATGCCATGCTGCATACCTTTCTCATAGGCCAACTAATCTTCTGTGCAGATAACAGAATCCCCCACTTCTTCTGTGACCTCTACGCTCTGATGAAGATCTCCTGCACCAGCACCTACCTCAACACCCTTATGATTCACACAGAAGGTGCTGTTGTAATCAGTGGAGCTCTGGCCTTCATTACTGCCTCCTATGCCTGCATCATCCTGGTGGTCCTCCGGATCCCCTCAGCCAAGGGCAGGTGGAAAACCTTTTCTACCTGCGGCTCCCACCTCACTGTGGTGGCCATATTCTATGGCACCCTCAGTTGGGTCTACTTCCGGCCCCTTTCCAGCTATTCAGTGACCAAGGGTCGCATTATAACAGTCGTGTACACAGTGGTGACTCCCATGCTGAACCCCTTCATCTACAGCCTGAGGAATGGGGATGTCAAGGGAGGCTTCATGAAATGGATGAGCAGAATGCAGACTTTTTTCTTTAGATAAAACCCCAAACACAGTTCAGAGGTTTACCTATGGTTCTGGAGAAATAATGTTGTGCCTCACAGATCTGCTTTCTTTAGAACTTTCCAGAAATATCTAAATTAGCTATATATCATGTGTTTTCTCACTGGATATTGCCCAGAGAAATCTATTAAATCCAAAGTACATAAAACAAAAAGGAACCACCATGTACTTAGTGTAAAACACTAGCGTTTCTTTAACTATAATTAACAGGGTTCTCTGCAATTAAACACTAGGGTTGTAACTCTCAGAGTTCTTAGATGTAGGCAATAGAAACTGATTCTGGCTTATGCATGGAGGAAATGAGTTTCTTGAAAAGATATGTGGAGCTCATGCATTTCCAAGGCTAGGGAACTAGACTCAAGAAAAATGGACAAGAATAATAAAGGTCATATCATCAGAACTGCAGTGAAAATCATATCCCAGAACTAGTCTAATGAGGACACTACTGTAGCCACCAAACTCTATTCACTGCAGCTTGTACCTCCTCCTATACTACCAGCAGTAGTCACTGGGCATAGTTCTTGGAGGTCTATAAACTGGTTATTACCACTTCCAGAAAGAACTGTCCCCTTCTTATTCTTTTCACTACTATGTCTAGATTCAAAATAAGGTGGTGCATCTGACTGGTCAAGAATTTGGTCACCAACACATCCCCTAGCTGCCAGGAAAACTAGGAGAGCAATATTGGTGCTTTTATTTTCTATAAGTTTATAGAAGTCAGGTGAAATGGGGTAACTACTCCAATATAAGAAGAGGAACATAATGATAATGTCTACTATTTGGAGTCAGAAGTTATATATGCTCCAGAATGAAGCACTGTCATGCTTACCAATTTGCATTTTTCTTAACCTGCTTTACCTGCACTACTCAGGGATAAGTCAAACTCATTTTGCCTCAGCATGTTCCTGATCTCTTCTGTAGTTGATATGTGGAACTGGTCTAATAGTGGGTGAAAATTGATTTGTCTTCTGACCAATCAATACTGGGCATGAAGAACAGGTTCAAGCATCAAGAGTCTGTTAAAATGTTGATTCTTCAATATTATTAAAAGACCATACTGCCCAAAGAAATTTATAGATTCAATGCTATTCCTATGAAACTACCAATGACATTTGTCACATAATTAGAAAAAACTATTCTAAAATCCACATGGAACCAAAAAAGAGCCCAAATAGCCAAAGCAATCCTAAGCAACAGGGACAAAGCCAGAAGCATCACACTATCCAAATTCAAACTATACTACAAGGCTACAGCAACCAAAACAGCATGGTACTGGTACCAAAACAGACACATAGAGCAATGGAACAGAATAGAGAACCCAGAAGTAAACAACTACATGTTAGCTGGTTATGTTGAACATTAATTGATGCAGTTTCTTCATGCATCGATGGTCTTTACAATTTGGCATGTTTTTTCAGTGGCTGGTACCGGTTGTTACCTTCCATGTTTAGTGCTTCCTTGAGGAGCTCTTGTAAGGCAGGGCTGGTGGTAATAAAATCTCTCAGCATTTGCTTGTCTGTAAAGGATTTTATTTCCCCTTCATTTATGAAGCTTAGTTTGGCTAGATAGGGAATTCTATGTTGAAAATTCTTTTAAGAATGTTGAATATTGGCCCCCACTCTCTTCTGGCTTGTAGGGTTTCTGCAGAGAGATCCACTGTTAGTCTGATGGGCTTCCCTTTGTGGGTAACTTGCCTTTTTCTCTGGCTGCCCTTAACATTTTTTCCTTCATTTCAACCTTGGTGAATCTGACAATTATGTGTCTTGGGATTGCTCTTCTCAAGGAGTATCTTTGTGGTATCCTCTGTATTTCCTGAATTTCAAGGTTGGCCTGCCTTGCTAGGTTGGGGAAGTTCTCCTGGATAATATCCTGAAGAGTGTTTTCCAACTTGGTTCCATTCTCCCCATCACTTTTAGGTACACCAATCCAACGTAGATTTGGTCTTTTCACATAGTCCCACATTTCTTGGAGGCTTTGTTCATTTCTTTTTACTCTTTTTTCTCTAATCTTGTCTTCTCATTTTATTTCATTAATTTGATCTTCAATCACTTATGTCCTTTCTTCCACTTGATCGAATCAGCTATTGAAGCTTGTGCATGCATCACAAAGTTCTCGTGCCATGGTTTTCAGCTCCATCAGGTCATTTAAGGTTTTCTGTACACTGTTTATTCTAGTTAACCGTTCGTCTAACCTTTTTTCAAGGTTTTTAGCATCCTTGTGATGGGTTAGAACATGCGCCTTTGGCTCGGAGAAGTTTGTTATTACCGACCTTCTGAAGCTTACTTCTGTCAACTTGTCAAACTCATTCTCCATCCAGTTTTGTTCTCTTGCTGGCGAGGAGCTGTGATCCTTTGGAGGAGAAGAGGTGCTCTGGTTTTTGGAATTTTCAGCTTTTCTGCTCTGCTTTTTCCCCAACTTTGTGGTTTTATCTACCTTTGGTCTTTGATGTTGGTGACCTACAGATGGGGTTTTGGTGTGGATGTCCTTTTCATTGATGTTGATGCTATTATTTTCTGTTTGTTAGTTTTCCTTCTACCACTCACACCCCTCAGCTTCAGGTCTGTTGGAGTTTGCTGGAGGTGCACTCCAGACCCTGTTTTCCTGGGTCTCACCACTGGAGGCTGCAGAACAGCAAATATTGCAGAACAGCAAATATTGCTGCCTGATCCTTCCTCTGGAAGCTTCGTCCCAGAGGGGCACCCGCCTGTATGAGTTGTCTGTCGGCCCATACTGGGAGCTGTCTCCCAGTCAGGCTACACGGAGGTCCGGGACCCTCTTGAGGAGGCAGTCTGTCTGTTCTCAGAGCTTGAACACCATGCTGGGAGAACCACTGCTCTTTATTGTATATATTCAAAAGCTGGAAGAAAGGATTTTGAATATCTCCAACACCAAGAAATGATGAATGTTTGTCATGATGAATATGTTATTTATCCTGATTTAATCATTATATATTGTGTACATATATCAACATGTCACACTATACTCCATATATATGAACAACTATTATGTGTCAATCAAAATAATAATTTTTAAAATAAAATAAACATAAACACAGAAAAAAAGATTAAAGATACCTGGATCCCTGATGCCATGGAGTGCCTCTGTGGCTCTGGACTGACCAACTGCAAACTTTTTGAACATTAAATGTAAATAAACTTCTATATTATTTCCAAAAACAACAACAAAAGGAAACCAAAAAAGAATGTCTCACCAAAGAGAAAGTATATATAAAGAGATAGAAATTATAAAAAGGAACCAAATGGAAATCTTCAAAAATGCACCCACACAAAATAAAACAAACTCTTGCAATTAATAAATGAATAGAGCTAATAAACCAGCAAAGTTTCAGCATAGAACATGAACATCAATAATCAACTGTATTTCCATATACTAGCAATGAATAACCTTCAAAAGAAATAAAATTTAATTTATAATAGTATCAAAAAGAATGAAACAGGAAAAAATTTAGCCATGGATATGCAATACTTGTATACTGAAAACTACAAAACATTGCTGAAAGAAATTTAAGAGACCTAAATAAATAGAAAGACATCCATATAATGGACTGGAAGACTTAATATTCTTAAAAAGGCAATAATCCATAAATTGATCTACAGATTCAATGCAATTCCTATAAAATCTTTATTATTTTGTAGAAATGGAAAAGCCAATCCTGAAATTCAGATGAAATTGCCAGAAACAATGAGTAGCCAAAACTATCTGGAAAAAAAATGAACAAATTTGTAGAACCTACACTTTCCTATTTCCAGAATTATTACAAAGTTATGAAATAAAAGAGGATACAAACAAATGGAAGAACATTCCATGCGCGCACGTAGGAAGAATCAATATCGTGAAACACAGGTAGGACGTTTATCAGTAATTTGATTCACCCAATAAGCTGCTTTGCTTTATTTGTGCTTCCAAATCCTCCTGTTTAATTTCACTTTTCCCCATTTCCACATATGGCACAATCAGGAGCTGTCCTATATGCTCTCCTGGCTCTGCTTTCCAGGGAAGAGAAGTAGATAAAACAATTTGAATTTCCGCATTGTAATCTGAATCAATGACTCCCGTTTGTACTTGTACCCCTTTTAAATTTAAACTTGACCTTCCTAGAAGTAATCCTATCATCCTAGCTGGCAAGGGTCCACAGACCCCTGTTGGAACTTTTTGCGGGAGTTCCCCAGGCATAAGGCTCACAGCTTTTGTGCAACATGAATCTACTGTGGCACTACTGGCTGTGGCAGGGCACAGACATTATACAGGGGTGAGGGAATGGCCTGAGCCAGAAATGCCCTGGTTTGGAACGGGGCCTGGGATGGGCCCCTCATGGCATTTCCTGAAATCGGGTTCCCATCTTTATCAAATTTAGAGTGACACTGATTAGCCCAGTGTTTTCCTCAGGCTCAGTAGTTTTCCTTTTTCGCCTATCTGGCAGCCTGACTCGCTGATTTTTTCTACATTCTTTTTTACTATGACCATGCTTCCCACAGTTAAAACAAACTCCAGGAAACGGAGTATTTCCTTTATCCACTCTCAGTCCCGCCATTGCTTGGGCTAGCAGAGTAGCCTTATGCACATTACCTCCGATACCATCACAGGCCTTGATATGATCAACTAAATGTGCTTTCCTGAATTTAAAAGGAAAAGGCTCAAATGTAGCTATAATATTTCCCAGTTGATCTTGGGGGGTGTATTCTAACAGGGAACTGCCAAGCCTCTAAATCACCCTCTCTTCTAGCTTGCTGAACTCCTGCCTGAATAGAACTGAGAGCGGTCACTCAAGACGCTGCTCGAACAGTCACTGGGGCAACTACTTTTCTCCCAGTGTCCTCCAGAAAAGAAAGATCTAGAGGGTCAGGCCACTCTTTTTTTCTTCAAAATAAGGAGGGTATGCAGAAGGGTAGGGATGAACCTCTTCCTCCTTTGCCGCTTTAGCTTTAGCTGGCAAACAAACCTGCTCTGTCACCTCTTCTGTTACTTCATTATACTCTCCTTTTTCCTTATCATTAGTGTGAAAAGGTTCCAAGGTGGAACGAACCAGAGCCCACACTTGTCCCACTGTTACCCTGATGCTTCCAAGCTCCCCTTCTTACTCATGACAGGGATTGCTTTAAGAGTACTCGGGTGTCCTCCAGCTTAGTTCCACATTCTCCAACTGTTGCTCCAGCGACACTTCGACCTCAGTTTGAGCCTCCATGTTGGGCACTGCTTGCCGAGACCAGCTCGGTCGTGGAGACCCTAACCCAGTGGCACTAGAGGAATTAAAGACACACACACAGAAATATCTTGTGTGGAGTGGGAAATCAGGGGACTCACAGCCTTCAGAGCTGAGAGCCTCAAACAGAGATTTACCTACATATTTATTAACAGCAAGCCAGTGATAAACATTGTTTCTATAGATTATAGATTAACTAAAAGTATTTGTAACTGGAAACAAAGGGATGGGCCAAAACAAAAGGATGGGTCTGGCTAGTTATCTGCAGCAGGAACATGTCCTTAAGGCACAGATCGCTTATGCTATTTTTGTGGTTTAAGAAAGCCTTTAAGCGGTTTTCCACCCTGGGTGGGCCAGGTGTTCCTTGCCCTCATTCTGGTAAACCCACAACCTTCCAGCGTGGGTGTCGTGGCCATCATGAACATGTCACAGTGCTGCAGAGATTTTGTTTATGGCCAGTTTCGAGGCCAGTTTATGTCCAGATTTGGGGGCCTGTTCCCAACAATAAAAGCCATGTCGTACTGGCAAAAGTATAGAAATATAGGTCACTGAAATAGAATTGAGAGTCTAGAAATAAGTCCATCTATCTAAAATCAATCGATTTTTTTTACAAGGGTCAAAGAACATTCAAGGAGGAAAGAACACTCTCTTCAACAAATAGTGCTGGAATAACTGGTTATTTATATGTAAAAGAAAGAATGAAGTTAGACTCATTCTTTCCTCATACCATATACAAAAATTAACTCAAAATTGACCAAAGACCTAAGTGCAAGAGCTAAAACTAGGGAAACCTTGTTCACTGTTGGTGGGACTATAAATTGGTACAGCCATTATGGAAAACAGTATGGAGGTTCCTCAAAAACTCATACACAGAACGACTACATAATCTGCTTCTAGGTTAGGGGGAAGGAAGAGATGAATAGGGGAGCACAGAGAATCTTTAAGGCAGTCAAACTGTTCTGTATGATTCTGTATGATTCTTTAATGCCACTACGCATTTGTCCAGACTCACAGAATGTGCTAAACCAAGAGTGAATCCTAATGTAAAGTATGGATTCAGGGAGACAGTATGTCAATGTAGGGTCATCAATGTTAAGAAATATACCACTACTCTGGTGTGGAATGTTGATAGTGGAATAGACTATGTACATGAGAGAAAGAAGTATATGGCAGCTCTCTGTGTTTTTTGCTCAATTTTGCTGTGAACCTAAAGCTACTTTATTTATTATTATTTTTTGAGACAGGGTCTCACTCAGTCACCCAGGCTGGAGTACAGTGGCACAATCATAGCTCACTGCAGCCTCAATCTCCCAGGTCAAGCCATCCTCATACCTCAGTTTCCCAAGTAGCTGGGCCCACAGAGGCCCACCACCATGCATGGCTAATTTTTTTTTTATTATTATAGAGATGAGGTCTCACTATGTTGCCCAGGCTGATCTTGAACTCCTGGCCTCAAGTGATTCTCCTGTTTTGGGCTCCAAAAGTGCTGGAATTACAGGAATGAACCACCATGCCCAGCCCTAAAGCTACATTAAAATATTAATCTTATTTTAAAAAAATAAAATAAAAACCAAATGCATTTGCAGCAATAGCAGAAAAATCATGGTAAATCTCACAGTATGTGTCAGAAGGCATCCAAAGATATGTTTTTGAAAAATGTAAATATGACCAGCAGTTAAATAAAAGTAAGATGTATAAGCTTCTAGATATCTAGTGGGGGTAAAGATAACAAAAAATGTGAAATGCAATACAAATTATGAGAAAAAATGAGCTAAAATAAGATCATATACTGTCTGAGTAACCCCACATCTGGAAGTAATCCAAACTATGGAGGAAGTGTATATATTAATTGCAACACAAAGGAGACAACATTAATTTACAGAAGAAAACAAATAGTGGTGTACCCACTCAGTGTTTATTGTAGGAAGTTAAGAGATCACATCCCTGTTCCGCTCAGCTTCTAACCAACGGAGCAGACAAAAAGGGTCACATCAGGATCAAAGCTTTATTATAACAGTAAATCTGTCAGTTAGGGCTGCTATAACAAATTAACATAGACTAGGTGGCTTAAACAATATTTATTCCTTGCAGTTCTGGAAGCTGGAAGGTCCAAGATCAAGGTGCGGGCAGATCTAGTGTCTGGTGAGGGCAGGCTTCCTTGTTTTCAGATGGCCATCTTCTCATTGTATCCTCACACAGTGGAGCGCCAGAGAGACAGGATAAAGAAGCCCTCTCTGACCTCTTCTTGTAAGGGCACTAATTCCATTCATGAAGCCTCCACCCTCACAACCTGATTATCTCCCAAGGCTCCCACCTCCTAACACTATCACCTAGGAGGTTAAAGTTTCAACATATGGATCTTTGGGGGACCCAAACATTCAGTTCATAACAGAGTGACTCTTCTCTTCCTCCTCCCAATTGAGGATAGTTTCCCCTTAACCTTTCCTGTACCTGGACAGAGAGAGCAGAAGCGTGACTACTTACAGTCACATTAGTTCATACAGCCATGGTTCCCAATCCTGGCTTTGCACCTGGAGAGAATCAAAAATATCCCTGTCTGGGCCCACCTCTACTGATTCTGTATTAATTGGTCTGTAGTATGACCTGGGCATCAGTATACTTTTAGAGCTATCACATGTTTCTGATATGCTGTGGGATTGTTCTGTGCCACTCACACAGAAGATTGAAGCTCAGGGCTAGCCAGAATAAATGTAAAGATTACTAATTAGAAAAATTCCTCCTCTTCCTGTGTATAAGTGGTAGGTGAGGGTTAGACTAGAAATTTTCCTGCCAGTTTGTTTACTTCTGCACTGTGAGGTAAGATTGGTTCTCTTTATGGACACTTGAGGGTGAAGAATTAAATGGTTCCTACCACCAGGTATTTAGCAGCCATGAAAATTCTTATAACAGTGACACTGTAACACCATGGAAAATTATTTTGACATTATTTTAAACATTTTTGCAAAACTGTATGTAAATTGTTATTATGAAAATATGCATATGAATAAAATTTTTATATTCTAGTGGTAGGATAATTTTTTAATCAAATAAAGCACACTAAGACCCTGCTACTTACTCAATGTGTGGTCCACTGAGCAGCAACATTGGAATTACATGAAAAATTATTATTAGAAATAAAAGTTCCATGTAAAGTTTGAAAAGCACTGTGCTAGGAAATTGTCAAAAGAAGCAGAAGCAGAAGAAACAGAAGAGGGAGAGGAAGAAAAGGAAAGACAGAGAAGAGAAGAGAATAGAGGGGGCAGGGGCAGGATTCCAGGAAAATGTATAATTTGTTAAGAAATTAAAAAGGTATCTTTTTCACCAGTGCTGTACAAACTGTGAGCTTTTCCAGCAAAAAAGAACATAGTTGTCAATGGGTGCTTATGAATATTTGCACATGCTTTGTGACCAGCTGCTTTGGGAAATAATTAATAAATATATAACATAGCCTTTTCTCTCTTCAACAGTATAATCCAGTTTCAAAAATGATGCTGATGGACTTGAAAAATGGACCATAATCATAACAACTTTTCTCTGTTACTTAACAGTTTACAAAGCAAAATTGCATGCACAATGTTAGAAGCATAATTAACTTGTGAAGAAAGTAATGCAGGTATTATCATCTCTGGGAAAACCCAGGCTCACAGATGCAAGACCTCAATCAAAATGACACAATGAGGAAGTGATGGGATTGAGTTGAACAAAAGTGGATGAAGCCTGATGACTTCAAATCCAATGCACATGGGCTGCATATGTGCTGATTCATGCAGTACACTCTGTAAGATTAACACCATGAACAATGGAAGAGATTGACAGCAAGGAGGCCCATTTGTAATTTGCATAGGAAGTGATAAAGATCTAGATGAGGTAAAAGTTATGAGAATTGAATATAGTTCAATTTGGAGGGGAAATATGGAATACAAGCCACAGGTTAGTTGGAGACAGATGATCTGATCAAGGGTTAACTCCAAGCAA
Organism: Homo sapiens; assembly: GCF_000001405.40. Lineage (NCBI taxonomy): Eukaryota > Metazoa > Chordata > Mammalia > Primates > Hominidae > Homo > Homo sapiens. The sequence continues at coordinate 122,624,900 of NC_000009.12, forward strand.
GTAAATTATTCTTTCTGTGCCTCATGGGGGTAATAACAGCAATTACTTCATCAGGTTGCTGAGAGACATAGTGAGTTAATATGTGGAGAGATCCTCAAACAGTGTCTGACACATAGTAAATGCTATATAAAAGCTATTACTACTACTCAGATGCAAGAGATTTTAGGAGGATTAATTGATAAGCTTCAAAACACATCACATTAAGCCAATGGTCTTGACTGTAGCTACGTATTAGAATCATTTGGGGAATATTTAAAAATACTGACACCTAAGCTTTACCTCATAGCAAGTGGATCCAAATCTCTAGAGTGGAGGCCCAGGAAACTGAATTTTTTAAAACTCCCAGGTGATTCTAACGCACAGTGAAAGTTGAAAAGCACCGATATAGACAGAGGAAGAATTAGGCTTGACTTATTGGAACCTTAGATATCAGTGGTGATAATGGCAATAAATGAAGAGCTGTGGAAATGAATCTACTGTGAGGATTTAATTTCCTAGATTTTCACTGTAAGGTGATATTAATTTGAAAAGAGAAGTGATATATTAAGAGTGGATGAGTTCTGTGACAGGATGAGACAAGCATAGGCAAGGTGCCGAAGACTTGAAGTAGAAGGAAGAGATGTCACACAAGGTACAGAAAAGATGGAGAGACATTAGAGGACAGCAATGGTACAATGTCATGGGAGCCATGCATATGGGTGAGGTGATGGTTCCCAACAAACTATGTCAAAACTCACAGGCAGACAATGTACATTAAGCATTGAGATAAGACCACTGGATGTTGCCAATGGTTTGAGAAAGGTAGAATGTATTGAGTGAACAGAAGATGCTGGTGAGAGGACAGTGTGGAAGTAGTCAGGGGAATATAGAAATTATACCTGAAATGGGGAGATCCCAGGGATTGAAGTAGTACCTTGGGATGTGGGTGGAGGGGCTTATAGAGGAATAAAGACAGAAGTCAGCAAACTCAGTAAGGAGAAGTAGCAGAGAAGACCAGATTTTGGCTGGACCAATAATGCTGAAGGTGTCCCAAGAAGAGTGTTGTGTGATTGTCAAGGTGCCTTCTAGAGTTCTTACAACTCTAGAAGCCATAGATGATGTCCTGGAAATCCTCAGCACAGGAAACCCTGCTTACAATTACATTACAATCTATTTGAGTGAAGCTGCATCTCAAGTGGGGTGAAGGGCAAAAGTCAATGCATAAAAGTGAAAATCGAGTACCCTCAAAATTACCATTTTAATATTTTAAGAAGCACCGAAGTGGAGAGCAATTTTCCAGCTGCCAAAAAGCTAAGCAAAGTACCAATGTTTTAATCAGTGTTAAGATAGTTCATTGTTCCTTCTTTTATGCAACAAAGTAGTTAGCTTGCATTTTTCTGTCTATATTTTATTTTTAATGCACATTAAAAATTAATTTAATTTTGTTGATTCTTTCACAAAACCAGCTCCTGGATTCATTAATTTTTTGAAGGGTTTTTTTTTTGTCTCTATTTCCTTCAGTTCTGCTCTGATTTTAGTTATTTCTTGCCTTCTGCTAGCTTTTGAATGTGTTTGCTCTTCCTTTTCTAGTTCTTTTAATTGTGATGTTAGGGTGTCAATTTTGGATCTTTCCTGCTTTCTCTTGTGGGCATTTAGTGCTATAAATTTCCCTCTACACACTGCTTTGAATGTGTCCCAGAGATTCTGGTATGTTGTGTCTTTGTTTTCATTGGTTTCAAAGAACATCTTTATTTCTGCTTTCATTTCGTTATGTACCCAGTAGTTATTCAGGAGCAGGTTGTTCAGTTTCCATGTAGTTGAGCGGTTTTGAGTGAGTTTCTTAATCCTGAGTTCTAGTTTGATTGCACTGTGGACTGAGAGACAGTTTGTTATAATTTCTGTTCTTTTACATTTGCTGAGGAGAGCTTTACTTCCAACTATGTGGTCAATTTTGGAAGAAAACCTAGGCATTACCATTCAGGACATAGGCATGGGCAAGGACTTCATGTCTAAAACACCAAAAGCAATGGCAACAAAAGCCAAAATTGACAAATGGCATCTAATTAAACTAAAGAGCTTCTGCACAGCAAAAGAAACTACCACCATCAGAGTGAACAGGCAACCTACAAAATGGGAGAAAATTTTCGCAACCTACTCATCTGACAAAGGGCTAATATCCAGAATCTACAATGAACTCAAACAAATTTACAAGAAAACAAACAAACAACCCCATCAAAAAGTGGGCAAAGGATATGAACAGACACTTCTCAAAAGAAGACATTTATGCAGCCAAAAGACACATGAAAAAATGCTCATCATCACTGGCCATCAGAGAAATGCAAATCAAAACCACAATGAGATACCATCTCACACCAGTTAGAATGGCAATCATTAAAAAGTCAGGAAACAACAGGTGCTAGAGAGGATGTGGAGAAATAGGAACACTTTTACACTGTTGGTGGGACTGTAAACTAGTTCAACCATTGTGGAAGTCAGTGTGGCGATTCCTCAGGGATCTAGAACTAGAAATACCATTTCACCCAGCCATCCCATTACTGGGTATATACCCAAATGACTATAAATCATGCTGCTATAAAGACACATGCACACGTATGTTTATTGCGGCACTATTCACAATAGCAAAGACTTGGAACCAACCCAAATGTCCAACAATGATAGACTGGATTAAGAAAATGTGGCACATATACACCATGGAATACTATGCAGCCATAAAAAATGATGAGTTCATGTCCTTTGTAGGGACATGGATGAAATTGGAAATCATCATTCTCAGTAAACTATCGCAAGAACAAAAAACCAAACACCACATGTTCTCACTCATAGGTGGGAATTGAACAATGAGAACACATGGACACAGGTAGGGGAACATCAGACTCTGGGGACTGTTGTGGGGTGGGGGGAGGCGGGAGGGATAGCATTAGGAGATATACCTAATGCTAAATGACGAGTTAATGGGTGCAGCACACCAGCATGGCACATGTATACATATGTAACTAACCTGCACATTGTGCACATGTACCCTAAAACTTAAAGTATAATAATAATTAAAAGAAAAAAAATTAATTTAAAATATATAAAATAGAATTCAAATGCATCAGAGTTAGATGCTCACACTATAAGAAACCCATGGAACTTAATCCTAACTCATGGAACAGTAGAATCATGATTATCATTTCATACTCACTCTGGGACATATTTTTGCTCATTGAATGGAACAGGTAGCGAACTTAGCCCTATTTGTCTAAACTGTCATCTTCCCTTACTTTCTGATATACACAAACACACTCCCACAAGAACACACACCAACCTAAATGTGATGATGATGATTAACTCTACTGCTCTTCGTTTAGTTCATAGTTTCACAATCCTATCCTCATATTCCCTCAGAACTCTAAAATTAAAACTACCCAGACTTGGTAATTCTTTTTCATCCACTTTGATAAAATAAAAGGCCTGATGGAGGGTGCCCAGAGGTATGCTGATAAGGGAGCCCTGATCTTATGTGTCTATGAATGTGGAATGTTCATGGCTCCATCAAAGCACAACATTGACAAGAGCCAAATCTGGAGTTCCTTAAGTTATCTAGGCCCTCCACCCCTCTGATCTCCCCAAAACCAACTCTGCTCAGAATATGCCCATGACTTTTCTCACCTATTCAATATGGCCCACAGCAGGCTAATCAGGGGTCTACCTTCACCCATTCAAGCAGCCTGCAGAGTGCACCCTTGACATCCTTATTGTGGAGGCTATACACAAATGGGTTGGCCAAAGGTGTAATGGCAGTATACATTACTGAAGCCACCATGTCCTGATACTGAGAGTTCTGGAAGGGAGGCTGGAAGTAGACACAAATGATGGTGCCGTAGAGGAAACCAACCATGGTGAGGTGGGATCCACAGGTGGAGACTGCTCGGCGGCGACCAGCAGCTGAAGGCAAACGTAGAATAGCGGCCCCAATTCGGACATAAGAGAGTACAATGAGGGCACAGGGGCCCAGCATAAGGAAGCCACCCTCAAAGAATATGGCCAGCTCATTAGAATGTATGTCAGAACAAGAGGCTCGCAGAAGTGGCCGGTGGTCACAAAAGAAGTGAGGAAGGTTAACGTTGCCCCCAGCATCCCCAGTCCAGCAAAGAGGCAGGACGAGTCCCACACGCAACATGGTGTGCAGTATGGACACCACCCAGCTCAAGGCTAGTAAGCAGGCACACCGTTGGTGATTCATTACCAAAGCATAGTGCAGGGGGTCACAGATGGCCACATAGCGATCCAGAGCCATGACAGCAATGACAAGTGTATCTGTAACCCCAAATGCATAGAAGAAAAAGAACTGAGCCAAGCAGCGGGCAGCAGGAATGGTTGGGTAATGAGAGACCAAATGGGCCAGCAACTGGGGCAGTGTAACTGTGGATAGCCCCATGTCTATCACAGAGAGGCCACGAAGCAGATAATACATGGGTGAGTGCAGTCTGGAGTCCCAGGAGATGAGCAGCACCAGTGTCACATTCCCCAGTATGGTGGTCAGGTAAATAGCCAGGAACAGGAAGAAGAGGAGAGTGTAGGAGATGTTAGCTCTCGAGAACCCAAGGAGCAAAAAAACCGGAGAGTGTGAAGCATTAGGGGCAAAGCTCATCATGAGTGACAGTCAGCCTGCCTGAAAGACAGTTTAAGTCAAAAAGAAAGTCATGGGTCTGATGTTAGGGATCATAGCATTTCTAGTTAATTATATTACGTTACTAAAGATCGTTAAAGACCTAGATTCGAACTTGACCATCTACTCTCCCTCCCTAAGGTCTAGGATTTCGCTTCCTTAATATGTATTTATTTTCTCCTTTATTTCTTCCTTTTCACCCACCCTAGTGACTTGTTCCATCTAATTCACAAGCCCTACTAAAGTCCCTCCCACAGTGAAAAACTCTTCATTCATTCTTGTCTTTTCATCCAACTATTTCTTATCTTTTTCCAGTGGCCGACTTCATGAAAGAATTATCTATATTCACTGTCTCCAGTTCCTTACCTTCCATTCACACCTCACCCAACTGCAATCCTCATGATGTCTTCTCTCTGAACCTGTATGGAAAATAACATACCATTAAAACACATACCATACAAAGAAACAATTCTTTCGACATAGCTGACTTTTTTACATTTTCCTCTAAGGTCTGGAACAAGACAAGGATGTCCACTTTTACCACTCCTATTCAACATAGTAATAGAAGTTCTAGCCAGAGCAATTAGACCAATGAAAGAAAAGCCACCCAAATTGGAAAAGAGGAAGCCAAATTATCCATGTTTGCTGATAACGTGATCTTATATTTAGAAAAACCTAAAGACCCCACCAAAAAACTCTTAGATGAGATACTGCTTTAGAATGTCATGAAATTACTTTTTCTTTCTCTTTATTCCCTGTGTTAGTTAATAGCATTATCATTATCATCAGCCTGATGCACAAACAAAAAACTGAAGGAATTACTCCATCATCTCCCACATCCAATCATTCCTTAACGTCTATGTTTTCCCTTATATCCATTCTTTGCTGTTAGTCCACTATGACTATTTAAGTTTTAGCATCTCTAACCAATACTAATTTCTACAACCTCATTACTGGTTTCTCTACTTGACTCTCCTGATAGGTCTTCCATACTGATACTGGAATAAAACTTTCAATATGTGACTCCTTGTTTAAATAGTCAGGGACTTCAGAATAAAATCCAAATGCTTAATCTGTCTTGTATGGAACTTTCATTATTAGTACCTAACTTCTCTTAGAATTATACTGAGTCACCTATCCAGGGTTTTTTTGTTTTTGTTTTTGTTTTTGTTTTTTTAAGACAGTCTCACTCTATCACCCAGGCTGAAGTGCAGTGGCTTGATCTTGGCTCACTGCAACCTCTGCCTCCCAGGGTCAAGTGATTCTCCTGCTTCAGCCTCCCAAGTAGCTGGGACTGCAGGCACACATCACCACACCCAGTTCATTTTTGTATTTTTAGCAGAGACAGGGTTTCACCATGTTGGCCAGGCTAGTCTCGAACTCCTGATCTCGTGATCCAACCATCTCGGCCTCCCAAAGTGCTGGGATTACAGGCATGAGCCACCGTGCCTGGTCCCAGTGTTTTAAACTAGACATTTTTTCTTAATTCTCAAACATGGTAAGCTCTCACACCCCTGCACATCTTCCCATTATTTTGAGAATTTGGGCTTTCTGAAATATGAGGTATGTAATACAATCATCCACACATGCCCACTCAACACAGAAACTTAGAGAAAATATAATAATCATACTTTTTTTTTTTTTGAGACGGAATCTCGTTCTGTCGCCCAGGCTGGAGTGCAGTGGCACGATCTCGGCTCACTGCAAGCTCTGCCTTCCAAGTTCATGCCATTCTCCTGCCTCAGCCTCCAGAGTAGCTGGGACCACAGGCGCCCGCCACCATGCCAGGCTAATTTTTTTGTATTTTTAGTAGAGACGGGGTTTCACCGTGTTAGCCAGGATGGTCTCGATCTCCTGACCTCGTGATCCGCCCACCTCGGCCTCCCAAAGTGCTGGGATTACAGGTGTGAGCCACCATGCCCAGCCAATAACATACTTTTAAAATCATAACTAAGCTTTCAAGAACATAAGGGAAATACAAGAGTCTGTAATCAAAGAGGAATATGAAAAATTAATATCTAAAAACTATCTGTGATTATGGAGGTAGTGATGGCAGGTGACAGGTGGCAGGTAGGTTCAAGGGCATCACATCAGTCTTCATAGTCCACAGGTTTGATTATTAACATCCGTGTGGAACAGGAGATAAGAGCTTAAACCTGTATGAGGCAGGAGGTAGAGACCACCACATAAATTGAGGACACTCAAAAGGCTAAACTTTCAGCAAAAGGGTATACACGAACAGGAAAACACACACACACACCTACACCCACACAGGGTATGTGAGAACAAATGAAAATTCAGATCGCTCAGTCTGGACTACATGGAAGGAAAAGTGCTTTCCATGGGAATGCAGTTATGGATCTGTACCACATAAGAAGTGCATAATGCTAATTTACAAAATACATACAATTCTAGAACTCTCAAAATAAAAAATCAACATAAAAATTATCTTCATACAGGTAAAAGCATTGGAGTACCTTTTAGAAGTGAACATAAAACTTCTCAGTGACTTATAGACTCTAGACAGGAATCCCACAAACAGAAATCCACCAAAGATGAGCTCACAATTCAAAATTACAAAACACACATAAAGTCTATTCATTATGAAGATACTCATCAATCAACAAATAATGTGATAACCTCCTCCAAATGTCATAAAATTAACCAATCTGTTAAGGAATATACATTATATTTAAAGTACTTAGTGTCTAAGAGAGAAAATAAAGATTATAAGAAAGAAGTTATCAAAAAAAAAACATATTTTTAAAGGCCCAAAAAGAATTACTAGAAAACAAAAACATTCACATTGAAATGAAAAACTCAATGGATGGGTTAGACAGTGGCTGAAGAGAGAAGTTAGTTCTTTTAAAAATTTTTCTCTATTTCCATAGGTTTTGGAAGAACAGGTGGTATTTGGTTACAAGAGTAAGTTCTTTAGTGGTGATTTCTGAGATTTTGGTGCACCCATCACCCAAGCAGTATACACAGCACCCAATTTGTAGTCTTTTATCCCTCACCCCCCTTCCACCGCTTCCCCCAAGTCCCCAAAGTCCATTGTATCATTCTTTTCCCTTTGCATCCTCATAGCTTAGCTCCTACTTATGAGTGAGAACATTCAATGTTTGGTTTTCCATTCCTCAGTTACTTCACCTAGAATAATGGAAAGCAGCTAATTCTAAGAAAAATACCCAGGAGACAGTACAAAGTGACCCAGATAATATGAAGGGGGTTTGTATTAGTTTGTTTTCACCCTGCTGATAAAGATAATATGAAGGGGGGTTGTATTAGTTTGTTTTCACCCTGCTGATAAAGGCATACCCAAGACTGGGCAATTTAGAAAATAAAGAGGTTAAAAGGACTTACAGTTCCACATGGCTGGGGAGACCTCACAATCATGGCAGAAGTTGAAAGGCACATCTCACATGGCGGCAGACAAGAGAGCTTCTGCAGGGAAACTCCCCTTTATAAAACCATCAGATCTCATGAGACTTATTTACAATCATGAGAACAGCACAGGACAGACCTGCACCCATGATTCAATTACCTCCCACCAAGTCCCTCCCTGAACACATAGGAATTCAAGATGAGATTTGGGTGGGGACACAGCCAAACCATATCAAGAGTTAAGAATTTCAGGAAACAAAATAAGAAGACCCATTATATATCAAATAAGTCCAAGAAAAAAACTGGATACTACATACAAAAGAATGGAATTGGACCCTTATCTCACACCATTCACTAAATCAACTCAAAATGGACTGAAGACCTAAACACAAGACCTGAAACCACAAAATTCCAAGAAGAAAATACAAGGGGGAGACTCCTTGACATTAGTTTTGGCAATCATTTTCTGGATATTACACCAAATGCTCAGGCAACAAAAGCAAACATAAACAAGTGAGACTACATCAAACTAAAAAGCTTTTGCACAGCAAAGGAAATAATCAACAGAATGAAAAGGCAGCCAACAGACTGGGAGAAAATATTTGCAAACAATATATCTGATAAGGGGTTAATATTCAAAATATGCTTAAAAACTTATACTCAATAGCAAAATAATAATAATAATAATAACCAAGTTTCAAAATGGGCAAAGAGGCCAGGCATGGTGGCTCATGCCTGTAATCCCAGAATTTTGGGAAGCCAAGGCAGGCAGATCACTTGAGGTCAGGAGTTTGAGACCAGCCTGGCCAACATGGAAAAACCTCGTCTCTACTAAAAATACAAAAATTAGCCCGGCATGGTGGGACATGCCTGTGGTCCCAGCTACTTGGGAGGCTGAAGCAGGAGAATTTCTTGAACCCAGACGCAGAAGTTGCTGTGAGCTGAGATCACACCACTGCACTCCAGCTTGGGTGACAGGGTGAGACTATGTCTCAAAAAAAGGGTGGGGTGGGGGGGTGCAAAAAGAACGTGTATTAGTCTATTTTCACACTGCTATAAAGAAATACACTATAGCCTGACCAACATGGAGAAACCTCGTCCCTACTAAAAATACAAAATTAGCCAGGCATGGTGGCACATGCCTGTAATCCCAGCACATTGGGAGGCTGAGGCAGGTGAATCACCTGAAGTCGGGAGTTTGAGACCAACCTGACCAACGTGGAGAAACCCCGTCCTTACTGAAAGTACAAAATTAGCCAGGCGTGGTGGCACATACCTGTAATACCAGCTACTCAGGAGGCTGAGGCAGGAGAATCGCTTGAACCCGGGATGTGGAGGTTGTGGTGAGCAGAGATCATGCCATTGCACTCCAGCCTAGGCAACAAGAGCGAACTCCATCTCAAAAAAAAAAAAAAGAAAAGAAAAAACAGAAGAAAAAAGAAACAAAAAAGAAATACCCGAGACTGGGTGATTTATAAAGGAAAGAGGTGTAATTGACTCACAGTTCCACACACAGCTGGGGAGCCCTCAGGAAGCTTGCAATCATGGTGGAGGGCAAAGGAGAAGCAAGTACCTTCTTCACAAGGCAACAGGAGAGAGAAAATGCAGGGGGAACTGCCCCTTATAAAACCATAAGATCTCGTGAGAATGCACTATCACGAGAACAGCATGGGGGAAACCACCCCCATGATCCAATCACCTCCCACCAGGTCCCTCCCTTGACATGTGGTGATTACAATTGGAGATGAGATTTGGGTGGGGACACAGGGCCAAACCATACCAGAACCTGAATAAATATGCATCCAAAGATATACAAATGGCCATAGGTATATGAAAGTGTGCTTAACATCACTAATCGTCAGGGAAATGAAAATCAAAATCACAATGAGATAGCACCTCACACCTGCTAGGATGGTTATTATGCGGAATAACAAGAAGAAATAACAAGTGTTGGCAAGGATATGAAGGAAAGGGAACACTTGCACATTGTTGGAAGGAATGTAAATTGGTGCATCCATTATGGAAAACAGTACAGAGGGTCTTTAAAAACTTAAAAATAGAACAACCAGGTGACCCAGCAATCCCTCTCCTGGGTATACACCCGAAGGAAAATAAATCAGCACCTCATAGAGATATCTGCACTCCCATGTTCACTGCAGCATTATTCACAATAGCTAAAATATGGAAACAACCTAAGTGTCTTTTAATGAATGAATGGCTAAAGAAATTGTGGAATATTATTTAGCCTTTAAAAAGGAAGAGGTTCTGCTCTTTTTTGTGATAACATAAATGAACCTGGAGGATATTATGTTAAGTGAGATAAGCCAGGCACAGAAAAAAATACTGCATAATTTTACTTTTATGTAGAACCTTACGTTTTAAAAACTAAATACATAGAAACAGTGACTAGAAGGGTGATTAGCAGGAGTCGGGGAAGGGAAAAAATGAGTAGTTAGAGCTCAAAAGATACAAAGTTACAGTTTTGTAGGATGGATGTCTAGAGGTATACTGTACAGCAAGAAGACATATTAATAATATTGCATTGTATACTTCTATCATGGAAATTTGCCAAGAGAGTAGATTTAAGGTGTTCTTACCACAAAAAAATAGGTAACTATGTGAGATAATGGATATGTTAATTTGCTTGACTGTTGTAACCATTTCACTATGTATGTGTACATTAAAACCTTATGTTGTACACATTAAATATACACAATAAAAAATAAGTCCAAGATTAAGTATATGAGAAAATAGAGGAGAGGCAATATTGAAGAGACACAAACTAAGAATTTGCCAGACTTAATGAAGGAAATGAATCCTCAGATTGAAGAATCACAGTAACTCCCAAACAAGATAAATTTTTTAAATTCCATACATAGACACTATGTTAGGGAAACCACTGAATAGAAATTCGAAGAGGTTATATTAAAAGCAACAAGAAAGACAAATAGACTGACAAAAGATTTATCAGCAACAAGAGATTCTAGAAAATCAGGAAATAATATTTCCAAAGTGCTGAGAGAAAATAATGACCAAACTCAAATTCTATATCCCTTTAAACTATTGAAAAAATAAAAAAGCATTTTTACGGATACTGTTTTCTCTTTCATGGAATGTCCTCCCATCCTGTTAGGGCCCAAACTTAGGACCACATGCTAACAAGTAAAAAGCTGCTCATGTTGAAGGTCTCAGTCAGGCTTCGTTTCTACTTGGAGACTTCACCAAGTCCCTGCACGGTCATTTTAGTGGAGCATTTTTTGCTTTTCAAGTAACTTCGTAAATACTGACTTGCCTATCTCCCAATGTACACTGTTACCATGTGTGTATACACACACATATACACATATGAACCCATGTAGATACACACATGCATGCACGCATACATACACATATATACTGGCCAGGAGCAGTGGCTCACGCCTGTAATCCCAACAATTTGGGAGGCCAAGGCGGGTGGATCACCTGAGGTCAGGAGTTCAAGACCCACCTGGGCAACACGGTGAAACCCAGTCTCTACCAAAAATACAAAAAATTAGCCGAGCCTGGTGGCAGGTGCCTGTAATCCCAGCTACTTGGGAGGCTGAGGCAGGAGAAATGCTTGAACCCAGAAGGCAGAGGTTGCAGTGATCCAAGATCATGCCATTGCACTCCAGCCTGGGCAACAAGAATGAAACTCTGTCTCAAAAATAAATAAATAAATAAATAAACAAACAAACACACACATGTACATTCATCACTGACTTCCTAATACCTAACACAGAGCTGGGGAATGAGTGGGTGCTCGTTAAACATTTGTTAACCAAACAAAAAAGATTTTCTACTAAAGGGCAGTGGTCTAGAAGTTAATACAAAGGTTTCGGAGTCAGACTTACCTGGAGTTTCACTCCATATCTGCCATTTATTAACTATGTGATCTTAAGCAAGTTATGCTTTCTCATCTGTCAAATAGTGACAAAATTTCTCATAAGGTAGAGAAGATTAAAGGAGAACATATTCCGTTAAGAGAGTATTTTTGGAAGAAAATGAACTTTGCAGAGGTAAAGTAGGAAGTAACTTTTTTCACACGACTGCTTTTTGAAAAGTCTCATTTTTAGGTACTAAAATTCCAACACATTAGAATATAAAAATTTTAATTCTCAAGCAATTTAAACTGTGCTTTCTTCCCCAGCAGGGTTTATATTTTCATCCAGAAACCTGCATTAGGGAAAGAGGGATGCGACTGTCTTCATCTTTGCACCATCTTATCCATCCTTTTCTGTCTCTGGCTATTGCAGTGTTGATTTGAAGAAGGGAAACGGAAAGGTAAGGTCTCTTTGAAAGATAGAGCTGGTAGAAGTTACAAATACTGACTCTCTTCTCTTGCGGAACATCATATTGGCCCATTTGAGACCACCTATAGGTAACTATTACTGCATTCTTCCCAGATGAGACTAATTCAAACCCTGTCTGATCCCTTAGAGCCCCCTCCCTTACATTGGACATCTGACTGCACCCTTCTAAGCTTCTTCTAGGATTGCCTTACTCTAGCAAGAAATTCTCTTAGGTGGAATGATTTTCAAGATGACACAGCTCATGTACCATCCTTGGGTCCAAGGAAAGTTAGTCTAAGGAAAACTCATACATTTTTATCCCAACAAATTTGGTAAATGCAGTCTTCTCTTTCTCAATGCACTGGCAGAAGTTGCACTTGGCCCTTCCCTCAAGCTTTCTTTAAGGCCTTAAGTAATATTTTACACTGCATTCTTAGTTTGCAAACATTTTCTTAAACTATCTTTTTGTTACCAGTTTCTAATTTAATAGCATTCTGGCCAGAGAATTTAATCTCTGTGAGGTTACTTCTTTGAAGTTTTTTAAGATTCATTTTGTAGCCCAATATGTGGCTAAAAAATGGATATACAGATACAGAAATGGACAGTCCCAAAAACAAAATCACGATTTGTAGAAATTGTGGTATATAACAGTGATGGCATTCTTCAGTGATGAAGAATAGGTAATTCAGTTAAATATAGTGCTATAACTCTACATAAATATTTTAACTTGTGTTTCATTCACACTATACAGCATTTGAAATCAAAACAACATGCATGGAGTGTAAAACTCCAAGACATAATGTTAACTGGGAAAGGCCCGTTGCAAAATGATAGAAAAGTATAACAACAGATATAAAGTTGTAAAACATGCAAGAGAATTCTGTCATTTTTATAAAACATACATAGTGAAATTCTAGAAATATGCAGGAAAATAATGAATAGCTTATTTGGGATAGTAGTTTTCTTTAGGAAAAGAGGAAAGAGAAGCAGTTTGGGCTTTAATTGTATCTATAGCAGTCAATTTTTTCAAGGTAAGAACTGAAACAAAAAAGGGCAAATTTAAGTTTTGTTGAAGTTGGGTGTTTAGTATATGTAGTTCATTGTTTTGGTTCCTATGTATTTTTCTATACTGTGAAGCTTTTCCTATTAAAATATAAACAATAAAGCCAAGGGTAGCAATGGAGATATAAGACTTTTATTTTCTAGTGGTTTTTATTATTGATGCCTTCTAAGGTTAAGCATACCTTTCTAACTCAAAATAATATCCACATCACACATTCAGCACCAGGATACTCAAGCTAGTACATTATGGAGAACCCAGAATTAGGTAATATCTATCCGAGAACTAAGATAATCAGAGATTTATCTCCAAAACAATTTGCCAAGACCTTATGGAAAAAGAAAAGGTCACAATACTTGTGAATTATAATCATCAGGCCTGTGCATTGAGCCATGAAGTTCCCCTAGATGGTCTTTCCCTGACCCCAGGCAGGACCCATGTTTCCAATTATCATTTCTGGTTCTCTGTCTCACTATAGCAAGTTCTACAGTGAGCTTCTCATAGCAGCTTTTAGTTTGTGCTGATTGAAGGGATCTAGAGCAGGAGAAAAGTTTACACAGAGCTCCGGAATAGAAGGGAGAAATCTTCAGCAAGACTGAGAGATGGAAGGCTCATAACGGACTATATTTCCCCAGCCTCAGAAGCCCAAAATTTAACTAATCATAAGCTTTGGTTTATGCTACACTACAGTGGTTCGATTATAACCTGCTTGCCTGCTTACTCACTTGGTTTTAAATATTATTATAAACACACATCAACGTACTGTCCAACAAAGAAACAACAACATTGATGATAATTCATATCTACTTAGATAGACGTTTTTCATCACCTCCCCGTTACCTCCTGCTTAGGGTAACCAACCTTTAGAATCTTGAGTTAATCATCTTCTTACTCTTCTTAACATGTTTATATATTATATACGTCTATGATTTTGATACATCTATAGATATTCCAAAAAGAATATTGTCAAGTTTGAGACGATCTTAAATGTATTAAAGGATAACAAGCTTTAAGTAACTTGAGGTGGACATATCTTTAGATCTCAGCATCATATTACTTCACTGATATTATTGGATATAGCTTTGGTTCATTTATTTTTCACTGCTATATAATAGCCCTTTGCATGAACATATCACAATGTATTTATACATTCTCTGTGATATATATTTGGGTTGTTTACTGATTTCCGTTATACAAAGCATGGGTCTAAGCTTATATAAGTGTATGTTTCTGTGCTTTAAGTTACTAACTTTCATATGTGAGTAAGTTTTTTGACTTGTCTTTGAATTTCAGATTCCTCAACCATAAAGTGGACATGGGAACTACTTTCACAAAGTTGTTGGAAGAATTAAATAAAATGCCTATTATTGTTTAAAAATTATAATTTGTACTTTGTAATCTATCAAATTTAATTTCAATATATATTTATATATTGAATCTATCAAATTAAATTTCAATATATATTTATATATATTTATTTATATTGAAATTATTCAAGTATAATTTCAATATAAAGTAATTTACTCCATTTTTGCTTCCAAGGTTATAAATGAACAGTCTTCACCCACACACAATGATCTATAACAACAGGAGTAGTAGAACAAGAAGCTAACATTTTTTGAGCCCTTTTAATGTGCCACAAACTGTACGAAGCACTCCACATGCATGATTTCACGAAACCTGCGGTTCTGTGAGGCAGGTACCATTTCTGATTTTACAAATGGGGAAACTGAAGCATACAGAAATTAAGCAACTTGCTTACTATTGTAGAACTAGTCAGTGGCAGAACTGGAATTTTAACACGAAGATTTGGAAATCTTGATCATGGCTTCTCCCAACCCTTCTTCATTTTCCTTCTTTACTATTATTATCCACTATCCCCCACCTTCTAGATATTTGCTTTTGTCTAATCTCTATAATACTATAAAATTATTAATTTTATCCTCCTCCCTCCAAGTGGTTATCTCTTTTCTATATATTTTCCTTACTTCCTCTCCCATTCCCCTCACCATGAAGCCTCCCCAAGAACAAACCAGAAGAACATGTCCAGTTCTAGATCCTGGTCATGATCAACTTAATGCTGATTATTCTACAGTTCTTGTTGAAAATACAATACCTAATGAAGCCAAGTATATAATGGAGGGCTAATAATATAGTCGAAGGATCCAGAGAGAATAACAGGGACTGGAAAATAAAAGGAGACAGAAGAAAAGTCAGAGGAAAAGCAGGAAATTTGGTGAAGGGATATGGAGTGGGCGGGAAATGAAGATTTAGTCACCATGAATCAATCGTATTGGAGATTTTAAACAATTTGTAAGAGCAATTGCCAAAGACTGTTTTCTCACAAAGCACAACTGTTATTTTAAACAGTGCTTGGCAACTGGAATCTATGCCTCTGGATATACAAGAGAAGAGAGAAGAGAAGGCATGGAGAGAATTGTTCTGAATACTTGAATTTGCCTATGGTTCCCAGAAACTAATTTTGGCTAGATTAAGTACATCAGGTAGTCACATGATCCAGAAGATAATTCATTTATTTATCCATCCATTTATTGATTAATTCATACGTCCTACTAATATTTATTTCTTACCAGTGATGGGACATTAAGACACATCATACAAAGACCCTGCCATAAAGAAGTCATAGCATGGAGAGAAAGAAGAATAAATATTAGATGCAAAACAGTATAATAAGTGATATAATAAATATAAGCAAACGGGCTTGTGAATCTTATTTGGAGTTGGTCCCATTTCAGACTTAGGTGAGGTCAGGGATGGAATGAGGTCATGAAAATATTCCTCAGTAGGTAACAAAATCATAACAGGGTATAGTGCATCAAAGCACTTTGGGCTAATATCAAAACTTCCCTCCATATTACTCAAAGAACAGCTGGCTTTCTGAACAATAGTGGTGAATGTGACATAATGTGTGTGTGCATGTATGTGTATATGTGTGTATAAGCCCTATATATGTGACAAATTTTCAAAAAATAATTACTGAAATGTGAATTTACTGTTAATTGAGTGTTTCTTCTAAACCTTTCTTTCTAAAGTTCCATGTTTCCAAAAGTAATTTTGTGACTTTCTTCAAGAGATAATTGAAAGTCACGGCAAGGGTTAGAGACATAGAAATGAAGACACAATGGAGGAAAGGACAAATGCAGTAGAAAACAAAGCAGTCAAAGTGGTGGGGAAAGAGTAAGAATGGAAATGCAGGGTGGAAAGAGAATGCACACTGAATGTGAGAATTCAAAGAGCATAAGGACCCATGGAAGCAGAGAATAGAATGCTGGTTCCCAGGGAGTGGGGGTTGGGGAGAGGTCATCAAAACATACAAAATTTCACTTAAATAGGAAGAATAAGTTCAAGAGACCTTTTATACAACATGGTGACTATAGTTATCAACAATATAGCCTTGAAAATCACTAAGAGTACATTTTGTAGTCTCACCACAAAAATATAAGTATGTGAGATAATGCACGTGTTAATTAGCTCAATGTAGCCATTTCACAAGGTATGCAAATTCCAACATCATGTTGTATATTATAAATCTATACAAATTTTAATTGTCAATGAAAAATATAATTTTTTTAAAAAAGATCTTTGAAATGAGAAGACAGAGGAGCATAATTGGGGATTAGAATAAAGAAAATGATTAGGGCAGAGATAATGAGCAGAAATAAAGATTTTCAGGAAAAGAAGAAGGGCGTGCAGATGATGAGTGAGAGAAGGGTAGGAATGTGGACAGAGTAGAAGGAAAGCAGAAAAGAGATGGTTGGAAGTGGTGTAAAGGAAAGAGAAATGAAGGCAGGTATGAAAAATAGAACATCAAGAATGGGAACAGAAAGGAGAAAGGATAGAAAAGGAGGGTAGAGTGAGGAGCGAGAAGGGAATTGCTATGAAGGCATAAAGGAGAAAAGATGGTGTTCAACAGGAATAGATCCAGAGTGAGAGACAGGTTATTGATAGAGAAAGACAATAATTTGTCAGGGAAAAACAGGATGGAGAATGAAGGCTAGTTCCCCACCCACACATTCACCTGGCAAGAAAGGACGGCTGTGACTCTGGATTGTGTGACTCCAGCCTCCTCTTAAACCTCAGAGATCTGGCCATGGTGCTGAAGGACAGACACTCAGCAGACAGAGCAGGAAATCAGGGCTGGTGAGGCTAGGTGAGATTTAGGAGTTGTGGGGCCCTAGAGATCTTTCCTCTAGAGCCACCTGGGGGGAGGTCAGGTACAATGCCTGCCACCTCACAGATCAGGCAAGCATTGACATACTCTCAAGGGAAGGTACTTTTAAGTACCACGAGTCTCTGCCAATGTCTCCATGCCACTGATCCTGTTGGGGTAGAGAAGACAAATCAATCAATGCCCAGGTACCCCAGACGACAAACACTTGTGTATCATTACCCTAATCACTCACACAGTCATCACTTTATCTTCTTCCTATGATATAATAAGTAAATCATGATGTAATCACCTAAAGCAGGGCTTTGGAGACGAAATTGAATATAATTCTAGGCTATAACACTTATACATTCTGTGAATCTGGCAATTACTTAACATCTCTGACCTCTAGTCTACTTACATGTAAAGTGCTAATAACATCTAATGTTTTATAAAAGATTTTTGTAAGGACTAGAATATTTTACCTGAAGTGTCGGATATAGTGCCTGGCATGTACTAAAAGGCTCAAATAATAATTGTTTTTGTTGATAAAAGAATGGGGGTGTGGGGCAAGATGGCAGAATAGAAGCCTATACCATTTGTTCCTCCCCCACCACTCTCACTGGACCACCTAATTTTAACATCTGCACAGAGAAAAGCACTGACACAAGAACCAAAAATCAGGTGAGTAAGCACAGTACCTGGTTTTAACTCCATATCATGGAAGGCTATTGAGAAGGGCAGGACAGTCTTGAATCTCTGATGCCACCCCTCCCTGACCCCCCAACAGTGGCCATGCTGCAAGGAGAGAGAATATGTGCACTGTGGGGAGGGAGAGCACAGCAACTGAGGGACTTTACACTGAACTCAGCACTTCCCTGTCACAGCAGAGAATAAAGCCATGCTGGACTCAGCTAGTACCTGCACAGGAATGGAGTATTTGGACCAGCACTCGCTGGAGGGGAATCACTCATCCCAGTGGTGAGAACCTGAGTTACTCAGCAAGCCTCGCCACCATGGGTTGAAGTGTTCTCGGGTCCTAGGTAAACTTTAAAGGCAGTCTAGGACACAAGGACTGCAATTCCTAGGCAACTCCTAGTGCTAGCCTGGGCTTAAAGCCAGTGAACTAGGGTGGCACGTGACCCAGGGAGACATTAGCTGGCATGGCTAAGGGAAGGCTGGCGCCATACCTCCTCCAAACCCAGGCAGTGCAGTTTGTAGTAATGAAAGTGACTCCTTCCTTCTGCTTATGGAGAGGAGAATGAAGAGTAAAGAGGACTTTGTCTTGCATCTTGGGTACCAACTCAGCCACAGCAGGATAGGGCATTGGGCAGAATTGTAAGGCCCCCATTCCAGGCCCTAGCTCTGGGATGACATATCCTTGGCCAAAAGGGAACCCACTGTCTTGATGGAAAGAACCTAGTCCTGGCAGGATTCATCATCTGCTGACTAAAGAGCCCTTGGGTCCTGAACAAGCACCAGCAATACCCAGGGAGGACACTGTGGGCCTTGGGCTCTGAGACATGCTGGCTTCAGAGGAGACCCAGCACATTCCCAGCTGTGGTGGCTGTGAAAAAAGGCTCCACCTGTTTGAGAAAATCAGAGGGGAAAAGTAAATGGGACTTTGTCTTGCACTCTAGGTACCAGTTCGGCCACAGTAGGGTAAAGCAATAATCAGGCTATTGGGGTCTCTGGGTCCAGGCCTAGGTTCTTGGATAACATTTCTGGACCTGCTCTGGGCCAGTGGGGAGCTCACAGCCTTGAATGGTGAGTCTCAGGCCTAGCAGCATTCACCACAAGCTGAAAGAAGAGCCCTTGGGCTTTAAGCAAAACTTGGCAGTGGCCTGGCAGAAGCCCCATGGACCAGTGGTAGTGGTGGCCACAGGAAGAAGTTCCTCTGCCTGCCATAAGGGGAGGAAGGGGCAGAAAGGACTTTGAATAGTGGTTTGAGTGCCAGCTTAGCCACGGTAGAATAGAACATTAGGTAAATTGCTAAGCTTTTGAACTCTAATCCCTGGCTTCCAGATAGCATATCTAGACATGCATGGGCCTGGGTAAACTTGTCACCCTGAAGGGAAGGCCCTTGGCACAATCCCAGTGGTGGTGACCACAGTGGTGTTGGCATCACCACATCCCCAGTTCCAAGTGGCTCAGCAAGAAAGAGAGATAGTCCATATGTTTGGGGAAAAGTAAGAGAAAAGAATAAGAGTCTCTGCCTGGTAATCCAGAGAATTCTTGCAGCTATTTTCCAAGACCACCAAGGTGATATCTTTATGAGTCTGTAAAAACCATACCATGATTGGCCTTAGGGCTCAGGTCCCTTCCCTGGAGAGCTTTCCCAAGGACAGGCACACGCAAGCCCAGACTGTGAAAACTACAATAACTACCTGATTCTTCAATGCCCAGACACCAGTGAACATCTACAAGCATCAACGTCATCCAAGAAAACATGACCTCACCACATAAATAAGGCACCAGGGACCAGTCCCAGAGAAACAGAGATATATGAACTTTCAGACAAAGAATTCAAAATAGCTGTTTTGAGGAAACTCAAAGAAATTCAAGAAAACACAGAAAAGGAATTCAGAATCATATAAGAATTTTCACAAAGAGATTGAAATAATTTAAAATAATCAAGCAGAAATTCTAGAGTTGAAAAATACAATCCACATGCTGAAGAATGTATTAAAGTGTCTTAATAGCAGAACTGATCAAGCAGAACAAAGAACTGGTGAGCTTGAAGATATGCTATTTGAAAATACAGTCAGAGGAGACAAAAGAAAAAAAAACAGAATAAAGCATACTATAAGATCTAGAAAATAGCCTCAAGAGGACCAGTTACAGAGTTTTGCTCTTAAAGAGGAGGTAGAAAGAGAGAAAGAGATAGAAAGTTTATTCAAAAGGAAAATAACAGAGAACTTCACAAACCTAGAGAAAAATATCAACATTCAAGTACAAGAAGGTTATAGAACACTAAGCAGATTTAACACAAAGAAGACTCCCCCAAGGCATTTAATAATCAAACTTCCAAAGGCCAAGGATAAAAAAAGGATCCTAAAAGAAACAAGAGAAAAAAATAACATATAATGAAGCTCCAATGCAACTGGCAGAAGACTTTTCAGTGGAAACCTTACAGGCCAGGAGAGAGTGGCATGATATTTTTAAAGTACTGTAGGAAAAAAAATTTACCCTAGAATAGTATAGAATAGTATACCCAGTGAAAATATCCATTAAGCATGAAGGAGAAATAAAGATATTCCCAGACAAACAAAAGCTGAGAGATTTCATCAACACTAGACCTGTCCTACAAGAAATGCTAAAGGGAGTTCTTCAATCTGAAAGAAAAGAATATTAGTGAGTGAGAAGGAATCATCTGAAGGTACAAAACTCACTGGTAATAGTAAGCACCTAGGAAAAAACACAGATTAGTATAACACTATAATTGTGGTATGTAAACTTCTCTTAAGAGAAAGACTGATGAAACCATCAAAAATAATAACAACAACAACTTTTCAGGAAGTAGGCAGTACAATAAGACATAAAGAGAAACAACAAAAAGTTTAAAAGCGAGGGGAAAAGTTAAAGTGTAGAGTTTTTATTCATTTGCTTTTTGTGTGTTTGTTTATGCAATCAGTGTTAAGTTGTCATCAGTTTAAAATGATGGGTTATAAGATAGTATTTGCAAGCCTCGTGGTAACCTCAAATCAAAAAACATATAATGGATACACAAAAAACGAAGAGCAAAAAATAAAAGCATACCACCGCTGAAAATCACATTCACTGAAAGGAAGACAAGAAGGAAGGAAAAAAAGAAAGAGAAGACCACAGAACAGCCAGAAAACAAATTTTAAAATGAAATAAGTCCCCACATATCAATAATAACACTGAGTGTAAATGGATTAAACTCTCCAATCAAAAGACATAAAGTGGCTGAATGGATGAAAAAAACACAAGACCCAATAATCTTCTGCCTATAAGAAGTACACTTCACCTATAAAGACACACCTAGGCTGAAAATAAAGGAATGGAAAAAGATATTCCATGCCAATGAAGACCAAAAAAAAAAAGAGCAGGAGTAGCTGTACTTACATCAGACAAAATAGCCTTCAAGACAAAAACTGTAAGAAGAGACAAAGAATGTCATTATATAATGATAAAAGGATCAATTCAGCAAGAGGATATAACAATTATAAATATATATGCACCCAAAACTGGAGTACCCAGATATATAAAGCAAATATTATTAGAGCTAAAGAGAGGGATTCCACTGCAATAACAGCTGGAGAATTCAACACCCTATTTTCAGCACACCGCTATAATTGTGGTGTGTAAACTTCTCCTAAGTAGAAAGACTAAATGATGAACCAATCAAAAATAATAACTACAGCAACTTTTCAGGACATAGCACAATAAGACATAAGGAGAAACAACAAAAAGTTAAAAAGCGAGAGGACAAAGTTAAAGTGTAGAGTTTTTATTCGTTTTCTTTTTGCGTGTTAGTTTGTTTATGCAATCAGTGTTAGGTTGTCATAAGTTTAAAATGATGGGTTATTGGACAGATCTCTCAGACAGAAAATTAACTAAGAAACACTGGACTTAATCTGCACTATAAAACAAATTGACCTAATAGATATTTACAAAACATTTCATCCAATGGCTGCAGAAGACACATTCTTCTCTTCAGCACATGGATCATTCTCAAGGGTAGACCATATGTTAGGTTGCAAAACAAGTCTTAAAACACTCAAAAAATTGAAATAATATCAAGCATCTTCTCTGGCCACAATGGAATAAAACTAGAAATCAATAACAGGAGGAATTTTGGAAACTATACAAACACATGGAAATTAAACAAAATGCTCCTGAATGACCAGTGGGTCGATGATAATGGAAACACAACATACCAAAACCTATGGGATACAGTGAAAGCATTACTAAGAGGGAACTTTATGGCTATATGTGCATACATCAAAAAAGAGGAAAAACTTTAAATAAATAACCTAATGATGCATCTTAAAGAACTAGAAAAGCAAGAGCAAACTGAACCCAAAATTAGTAGAGGAAAAAAAATAATAAAGATAAGAGCAGAAATAAATGAACTTGAAATAAAGAAAATAATACAAAAGATCAATGAAACAAATAATTGTTTTTGTTGCTGCCACTGTTACTGATACAGTAATTGTAGATATTACACAGTCAAAGTGAATCCAGGTTTTTCAGCTGTTGCTACGATGCACTGTGTGTAACTCAATCCCCATATTTGACTCTGTGCTACAGGAGGGAAGAGGCTGTGATAAATTCACACCTGTACCCACTGACTAGCATGATGCCCAAAGCAAGCACTCAAGAAAGAATGGCTGAATAAATGGACAGTGGGTGACAACCTTTATTTCATTAACCCTAATTCCCTAACAAAATGAAATGCTCGATTTTTCCTATCATTCTCCAACAGTGTTTATATATCAAGAGTAAATATGTGTGAAATCAATCCATTTTTTTCTCCTTATATGCTTTGTTTTCACAATCAGTTAGCTAATGCATTCTCCCAGCTCTGTACCAGGCTAATGAAATATCTATTATTCCTTAAAAAAAATACAGATCAATGTATTGTGTTCTGGCAGAGATACAACAAAAAAAGAAAATTTCAGGCCAATTTCCCTGATGAACATTGATGAGAAAATCCTCAATAAAATACTGGCAAAATAAATCCAGCAGCACATTAAAAAGGTTATCCACCATGATCAAGTCGGCTTCATCCCTGGGATGCAAGGCTGGTTCAACATACGCAAATCAATAAATGTAATCCATCACATAAACAGAACCAATGACAAAAACCACATGATTATTTCAAAAGATGCAGAAAAAGCCTTCGATAAAATTCAACACCCGTTCATGCTAAAAACACTAAATAAACATGGTATTGATGGAATGTATCTCAAAATAATAAGAGCTATTTATGACAAACCCACAGCCAATATCACACAGAATGGGCAAAAGCTGGAAACATTCCCTTTGAAAACCGGCACAAGACAAGGATGCCCTTTCTCACCACTCCTATTCAGTAATTGTTTTAAGGAAGTCTCAGGATACAAAATCAATGTGCAAAAATCACAAACATTCCTATACGTCAATAACAGACAAACAGAGAGCCAAATCATCAGTGAAGTCCCATTCACAATTGCTACAAAGAGAATAAAATACCTAGAAATACAACTTACAAGGGATTTGAAGGACCTCTTCAAGGAGAACTACAAACTACTGCTCAAGGAAATAAGAGAGGATACAGACAAATGGAAAAACATTCCATGCTCGTGGATAGGAAGAATCAATATCATGAAAATGGCTATACTGCCCAAAGTAATTTATACATTCAATGCTATCCCCATCGACCTACCATTGACTTTCTTCACAGAATTAGAAAAATCTACTTTAAATTTCATATGGAACCAAAAAAGAGCCCATATAGCCAAGACAATCCTAAGCAAAAAGAACAAAGCTGGAGGCATTATGCTACCTGACTTCAAACTATATTATAAGACTACAGTAACCAAAACAGCATGGTACTGGTACCAAAACAGACATATAAATCAATGGAACAGAACAGAGAACTCAGAAATAACGCCACACATCTACAACCATCTGATCTTTGACAAACCTGACAAAAACAAGCAATGGGGGAAAGGATTCCCTACTTAATAAATGGTGTTGGGAAAACTGGCTAGCCATATGCAGAAAACTGCAACTGGACCCATTCCTTACACCTGATACAAAAATTAACTCAAGATGGATTAAAGACTTAAAGGTAAGACCTAAAACCATAAAAACCCTAGAAGAAAACCTAGGCAATACCATTCAGGACATAGGCATGGGCAAAGACTTCATGTCTAAAACACCAAAAGCAATGGCAACAAAAGCCAAAATTGACAAATGGGATCTAATTAAACTAAAGAGTTTCTGCACAGCAAAAGAAACTATCATCAGAGTGAACAGGCAACCTACAGAATGGGAGAAAAATTTTGCAATCTATCCATCTGACAAAGGGCTAATATCCAGAATCTACAAAGAACTTAAACAAATTTACAAGAAAAAAACAACCCCATCAAAAAGTGGGCAAAGGATATAAGCAGACACTTCTCAAAAGAAGACATTTATGCAGCCCACAAACATTTGGAAAAAAGCTCATCATCACTGGTCATTAGAGAAATGCAAATCAAAACCACAATGAGATACCATTTCACACCAGTTAGAATGGCAATCATTAAAAAGTCGGGAAACAACAGATGCTGGAGAGGATGTGGAGAAACAGGAACTCTTTTACACTGTTGGTGGAAATGCAAATTAGTTCAACCATTGTGGAAGACAGTGTGGCAATTCCTCAAGGATCTAGAACTAGAAATACCATTTGACCCAGCAACCCCATTACTGAGTATATACTCAAAGGATTGTAAATCATTCTACTAAAGACACATGCACATGTATGTTTATTGCAGCACTGTTCACAATAGCAAAGACTTGGAACCAACCCAAATGTCCATCAATAATAGACTGGATAAAGAAAATGTGGCACATATACACCATGGAATCCTATGCAGTCATAAAAAAAAGGATGAGTTCATGTCCTTTGCAGGGACATGGATGAAGCTGGAAACCATCATTCTCAGCAAACTAACACAGAAACAGAAAACCAAACACTGCATGTTCTCACTCATAAGTGGGAGTTGAACAAGGAGAACAAATGAACATAGGGAGGGGAACATCACACACCGGGGCCTGTCGGTGGGTGGGGGGCTAGAGGAGGGCTCGCATTAGGAGAAATACCTAATGTAGATGACACGTTGATGGGTTCAGTAAACCACCACAGCACGTGTATACCTATGTAACAAACCTGCAATGCCTGCACATGTACCCCAGAACTTAAAGTATAATTAAAAAATGAAAATTAAAAAAATATATATATAATATATTTATATATAGTCCCACACACTTATAAGGTATTTTAATTCTAGCAATATCAGTAAGACCAGACACAGTGCTCAGTAGATTAAATCTGGGGGAGGCAGAGACTCAGGCTCATGCTGTCATCTCCAGCAGTAAGAACTATATTGGCCTCTGGAGTTCAATGTTTAGAAATATAACTGATAAAATTCCAGAGCCTGCATTTATATGATTTACTTACCATGGCTATTGCAACAAAGAATAACATAAAAATGATATCACCTAATTTTAAGGTTATTAAGGAACTCTAGGTACCATTAAAATGGTTTGTCCCAGCCGGGCGCGGTGGCTCACGCCTGTAATCCCAGCACTTTGGGAAGCTGAGGTGGGCGGATCACGAGGTCAGGAGATCGAGACCATCCTGGCTAACACGGTGAAACCCCATCTCTACTAAAAAAATACAAAAAATTAGCTGGGCATGGTGGCGGGCCCCTGTAGCCCCAGCTACTCGGGAGGCTGAGGCAGGAGAATGGCGTGAACCCGGGAGGTGGAGCTTGCAGTGAGCCAAGATCGCGCTACTGCACTCCAGCCCAGGTGACAGAGCGAGACGCCGTCTCAAAAAAAAAAAATGGTTTGTCCCAAAGTAAACATGAAATAATTATCCAACATTCTTCATAATATATCTGATGAACATTTTAGGTTTAAAGACTAAATTTTTAAAATTAAAACATATTTTATAAAATGTTTTTACTGTTGACTTTTCTAAATTTAATTTTGTTTTGTTAATTGATACATAATATTTGTACATATTTATGGGGTACATACTGTGATCAATATGTACAATGTATAGTGATCAGATCAGGGTAATTAGCATATCCATCATCTCAAACACTTGTCATTTATTTGTGTTGGGAACATTCAATATCCACCTTCTAGCTATTCGAAACTACGTAATGTATTACTGTTAACTACAATCATCCTGCAGTGCTATAGAACACTGAACTTATTCTTCCTATATAGCTGTAATTTTGCATTCTTTAACAAGTATCTCTTTACCTTCCTTCCCCCTAACCTTCCCAGCCTCTAGTGTCCTCTGTTCTACTTTTTATTTCTATGACATCCACTTTTTTTTAGGACAAAGCTGGAGGCATCATACTACCAGACCTCAAAATATTGTTGATTTTTTTAAGACACAGAAACTTTGATACAACCTTAAGAAAATGATTTAGAGTGAGAAATTAACTCATCACTTTCACTTTTCTGGACTTACTAGCTTATTAGCAAAGAAAAGGATGTTTCCTAGTTTGTACATTCCAATTTGCAGAAAAATAAAACCAATTATAACAATTTTTATTTGTTGTGAGTTCATTTTTGAAATTATCATTTCAGATATATGTACATCAGGGCTTTTGCTCTATCACACAGGCTAGAGTGCAGTGGCACTATCATAGCTCACTGTAATCTCAAACTCTTGGCTCAAATGACCCTCCTGCCTCAGCCTCCTGAATAGCTGGGACTACAGCCTCCTGAGTATGCTGTGCCACCACACATTGCTAATTTTTAATTTCTTTATTGAAGAAAAAAGGTCTTGCTATGTTGCTCAGACTGGTCTCCAACTCCTGGCCTCAAGTGGTCGCCTTGGCCTCCCAAAATGCATCATTTCTGGTATTTTATTTCATTTAAGCATTGTCCAGAAAATTCCATATTAAAATTAGAAATATTTTTCAATATCTGTCATGAGTGAAAACTGAGATACTGTTTTCCTATTACTGATTCCAGAAATAACTGTATCAGATACTATTTAATAAAGATTCATATAATATTACAACTTACCTACTTCTAAAAGTCATCAATTAATATTCATTAAAATTAATTTTATATGACTGATTGCTAGAAAAGTTTGGGCTAAACATCTGGCTTTATCTGAAACTAGTAAACAGAATCTTGAAATTAGTTAATGTCATTTTGTTAAAGATTTGTGTGCATTATAGTATCGGCAAAGTCAAAAACCAGGAAGAGATTAGGTTCAGACCTGGACTTAAATTTAAAACCCTCACTTTCAACTCCACCGTTATTGATTTAGTTTCACTTAAACCACATCATCTGTTCCATAAATAAGTGTTCTTATTTTGAAATATGTCTGCAATACTTTATTTAATTTGTATCTTTATTACAGGTTTAGAGTTAAATCTGTATATTGATACATTCATTAGGGCTTAGAATTTTCTGTTCATATATATTCTACTGACTTTAAAATAAAACAGGTTAACTCAGGTTCTATGTTTGTTGTTGTTTTTTTTTCATCTTAAAGTAACTGTATAATGCTCAAGTTTGATAACTTCAGCTCCAGATGATTTATCAAGGAATGATCCAAAATTAACCCTCATTATATTATCTATCTTAAATCCCTGGGGATTGGAAGGATATAGGGGAATAACTTTCATCTCTTGGTTCTTCAACTTGTCTCTTACGGAATGTAGCTCTCCTATAATCACAGTGGGGAAGTCAAAGCCCCCTGCTCCAAGCTAAGGGTGCCTGTGACACTAGGCTGTAATTTCCACAATGTGGGATCCACCTGGAGTCCCAGCATTACTGTGCTCAAAGTAACCAGGCACTCAGGACTAAGGCCAGCTAGACTGAGGACTTGGCATCAGCCCAAGATAAACAGACAGTCATAAGTGTTTTAAATTGACCAAGATGAAAAGGGACACTTTCCTTGGAGATAGAAAAGGCTCTGAGGAATATGAGAATGTACTGATGATAAAGCACTAGTTAATATGTATTAATGTAATATGTATTATGTATTAATGTTGACAGACACCATGCTACGTATTAAATGCTTTGTTCATTTCAGGCTCACAGTGCATCTTTGAGTTAGTACTATGAAAGGAAGTATAGCTTCATGTTTAGACTAACCAAGTCTGAGTTGTAATCCCAGCTCTAACACCCATCAACTGTGTGATCTTTGGAAAATATCTTAACCTGTCTATGCCTCAATTTTCTTACTTGTAAATGAGGAAGATAGTCCCTGTCTCATAATATTGCTACTATTAAATAAGTTTTCATAAAATTCTTAGAACACAGATTGACACATGGTAAATACAATATAAGACATTCTATTACTGTTGGTATCCTTCAACAGTAGGTAAATTGAGATCTTCCACTGTCTCATGTAAAAGTTTCAGAAAGATGAGTTCCTCATCTGTCTGAAACCAAGCCTGTGTTCTTAAACACCCACCATAGCACTTCCCCCTGGCTGAAATTGAGGTTATAAAAACAGATTTCTCCAACTTCACAATATTTCCCTTGGTAATATCTGAAGGAATTTATTCTTGTTAAGGAGAGAGGGGTTTTAAGTGGTAAGGATATTATTCAACCTGCTTACACTCAAGATCCCCTCAGACAGTAGAGAAAGAGCTCTTATTAATTGAGAGCCTACTAACAAAGATTCTGGACTAGACAATTCATGCATTTATGCATTTTTTGAGTGTTTATAATTTAGTTTCCATCAAATCTCTTTAACATATTATTAAATACTTATTTTCTCCAGTATTAAAAGGCAAATATTGAGCATAAGATATGCTCAAAAAATAAATTAGAGATCAACACAGTAAACATGCTCCAGAAAAAGAGACTCTTTTCCATACTCTATGTATTTTTTAATTGATCACCAACTATGTGAAAAGGGCTCTAATGGGGATTGAGGATGCAATGATGAAAAAAATAAATAATTATGTACCTAATGGAGCTTCCATTGTAGCTAGGATAAAAGATAAGACATAACTTCAAGTGTCATGTAAACAATCAAAGGGAAGAGTGCAATTACAAATGAGGACAGTTTTATTAGCCCTACTTTCCTGATGCATGACTGAGACTATACAAAGAGGTAGGTTCTTTCCTGAACCACAACTTGGAGAAGGTATCCAGAGCGAGACTTGCTCACAGCATCTATCTGATTCCAGTGCTCTCCTAAGACCCAGCTGTTTCCTTCGTGGGAACTCAGTGCTCTGCTGCATCAAGAATACTCCCCTTCTTTCTGCTCTAACCAGATGGGGTCCATTTCTTATGGTTTTGACAATATTTTTGTTTTTCATTTCAATGACCTCTGAAGATATACCAAATTTCCCATTGTCTTTCCTAGAGTTTCAGAGAAGAAAGTACCACTCCTTCTTTATTTCATCAAAACTTTTCATCCCTAAAGCTTATTCTTCCTGTCTAACTGAAACTTTGTACCCTTCAGTCAACATGTCCCCTTCACCCAACCCAACTCCATCACCAGTCTCTGGTAACCACCTTTCTACTTTCTACTTCTAATGAGTTCAACTTTTCTAGATTCCACATAGAAGTGAGATCGTGCAGTATTTGTCTTTCTGTGCATTACTTATTTCAGTCTGCATGATGTCCTCTAGATTTATCCATGTTGTCACAGATAACAGGATTTCCCCCCTTTGTAAGGCTAAATAATATAGCACAGAATGGTGACTATAATAATTATGCATTGTATATTTCAAAATTACTAAAAGACTTTAAATGTTTTCAGCAAAAACTGAAAATTACTTGTGGTGATGGATTTGTTAATTAGCCTGATTTAATCATCCAGCATTGCAAACATACATCAAAATATCACATTGTACTCCATAAATTACACAATTATTATTTGTCAACTAAAAATAAACATTTAAGAAAAATTCTCCATCATTCCAGGTCCTTCACTGCACCATTCACCCTGCTCCCCCAGGCACATTATTTTCAAAGCACTAAAACAACTTTTTAATATCAAAAGAAAGAATGTGTGATGAGGGGTCAAAGAGGAAGGAAAAAAGGAAAATACAGCATCCACCTTTAACTAATTTGGGAGTTAAATTTTCCCCACAGATCTATCTTCCTTCAAGTCCTCTCTACTCAGTGGGGTCCAGACTGTTCCTGACCAAAGCCCTCCTATTACCGGCTCCTTGAAAGTCCTATTCTGTGAAATTTCTCCTACTTTTACACATAAAATGACAGAGCCTTACCTAAATCAACCCAGACGCCCATCAACGATAGATTGGATAAAGAAAATGTGGCACATACACGCCATGGAATACTATGCAGCCATAAAAAGGAATGAGAATGAGAGATCATGTCCTTTGTAGGGACATGGATGGAGCTGGAAGCCGTGATCCTCAGCAAACAAACACAGCAACAGAAAACCAAACACCACATGTTCTCACTTATAAGTGGGAGCTGGCAATGAGAACACATGGACACAGGGAGGGGAATGACACATACTGGGGCCTGTTGGGGGTTGGGGTGGGGGGAGGGAGAGCATTAGAAAAAATAGCTAATGCATTCTGGGCTTAATACCTAAGTGACAGGTGCAGCAAACCACCGTGGCGCACCTTTACCTATGTAACAAAACTGCACATCCTGCACATGTACCCCAGAGCTTAACATTAAAAAAAAAAAAAAGTCCTATTTTGTGAAATTTCTTCTGCTTTTACACGTAGAATGACAGAACTTTACCTAAGTCTTCCTTGAAGTGGTAGCCTAGTGTAATGGTCAAGAACATGCATTGAATCCTGGCCCTGACATTTACCAATAATATTACATGGGGAAATATCATTTACCTCTATGAGTAAGACTCAGTTTCCTTATTTCCAAAATGGGTATACTAATAGGATCTGTCTCTAGGAATTTATGTAGCTACTACATGCCTGAAATGTACTCTGTGTTCAATAGGTTGTATCCATTTTTTGTTGTTGTTGTTGTTATTTGATGAAGAAGATGGCACAGGGCACAATTCTGGCAACACGTGTCTTCAAAAAATTTATTAATCCAAAGATAGGAAACAAATCCTTGAAGCTTTGTTGATTTCAGATATTATACATAGACAAAGACAATTTTCTCATTATTATCTGCTATGGTTTTAAGATGTCCCCCAAAGTCCATGTGTTGGGAGCTTAATCCCCACTACGACGTATTGGGAGATGGGCCTTTAAGAGGAGATTAGGTATCTTTTCTCATGAACCCTTGGAGGGCTCTTTCTTATGAATAGGTTAATGCTGTTATTGCAGGAATTATCATGGGAGTGGGTTCCTGATTAAAAAAAAAAATGAGTCTGACCCAACTTCCTCTCTGTATCTCACATATGCACTTCCTCACCATGTGATACCTTCCACAATGGGATAACCCTTGCCAAATTCTCGTGTCATGCCCTCAGACTTCCTAGCCTCCAAAACCATGAGCCAAATAAACTTTTGTTCTTTATAAATTGCCCCATCTGTGGTATTCCATTACAGCAGCAGAAAATGGACAAAGACAGTATCATTTCACAGTCTACAAACTAAAGTTAAATTTAAAACTAGAACTTGAGGCATGACTTTCTATTCCTAAACCCAAACAGTACTAAATCAAAAATTACAACATAAATTCTATTGAATGGGTACTTTTATTTTATTTACTTTATAACATATTTTAGTTATATGATTATATAAAAGCTATAAGCATTGGCACTACATTTTTTTATTAAGTAACATCATTGAAAATAGTTTAAATCAACTGAGGGGTCCAACTGATTTTTTTCTTTAAAAGTTATCAATATAATGCATTAAATGATTCAATACATATTTCTAGTTTAATTTTTTTTCATTTTTATATAGATTTTGACTACTAATATGTTTGAAGATCTTTCTCAGGTTATTCCAAATGTCAGGGGGTGTCCTCAATCTCCTGGACCTTTAGGCTACAAAAGAGGCTTTTAGTATGAGGTTTATCATTTTGGAGAAATCAGAGACTTTCTGGCCAACTCAGACTGTAAATAATAAAAATACAAATAATAGAAAATTGTTATATAGAACTTACCAGAAGTGTCTTTACACATATTACATAATTAAATCTTTACCACAATTATGAGGCAGCTACTATTATCTATTTTTTACATAGAGTCAAACAAGGCAAAGAAAGTTTCGGTAACTCACCCCAAGATACTACAACTGGTTATTAGCAGACCTAGAATTCAAGACAAGATGTCTGACGCTACAGTCCATGTTGTTCCTGCCTGTGTTGTAATGTTTCCCAGCTAAGGACTGGCTGGAAGTAGATCAAGGGCTTTTAGAACAGATTACAGAAAGTGAAAACATACTTACTGCAATGTCCATTCTGCTTTACCAGCAATAGTAGTCTTGAGATCAGATTGATATTTGCACTCACGGAACACAAAAACATAGCAAACCTCCAGACCTGAGATAGAAATCAAAGGACAATCTTTATTTGTAGTGTTCCATTTTAAAGGGCAACATATTCACCTATAATTATGTATTATTTGGGGGGCAAGACATAAAGCATAGCATACATAGTGAGACCATGTGCTCTGAAGTGAGGTTGCCTGGTTGAATCCTGGCTCATCCACTTACTAGCTGGATGACTTTGAGAAGGTTACTCAATTTTTTGTGCCTTGGATTCCCAATTTGCAAATAAGAGGTAAGAATAATGCCTACCTAATAGGGTTACGAGGACAGTAAAAGTGACTCGATACTTATAAAGCACATAGAAAAGAGTTCATGGCCCATAATAAGTATTTTATAAAGGTTTGTGAATAAATGAATTTTTTAGAGGCTGGAGAAAATGGGCAAAATGCTATTGTTGCAAACCTTTCTGGGTGATGGTAACATGAATGATTACTATTTTCCTCTTTGTACCTTTCTACATTTTTTATTTCAAATTTCCACAAATAGAAAAATGAGAAAATAGCTCATTTGTTGAGTAACCACTACTTTGAACAAGACATTGATCAGCCACTCATGGGTGGAAACTGACTTTATTTTATATTCCACTGTTTCTCCAGTACCCATCACAATTCCCATCACATAATAAGCCTTTAATAAATGCCTATGAACTAATAAATTGATCAGAGCAATCAGATATTAATAGGCATGGTTATTGATCTCAAGGAGTATGCAGTCTGGAGGGACAGCTTAAACTAATATGCTTTTTTGAATCAACAAGAAATAGTTTATATTTTTGGCACTATGCTTTATTTGGGAATTGTTACTCAGCATATGATATCCAAATCTTTTTGCTAGCATCATAAAAAAGCAATAGAGTGGCAGGTTAAGAGCACTGAGTTAAACAGGAGTTAAACAACCTCATGAGATGTTTCAAAACTGATTCTGTCGCTTACTTGCTGTTCTACATTGGATAGCTCACTTCACCTCTCTGAGCTCAGATTTCTCAACTCTAATGTAAAGAAAATCAGACCACCTACCTCATTAAGGTGTTGAGATAAATAGATGAGATATTACATCTAATTTGTTTAGCTGAGTGCCTAGCACAGAGCAAGCACTCACTGAATTGTTGCTGTCTGGGATTTTTAAAAATTAATGTTTAAGCAATAAGACAAACAGATTGAGATATTGCATAGAATGGAGGTCCAAAGTGTTAAGTGGGGACAGAGACAAAGCCATTTCAACTGGTAGTCATCAAGCAAAGTGTCCTGGAAGAGGCTGAATTCGAGCCTTGCAGGTTAGGTTTAATAGATGAAGGAAAGGATAAGCAAAGACACAATAGTCTAAATGGGTGAGGGGCAATGAGTCAGAAGGAATCAGATAACCTTGGATTGCAGTTGTACTGGGATATGGGGAAGTTTAAGTCCTAATTTGAGAATTATATCATACACACAAAGTGAGATGTCCCAAATGACCAGAAATATGGATTGCCATAAAATATAAAATATATGTCCCTAGTGGCTGGAGGGAAGGAGGAATGGAGAATTGGTGTTCAGGGAAAATATATTTTCAGTTATATAAGATGAATAAGTCCTAGAAATCTGCTATGCAACATTTTTCCTATTATTAATGATACTGTGAACTAAAAATTTGTAAACAGGGTAGATCTCATGTTAAGTTTTCTTACCACAATGAAAGAAAAAAGAAAAGAAGAAATAAGAGAGTAGAAGCCTTATCCTTCTCATCCATTCAGCTCATCTGTCAGAATCCCTCCCCCATCACTTCCACCTGCTTAGAGCCATCTCTTTGTAGGAGGAAAACAAACATCACCTTAAATTTCAAGTAGTGAGAGCAGGAGCCATTTCAAATACATGACAATCTGAGTTCTAGAATGGTTCCAGTGAGGATTACTTTCTTACTTTCAAACAGATCCACACAATAAACTAGAGTGGCCAACCACTTCTTTTTTTTTTTTTTTTTTTGAGACGGAGTCTCACTCTGTTGCCCAGGCTGGAGTGCAGTGGCGTGATCTCGGCTCACTGCAAGCTCCACCTCTCAGGTTCATGCCATTCTCCTGCCTCAGCCTCCCGAGTAGCTGGGACTACAGGTGCCCGCCACTATGCCCAGCTAATTTTTTTGTATTTTTTTAATAGAGACGGGGTTTCACCGTGTTAGCCAGGATGGTCTCGATCTCCTGACCTCGTGATCCACCCACCTCGGCCCCCCAAAGTGCTGGGATTACAGGCGTGAGTCACCGCGCCCGGCCCCAACCACTTTTTTTGAAAGTTGCTTTAACAATAAAAATATCGATCTGGTTTGCTTAATGTTTGTGTGTTACAACTGTAATAAAATTAATAGCTAACGCTATATATATATGCCCTGATGGCTTTCCTGAGTGAGAAGCAAGGGTCATACATAAGTAGACTTAAGGATGCTTCAGACAGAAGAGTAAAGATTCCAGGCCTAGGGTCTAAAGTCTTAACCCTATTGCTTATTATATTTTAAAGTTCTAAGAACAGTGTCTAGCAAGGGACTGCTTCTAACACTGGGAGATGGGAAAGTGACTAGTGGCATAAGATGTTCTAGTTGTTTTAGCTTGATGATCAACGAATTCCGAGAAAACGTTCTCCAACCCCACATTCTGTCTTTCAATGTAAGCAGCACAGCGGTGAGGCTCAGGAAGTCTGTCACTTGAGCCAGCCTCACACAGGTGGGGTCTTTTTCACCAAAAGGAGTTAGGTCAGGAGGGTGATTTCTGAGAGAGAGAGAAGGCACTGACACTCCCCAGGCTCCTTGGGGAAGAAACTCCAAAACCGTAATAGTTCTTGGCTTGTTTTCTGCTGTCTTCTCCATCTGAACTCCAGGGACTTCTTGATGATCTCAAAGGATGCTCCCTTGACAGAGGGTGGGGTCTATGAGTGTCTTTAATCTCTTCAGCATGTGGGAGGCCCAGAGGAGGAAGAGAGGAAAATCTTCAGCTTCATGAGGGTTGAAAGCTTGTCTAGAATCAGGTGCCTTCTCTGTGTGGTTTTTTGGGGAAGCATATATATAACTGAGACTGGAATTGGGAAAAGAATTACACCAACACAGACAAGCATGCACTAACAATGACGATTTTAGCATTTAGGGGCTGGATAACAAAAATGAGGTTTATGTTACATTAAAAGAAATGTTGGCCGGGTGCGGTGACTAATGCCTGTAATCCCACCACTTTGGAAGGCCAAGGTGGGCGGATCACTTGAGATCAGGAGTTCGTGACCAGCCTGGCCAACATGGTGAAACCCCATCTCTACTAAAAATACAAAAATTAGCTGGGTGTGGTGGCACAAGCCTGTAATCCCAGCTACTCAGGAGGCTAAGGGGGGAGAATCGCTTGAACCCAGGAGGCAGAGGTTGCAGTGAGCTAAGATTGTGCCACTGCACTCCAGCCTGGGTGACAAAGCAAGACCTTGTCTCAAAAAAAAAAAAATAAGGAAAAGAAATGTTTTTACTATCCTGTTATTTCTGTCTATCTTTTGCCTCTTCATACCTATCCTTTCACTCAAATAAGGTTTCACTAAAAAATGAGGGAAATGGAGTAACTGTTGGGTAATCTCATATTTCAATGTCTTTTTACATGATTGCCAGCCTCCAGAATAACTGATGCAGACAGAAGTATCCGAACTAAGGGAAATCATTATTCCATCAGCTGGAAATTGAGAGATGAAACTTTTTTAAACCTGTCATAAACTAATTACTGAAAACCGTGAATACGATAAATATATACAGAAAAAGAAGAGAATAATTTCTCCAGGATTCCCCTCCTCTCCTTCTGGGAATTCTCTTGCACTCACTCCTTCCTCTTGCCCTATATCTCTTCTTTTCTCTTTTTCCCATTTCTGTTTCCCTGTAATTTGTTTCTTTATAGCAGGCAACTGAGATTAAAATATATATTAATTTCTAAATATCCCACATTAATGGAAAGAAACCACAATCCAGATAATTGTAATGTTTTAAATTTTTTCTTTGCTGATAAGAAGAATAAAAGGAGAAATTTTGGACAGATTGTATCAGATGTTGGAAGAATCTGTTACAGTGTTAGTTTATCTTTAGGTGAACCCACAACTATGGGAAGAAATAACCTAACAAGACCCTCTGAATTCATCCTCCTTGGACTCTCCTCTCGACCTGAGGATCAGAAGCCGCTCTTTGCTGTGTTCCTCCCCATCTACCTTATCACAGTGATAGGAAACCTGCTTATCATCCTGGCCATCCGCTCAGACACTCGTCTCCAGACGCCCATGTACTTCTTTCTAAGCATCCTGTCTTTTGTTGACATTTGCTATGTGACAGTCATTATCCCTAAGATGCTGGTGAACTTCTTATCAGAGACAAAGACCATCTCTTACAGTGAGTGTCTGACCCAGATGTACTTTTTCTTAGCCTTTGGAAACACAGACAGTTACCTGCTAGCAGCCATGGCCATTGACCGCTATGTGGCCATATGTAATCCCTTCCACTACATCACCATTATGAGTCACAGATGCTGTGTCCTGCTTCTGGTTCTCTCCTTCTGCATTCCACATTTTCACTCCCTCCTGCACATTCTTCTGACTAATCAGCTCATCTTCTGTGCCTCAAATGTCATCCATCACTTTTTCTGCGATGATCAACCAGTGCTAAAATTGTCCTGTTCCTCCCATTTTGTCAAAGAAATCACAGTAATGACAGAAGGCTTGGCTGTCATAATGACCCCGTTTTCATGCATCATCATCTCTTATTTAAGAATCCTCATCACTGTTCTGAAGATTCCTTCAGCTGCTGGAAAGCGTAAAGCATTTTCTACCTGTGGCTCTCATCTCACAGTGGTGACCCTGTTTTATGGAAGCATTAGCTATCTCTATTTTCAGCCCCTGTCCAACTATACTGTCAAGGATCAAATAGCAACAATTATCTACACCGTACTGACTCCTATGCTAAATCCATTTATCTATAGTCTGAGGAACAAAGACATGAAGCAGGGTTTGGCAAAGTTGATGCACAGGATGAAATGTCAGTAAAAGACCTAAGGTCTTAAGAGAATACCACAGATCTCTTGCCCTGGACTATAGGTTATTAATGGGTATGTGATTCTGAAATGATTATTAGATTCTGAAAGGATAGTACCTTCAATGATGGTGTTTCATTCCTTACAGAAGAATGTTTATTGCATGTATTGAAGCTACTCCTGAATATAATGCCTACAAACTAAGTTGGATCACTGTAATCTCCTGAGTATCCCTATTCATGCAGCTGGGTTTTCTTGTATAGTAATGTAAAGCTGCTTGAATGTCTTTGAGCTACTCTGTGTGTGTGTGCGTGCGTGTGTGCATGTGTGTGTGTATGTGTGTGTGTGTCGCTTCATCATATTAGCCCAGGGGCTCCTCAATAACGAGGTCTCTCTCTTTCTCCCATTATAAATGTCAGAACTGTGACTCCTTCCTCTGCATTTCCTCAAAGATTAAAGCCTGGCTTCTATAGTTGTCATAGTCTCAACAAATAAAATCATCCCACTAGATAACTCTTAGTGAATCAGTGCCAGGTCAGGTTCCTAAGAGTATGGCATCTCAGTATTCTTCCTGCTTCCCACCTGGCAAAGCTGACTGTACCTTAAATCTCTCATTAATTTCATTTGACCCAAACTCAACTGCACTGTTTTCCCGGGAGGTATGTGTTAGGTCCCAGTAACCTTAGTAGCAGATGCCTCCAACTGCTGGGGCAGTTCTCTTCCTTAACAGACTTTGAAGACAGTCTTCCAACCAGAAAAACAAATTGGGTAGGAAAGAAACACTTTTGCTCATTTGTGAGTTCTGAGAAATATTAGTCACTGCTAGTCCATGAATTATCTTGCAACTCAGAGATTTATGAATTCATTTGCTCTTTCAACAAATTTCTACTTCTGATACACCATGAACCAGCCTACTGGACTTAAAAACAAAGATAATGTACTACATGATTTAAGTCAACAATCTGAAGGCCAAAGATCAGCAGGGTCTAAGGAAACAAAATAACACAGGCAATACAAGTATTTGGAGGGCAATTTCCTGTTAATTGGATTGTTTTAGGTTTGCAAGGTACAGAGAAACACACATACTTTTAAGTAACAGATGTCAAATAAAAATCCAATCTGGTCTTAGGTAAGGAGAGATATTACTGCAAAAGTGGGGAAATGGTCTATAGCAATAATGCAAGGGAGACTATTACACTAGGGAGAATGTCTCAATTGTGAGACCAACAAAAGTGTCAAATGTCAGACAGAAAAGGAATTTTCTTTCATAAAGAGAAGTGAACATGAATGAGGCTAGAAAGAAACAGATATGCAGAAGTGGGATGAGCTAGTAACAGTAGCAGGACTGAAGAGTTGATCAAAGAATGTATTTTATCAGTTGACGCTCCAGAGGGGTCATTAAGGAGGGGTTATGTGTTAACTCAGATTGAGGGTGGGACAAAGTTCATTCTTTTCCAGAACACAAAAGAGTGGAGGGATTTCTTTAACTGTCACTGTTTTCCAGGAGCACAGGGCTCAGGTAAAATTCAACATTGGCACAGGAATTTGCTGTAAGAATTCATGAGGTAAAAAGAAGACATAAATCTCAGCTGTGCAGCCAGATCTCACAGAGGAATAAGAACCAAAGCATAGTTGGGCCCCACAGAGTTGGAAGGTAATTCAGGCTCTGGAAGGCTACTCAGGGGAAAATGCAAGATTCGTGAACGTGTCATTTTGATGCCCTTCCACATGAAGTTCAAACAAGAAGGCCATGGTCATGAGAATCACACAAAAGATAAGAAGCTTCTCTCCAATACCCTCTCCAAATGGGAGAGAAGAGTCAGCTAGAGTGAATTGGAGATTACATGGTGATAAAGTAAACATGGAAACTTCCCAGAGACATGTTTGTCAGAGGATATTTACAATAGTTACAAATGTGCCCTTCATGCAAGTATAAACTCCCCCCAAAATAAACAGCCAAACTACTCCAAACATCCTTAGTAAACCATACACCACACAGGGACTGCCTTACCTAAGTAACTGGAGAAGGACTCAGTTGCACATCTGGGTCAATATGAAGAATAACAGAAGCAAAAGCTTGCAGGCATTGATCATAAAAGATTACAAGCCTCTGGGATTTGCAGAAACATTGGCAAAGAACTTAAACTTCCACCAACCAGGCAATTGATAGATTCCTGAATTCAATCTTACTTGAACGTTCAGCAGAGGGATGCTACTGATCTTTACACTATGTAATAACAGCCACCAAGCATTGAGCTGTAAAAGGCACTCCAATGCAGCACTTTACATACATTATCATACTAACTTTCTACTAACCTTTTGATGAAAGTACAAATTTATTATGTCCATATAACAGATGTGATCAATGAGAATCAGAAAGTACAAATAACTTGTTGAATATCAAACTACTCTTAACATCAGATCTGAGAACTTAAACTTGTTCTGAAAATTGTATTTTTGGCTCTTAACCCCTATCCTACCTCCCTAAAGGTACCTATGTGTCCATAAACACAAATTTCTTCAACCTACTATTTTCTTTAAAAAAAAAAAACAAGTCTAGGTCAGTGAAGTGGAACTTTATTTTCATTCTTAAAAGCAGAAACCCAGAGGCACAGATGACCACAAGGACATAAACTTCCTAAAACTATGCAAAATTCTCCATAATAAGTTGAACTTCTGCATGTTGTGAAATGGGAACATTGAGTCACATTTACTTAGACCTCAAGGGGCAGAAAATCCCTCAATGATAGCTATATCTGTTGAGAGTTTTTATTGTGCCAGAATTAAAACATGTTTTAATTATCAGAATAATACTATGATATAATATTATAATCTGATAGTAACACTATAATCATGGCCACTTTACAGATGAGGTAGCCAAGTTTCAGACGGTTTAAAAGACTTTCCCAGCTATGACATAATCAATATGGCAGAATAGGAGATACCAGCCTTTATCTCCCAACCCCACCACCCAAAAAACAAATATAGACAGCAATACACAAACCAAAATAACCCAGAGAGTGCTCAAGGGCTCATTTAAGAATCTGCAGCAACACAGTGGTGCAAGAAGAAGAATAAAAAGAAGAAGAGGAATGTACGCACATAAAGGACGACTTGTGAGATCAGTGTCCCTGAAATACCTAGAGATGGCTAGGTACAAAGAGAAAAGCCAAGGTCACTGGTATCAGGCACATTGAGGGAGACACCATGGTCCCTAGTGACCTGCTCTGCAGAAAACTTCAGCATTTTTGTCACTAAGGTAACCAAAAGCCATTCCTGCCAGAGAACCCCAGAGAAGAAGAATTGGCTTCACACATACACACCCTCAAGAAGTAGCCAGCGTTGTGCCACTCCAGAACCAGAGCCACCACTCCTCTCAACTTGACATATGTTCCTGACCACTAAACTGCAGCTTCTCCATGACTGCCTGCATTCCAGACCTTGGCTCTGTGGCTGTACTACATCTACCCATGCCTCAGATATCAGAGCCAACACCATAGCAAGTTAGTTTACACTCTGCACCCCAGAATTAAGGTCTGTCTGCATGGATTCACACACCAAATATCAGCCCTGCCACCATAGAGAGCTAGCACATGACCTGGAGCCTGGAGCTGCTATAGCTCTGCACAAGTCCATGATTCCCTGCCTGCTTCATAAACACCCATGTCTTGTACAACATTACCGACACAACAGCAGGGGTACCTGCACCCTGGGCACCAGTGCGTTTGCTGCCCTGGACCTCAGAGCCACGGTCTTTCCACACATGCCTGTGCTCTCAGCCTTGGCTCACTGGCTACTCCACAGGTACTGTTCATCAGACACCAGTATTGCTGCCAGTGTGAGCAGGCCTATGAGTCAAACCCAGTGGCAAGAGACATCCCTTTGGTCATGGTTTCCCAAGTGGAAGAAAAAGATCTCAGGAGAACTTTTAGCAGCCATAAACACCAAACACATCAAAAGCCCTCACTGCTGCTGCAGGCACTCACATAATTGATCACTGCCCTCTAAACTTTACCAACGCTTACTGCAGATGACATAGCTGTACAGAGACTATGCTGCTGCACCCTCACCAGAGTCAGAATTGCTGCACCCTACATAGCCAGCACCCTTGCATGTTCCCATAAAAGAAGATCCTTCCCCACCAAAACCATCCCAGAAATCAGACAGACAGAGGGGATTATTTCACTGCCTTGAAAACTTTGAGTGTATAGTCTTGGTTGCAAGCAAATTCAAGCATTAACAGAAGGCCACAAGAAACATGAAAAGCAAGGGAAACATATCATCACAAAAAGAATACAATAATTTCCCAGTAGCTGACCCCAAAGAAACAGAAATTTCTGAACTGCCAAAGAATTCAAAATAATTGTATTTAAGGAATCTCAGCAAAGTTCAAAAGAAGACAGAGAAAAAAGTTTCAACAAAATCAGGAAAACAATAAATAAAAAATGAAAAAGTTACATATTGAAATACTAAAAAATCAATAAGATATTCTAGAGCTGAAGAATACATGAATGAAATAAAAATACAATGGAGAATGCAGTGAATGGAATAAAAATGAAACAGTGTCAATGGCAGAATTAATCGAACAGCATAAAACCCTGTAAAATTGAAAACAGTTTATTTGAAGATATACACTCAGAGGAGAAAAAAATGAAAAGAAATGAAGAAAGTGTATGGGATTTATAGGACAACATAATGATAGCTTTCATCTGCATTATAGAATTTAAATAATGTGGAGAGAAAGAGAAAGGGATAGAAAGGTTATATAAAGAATAATAGCTTAAAACTTCCAAATCTGGGAAAAGATATTAATATGCAAGTACATGGAAATCCAAGGTCTTTAATCAGATTCAATCCAAATAAGACTACCACAAGACATGAAATCAAATTATAAAACAAAACAACAAAGAGAGGTTCCTAAAAGCAGAAAGGAAAAAGAAGCATATCACATTTAACTGATTTCCCATAAGGTTAGCAGCACACTTCTCAGCAGAAAATTTGCAGGCCAAGAGAGAGTGGGATGACATACTCAAAGTGATGAAAAAAAACTGTCAACTAAGAATATGTGACCAGCACAGCTATATTTTAGAATGAAGAAGATATAAATACTTTCCCAGAAAGGTAAAAGCTGATGGAGTTAATCATCCCCAGAGCTGACTACAAGAAATGCTAAGAAGAGCTCTTCAAGCTGGAAAAAAATGATACTAAATAGTAACATAAAAACATGAAAATATAAAACTCACAGGTAAAAGTAAGTACATTGTCAAATTCAAAATAGTCTAATTCTGTAATGTTTGCATAAACCAGTCATAACTTTAGTATGAATGTTTAAAGACAAAACTATTAAAAATAGTAACAGTTACAATAATTTGTTAAAGGATACACAATAAAAAATAAAAGATGTAAATTGTGACATCCAAAACATAAAATGGAAGGGGCAGGAGCTTGAAAGTGTAGTTTTTTTATGTAACTAAACTTAAGTTGTTATCAGCTAAAAATAGCTTGTTATAACTACAGAATGTTTTAAGTAAGCTTCATGGTAACTGCAAAACAGAAACCTATAGTAAATGCAAAAATGAAAAAAGTAAGGAATCAAAAGATACTACAACAACAAGAAATTACCAATTGAAGACACAGAAGAATGAAACTAGACCCCTATTTCTCACCATATACAAACATCAAATCTAAATGGATTAAAGACTTAAATCTAAGACCTCAAGAAAATATTGGGGAAAATGTTCAGGACATTGGTCTGAGCAAAAATTTCTTGAGCAATATCCCACAAGCACAGGCAACCAAAGAAAATGTGGACAAATGGGATCACATCAAGTTAAAAAGCTTCCACACAGGAAAGGATACAATCAGCAAAGTGAAGAGACAACCCACAGAATGAGAGAAAATGTTTGCAAATGCTATATCTGATAAGCAGTTAATGTTAATATTCAAAATATATAAGGAACTCAAACATTCAATAGTATGAAGGCAAATAATTTGGTTTTAAGGTAAGCAAAGGACCTGAATAGACATTTCTCAAAAGAAGATATACAAATGGCCAACAGGTATATTTTTAAATGCCCAACATTACTAATCATCAGAGAAATGTAAATTAAAACCACAATGAGATATTACTTCACACCTGTTAGAATGGCTGTTAGCAAAAAGTATAAAGATAACGATTGCAAAGATGTAAAGAAAAGGGAACAGTTACACACTGTAAGAATGTAGATTAACACAGCCGTTATGGACAACAGTATGGGGGCTCCTCAAAAAACTGAAATTATTATTACTATTACTATTTTTTGCGACAGAGTCTCACTCTGTCGCCCAGGCTGGAGTGCAGTGGTGCTATCTCGGCGGCTCACTGCAAACTCTGCCTCCCTGGTTGAAGCAATTCTTCTGCCTCAGCCTGCCAAGTAGCTGGGACTACAGGTGTGCACCATCACACTCGGCTGATTTTTGTACTTTTAGTAGAGGCGGGGTTTCACCATATTGGCCGGGCTGGTCTCTAACTCCTGACCTCATGATCTGCCCGCCTTGGCCCCCCAAGAGTGCTGGGATTACAGGTGTGAGCCACTGCACCCAGCCAAAAAACTGAAATTATTGTGTTGGATATAAAAATGCTCTAGGAAAAAATGCTTTGTGCCACAAAGTGAAACCAACACTTAGGCAAAAGTTGTCTCAGCAAGGCAATTCACTTCTGCAGAAGAGTGCCACTTGTGTCAATCAAGATCGCAAGAGCACAGGGAACAAAGGAGAGCAGTGAGTTTTTATCTCTGATGGTCGTTCTTACCTCTGTGTCACTCCGCCATGGGCTGGGGTCAGGCCGCACAATCTGAGCTGACCCAATTGGCTACTTGCAAATATTTTTCTAAATACGGAAGGGAAGGGGGACATGAGGTACAGTGGTAAAGCATGTGAGATGTCCAGTTTCAGGGGAACAATGGGTGCAGGTAACCAAGGGAATAGATGTGCATTATTGATTAGAGCTGACGGGAAGTGGATAGGCTATTTACAGTAACTAGGGGCAAGGAGGAACAAGAAAGTTGAGTTTGAAAACAAAGGACAAGGAAGTTGGGAGGCTAAATCTTTGAAGAGAAACTCAGAGAAATTCATTGTATCTTACAATTGATACAGGGGTTAAAAAGAAATTATTTAGGCAGTGAGTGAGGGTGAAAAAATACTTAGCGGGAATTTTCCTTTAATAAATAGCAGCTCCCAAATCATTTCTTT
The DNA here is from genome assembly GCF_000001405.40 of Homo sapiens. Classification (NCBI taxonomy): domain Eukaryota; kingdom Metazoa; phylum Chordata; class Mammalia; order Primates; family Hominidae; genus Homo; species Homo sapiens. Next base: position 122,669,866 of record NC_000009.12, read on the forward strand.
TCTAATAAAAAGCAGCATGAAAAATCAAGTTGCAAGCATAGATAAGCAAGCTGGAAACTTGCATAGGTAAATGCCAGCAGCTATGCCAGACACCACGTATATCCAACATGGCAATTCCCTCTTCCCTTTTCCTTGTTGCCATATGTGTGGGTGTCATGGCGCCAGCCAGGTGAAGGCTCCATTTGCATAATACAAGATAAAGTGGGACGGTCTGTTTCTTCACAGGCTATGTAAATGGCACACCTGGTCAAATCAAACCCCTGAGTCCTATGTAAATCAAACACTGACTCCTCAAGCCCCTCTATAAAATCGACCACATCTTACCCCAAACCTGGAAATCCACTTGGACACCCCCTTCCTCTGCATGAAGAAGCTCTCTTTCTCTCTCTTCCTCTCTCTTCTTTCTTATGCCTATTAAACTTTCCACTTTGTTCTCCTTAGTGTGAGACAACAAACGTCTGGTATTTCCCCAGACAATGAAACTCCTTCAATCTAACTACCATAGAATTCAGCAATCTCATTTCTGGGTATATATCCAAATGAATTTAAATCAGTCTTTCAAAGAGATATCTGCACCTCATGTTCATTGCAATATTGTTCACAGTAGCCAAGATATAGAATCAACCTAAGTATCTAACAACAGATGAAGGGATAAAGAAAACGAGGTGGCTAGGCACATTGACTCACATCTGTAATCTCCCCACTTTAGGAAGCCAAGGCCAGAGGATTGCTTGAGGCCAGGAGTTTGTGACTAGCCTGGGCCACATAGCAAGACACCATCTCTGCAAAAAAAATTTCTGTAATTAGCTAGATGTGGTGGCACATGCCTGTAGGTCTAGCAACTTGACAGGTTGAGGTGGGAAGATTGCTTGAGCCCAGGAGTTGAAGGCAGCAGTGAGTTATGACTGCAGCACTGCACTCCAGCATGGGCAACAGGATGAGGAAACAAAGAAAGAAAAGAAAAGAAAGAGAAAGAGAGAGAGAGAGGAAGGAAGGAAGGAAGGAAAGGGAGAGAGAGAGAGAGAAAGAGAGGAGGAAAGGAGGAAGGGAGAAAGGGAGAAAGAAAGAGAAAGAGAGAGAGAGAAGGAAATTTTGCATATTCCGTGTGTGTGTGTGTGTGTGTGTGTGTGTGTGTGTGTGTGTGTGTGTGTGTATTATTCAACCATAAAAAGAAGGAAATCCTGACATTTGCAACAACATGGATGAACTTGTAAGACATTATGCTAAGTGCAATAAACCAGATACAGAAGACAAATATCTTATAATCTCACTTATCTGTAAAATCTTAAAAAGTTGAACTTATAAAAACAGAGCGCACAGTGGTGGTTGCCAGGGACTGGGGGTGGAGGAAACGGGGAGATGTTGGTCAAAGGTCATGCACTTTCAGTTATAAAGTGAATAAGCTCTGGGGATCTGAAGTAAAGCATGGTGAACATAGTTAATAATATCATATTGTTTACTTGAAATTTACTAAGACAGTAGATCACAAGTGTCCTCACCAAACACACACACACTATGTGTGGTGATGGATGTGTTAATTAATTTGATTTTGACAATCATTTCACAATGCATGTATATATCAAATCATCAATTGTATACCTCGAGTGTATACCGTTTTTATTTGCCAATTATAATATAAATTTAAAATAAAATCCTAACCACCCCCTATCCCACCAACTAAATGAATGCCCAGGTAGCCAACGGGACTCCAGAAAAACCTTAAAACCAAGTTCCTGGCCATGTCAGGATGGTAGGTTAGACAGGCTTCACTATATACCCTCTCTTTTATGATGTAGACACAACAACTGATCAGCATTATTGTTAAAATAGACATCATAAGATGAACAGAACAGACTCTTAGTGGCAATAAGATACCAAATTATAAATGGGACCTATGGCCATGCCAGGCAAGGGTTAAGTCACACATCCCTTCACTTAAAGAATAAACTGTGTTCTAACTGCCACAAGGCTTTCCTCTTTCTCTAGCAGCTAACCCAACCTTGGCCTCAAGATAAGCAATATTACAACAATTTTCAGCTCCACAGATGCCGACTAACTGAACCTCAGCCCTTGTTCCACCAGCCATAACTACAGCTTTGATTGGACAAGAGACTGATTTTAGTAAATTTCTGCTGATAAAAAGATCACTGACCATGAACTGGTTCTGTCCAGTTTACAGAGACTGTGCACTTACGTGCTTTCTTTTCCTGAAAAGATCTTTTGATGTATAGGCCCTAATTGTAATACATTTAAATGTTAAGTCTCCATCCCAGAGTGAACATGAGTCATATGTTACATGCATGTTGGTTCAATACACATGTATCAGGACTGTCTTCTTGAATATTCGTAGCTTTTTCTGTAACCTGTTGAATATGTGTTTAGCCAACCTGTTCAGCATAAAAGCTCCTATCTCAACTCCTCCTCCTTCAAAGTGCCTATCTCTGGTTTTGGCTGAAGGCATGCTTCCCGGCCTCTGGATGGCCACCTTGTAAGCTGTAACCTCATAAAAATTAAAGTCTCCCCTCCTCTTCCAAATGTATAATCTTTTAAGTTAACAATAACTTAATGCAGTTAGGAGAGGGAAAAAAAGAAAAAGAAATAAAGACAGTGAGGTTCTTGAAATATAAGATGTAATCAGAAATCAATAAGCGACAGGAATGGACAATATATAAAAGGCAGGGCATTTGGGGACTCTGATATATGGATTCTGTGTGCTTACATGAATCAAGAAGAGTAAGAGATTTGAAGCTGGTGGCTTTCCCTAGCAGTGATAGCAAGGAAAGGAATCCGATATATGAGCAGCAGACTTGGAGATTGCCTAATACAAGAAGGGTGACCTATGTTTGGGTTCAAAGGTTTTAACACTACATTTTGTTAGAAAATAGAACCATAAAATCACCACTACTAAACTAGTAGCTGCATCTAATCCTGGAAGGGTTTGGAAAGAAGGCACCAATGATGTTGGGGTACACTTGGGGTAGTTGTCCTTTGAAAAAATGGAGGCAGTAAGGAGGAGGCCAAATTGATATTTTATAGGTTCAAGGGGGGAATTGGACCCAGGTGTAAATGCCAGGTACTCTGTTCTCAGTGCTAGTTGGGACATCTTCCAGGCAAGCCCTCAGCTTGGAAGAGCTGGGAAAAGAAAATTATCGTCCATCTGAGATACCTACATCAAGCTAAGCAGATCTTGCACTACCTCCGAAGGTTCCAAGAGGAGAATGTGGGGCCACTTGCTGGGGGGAGCAGAGAAAACGTGCAATTCCTCTGGATCCCTGGAGACAATTCTGCACAAAGTTAATGAATGGTTGTTTTCTTACTGTCTCCCCTAGGAAACATCAGAGACCTAGTGGCACAGTCTCAGAAGATACTCCCATGAGGAAAACAAGGGCTATAAGTATCTACAACTTGTGAATGACAGTAAGAATCCAGGGAAGGGAGCATTCAGAATCAAGAAGCACTGGGAGATTTTCGACAATTAGATACCTTTTTGTATGCAGTTTCTTGGCACAGATTTATCTTCTTTCTGACTAGTTATTTCATGGAGCATAAATGAGAGGAATGAATACATAAGGCCAGACGTTAATGTCCTTTCCAGGCTTACCTGGAAAGGTACTCTGACCCAAGAGTACCTTTGACTCTTATTAACTGTAGTCACCTGCTGTGTAATAGATCCCCAGAACCTTATTCTATCATTTTACACTTTAAGATAATCCATCTGCTCATTGTCTAAAATACCATGAGAGATTAATTAATTAATTAATTAATCAACCTAGCGAGTGCCTGATGAGAAAGTGGAAATACCTGATCTCTGGGAAATAATTAGTCCTTACTGGACATTAAATAAGAGAGCGAATTTATGTTCACCCTAAGTGTAGATTATCTGTATTTATACTCTAAAGTCTGATCTTCCTTTACCCTAGCCAACTCCAGAATTACATTCCCCTGACCTCAGAATATGGATTATCAGCCAGAGAGTAGGAAAGCTTGGGAGAGAATTTTCTCGCAAAAGTATTCTGTCCCCCTCACTCTCTCATTCCCCGTGTTTCTTTTCCCTGTAACTGTTTACATTCAACTCAGTGTTCTCTAAGTGAGTTTCTTGCTTCCATTGTAAATGATGTGGAAAGAAACATCTGGACTTAAAAGAAAAGGTATTCATCAATTACAAGCTAGGTGAGATAACTATCTTGTTACCTAGATGTGGTTTAGCCACTCAGAATCCTTAATCAGAAGATGGCCTGAACTTGATTCAAAGTCTTTATCTGTGGTTCCTGTAATTACCAGCCACAGAGTAAGTAGGAGGAGAAACTTATCAGCCATTCGCTCCCAATCTCTTTCTCTCTTTCTCTGTCTGTCTGTCTGTCTCTCTCTTTCCTTGTATCTGTTCTCTATAGATCTTGCTATGGGTTAAATGTTTATGTCCCCCCAGAAGTCACTTAATCCCCAATGTGATAGCATTTGGAGATGGATATTTGACAGGTAATTTAGGTCATGAGGGTTGGGGCCCTCCTGATGTGATTAATGCCCTTATAAGAAAAGCTTGCTTCCTCCCCCTGCTTTCTGCCATGCAAGACTACAAGGAGAAGACAGCCCTCTGAAAACCAAGAAACAAGCCCTCTGCAGACACTGGATCTGTTGGCAACTTGATCTTGGACTTCCCAGCCTCGTGAACTGTGAAAAGTAAATGTTGTTTAAGCCACCTAGTCTATGATTTGTTTGTTTGTTTGTTTTTTTGAGACCAAGTCTCGCTCTGTCACCCCGGCTGGAGTGCAGTGGTGCAATCTTGGCTCACTGCAACCTCTGCCTCCCAGGTTCAAGCAATTCTCTTGCCTCAGCCTCCCTAGTAGCTGGGACTACAGGCATGCACCACCAGGCCCGGCTAATTTTTTGTATTTTTAGTACAGACAGGATCTCACCATGTTGTCCAGCCTGATCTCGAGCTCCTAACCTCAAGTGATCCACCCACCTCAGCCTCCCAAAGTGCTGGGATTACAGGCATGAGCCACCGCATCTGACCTGGCTATGGTAATTTATTATAGCAACCTGAACTGATTAAGACAGGTATCTACCTCAAAGATCTTTTAAAAAGTGAAAACACACTTTCAGTTCTGATTCTCCATGCTCAGGAAGAAAAATAAACTACAGAGTAAATGCTCTATTAATAACTACTCAGTGTAAGAACAACGTGGAAAGATGCATGTTGTAGATGACATAAGAATTATGTCATTAATTGACAGTGTTGCTTATCTTTAGGTGAGTACAAGTCCATGGGAATGTCCAACCTGACAAGACTCTCTGAATTTATTCTCTTGGGACTCTCCTCTCGGTCTGAAGACCAGAGGCCACTCTTTGCCCTCTTTCTTATCATATACCTGGTCACTTTGATGGGAAATCTGCTCATCATCTTGGCTATCCACTCTGATCCTCGACTTCAAAACCCTATGTATTTTTTCCTAAGCATCTTGTCCTTTGCTGATATTTGCTACACAACAGTCATAGTCCCAAAGATGCTCGTGAACTTCTTATCAGAGAAAAAGACCATTTCCTATGCTGAATGTCTGGCACAGATGTATTTCTTCCTGGTTTTTGGAAACATAGATAGTTATCTCCTGGCGGCTATGGCCATCAACCGCTGTGTAGCCATTTGTAACCCATTCCATTATGTCACTGTTATGAACCGCAGATGCTGTGTGTTGCTACTAGCATTCCCCATCACTTTCTCCTATTTCCACTCTCTCCTACATGTCCTCCTGGTGAATCGGCTCACCTTTTGTACATCAAATGTTATCCATCATTTTTTTTGTGATGTCAACCCTGTGCTGAAACTGTCCTGCTCCTCCACCTTTGTCAATGAAATTGTGGCCATGACAGAAGGGCTGGCCTCTGTGATGGCTCCATTTGTCTGTATCATCATCTCTTATCTAAGAATTCTCATCGCTGTTCTCAAGATTCCCTCAGCAGCTGGAAAACACAAAGCCTTCTCCACCTGCAGCTCCCATCTCACTGTGGTGATTCTGTTTTATGGGAGTATTAGCTATGTCTATTTGCAGCCTTTGTCCAGCTATACTGTCAAGGACCGAATAGCAACAATCAACTACACTGTGTTGACATCAGTGTTGAACCCATTTATCTACAGTTTAAGAAACAAAGACATGAAACGGGGCTTACAGAAATTGATAAACAAGATTAAGTCTCAAATGAGTAGGTTCTCTACAAAGACCAATAAAATCTGTGGACCCTGATTACAAGGTGTGTGTGTGTGTGTGTGTGTGTGTGTTAGCACCTGATGCCACTCTTTTCTTGAAAAAACGTTCCTTCATCTTCACCATTTGTAGCTTCACCTCGTGGTTTTCCACCCTGTGGTCTCTGTCATCGTATGATTGAACAATTAGGATGTCTTGGTATCAATGCCCCAATCACAGACTCACCTCATAATATATCTTAATTCCAGAAAATCACATTCCCTTTACTCTTTGCATATTTATTTGGAGCCTCTCATATTTCTTTGTGTTTATAAATTCATCCAAGTTTGGTCTTTCAATTATCAGAGAATTTTCCTATATACCTATGTAGAAATTTAAATATGTGCAATGATATTATGCACACATAGTCACTCTCTTCTATTTAAAGCTGTCAGGAATTTTTTGCAGGCATGTGTGTATGTATGTACAAGTCTCACCTGCCCATGAGACTACAGGCTATGGTCCCCCTCTCCACCTTTTTAGAGACAGGGTCGTACCCCCCTGTCACCCAGGTTAGAGTGCAGTGGCACTATCATAGCTCACTATAACCTCAAACTCCTGGGCTCAAGCAATCCTCCTCCCTCAGCCGCTCAAGTAGCTAGTACTACAGGTGTGTACCACCACCCCTAGATAATTGTTTTAATTTTTTGTAGAGACAAGGTCTTGCTATGTTACCCAGGCTGGTCTCAGACTCCTGGCCTCAAGTGATCCTCCTGCTTCAGCCTCTCAAAGCACTGGGATTATAGGCGTGAGCTACCATGCCCAGCTTTATGGTCCCTTTTTAAAATTATCACAAGAACTGAATGTCCTGGACTCTGGAGTCATAGATTCTCAACAACTGCTACCAATTATCTGATTGACTTTTTCTTTTTTTTTTTTTTTTTTTTTTTGAGACAGAGTCTTGCTCTGTCACCCAGGCTGGAGTGTGCAGTGGTGCTATCTTGGCTCAGTGCAATGTCTGCCTCCTGGGTTCAAGCAGTTCTCACCCCTCAGCCTCCCAAGTAGCTGTGATTACAGGCGCCTGCCACCACGCCCAGCTAATTTTTGTATTTTTAGTGAAGATGAGGTTTCACCATGTTGGCCAGGCTGGTCTCGAACTCCTGACCTCAAGTGATCTGCCCGCCTCAGCCTCCCAAAATGCTGGGATTACAGGCGTGAGCCACTTCCCCCAGCCTGATTGACTGTTAATAAGACAACTCTACGTCTCTACATGAGTTTGAGTCTCTACTCTTTCTTCTTTTCCTATACCCAAGGGGCATTCATCCCCTGACTCTTCCTGGGGCTTCTTGCCTGTTCGCTCTTCCATCTAGAGATGCATATATTTCTAGGCGTCTCTAGGTGGTTAAATAAAACACTGAATTTAAAAATCTCCACTGTCTCCTCTATCTGTCTAGTTTTTTTGCTCAGAATAAAAAAAGGTTTATTCCATGTAATCAGAAATGTTCCCTATGGTCACTGGAGGCAGAGTCAAAATATCAATAAATATAAACTACTAGCAAGGGTCTCTTGGGTCAGAGTGCCTGATACAAAGGAGGCTCTCAATATAGTTGGGGAACAAATTACATGACTTAGGAAAGCAGTCAGATGAATTATTTCCCACAATATTTTTTTAATTGCAGCAATTTAATGAGTTTCTCTTTCTTTCTAGTATTCGTATTTTAGTAGATGGAAATGTCGAAGTCAAACAAATTAATCTCTCATGGTATTTTAGACAATGAGCAGATGGATTATCTTAAAAAGTGTAAAATGATAGAATAAGGTTCTGGGGATCTATTACACAGCAGGTGACTACAGTTAATAATAATGTATTGTATATTCCTAACTAGCTAGAAGAATGGATTTTAAATGTTCTCACCACAAAGAAACAACATGTATTTGAAGTGATGGATATGTTAGCCTGATTTGATGATTCCACAATGTATACATGTATCAAAACATCACACTGTACTCCACAAATATATACAGTTATTATTTGTCAATCAAAAAATAAAGTAAAACTTTTTTAAAAGAGTCTTTAAATACCTTTGTTTCTGCCCTTGTTAATCCCTAACCAAGGGTAAGGCAGAATCAAAATAAGGATATACTGTTCTATTTCATTCCTTTATTACATGTATTGCAAAATTAATTTTAACTTCCGTGCCAACTGCGGACCCCTGCATTGCTAATGAGAAAACTTATGTGCCTACCACTGGGCTGAATGAAGAACGATGAAGATTGAGTATGTCTACAATGGGCATGGGAGAAAGGAGCACTGGTACATATAACAAGTGAATTTTCACAGTCACCACAGGCCTCAAGACTTGGGCATACTTTCATTCTATAGCATAACTTTTTAAAATTCTTTATTTCCATAGGTTTTTGAGGAACAGGTGGTATTTGGTTACATGAGTAAGTTATTTAGTGGTGATTTGTGAGATTTTGGTGCACCCATCACCCAAGCAGTGTACACTGAACCCAATTTATAGTCTTTTATCCCTCACCCCCCTCCCATCCTTTCCCCCAAGTTCCCAAAGTCCATTATATCATTCTTATGACTTTGTATCCTCATAGCTTAGCTCCCACTTATGAGGGAGAACATAAGATGTTTGGTTTTCCATTCCTGAGTTACTTCACTTAACATAATAGTCTTCAGTTCCATCCAGGTTACTGTGAATGCCATTAATTTGTTCCTTTTTATGGCTGAGTAGTATTCCATCATTTTATATATATATATATGTATATATATATGATGTTATATATATATGTATGTGATGTGATTATATATATGATGTGATATATATATATATCACAAGTTCTTTATCCACTCATTGGATATGAGTGGATAAAGCATTATGTCTGAGTAGTAGTCCACCATATGTACATATATATCACATTATATTATATTATATTATATATTACACTATATTATATAATATATATTATATATAACACTATATTATATAATATATATTATATATAACACTATATTATATAATATATATTATATATAACACTATATTATATAATATATATTATATAATATATATTATATATAACACTATATTATATAATATATATTATATAATATATATTATATATAACACTATATTATATAATATATATTATATATAATACTTTATCCACTCATATCCAATGCATATATATCCTATATATATAACATCATATCTATATAACATCATATATATATATAACATCATATATATATATGTGTGTGTGTGTATATATACACCACAAGTTCTTATCCACTCAGTGAGTGGATATAAACTCAATGAGTAGAAATAAATCAATGTGCTGCTATAAAGATGCATGTGCAAGTTATCTTTTTTGTATAAGTTTATAGATCATTCTATAGCTTAATTTGTATAGTTTTTTTTTTTTACTTTTTGCTTTGCCCAATTGAGGCCCAATTCTGAGTTTCTCTTATCCCAATTCAATAATTTCTCCATGACTTCTGTTATAATTTAGCCCCATTTATTCATTTCATACCCCTCCTGGCTGTCATTGCTCCCTCCACGCTCTTTCTTTAAACTCTCAGGACTTAGGCAGCTTACTCCTGATGTCCCTAATATAGAGCAGGGTTTTTTTAGTGTGGTCTACTTTGGTTCTATACTAGAATCTGTTGCTAACATCCGCCCTTTTTCCATCCATTTGTCACCATGGATGATCACTAGGGCTTGCTTTGGATTGGCAACTGGCTTTCATTACTCCTCATACTCTCTAGTGATGACCCAGTAGAGATGTCACCATTTGCCATCAAGAAGTGGTTAAACACTGAATTTAAAATCCTCCACGTAAATATATAGTACATAGTAAATCCCAATATATGTTCAAATCTATTTCTGAACTTTTGATTCTGTTTCACTAACCCAATCATCTCTATTTGTGTCAAACCATAATGTTTGATGGTCATAGTTTTTAAAAATATATACTAAGGTAACTCTTCCTTCTTTGAATCCTACTTTTCAAAAAAGTTATTGACAATTCTTACACATTTATTTCTTCATGTGAAATTCTCAAAAGTGCTAAAGTCTTTCTTTTACCTTTTTATCAACTATGTTCACATGTGGTGTCAAACATGAATTAGGCTTGAATTGTGTCCTTAGCTGTAAGGTAAGATAGTTTAAATAGATGGATGGATAGATGGATGATAGATAGATAGATAGATAGATAGATAGATAGATAGATAGATAGATGATAGACAGACAGACAATAGATTGCCTCAACCACTCTCATGCTGTACATATAGGCATATAACTACATAAATATATGGCAAAGTTGTACATGGAAATTGTTTTAATTGCTGTATATGTTTTCCAAAAACCTATTGGGGTTCTAATTGAAAACGTATATAATTTGTACATTGGTTTGGATAAAACTGACATTTTCATGATATTAAATCTTCCCATCCAAGAAATTCTATATCTTTCCATATGCTCAGATCCAGATTTAAGGAGCAATCACTCTTGATTTTCAGATTCAGAGCATGCACTGTAAATATTTAACCAGAAGATAACTTCTCTTTCATCTCTAGATGGTTTCTAGGGCACCATTTCTGTTTCAATCAGCCCTAAGTTCCTGGATATCCCCAAAATCTCACCTTAAACTTAATGATTAGTTTCCTATAAAAGTTATTTTCATTCTTATTATATACCCATTTCTATACTTTGATTCTTCCTACAAACTGGACATACTCTGTGGTCACTTAGCATTTGTTTGACTGCCTCAAATGCCAGGGAACCCACAACATAATGGGGTAAGCTATCCAACTGTTGGACAGCTTCTGTGTTAATCAGAATCTGCCTTCCTGCTATAATGCCTTCAAATATTTTGGTAACTTTCAATGTATAGAAACCATTGATTATTATGTTGTCAAGTTTGTCAAGCTTTTCCCTCTAAAAAAAAATAGCCTCCTATATTAACTTCAGTTCTATTCTATTCTTTAGTTTTAAATATTTTGTAGACAGATATATAATAACTATTTCATCTATATATTTAATTACTCTGATAACATTTATAATCACTAATTTCAAATGCTAAATGCCCATATATACATTTATCTCATTTATTTATTTGTTTCACTGATATGTGTCTTATTCTGCTTTATGTTGCTATAATAGCATACCCATGACTGGGTACTTCATAAAGAAAAGAAATTTATTTCTTACCATTCTGGGGACTGGGAAGTCCAAAGTCAAGGGGCCTGCATCTGGTGAAGGTCCTCTTGCTGTGCCACCTCATGGTATAAGGTGGAAGGGCAAAAGAGCATGAGGGAGAGAGCAAGGAAGCGGATTGTACTCATCCTGTTATCAGAGACCCACTGCTGCAGTAACTAACTGACTCCTGAGATAACAGCATTGAACCATTTATGAAGACAGAGCCCTCATGACCCAATCACCTCTTAAAGTTCCCACTTCTCAATACTGTTACATTGGGGATTAGGTTTTTAACAAATGAACTTTGTGTGACACATTCAAACTGTAGCAATATGTACATTTTTTTTTTTTTAAGACGGAATCTTGCTCTGTCGCCCAGGCTGGAGTGCAGTGGCGCGATCTCGGCTCACTGCAAGCTCTGCCTCCCGGGTTCACACCATTCTCCTGCCTTTAATTGCTATAACTTAAGAGCTTTTAAAAAATCTTTTAGGGCAAGTCCTCCATCGTTGTTATTTTTAATTTTTTTGATCATTCTTAAACAATTTCTTTTCTAGAGAAAATTTAACAATGGTTAATCAATTTCACAAAAATTTTCTTGAGATTTTGTATTGTATATATTGAAGGTGTACAACATGATGTTCTGATATATGTATACATAGTGAAATTATTATTATAGTCAAGCAAATGAACATATCCATCATCTTACATAGTTAGCTTTTCTAGTGTACTAAAAAGTACCTAAAATCTATTCTCTTAGAAAATTTTCAGTGAGCAATATGGTATTGTTTAACCCATTTCCTGTTTGCCCCAAGAATACACTTGTCTCTAATCCTAATGTAACAGAAATGTTACATTGTTTTTTATCCATAAAATGGTTTCAACATTCAAGAATTACTGTGAAGATTAAATGTTTTATGTGTATAAAATGCTTAGACCAGTGCCTGGTTCATAGTAAGCATTTAGTCAATGTTGTTGTTGATGCTGTCACTCTCTTACCTGTTCCTTTCATAATACCTAATGTGATAAGATGGAAGACCTGATTTGAACATCCTAAGAAGATGAACTAAAGTTGCTTCATCCAGAGTATGAATTTAATGGAAAATAGAACAGTTTAGACAAGAAAGGGATTAAGAAGGCTGACTAGATGAAGGTAGTATGTTCCTCCTCCAGGGAGAGGAACCAGAATAGAAAGTAGGTACATTTCAAACAGACCATCTAGAAGAGAATGCTAGGATTCACCAGAGAAAATACAAGAAGCACCAAAAATAAGTAAAGAGAAGGTTCAGGACACCTTGCCTAGTGAGGGACTAACTGAGAGCTGAGAGAGGCTCCTAGATATGGGGAAACAGTAAGAGAGAAACTCCCAGGTTTCTCTGGACTTTGGGAGAAAACTTTGACCCTCTAGACCTTGGGCCTGACATACAGAGCTGCCTAAAGATTGCACAGAGATGTCATTCCAGAAAGGGAACCCACATGGAATCTCACAGGCATCCGAGCCTAGACCAGCCTCAGCCAGGTGCCATTTAGAGAGCCCAGATACTGGCGATCTACATACTTAGCTGCTGCCACTGTGCTGCTTCAAGGAGAGATAGGAGAGACTGGGTGCTCCCGTGCACCCCTGGGAGGATCCCTACCACTCTGCTGTGGAATGCTGTTGAGATTGAGATATGAGCAGACCACATTTCCCACAGCTTCTTGCCCATGGTGCTCACCTGAGAGGGGATCCACGCTCTCTGGTAATAAGCCCACAACTGACACCATTTTAAGAGTTTAATCCTGGGATTTGCCTCACCCTTGGGCCAAGTTTGAGTTGCCATGGCTGCAGCCAGCACCCAGTCAAAAAGGGACAAGGAAACCAAGCTGTCCTACACATATATAGGACAATATTCACTACCCTGCTACAGGCTGCTGTGAGACTAAGACTTGAGCAGACCCCATTCCCCATAGTTTCTTGCCCATACTGCTTGCCTTAGGGGGTCCTCCCCTCTCTGGTCACAAACTGACAGCTAGCTTCATTTCGAGAGTTTAACACTGAGCTGTGCCCCACACTTGGCCCAAGTTCAAGGCAATACAGCTGCAGCTGCCACTCAGCTGGGAGAGAGACAGGGGAGGCAAAGCTCTCCTAAGCACACTAAGGGTAATACCCATCACCCTGCTACAGTGGCTCTGGGACTGGGGACTAGCCTGCTCAACCCATCACAGCTATCAAGAACACCAATATGGACCACTCGGGTCCCTGTGGTTTGCTCCACCACTGATACTGCCATCACCCACATTACACCAGCTGTCACAGGATATGAGAACCCACCCACACACCTGGCCTACCAATCCCACTACTAGCTTCTAGTCAAGCCACTTGGGGCCCAAGAACCAGCCCTCCAGGACACTTTAACACCAAAGTCACTGTAAGTTGCTCTGGGCTTAAAAACAGGCACATTAAACCCACTGCTGCCACCACAGGGACCTGGAGACTGGCTCAGTCAGTGTCCAAGTCCCCAGCAAAATCTTGCCACAACCTCAGCTAATAACTGTACCCTAAGCCACTGAGGAAATCACGGATACCACTGACTCTGTATACTGCTAAAGAGTTCATGCAAAGATCACACTATTGCAGGCACCCATAATCCTAGCCAAAGTATCCTTCTCAACCAACAACATACACATATCTTCAGGAAAGAAATTCCCTTACCAAAGCAATTTCAAAAAAAAATTGGAACCAGCAACTGCTTCACCAGATGCTCAGATATCAAAAGGACACAAAAAACATGAAAAATTGGGGAAATATAACACCACCAAAGGACCACAACTGTCCTGCAACAGATCCCAATAAAAAAAATTCCTCAAAATGTCAAGTAAAAGATTCAAAATATTGATTTTTAAAGGAGCTCAATGAGATGCAAGAGAAATCTAAAAACTAATATAAAGAAGTCCAAAAATCAACTTAGGATATGACTAAAAAATTACCAAGGAGATAGATATCTTTAGGGAAAAAAAAGCAGAAATTCTGGAATGAAAAATTCATTCACTGTGGAGTGCAGTGGCTCATGCCTAGAATCCCAGCATTTGGGAAGGCCAAGGTAGGAGGATCACTTGAGGTCATGAGTTCAAGTCCAGCCTGGGCAACATAACAAGATCCCATCCCCACAAAAAAAAAAAAAAAAATACAAAAATCACCCAGGCACAGTGGTGCATGCCTGTAGTCCCAGTTACTTGGGAGGCTGAGGCTGGAGGATCACTTGAGCCCAAGAGTTCAAGGCTGCAGTGAGCTATGTTCACACCACTGCACTACAGCCTGGGCAACAGAGCAATACTGTCTCAAAACAAAAATCATTGAAGGAAATAAAACATACATTTGAAAACTTCAATAATAGACTAGAAAGCAGAAGGAAGAATCTCAGAAATAGAAGACAAGTCTTTTGAAATAATACAGTTAGACAAAAGTAAAGAAAAAGAATAAGAAAGAAGGAGCAAAGCCTTCTAGACACCTGGGACTACATAAGATGAGCAAACCTATGAATTATTGGTATTCCAAGGGGGAAGAGTGATCAAAAAGTTTAGAAAATCTATTTGAGGAAATAGCTGATGAAAATTTCCCAAGCCTAGCAAGAGAGTCTGATATCCAGATATAGGAGGCCCAGCTATCCCCAGGAAAAAACATTGCAAAAAGACTTCAACATAACATGTATTATTCAGAATGTCTAAAGTCAAAGTAAATGAAAGAATTTTAAAATTAGCAAGAGAAAAGCAGCTAGTCATCTATAAAGGAAACCTCATCAGATTAACAGCAGACTTTTCAGCAGAAACCTTATAGGTCAGAAGACAATGGGATGGCATTTTCAAAGCACTAGAAAGAAAACCTGTCAGCCAAGAATTTTATATTCTACCAGAAAAAGCTTCATAAATGCAGGAGAAATGAAGTCTTTCTCAGACAATCAAATGCTGAATAAATTTGTCACCTCTAGACTGGCTATGCAGGAAATGTTCAGAGGAGTCTTAAACATGGAAATGAAAGGTCAGTATTCATTATGATGAAAACACATGGAAGAATAAAACTAACAATTCTTATAAAATAATCACACAAAGGAGGAGGAGAAAAGAATCAAATGGCAACATGACATAATTTGTTAAAACCGTAAAGATAAAAAGAGAAAAAAAAGAAAAAAATTATAAAACGATTTGTAAAAATTAATAATATGACAGAAACAAAGCCTCACATATCAATAATAATCTTGAATGTAAATAAATGTTCCACTTAAAAGATAAAGATCGGCATAATGAATAAAATAAAATCAAGATCCAGCTATACGCTGCTAACGAGAAACTCACTTTACCCATAAAGACACACACAGACTGAAAGTAAAAGAGTGGGAAAAGATAGTTCATGCAATTGGAAATCAAAAGCAAGTACGTGTAGCTATATTTCTATTAGATAAAACAGACTTTAAATCAAAAACAGCAATAGGCCCACACTCAGACCCTAGCCCTGGTGGGTGCCCCCACCACACCTCAGCCACTGGGCTCCTTCCCTCAGCCTCTTCTCTGGTGCGCCCACCCACTCCCTTACTTCTCCCCCTTTCCCTCCTCCCCATCCGCTCTCCTTCCCTCACCTCTTTCCTCCCCACCTCCCCTCGTTTCCTCCCCCATCCCCTTGACTCTCCCCTCCCTGCCCTCACTCTCTTGCTCACCCTCAGCCAAGCCCCCACTATGATGGAGGCAGGTGCCAGTGCCATTGTCACTGCTGTCATTGCAGAGTGGGAGTCAGGTTCCCAGAAAGCAGCTTGATGAGTGTCCAAAGTAGGAGTGGAAGTTTGGAGAGGCCACCATCTTGGTCCCACCTCTCCACATCTCCAACTCCAGGCTCAGCGGCAAGCGGCAGCCAGGTCCCTGATGAAACACACACCACCATCCAGGAGGCCCAGGGAAGGTGCAATGGATGAGCTTTGTAGTCTGAATCCAAGAAGGCAAGAGTTATTGGAAGCTAGATTTATTGGAGTTGTAAGTGGGAACACTGGGAGTACCAGCAGTTGCAGTGTTGGAGCTAAAGCCTCAACAGATAATGAAAGCTCTTATCACAGTTTTGGAAGCTTAGGATCTTTAAGTGACAAAGAATCAGAGAAACGACTGGCAGGCAGCTGAAAGGACTATAACAGTGACTGGACTTTATCTGCAGTGGGTTCCCTTGAGAAGCCAGAGAAGAAACAATCAGAATCATCCAGGGGAAGATAGAGAAAAGCAGAAAACCAGAATGAAAATTGTCAGGGAAAAAGTATTGGGGGGACGTGGCCACAAAAGTAGTGACTATTTTGAATACCAGGGTGGAAATGGCTCAAGTCCAGTAAGAGGCATACCTCCTGCAATCAGTTCTCCTCAAAATTCACATTCACATTCCACTCCTTCCTCATCTCTTCGACCAAATAGCCCTTCTCCTACTGCATTAGCATTTGGGGACCACCCTATTGTACAACCAAAGAAGTTATCCTTTAAAATTATTCAGACTGATCTCACAATCCTGAAATTAGCAGCATTAGAAAGTAATAAAATCCAGGACCTGGAAAAGAAGGAAGGATGTATAGATTATTTGCTCAGGGCTAACCGTGATCTCAGATGGCAAATAGATGAACAAAAAAAATTACTTGAAAAATACAAAGAATGATTAAATAAGTGCATATAAATGAGCAAGAAACTTCTTTTGAAAAGAGTACACAAGAAAAACTGTCAGAGAGAAGAGTATGCAAGATTGATTGCGTCTCAGGCACTTTACAACAGTTAGACATGGCACTTCATTTACTGAATAATGGATAGATGGTTTTGCATTTCAGACTCTTGTGAAGCAACAAGAATGGGTGAATCAGCAAAGGGAAGATATTGAAAGGCAAAGGAAAATTCTAGCCAAATGCAAACCTCCCACAGCTAATAATTCTCAGACACCCTCTACCAATTCTGAACCAAAACAAAGGAAAAACAAAGGAGTCAATGGAGCAGAAAATGATCCCTTTGTTAGACCAAATTTACCACAACTGTTGACTTTGGCAGAATATTATGAACAGGAAGAAATGTTCAAACTTAGACAAGGACATCTCAGAAAAGAAGAGGCAGAAATCCAAGCAGAACTTGAACGTTTGGAAAGAGTCAGAAATCTTCACATACGTGAGCTGAGAAGAATAAACAATGAAGATAATTCACAATTCAAAGATCACCCAATGTTAAATGAAAGATATTTATTACTTCATCTGCTTGGTAGAGGTGGCTTTAGTGAAGTGTATAAGGCTTTTGACCTTTATGAACAAAGCTATGCTTCTGTGAAGCTACATCAACTTAATAAAAGCTGGAGAGATGAGAAAAAAGAAAACTACTACAAACATGCCTGCAGTATAGAATACACAAAGAACTGGATCACCCCAGAATAGTTAAACTCGATGATTATTTCTCCTTGGATACAGATATATTTTGTACAGTGTTAGAATACTGTGAAGGCAATGACTTGGATTTCTATCTGAAGCAACACAAGCTAATGTCAGAGAAAGAAGCTGAGTCTATTGTAATGCAGATTGTAAATGCACTAAGATATCCCAATGAGATCAACCCCCATTATACATTATGATCTTAAGCCAGGAAACATCCTTTTGGTAGACAGAACAGCATGTGGTGAAACCAAAATCACTGATTTTGGTCTGTCCAAGATTATGGATGATGATAGCTATGGTGCAGATGGAATGAATCTACCTCCTGAGTGTTTTGTAGTTGGAAAAGAGGCAGCAAAGATTTCCGATTTCCAACAAGATTAATGTGTGGTCAGTTGGAGTCATCTTCTTTCAGTGTCTTTATGGTAGAAAGCCATTTGGTCACAATCAATCTCAACAAGATATTCTTCAAGAAAATACAATATTAAAAGCCACAGATGTCCAGTTTCCTGTAAAACCAGTTGTAAGCAGTGAACCCGAGGCCTTTATAAGATGCTGCTTGGCATATCAAAAAGAAGATTGATTTGATGTGCACCAGCTGGCACATGACCCATGCCTTCTCCTACACATGCGAAGATCAAATTCTTCAGGAGACCTACAACATGACTGAGCTGACAACATCTCCTACACTGCTTTCTTCAAGCATAATTACTTACCGACTTTCCTCCAAGATTGACATGATATCTTTGAATTGCTTCCAGATGCACACTTGAGTTTAAGAGCATTTGAGTGTTTTTTTGTTTTCTTTTTTTTACACAGGACATGGTTAAAAACTGTTTGTGAGCTGAAGTTCCTCATAGTGTCATTTGTATGAGACTGGATCATGGACAATGAATAAATGCACACTTCTGACTACAACTTTGAGCAGTGAAGGGTGACTGCCCATTATAAAGAAACAGGAATACCATGTTAAGATGGAAGAAAAACATTTTTGGTCTTTTATTTGGGGGAACACTGTCAATAACATTTATAATACTTAAATACATTTGGTTGTTACCAGAGTTCTAATATGAAGGGTAGTTTTTCATCATTTAAAAACACATGGAAAAATATGAGACATATTTCTAACACACAAACTACAGTGCCTGGATACATTCTTCAGCATTTGGCAGTTAATCTGCTGAAGCCAAAGTAAGAACTGAATGAGAGTGACAGTTGGGTTTTATAGTAATAGAATGCGACAGTTAGAATCTTTGGACAAAGTTAGGCTTTGTCATTTGTCTATTCTGGCTTTTACCAAGTTGCACCTTGAAATCACATGTCCATTTTCTTTCACTTGTTATATTAAAGGGAGAGCTATTATTCCTAAATACTTTACACTTTTGACAAAATGAGCTGCTTGTTTTGAAATCAGTTGAATTCACTAAATTGTAATATTGCCAGTGTTTTCAACACGTTAGAATTGATAACAGGTATTTTTCTTTTGTTACCAGGCCTTGTGCATCAAAACAGGTGACAGTATGTACCAAATGCAGACCGGTTCTATGCAGGATAACGATAAATTCCCTTCTAGCTCTATTGTAAAGTGTTGTACAGATGTCATATTTCAATCACTAAGTTTCAGCAGCTTATTCTTGTACAAATGTTTAAAATGTGGCTTTTCTAATTGGATATTGTATTTTTAAAGTCTTCTTGAAGGTGCTCTAATTGCTGCTAAATGATGTCACTTCTTTGCTAAAAAATTAAATGAACCCCTAGAAGGTGCAAGTTGACTATACATCATTAGCAGACATTCATTAACAATCAAGACATGTAAAAATGATCCATGTTGGACATATTGAGTTCTTCAAATCAGTTATTGGGTTATAGGGCTGTGGAGCACATAGATACTAGATTTATACATTGTTCATGGTTATTCTACATTTCTAGAAAGTTCTTACCAGCAAGATGATCCCATAAATAAGTTTCTTGTAGTTTGTTCAAATTTGTTAAAATGTGAACATTTTCTAACTGCCTTGTAGGGTAGAAACCAATATTTTTCAGGATGCTGTATTTCACTCCTGTAAGGACTTTTTCTTTGCTGTCTCATTAATAATGCTGATACTTACATGTAAGTTGTTCATGTTGCAGAAAAAGGAGGTTATACTTACCATGGATTCTCTTTAATATTTAACTGTATTTAATATTTAACTGTATTTAATATTTAACTGTATTTAATTTAAATACAGTTAAACTGTATTTCTGATGTTGCAAGCCATTTTGTTTTTTCATTGTAGATAGACACATTGTCTCTTTAAAATGCTGCTGAAATTGTAGAGAATATAGCCAAAACAGTAATAAACAATGACAGCTAAAATGTAAACAAAAAAAAAAAAGCAATAAAAGACAAAGAAGGACATTATGTGATGATAAAGGGATTTATTCATTCAGCAAGAGGGTATAACAATCCTAAATATTTATGTAGACAATGTTGGAGCACTCAAATTCACAAGACAAATATTACGAGACCTAAAGAAAGAGATAGATAGCAATAAAATAATAATGGGAGACTTCAGCACCCTACTCATAGCACTAGACAGATCATCAAGACAAAAAATTAACAAAGAAACACTGGATTTAAATTGGACTTTAGACCAAATTTACTTGACATTTAAAGAACATTCTACCCAACAACTACAGAATATACATTCTTTTGATTACCATGTGGAACATTCTCCAAGATAGACCATATATTAGGCCAAAAAATAAGTCTTAGCACATTTTAAAAATGTGAAATCATATCAAGCATCTTCTCAGATTACAGTGGATAAAAGCTAGAAATCAGTACCAAGAGGAACTTTGGAAACTATACAAATACATGAAAATTAAACAGCATGCTCCTGAACAATTACCAGGTTAATAAAGAAATTAAGATAGAAATTTAAAATATTTTTGAAACAAATGAAAATCAAAACAACATACCAAAACGTGTTGGGTACAGTAAAAGTGGTGCTAAGAGGGAAGTATATAGCATTAAATGACTACAACAAAAAAGTAGAAAGATCACAAATTAACGACCTAACATTGCACCTCAAGCAACTAGAAAAACAAGAACAAACCAAACCCGAAATTAGCAGAAAAAAAGAAATAATAAAGAGCAAAGCAGAACTAAATGAAACTAAAACCAAAAAAAAGGACCAACAAAACTAAAAGCTCTTCAAAATATAAAAGAAAATTGATAGACCAATAGCAAGAAAAGAAGGTCCAAATAAACACTATCAGAAATGAAAATAGAAACATTACAATTGATATCATAGAAATGCAAAAGATCATCAGAGACTATTATGAAAAACTATACACTTACAACATAGGAAACATAGAGGAAATTGATGAATTCCTGGAAGAATACAACCTCCTGAGATGAACAAGGAAGAAATGAAACTCCTGAACAGTCCAATAATGAGTGGTGAGATTGGGTCAGTAACAAAAAACCTCCTAACAACAACAATAACAAAAAGCCCAGGATCAGGTGAATTCATAGCCAAATCCTACCAAACATACAAAGAAGAACTAATACCAGTCCTCCTGAAACTATTTCAAAAAATTGAGCCTGAAATGCTCCCTAATTCTACAAAACCAGTAACACACTGATACGAAAACCAGACAAGGACACAACGGAAACGTAAAACTACAGACCAATATCCCTGATGAACATATATACAAAAATTCTCAACAAAATACTAGCAAATCAAATCCAACAGCACATTAAAAAGATAATACACCATGATCAGGTGAGATTTATCCCAGGGATGTAACAGTAGTTCAACATATTCAAATCAATAAATGTGATACATCAACATAAACAGAAATAAAGACCAAAACCATATGATCGTCTCAATATATGCAGAAAAAGTATTCAATAAAATGTAGCAACACTTCATGATAAAAATCCTCAACAAATTAGGCATCAAAGTAACATACCTCAACATAATAAAGGCAATATACAACAAACCTACAGACAACATCAATGGGAAAAAGTTGAAATAATTCCCCTTAAGAACTGGAAGAAGACAAGGATTCCCACTTTCACTGCTCTTATTCAATATAGTACTGTAGGTCTCAGCAAAAGCAATCAGGCAAGAGAAAAAAAAAGGCATTTATATTGGAAAAGAGGTAGTCATATTTTCCCTTTTTGCTGATGATATGATTTAATCTCTAGAAAACCCTAAAGACTCCACCGAAAAACCTCTTAGATTTTATTAATGAATTCAGTCAAGTTTCAGGATATACAATTAATGTACAGAAATCAGTAGCATTTCTATATACCAATTATGATCTAGCTGAGGAACAAATAAAGAAGGCAATCCCATTTATAATAGCTACAAAAAATAAATAAAATACCTAGGAATATATTTAACCAAGGAAGTAAAACATCTATATAAGTAGAACTACAAAACACTGATGAAAGAAATCGTAGGTGATACAAACTAATGGAAAAACATTCTATGCTCATGGATTGGAAGAATCAATATTGTGAAAATGACCACACTTCCCAAAGCAATTTACAGACTCAATGCAATCTCTATCAAATTACCAACGTAATTTTTTTAATTAGGGAAAAAATCCTAAAATGTACATAGAACCAAAAAAGAGCCTGAATAACTGAAGGAATCCTAAATAAAAAGAGCAAAGTTGAAGGCATCACATTTTCTGACTTCAAATTATATTACAAAGCTATAGTGACCAAAACAGCATGGTACTGGTATAAAAATAGACACAAAGATCAATGGAGCAGAATAGAAAACCCAGAAATAAAGCCACATACAGTCAACCAACTGATCTTTGGCAAAGTTGACAACTGAGGAAAGGACACCCTATTAAATAAACGGTGCTGCAAAAATTCGATAGCCATATGCAGACAAATGAAACTGGGCCCATTATATCAAAAAGATACCTGCATTCATATGTTTATTGAAGAACTATTCACAATAGCAAGGATATGGAACCCACCTAAGTGTCCAACAGTGGAGGATTGAATAAAGAAAATATGAGATGGATAGATGGATAGACAGATAAATAGATAATGTGTATACACAAACACACACCCACATACACACACACACTATGGAGTCCTACTCAACCATAATAAAAGAATGAAATCATGTCTTCTGCAGCAACACAGATAGAACTAGAGGCCATCATCCTAAGTGAAATAACTCAGAAAGTCAAATGCCACATGTTCTTATTTATAAGTGGGAGCTAAACAATGGGTACATGTGTATATAAAGATGGAAACAATAGATACTGGGAACTTCAAAAGTGGGGATGCTGTGGGGTGCAGGTTGAAAAATTACCTATTGGGTACAATGTTCACTATTCAGATGATGGGTGCGCTAAAAGCCCAGGCTTCACCGCTGTGCAATAGTGTACATGTAAGAAATCTTCACTTGTATCCCCTAAAGATATAAAAGTTAAGAAGATAAAAATTAAAAATAAATATAACTAGTTCAGAAACATTGTAGCTTTCCAGAATTCTCTGTGTTGGGATGCAGGGCCCAAAGTCCAGATAACAATAAAATGTTACTTTGCTTCAGTTTGTCATTATTCCTTGGGCAGCATTTCTCTTAGCAATTTCATGGGAAGAAGTACCTGGATTTCAGAGTGGAATCCAAAGTTTCTTGAGTTCCCTTGCCATAATACCCTCTAATAATTTTCACCACCTACTGAACTAGGACATATTTCTTAATCACATAATTTTAACAAATTTAAAGATGTCAACCAATGTTCACTAGGTCATCTAGGTCATCACGATAAAGGAAATATAACTGCCGTGACTATTTCTCAATCCCAGGTGCCTACCCAAACACCATGGAGAGAAAGCAGAGATATTTGAGGCCAAACCTTAACCTGTGTGAGGCTCAGGTCACCAAGGACAGCCGTGACCTCCCCCAGAGTCCCTTTTTGCTCCTGTTTCCGTAGAGTTCCAAACCAGATAAGCCGATGTTCTAATCTGGAGATAAATACCTTTGCTCTCAAGGGAGAACATGTTTCTCTGACTCGACAGTGGGATGGGTATGCCTGAGTAATCTTGGTTTCTCTGTACCAGGGAACTGTGTTGGGATCAGCTGAGGCCATGGTTATTTTGAAACTGACTTAATGTGCTAAGAGGTTCCAAGCTTAATTCCCAAGTACCCATTCATTCACCAAGGAGAAGCCAAAGTTTTACCTCTGGATTCTGTTTAATGAGGCTATCAGTAGCCAACCCAAGTGGTTAATTAACATCAAAGAAAAGGAGCCTAAAGGTTAGATAGCAAGTCCTCCCCCAGAGCCTCGTTAGGAAAGCTGAGATTGGACCTGTCCCTCAGAGGCACCTTCTGCAATGACGGTGGCTCAGAAACTTTTCTGACACAGCATCATGAGTGAGGCCTCCCGACTTTTCCCTTGGGCTGCTCTCAAGGGTCCATATTCTACTTTGATTTTAGAAAGGGAATTGAACAATGAGAACACATGGACACAGGAAGGGGAACATCACACACCGGGGCCTGTTGTGGGGTGGGGGGAAGGGGGAGGGATAGCATTAGGAGATATACCTAATGCTAAATGACGAGTTAATGGGTGCAACACACCATCAAGGCACATGTATACATATGTAACTAACCTGCACATTGTGCACATGTGCCCTAAAACTTGAAGTATAATTAAAAAAAAAAAAAAAGAAAGGGGAAAGACGATGCCGTAACTAAGAGGCTTTGCCTGCCCCCATCTGAGGTCAGTCCTCCAGGGCAGCATTGGAGAGAGCTGCTGAATAACCAGTTTGAGAGAGATAGCATATTTAAACCAGTTTTAGTCAGAGCCATTTTTTCATGTGTTCTTTGAATAACATCATTTTTCAGGGATACAAATCGATTCCCCTATTCCTTTTGATCTCCTAATTTAAAACCCTGGTAATGGTGTCTACTTTATCTAAGGCAGGGATTTTCAGCCTCCTCTGGCCCATTTAGCCATCTGGGAAGCTTCACAGAAGATTCCGATGCCCAGGCCACACCCTAGACCAATTAAATCAGAATCTCTAAGGAGGCAACCCAGGTATCAGTATTTTTAAACCTCTCAGGTGATTCCAATGCGCAGCCAAGGTTGGGATTTCTTTAGAGGGTCCCTATTGGCTTGTGTAATTTGACAGCGCCAATGCTGCGAGTTTAGGGTTAAGCAAATGAATGACGTCCTTCCCTTATCTCCTGGGTCTATTTTTATCTATCATAAGTTTTGGGGGTTTTCTTTTGGCTTTTTCTTAGATTTTATGAATCAATATTTGATACTGAGAAAGGACATAAAGAAAGCACTATGTTAAAAATGATTTAATTCATTTTTTTTGGTCTTACGTGTTTCTATTTTCCTTTATTCCCCTAAGTCCACAGATAACACATGAATACAGTCTAGTTGTGAAATAATTCAAACAGAAGTTATAAAGTAAAACCTAAAAGTATCTCTTGATTCCCACCCACAAACCCATTACGTATAAAAATATCTTTATATATGCAAATATAAATATTAACAGCCTTGAAATCACACAGTATAAATATATTATTTTGCAACTTGAATTTTCATCTAATAAGATGTCTTGGAGATGGTTCCAAGTCACTAGTATCTACAGTCTACACTGTTGTCTTTAACTGGATCCTAGGATTTTAACAATATTTTATAATATGAAGCTACTATAATTTATTTAAACATTCCTTTATTATTGGACATATCAATAATTTCTCTCTCTCTGTTACAAAGCTGCTGTGAACATCTTGTATATATATCGATATATAACTATATATCTATATATATATATCTATATATATAACTATATATCGATATATATAGTTCAAATATATTCTATGCTTTATATACATACATAAAAGTAGAAGTTCCTAGATACCATAAAATTATCCTTCAGAAAAGGCATTTCTATGTCAATCTAGTGTGTGACAGCACCTGTTTCCTCAGTCAACACTCTATAGTATCAACATCTTTCATTTTTTCCAGTATACTGATCAAAAAATAATATTTCATTGTTCCTTTAATTTGCATATTATTATAAATGTTTATTGGTCATTTTTCTTTCTTCCACTGGGAAATATCTGTTTATATTTTTTCTCATTTTTCTATTGACGCATTAGCCAGACTAGACTATATATGCTGCAGTAGCAAATTAATCCTAAAATCTCAATATCTTGACACAATAAAACTTTATTTCTTGCTCACACTATGTGTCCACTGTGAGTCATCAGGGGTGCTCTATGGATAGTGACTCAGAGAAAGCCACATTGATAGAGGTCCACCACTGCATATCCAAATCATACAGACTCCTTAGCAGAGAAAAACAGACTGGAGAATTGCATGTGGGTTTCTTTTGCCTTAACCCAGAAATAACACACATCACTTAAATTCATATTTCTTTGGACAGAAGTAGTTATGTATTCACTCAAAACTGCAGAGTGAGAAATGTAAGTTTTCACATGCAATATTTGTTAAACATTACTGTCTCTACCACAACTTGGAATATTAATAATTTCCATATTGACTTATTGAAATCCCTTGTATTATATGAATAGTAATCTTGTCTGCTGTGCATACAGCCCTCCATATCTGTGGGTTCCACATGTGTGGATTCAACCAATCATGGATTTAAAATATTAGAAAAAATAATATTGCAACAATAAGGAATACAAATAAACAGTACAGTATAGCAATTATTTATACAATATTTATTTTACCTTAGGTATTATAAGTAATCCAGAATTATTTAAACTATACTGGAGGATGTGCATAGGTTATATATAAATACTATGCCATTCTATAAAAGGAACTTGAGTATCATGGATCTTGGTATCCACAGGGGTCCTAGAAACAATCCCCTATGGATACATCATACA
Organism: Homo sapiens; assembly: GCF_000001405.40. Taxonomy (NCBI): domain Eukaryota; kingdom Metazoa; phylum Chordata; class Mammalia; order Primates; family Hominidae; genus Homo; species Homo sapiens. Next base: position 122,696,559 of record NC_000009.12, read on the forward strand.
TATGTGTCAAATTTTTTTTTCTAATCCTTGTGCTTCTCTTTTAACTTTTTTCATGGCATCATTTGTCACACACATTTTCACTTTTACATAGTCAAATCTGTCAATCTTCTAATTTAGAGCATTGGGGATTCTATTTTGCTGAGGAAGGGTTATTTCATTCCCAAGATTACAAAAAGTATTCTCCTGTATTTTCTTGTTATAATTTTATACATTTTTTTCCTTTTAGATGTCTGAATACATTTGGAATTTATTTTTACAGATGGTATTAGGTAGAGATCTAAATTTATTTTCTTTCAGTTCAATATACAATTGTCCCACAATTTTCTTTCTTGTCACATTCACAAAGCTAAATGTCTTTTTGTATAGGTTTGTGTCTAGATTCTATTCTGTTCCATCAGATGAATTGTTTATTTCTGTACCAATACTATATTATTTTAATTAACATAGCATTATTGCATGTTTTTCTGACTGAGAAGGAAAATCCACTCTCATTGTTTTCTTTTGCTTTATTTTTCAAAATTATTTTATTACTTTTGCACATTTTCTCTCCTTGGCAAACTTTGTAATAGATTTGCAAATTCTGCATTCAACAAAGATCTAATATCCAGAATCTACAAGGAACTCAAACAAGTCATCAAGAAAAAAAACAAATAATCCCATTAAATAGTGAGTAAATGACATGAACATACTGTTTGGGTTTTTTTGAGACAAGGTCTGGCTCTATGCAGTGGCGTGATCTTGGCTCACTGCAACCTTTGCCCCCCACACTCAAGCCATCCGCCCACCTCAGCCTCCCAAATAGCTGAGACTACAGGCATGCGCCACCATGCCTGGCTACTTTTTTTTTTGTATTTTTTGTAGTGATTGGGTTTTGCTATGTTGCCCAGACTGGTCTCAAATTCATGAGCTCCAGCAATCCACACAACTTGGCTTCCCAAAGTGCTAGGATTACAGATGTGAGCACCCATGCCAGGCCTATGAATAAACATTTCTTAAAATAAGATATACAAATGGCCAAAAAACATATGAAAAAGTGCTCAACACCACCAATCATCAGAGAAATGCAAATTAAAACCACAGTGAGATACCACCTTACTCCAGCTGGAACAGCCAATATTAAAAAGTCAAAAAGTAGTAGATATTGGTGCAGATGTGGTAAAAAGGGAATGCTTATACACTGCTGGTGGGAATGTAAATTAGTACAACCTCTGTGGAAAATAGTATGAGTATTTCTCAAAGAACTAAAGTAGCTCTACCATTCAATCCAGCAATCCTACTACTGGGTATCTACCCAAAGGAAAACAAGTCAGCATATCAAAAAGACACCTGCACACATATGCTTATCACGGCACAATTTACAATTGCAAAGATATTGAATCAACCTAAGTGCCCATCAACTGATGAATGGATACAGAAAATTATATATATATATATAATATATATACCCCATTAAATATTAGCCATAGAAAAGCATGAAATAATGTCTTTTGCAACAACTTGGATGGAACTGGAGGCCATTATTGTAACTGAAGTAACTCAGGAATCAAAAACCAAACACATGTTCTCACTTATAAGTGGGAGCTGAGCTACAGATTGTTATAATGAACATTGGAGACTCCGAAGTGGGAAGGATGGGAATGGGGTAAAGAATGAAAAACTACCTATTAAGTTTAATGTACACTACTCAGATGATGTGTGCACTAAAATCCCAGACTTCACTTCACCACTACACAATTCATTCATGTAACAAAAACCACTTGTACCCCTAAAACTATTGAAATAAAAAATTAAAATAAATGAAAAATAAATAAAAATAAAAATAATCCCACTTTTAAAAAAGCTGAATAGTATTCCTATTGACATTTTGTGAGGATATATGGAATATATGTATTAATTTAGGGAGAATCAACCTTTTTTAAAAACAGAGTTGGACATCTCACTGTGTTGTCCAGGCTGGTCTCCAATTTCTGGCTGCAAGTGATCCTCCTGTCTTGGCTTCCCAAAGGGCTAGGATTACAGGTGTTAGTCACCTGTAAGTCACCTGGCCAAGAACCAACATTTCTTACTATACTATCTTCCTATCCAGGAATATGGATTATGTGACCAATTGGTGATCTCTGCTAGCACCAAGCAATATACAGAACTGCGAAGGAGCATGAGATAAGGAACCAAGCTACCTGGGTTTGACTCCTCTTTCTGCCGTTAATACCAGCTCAACCTTGCACTAATTACCCAGCCTAAGTTTCCTCTTCTGTAAAAGGTTAATAATATCTCCCAATGCTATCCCTCCCCCCTCCCCCCAATGACGAGTTAGTGGGTGCAGCACACCAGCATGGCACATGTATACGTGTGTAACTAACCTGCACAATGTGCACATGTACCCTAAAACTTAAAGTATAATAAAAAAATAAATTTAAAAAAAAGGTTAATAATGAAAGTACCTATTTTGTTGGTTTGTTGTGAAGGTCAAATGAGATAATTTACGTAAAGGACCTGCAAGAATGCTTGGAACGTGGTACATTTTAATAAATGTTAGCCATTACCTTCCTTTATGTCTTTTAGTAAACATAAGTGGACAAATAGACTTCTTAAACTATCTTCGCAAATTAAAAAAATTTTTTACTTGATTCTGTTTTAGTAAACATAAAAGTTTAAGTAGGTTTTATTTGTTTGTTTTTTTAAGACAGCCTTACTCCGTTACCAGGCTGGAGTGCAATGGCCTGATCTTGGCTCACTGCAACCTCTGTCTCCCAGGTTGAAGCGATTCTCATCCCTCAGCCTCCCAAGTAGCTGGGACTACAGGCATATACCACCACGTCTGGCTAATTTTTGTATTTTTAGTAGAGACAGGGTTTCGCCACGTTGGCCAAGCTGGTCTGGAACTCCTGACCTCAAGTGATCTGCCCACCTCAGCCTCCCACAGTGCTGGGATTACAGGCATGAGCCATAGCACCTGGCCTAAATAAACTTCTTAAACTCTCCTAGCAAACTTAATAATATTTTACTTGATTCTGTTGGCTATTTTGGCAATCATATTATCTATAATAATAAGTGTTTTCCCTGCTTCTTTTTCAATAATTATGCCTTATTCTTTTTTAGTCCCTCTAAAAGGTAGAGAAAAATACTACTGAATAAATAATTGGTGATTATATTGTATTGAATTATCTTGATGTATTAGACAACATTTCTGGTAAATGTTGAATAACTGCAATATATGGGCCATGTTTGTCTCTGACTTCAGTGAGATTTCTTTGGTATTTCACCATTACCTATGACGTTTGCTGTACTTTTTTTTTTTAACCTCAAGTTTATCAAGTCTCATTATGTTTCTAACTTATTAAGAATTTTTAATCAGATATTGTATTAAATTTAATAATCTTTTAACATGTATTAAGAAGCCTTATGGTTTTTCTTCCGTAATCTGCTAATGTAGTAAAATTCAATAACAGATTTTCTAATGCTGACCCTTTCTTGAATTCTTAGAATAAACTCTAATTGGTCATGATGTATTTTTTTATTTCTTTAATAATTTATATTATATATGTAACATATGTAATATAAGTAATGTAAATGTTTATTGATATAGTAAAAATTTGCATATGATTTTCTAAGTGAGACAGTCTTATTGTTTTCTTTCTTAATGTTTTCCTTGTCTGCTGAATGGGTTAAGAAGCTCTCCTTCTTATTCTATGCTGTGAAACAATTTATACGACGTTAGAATTATCCATTTCTTGGTGTTTGCTGGAATTCACTGGTAAAACTATATAGGCATGTGTCTTTATCTGTAAGTTTTTTATTGAGGTAAAATGTACATAATATCAATTAGCCATATTGAAGTGTACAATTCAGTGGCATTTAGCACATTCCCAATGTACAATCAGCATCTCTAGTTCCATATTTGTAATCACCCCAAAGGAAAACACCTTTCTCATTAAGTAGTCACCCTCTGGCCGGGCGCAGTAGCTCACATCTGTAATCCCAGCACTTTGGGAGGCTGAGGTGGGCGGATCACCTGAGGTCAGGAGTTCAAGAACAGCCTGGCCAACATGGCAAAACCCCGTCTCTACTAAAAATACAAAAGAATTAGCCAGGCATGGTGACGGGTGTCTGTAATCCCAGCCACTCAGAAGTCTGAGGCACCAGAATCGCTTGAACTTGGGAGGCGGAGGTTGCAGTGAGCCGAGATCACGCCACCGCACTCCAGCCCAGGCGACAGAGCTAGGTGAGACTCCATCTCAAAAAAAAAAAAAAAAAAAAAGTAGTCGCCCTCCCAATTCCTCCTCCTCCTAGCCTCTGGCAAGCACTCTGATCGACTTTCTGTCTCTATTGATTTACCTATTCAGGATATTTCATATAAATGGAATTCTACAATACATGACCTCTTGTGTCTGACTTTTTTCACTTGGTTTACTGTTTTTGAGGTTAATTCATGGTATATTATGTATCAGTACTTTATTCCTCTTTATGGCAAGTAATAGTCCATTGAATGGATATAGTACATTTTGTTTATCTAACTCTCAGTTGATGGACATTTGGGTTGATAGCACTTTATGGCTCCCATGAATAGAGCTGATATAAACATTTGTGTACAAGTATTTATTTGACCACCTGTTTTCGGTTCCTCTGAGTATATACTTGGAAATGGAATTGTGGGTCATATTGTAATTCTACATTTAACTTTTTGAAGAACCACCAATCAGCCGTACAATTTTACACTCCTACTAGCATTGTGTTAGGTTTCCACTTTCTCAACATCTTCCTTTTTTAAAAAACTTATAGCCATCCTAAAGAGTGTGAAATAGTATCTCATGTGGTATTGATTTGCATTTTCCTAATGATACTATCTTTTCATGTGTATTTACAAAGAGCTTATGGTTACCATTTCAAAATTTAACTAATATTGAATAGTTAAAATTTTTAAACTAGCCAGTTAAAGCCTCCATAATTAACCAGACTCTCCAGATTTTCACCTTTTTTGACCATTTCAATTATTTATATTTTACTAGAAATTCATCAGGGAATTGTACACAGTTTTTTTTTATTTTATCTTTTCTTCTTATCCTTAATAATATTTATTTTAGTCTTCTCTCATTTTTATGAATTCATACTTACTAAGGGCTTGACCACTCTACCGATCTTTTCAAAAAACAGCTTAGGTTTATTAATTGGATCTAACATTTTTATTTTCTATTTCATTAATTTTGCATTTAAACATTAATTTCTTCTTACAATCTACTGAGGTTTATCTTATTGTTCATTCCTTGTTTCTTTAATTAAATGTTTGTTTTTATTGTTTTTATTTCCTAATAATAATATATGTCTTCTGAGTTCTACTTTATTCTTAATTACACGGTAGTGAGAATCAGCTGAATGTCAGAATCCCTACCAGCAACACTGGATACCGGAAGTAATGTCTTCAAAGTCTTCATAGAAAATTATTTTGAAACCAGAATATACAAAACAAAAATGAATAGGAAGGGAGGAGATATTAAACATCCCCCATGATTATGGGAGACATTTTCTTTTTTCAGAAATCATTAAATGAAGTCAAACAAAATTAAGTAAATATGTAAAAATTTGAAATATATTTAGTATGTTTGATTTAATAAAAATAAAGATTTGTATTCAACAGAAATATGTTCCTCTCAAATACATGAGAAATATTTACAAAATTATTATGTATTAGGTAATAAAGAAAATCTAAACAAATTCCAATCATGAATTCCAGAAATCATACAAGCCACATTCTCTGTCTACACTGTAATTACTTTAGAAATTAAAACAAAAGAATAACACAAAAGTAATTCAAGACAAATACTATATGATTGCACTCCCATAAAATATCTAAAATACATAGTCGAATTCATAGAAACAGAAAATAAAATGGTGGTTTCCAGGGAAGAGGGAATTGGCTATTTTTACCTCGCATAATTCTCTGGAGAGTAATACAGGTTGTTGTGTATATCAATAATGTGTTCCTTTTTATTACCAAGTAGTAGCCCATGGTATATATGTACCACAATTTCATTAATCATTCCCCCATTAATGGACATCTGAGCTACTTCCAATTTAGGAACATTATGAATAAAGCTGCTATAAGCATTTGTATATAGGTTTTTGTATGAACATAAGTTTTTGTTTCTCTGGGATAAATGCTCATGAGTATAATCATTGAGTTGCATGGTAGTTGCATGTCTAGTTTTTTAAGAAACTGCCAAACTTCTTTCCAGAATAGTAAACAGTTTTTAAAAATTTCCTTATGTTCAGTTTTTCAAAATTGCACTAATTGGTCCAATCAACATTTATAAGTGCTATAGGCAACCCCAAAGGAGACACAAAGAAGAATAAAACAATCTTTACCCATCTGCACTGTGAGCATGTGTGTAGAGTATTACTTGTGTTATATTAAAATTTTAAATTAAATGATGGCTCCAGCCCTTCCATAATGCATAACCTTCAGGGAAGATAGCAGTGTTCATCAGATTGCAACATGAGGCTCAGTGACTTATGGGGCTTTGCTGTTAATTTTCTTTTGGGAGAGACTATTCTAAGTGAGGCATTTTAATATCATCAAATTATGGTCTGGGCACAGTAGCTCACACCAGTAATCCCAGCACTTTGGGAGGCTGAGGTGGGTGGATCACCTGAGGTCAGGAGTTCGAGACCAGCCTGTCCAACATGGTGAAACCTTGTCTCTACTAAAAATATAAAAATTAGCCAGGCGTGGTGGCAGGTGCCTGTAATCCCAGCTAATCAGGAGGCTGAGGCAAGAAAATCGCTTGAACCTGGGAGGCAGAGGTTGCAGTGAGTTGAGATCATGCCACTGCACTCCATCCTGGGCAACAGAGCAAGAATCCATCAAAAAAAAAATTACCAAATTATAAGTAGAATACCTCTTAATTGCTCTGTGATTCCTGAACCAGGAAATAATTACAGAGTTTCAGATTGAGATAGTATGCATTTTGTTAAATAATGTAAATGACTGTTTTCATTGGATTGTGGCATCTCTAAAGAAATTATTGGTATTAGAACCTTTCCACAGTTGCTAAATCTGGCAAACCTACAGTCCTTTAATGTGTCCAGAAATAGGTTGTTAGAGAATTGAACTCGAGAAAAGGAGACTATGGAAAAGAAAACTCTCCTCTGGGTGAGATCAATGTGCCTTAAGATTATCCTGCCAGGATAAGAAAAGATCAGAATGAGTTTCCTTTAATAAAGAGGGCACTGCCAGTGCATCTAGGGACAGTGAGAGCTGCTGTCTGCTTTTGTGTTCTCTGCATTGTGATTTCCTTGTGTTACTTTTAAGTCTTGGTAGAGTCTGTTAACAGGGGTCCCCAACACCTGGGCTATGGACCGGTACCAATCTGTGGTCTGTTAGGAACAGCAGGAGGCCACATAGCAGGAGGTGAGTGGCAGGCAAGTGAGCATTACTTCCTGATCTCTGCCTCCTGTCAGATCAGCGGCCACATTAGATCTCAAAGGAGCTCGAACCCTATGGTAAACTATGCACTCAAGGGATCTAGGTTGCCTGCTCCTTATGAGAATCTAATGCCTGATGATCTAACGTGGGACAGTTTCATCCCAAAACCATCTTCCTCCCACCATCCGTGGAAAAAATTTCTTTCACAAAACCAGTCCCTGGTGCCAAAAAGGTTGGAGACCACTGTGTTAACACATGGCCTTGATCAGGGTGTGTCTTGAGGAATAAAGGGAGGTGGCCTCGATCTCACTTTGTGGTGAAGCCAACTAAAAAGAACTGCAACAGCAGTAAAAAGACACACTCATGGGGAGACCAGTGGGGATATTCAGTCACAGAACCTGGGGGCTTGACCCAGGAAAGTGGACATTTCAAAGGAGGAGCAACTCTACAGATAGATGAAGAACTTGTAAACATTTGGGTTATATATGTTCTATCACTAAAATTCATGCAAAGTTATCATTCCATGCCATAAATACAAGACAGTACTTCCCTTGTCTCTCTTTAAAAAATGAATAAAATTGACACTCCTCCATGTTAATTCTGAACCATCACATACCATGACAATTTGCTTTGAAAACACAGGATGTCGACAAGGGAGAGAATTTGAAGGACATTGAGCAGAGAAGGGACCAAATTATAACAAAATTTTTTGTAACTTAAAAAGATCGCTCTGGTCACCAGATGGAAGATAGAATGGGGTTGAAAGGATAGAGTGCATTTGTCCATTTACCCTGCTCTCCACTTGTGTCCACCCTGCTCTGTGTTTCATAAGGTTGAGACATGTTTCAGAAGGCTCCCTTTCCCTCCAGGCAATGCAAGGTACTGGTAAGAGATCCTGAGGGAGGGAGGTGGGAACAATCAGAGTATTTATTCCATCAACTTCCTTTTTGCTGGTCACAGTGAGTTACCTGTATCCATCTGATGAAGGCCACAGCTCCTATCAGGCAACCTTCTCCATGTGGCCACCTTGTTCACGTTCTGAGATCTACACACTGTGATTTTTCCCTTCAGGTCTAGGGGTGTAATGACTCTCTGTTGTTGCCAGCCCAAGAGTACTACATTATCCCTTGAAAATTTCCTTATACCCTACTCCCACTTTTGAAAATAATCCCTTCATCAATCTTCTCATTTGGAATGTTCCATCTCTTTCTAGCTAGGACTGAATGACATATGGCAAAAGACAGTAGAGGCAATTAGACTTATTAGGAGTTTTAGGTAATACACCAAAACAAAGACATTGAGTCCTGAGCTAGGGCAGTGGCAGTGGAGACATACAGGGGAGACAGACGTGAGAAATTTTAAGGAGGAAGCTCTGATCAGATTTAGTTATTAATTAAGTGGGGGGAAGAGAAGCTAGCAATGAGAAGTTAAGGGCAGCCTTGCACAGTGGCTCATGCCTGTAATCCCAGCACTTTGGGAGGCTGAAGCAGGCAGATCACTTGAGGTCAGGAGTTTGAGACCAGACTGGCCAACATGGTGAAACTCTGTCTCTACTAAAAATACAAAAATTAGCCAGGCATAGTGGCGGGCACCTGTAATTCCAGCTATTTAGGGGGCTGAGGCAGGAGAATCACTTGAACCCAGGAGGCAGAGATTGCAGTGAGCTGAGATCGTGCCACTGCACTCCAGCCTGGTCAACAGAGGGAGACGCCATCTCAAAAAAAAAAAAAGAAGAAGAAAAAAGAAAAACATTTAAGGGCTGTTTCCAACTTCCTGGTTTTGATGATCGGGCAGATGATAGTGCCAGTCAGGCCAAAAGAAAGGGGCTACAGACCCCATGCAAGCCTAAAACCAAGCAGGGCAGTCATTAAATCTTAAAGTTCCAAAATAATCTCTTTTGACTCCATGTCCTACATCCAGGGCACACTAATGAAAGGAGTGGGCCCCTAAGTCTTTGGGCAACTCCACCCCTGTGGCTTTACGGGGTTCAGTCCCTGCAGCTGGCCTCAAGGACTGGTATTGAGTGCTTACAGCTTTTCAGGCACATGGTGAAAGCTGCAGGTGGATCTACCATTCTGGGGTCTGGAGGCTGGTGGCCCTCTTCTCACAGTTCCACTAGCAGTGTTCCAGTGGGGACTCTGTCTGGGGGCTCCAACCCCACATTTCACCTCTGCACTGCCCTAGTAGAGGTTCTCCATGAGGGCTCCGCCTCTGTAACAGGCTTCTGTCTAGACATCCAGGCTCTTTCATACATTCTCTGAAATCTAGGTGCAGGGTCCCAAGCCTCAACTCTTGCACTCTGTGCACCTGCAGGCTTAACACCATATGGAAGCCACCAAGGCTTATGGCTTGCACCTTCTGAAGCAGTGGCTTCAGCTGTATGTACCTAGGACCCTTTGAGCCATGACTGGAGCTGGAGTGGCTGGGATACAGGGAGCAGAGCATTTTCTGTATTAGTCCGTTCTTTCACTGCTATAAAGAAATATCCGAGACAGGATAATTTATAAAGAAAAAAGGTTTAAATTGGCTCATGATTCCACAGCTGTACAGGAAGCATGGCAGCATATGCTTCTTGGGAGGCCTCAGGGAGCTTGTACTCATGGCAGAAGGTAAAGTGGAAGCAGGCCTCTTACATGGCAGGAGCAGGTCCGACAGACAGCAAGGTGGGAGGCACTGCACACTTTTAAAAAACCCAATCTTGTGAGAACTCACTATCACAAGAACAGCACCAAGAAGATGGTGCTAAACCATTCATGAGAAACCACCCCATGATCCAACCACCTCCCACCAGGCCCAGCTCCAACATTTGAGATTACAATTCAACATGAGATTTGGGTGGGGACATAGAACCAAACACGTCAACACCTGTTCTCAAGATGCATCAGAGTCCCCATCAACTAACCCTATAGAACTCAATATGTTGGAGTAGGGAATAAGAATGGGCAGGAAGTAGGTACTGAATAGCATGGGGACGTTCACACCATCATCATTATCATCATTAATGCTTATTAAGTGGAAACTATGTGCCAGGCAGGACTCGGTACATAATTTCCAGGACCCAATGCAAAATGAAAATGTGAAGCCCATTCCCTGGTTCAAAAAGTATTAAGAGTTTTAAGACAGAGACAGCAGAGCATTAAACTAAGCTCTGGGCCCTTCTGAGCACAGGAAGCACACCCATAAAGCTAGTGCTGATACCAGGCAATCTAATTGCTAAACTACAACTGCAGCCTTATTTAATAAGATAATAAGATCAGGATTACTATTGCACCTATTTTATAAATGGGGAAACTGAGGCACAGAGCTATCTAGTGAATTGTCTAATGTCATACAACTAGTAAGTGGCAGCTAGGGATTTGAACACAGGCATTAACTTCAAAGCCCATTCTCTTAACCTAACATTGCCTTTCTCCACTCTGTCCCAGTTTTCTGCCCCTGTAACAAACCCAAAATTCCATGCTTCCCACACCTTCACCAAACATCGTAACAACCTCAAGACCATTCCTATCTGCCTAGAGATCAGGGAACTCCCCCAAAGTTACACAGCTAGTGATTGTAAGGCTGGGATACAAAGTGAGATAATGTGTCTCCAAAGCTCACCTCTTACCCTCTATACCAGAGTTCAGATCCTGACTTACCACTTACCTCACCATGAATACATTCTTATTTTTAGTCCCTTTTTATAAAAGTAAAAATAGAGGCTAGAGGCTCTCCAAGAAATAGATCCATATAGATACTGTCAATTGATCAGGGGCAAAGGAGAAAACACATTTGACAGCAGAGAAAATATAGTATTTTCAACAAATGGTGCCAGAACAACTGGACATCCACATGCAAAAAGAAATGAATCTAGACACAGGCTTTACACATTTCACAATAATTCGTTCAAAATAGATAATAGATCTAAATGTAAACTGTAAAATAATAAGACTCCTAGAAGATAACATAAAGAAAACCTAGATGATCTTGGGTATAGCAATAACTTTTTAGAAACAACACCAAAGACAACATCCATGTAAGAAATAATTGATAAGGTATGATTAATTAAAATTTAAAATTTCTACTCTGAGAAAGACACTTTCAAAAGAATGAGAAGACAATCCCCAGACTAGGTGAAAATATTTGCAAAAGACATATCTGGTAAGGGACTATTATCGAAAATATACAAAGATCTCTTAAAACTCAACAATCAGAAAATGAGTAACCCAATTGAAAAATGGCCAGAAGACTTAAACAGGCACCACACCAAAGAAGATATACGGATGGCAAGTAAATATATGAAAAATGCTCCATACATATGTTGTTAGAAAAATGCAAATTAAAACAACGATGAAACACCACTACACAGCTATTAAAATGGCCCAAATCAAGAACACTGACAACACCAAATGCTGACAATGATGTAGAGCAACAAGACTATCTCATTCATTGCTAGTGAGAACACAAAGTTCTATAGTCACTTTGGAAGACAGTTGACAATTTCTCATGAAACTAGACATACTCTTACCATATGACCCAGAATCATCCTCTTTGGTATTTATGCAAATAAATTGAAAACTTATGTCCACACAAAAACCTGCAAAGACATTTGCAGCAGCTTTATTCATAGCTGCCAAAACTCGGAAGCAACCACGTTGTCCTTCAGTACGTAAGGGAATAAACTGTGGTACATGAAGACAACAGAATGTTATTCAGTGCTAAAAAGAAATGAGCTATCAAACCATGAAAAGATATGGAGGTACCTTAAATGCATATTAGTAAGTGAAAGAAGTCAATCTGAGAAATCAATCATACTGTATAATTCCAACCATATGACATTCTGGAAAAGGCAAAACTAAGAATATCAGTGGTTGTCAGAGGTTTGGGGGAAAGGATGAACAGGTGAAGCACAGAGGATTTTTAGGATGATAGAGTTATTTTGTATAATGCTATAATAGCAGATACATGACATATGTTTTTCAAAACCCATAGAATGGTCAGCACCAAGAGTAAATCCTGATGTAAACTACGATGATAATGATGTGTTAAAATAAGTTCATCAATTGTAACAAATGCGTCACTCTGATGGCGGGCATTGATAGTAGGGGAAACTGCGTGTGTGGGAGCAAGAGGTATGGGAACCCCTTGTACTTTCTGATCAATTTTTCTGTGACCTAAAATTTCTCAATAATAATAATAATAATGTACCTTTGAAAGGAATAAAAACAGAAAAAAGAAATATCTATCTAAAAGTTGTAATTGCTGTGCTATTTATACATAACGAGGACAATGTGGGCTAGTGAGGCTAAATACCTTACCCAAATTCACTCATTTAGTAACTGAGGCAAATGGAATTCAAATATAAGCAGACTGGCTTAAGAAATTGAAGTAATAGGGAGGTTCCAAGATGGCTGAATAGGAACAGCTCTAGTCTACAGCTCCCAGCATAAGCGATGCAGGAGACGGGTGATTTCTGCATTTCCAACTGAGCCTCCACTGGTGATACCCAGGGAAACAGGGTCTGGAGTGGACCTCCAGCAAAATCCAACAGACCTGCAGCTGAGGGTCCTGACTGCTAGAAGGAAAACTAACAAACAGAAAGGACATCCATACCAAGACCCCATCTGTACATCGCCATCATCAAAGATCAAAGGTAGATAAAACCACAAAGATGGGGAAAAAGCAGAGCAGAAAAGCTGAAAATTCTAAAAATCAGAGCGCCTCTTCTCCTCCAAAGGAACGCAGCTCCTCGCCAGCAACGGAACAAAGCTGGATGGAGAATGACTTTGATGAGTTAAGAGAAGAAGGCTTCAGACGATTGGTAATAACAAACTTTTCCGAGCTAAAGGAGGATGTTCGAACCCATCGCAAAGAAGCTAAAAACTTTGAAAAAAGGTTAGAAGAATGGCTAACTAGAATAAACAGTGTAGAGAAGACTTTAAATGACCTGATGGAGCTGAAAACCATGGCACCACAACTACGTGACGCATGCACAAGCTTCAGTAGCCGATTTGATCAAATGGAAGAAAGGGTATCAGTGATTGAAGATCAAATGAATGAAAAGAAGCGAGAAGTTTAGAGAAAAAAGAGTAAAAAGAAATGAACAAAGCCTCCAAGAATTATGGGACTATGTGAAAAGACCAAATCTATGTCTGATTGCTGTACCTGAAAGTGATGGAGAGAATGGAACCAAGTTGGAAAACACTCTGCAGTATATTATCCAGGAGAACTTCCCCAACCAAGCAAGGCAGACCAACATTTAAATTCAGGAAATACAGAGAATGCCACAAAGATACCCCTCGAGAAGAGCAACACATAATTGTCAGATTCACCAAAGTTGAAATGAAGGAAAAAATGTTAAGGGCAGCCAGAGAGACAGGTTGGGTTACCCATAAATGGAAGCCCATCCAGACTAACAGCTGATCTCTCAGCAGAAACTCTACAAGCCAGAAGAGGGTGGAGCCAATATTCAACATTCTTAAAGAAAATAATTTTCAACCCAGAATTTCATATCCAGCCAAACTAAGCTTCATAAGTGAAGGAGAAATAAAATCCTTTACAGACAAACAAATGCTGAGAGATTTGTTAAACATGGAAAGGAACAACTGGTACCAGCCACTGCAAAAACATGCCAAATTGTAAAGACCATTGATGCTAGGAAGAAACTGCATCAACTAACAAGCAAAATAAACAGCTAACATCATAATGACAGGATCAAATTCACACATAACAACATTAACCTTAAATGTAAATGGGCTAAATGCTCCAATTAAAAGACACAGACTGGCAAATTGGATAAAGAGTCAAGACCCGCCCTCTCCCTCTCCCTCTCCCCACGGTCTCCCTCTCCCTCTCTTTCCACGGTCTCCCTCTGATGCCGAGCCGAAGCTGGACTGTACTGCTGCCATCTTGGCTCACTGCAACCTCCGTGCCTGATTCTCCTGCCTCAGCCTGCCGAGTGCCTGTGATTGCAGGCGTGCACTGCCACGCCTGACTGGTTTTCGTATTTTTTTGGTGGAGACGGAGTTTCGCTGTGTTGGCCGGGCTGGTCTCCAGCTCCTAACCGCGAGTGATCCGCCAGCCTTGGCCTCGCGAGGTGCTGGGATTGCAGATGGAGTCTGGTTCACTCAGTGCTCAATGGCGCCCAGGCTGGAGTGCAGTGGCGTGATCTCGGCTCGCTACAACCTCCACCTCCCACCCGCCTGCCTTGGCCTCCCAAAGTGCCGAGATTGCAGCCTCTGCCCGGCCGCCACCCCGTCTGGGAAGTGAGGAGCGTCTCCGCCCGGCAGCCACCCCGTCCGGGAGGGAGGTGGAGGTCAGCCCCCGCCAGGCCAGCCGCCCCGTCCGGGAGGGAGGTGGGGGGGTCAGCCCCCCGCCCGGCCAGCCGCCCCGTCCGGGAGGTGAGGGGCACCTCTGCCCAGCCACCCCTACTGGGAAGTGAGGAGCCCCTCTGCCCAGCCAGCCGCCCCGTCTGGGAGGTGTACCCAACAGCTCATTGAGAACGGGCCATGATGACAATGGCGGTTTTGTGGAATAGAAAGGGGGGAAAGGTGGGGAAAAGATTGAGAAATCGGATGGTTGCCGTGTCTGTGTAGAAAGAGGTAGACATGGGAGACTTTTCATTTTGTTCTGTACTAAGAAAAATTAGTCTGCCTTGGGATCCTGTTGATCTGTGACCTTACCCCCAACCCTGTGCTCTCTGAAACATGTGCTGTGTCCACTCAGGGTTAAATGGATTAAGGGCGGTGCAAGATGTGCTTTGTTAAACAGATGCTTGAAGGCAGCATGCTCGTTTTAAGAGTCATCACCACTCCCTAACCTCAAGTACCCAGGGACACAAACACTGCGGAAGGCCGCAGGGTTCTCTGCCTAGGAAAACCAGAGACCTTTGTTCACTTGTTTTTCTGCTGACCTTCCCTCCACTATTGTCCTGTGACCCTGCCAAATACCCCTCTGCAAGAAACACCCAAGAATGATCAATAAAAAAATTAATTAATTAATTAATTAAAAAAAAGAAAATCTGAGCAGAATAATTTATAGAAACATAAAAAAAAGAGTCAAGACCCATCAGTGTGCTGTATTCAGGAAACCCATCTCACGGGCAGAGACACACACAGGCTCAAAATAAAGGGATGGAGATCTACCGAGCAAATGGAAAACAAACAAACAAAAAAAGCAGGGCTTGCAATCTTAGTCTCTGATAAAACAGACTTTAAACCAACAAAGATCAAAAGAGACAAAGAAGGCCATTACATAATGGTAAAGGGATTAATTCAACAAGAAGAGCTAACTAGGCTAAATATATATGCATCCAATACAGGAGCACCCAGATTCATAAAGCAAGCCCTTAGAGACCTGCAAAGAGACTTAGACTCCCACACAATAATGATGGGAGACTTTAACACCCCACTGTCAACACTAGACAGATCAATGAGACAGAAAGTTAACAAAGATATCCAGGAATTGAACTCAGCTCTGCACCAAGCAGACCTAATATACAGCTACAGAACTCTCCACCCCAACTCAACAGAATATACATTCTTTTCAGCACCACACCACACCTATTCCAAAATTGACCACATAGTTGGAAGTAAAGCTCTCCTCAGCAAATATAAAAGAACAGAAATTATAACAAACTGTCCCTCAGACCACAGTGCAATCAAACTAGAATTCAGGATTAAGAAACTCACTCAAAACCACTCAACTACATGGAAACTGAACAACCTACTCCTGAATGACTACTGGGTACATAACAAAATGAAGGAAGAAATAAAGGTGTTCTTTGAAACCAGTGAGAACAAAGACACAACATACCACAATCTCTGGGACACATTTAAGGTACTGTGTAGAGGGAAATTTATAGCACTAAATGCCCACAAGAGAAAGGAGGAAAGATCCAAAATTGACACTCTAACATCACAATTAAAAGAACTAGAGAAGCTAGAGCAAACACATTCAAAAGCTAGCAGAAGGCAAGAAATAACTAAGATCAGAGCAGAACTGAAGGAGGTAGAGACACAAAAAACCCTTCAAAAAATCAATGAATCCAGGAGCTGGTTTTTCAAAAAGATCAACAAAATTGATAGATCGCTAGCAAGACTAATAAAGAAGAAAAGAGAGAAGAATCAAATAGATGCAATAAAAAATGATAAAGGGGATATCACCACCGATCCCACAGAAATACAAACTACCATCAGAGAATACTAAAAATGCCTCTATGTAAAAAAACTAGAAAATCTAGAAGAAATGGATAAATTTCTGGACACATACACCCTCCCAAGACTAAACCAGGAAGAAGTTGAATCTCTGAATAGACCAATAACAGGCTCTGAAATTGAGGCAAGAATTAATAGCCTACCAACCAAAAAAAGTCCAGGACCAGATGGATTCACAGCCGAATTCTACCAGAGGTACAAAGAGGAGCTGGTACCATTCCTTCTGAAACTATTCCAATCAATAGAAAAAGAGGGAATCCTCCCTAACTCATTTTATGAGGCCAGCATCATCCTGATACCAAAGCCTGGCAGAGACACACAAAATAATAGAATTTTAGACCAATATCCCTGATGAACATTGATGCAGAAATCCTCAATAACATACTGGCAAACTGAATCTAGCAGCACATGAAAAAGCTTATCCACCACGAACAAGTTGGCTTCATCTCTGGGATTCAAGGCTGGTTCAACATAAGCAAATCAATAAACGTAACCCATCACATAAACAGAACCAAAGACAAAAACCATATGATTATCTCAATAGATGCAGAAAAGGCCTTTGACAAAATTCAACAATGCTTCATGCTAAAAACTCTCAATAAATTAGGTATGATGGGACGTATCTGAAAATAATAAGAGCTATTTATGACAAACCCACAGCCAATATCATACAGAATGGGCAAAAACTGGAAGCATTCCCTTTGAAAACTGGCACAAGACAGGGATGCCCTCTCTCACCACTCCTATTCAACACAGTGTTGGAAGTTCTGGACAGGGCAATCAGGCAGGAGAAGGAAATAAAGGGTAATCAATTAGGAAAAGAGGAAGTCAAATTGTCCCTGCTTGCAGATGACATGATTGTATATTTAGAAAACCCCATCGTCTCAGCCTAAAATCTCCTTAAGCTGATAAGCAACATCAGCAAGTCTCAGGATACAAAATCAATCTGCAAAAATCACAAGCATTCCTATACACCAATAACAGACAAACAGAGAACCAAATCACAAGTGAACTCCCATTCACAATTGCTTCAAAGAGAATAAAATACCTAGGAATCCAACTTACAAGGGATGTGAAGGACCTCTTCAAGGAGAACTACAAACCACTGCTCAATGAAATAAAAGAAGACACAAACAAATGGAAGAACATTCCATGCTCATGGACAGGAAGAATCAATATCGTGAAAATGGCCATACTGCCCAAGGTAATTTATAGATTCAACACCATCCCCATCAAGCTACCAATGACTTTCTTCACAGAATTGGAAAAAACTACTTTAAAGTTCATATGGAGACAAAAAAGAGTCCGCATTGCCAAGACAATCCTAAGCCAAAAGAACAAAGCTGGAGGCATCATGCTATCTGACTTCAAACTATGCTACAAGGCTACAGTAACCAAAATAGCATGGTACTGGTACCAAAACAGAGATGTAGACCAATGGAACAGAACAGAGCCCTCAGAAATAATACCACACATCTACAACCATTTGATCTTTGACAAACCTAACAAAAACAAGAAACGGGGAAAGTATTCCCTATTTAATGAACGGTGCTGGGAAAACTGGCTGGCTAGCCATACGTAGAAAGCTGAAACTGGATCCCTTCCTTATGCCTTATACAAAAATTAATCCAAGACGGATTAAAGACTTAAATATTAGCCCCAAAACAATAAAAACCCTAGAAGAAAACCTAGGCGATGCCATTCAGGACATAGGCATGGGCAAGGACTTCATGACTAAAACACCAAAAGCAATGGCAACAAAAGCCAAAATTGACAAATGGGATCTAATTAAACTAAACAGCTTCTGCACAGCAAAAGAAACTACCATAAGAGTGAACAGGCAACCTACAGAATGGGAGAACATTTTTATAATCTACCCATCCGACAAAGGGCTAATATCCAGAATCTACAATGAACTCAAACAAATTTACAAGAAAAAAATCAAACAACCCCAAGTGGGCAAAGGATACGAACAGACACTTCTCAAAAGAAGATATTTATGCAGCCAATAGACACATGAAAAAATGCTCATCATCACTGGCCATCAGAGAAATACAAATCAAAACCACATTGAGATACCGTCTCACACCAGTTAGAATGGCGGTCATTAAAAAGTCAGGAAACAATAGGTGCTAGAGAGGATGTGGAGAAACAGGAACACTTTTACACTATTGGTGGGACTGTAAACTAGTTCAACCACTGTGGAAGACAGTGTGGCAATTCCTCAAGGATCTAGAACTAGAAATACCATTTGACCCAGCCATCCAATTACTGGGTATATACCCAAAGGATTATAAATCATGCTGTTATAAAGACACATGCACACGTATGTTTATTGCAGCACTATTCACAATAGCAAAGACTTGGAACCAACCCAAATGTCCAACAATGATAGACTGGATAAAGAAAATATGGCACATATACACCATGGAATACTATGCAGCCATAAAAAAGGATGAGTTCATGTCCTTTGTAGGGACATGGATGAAGCTGGAAACCATCATTCTCAGCAAACTGTCGCAAGGACAGAAAACCAAACACCACATGTTCTCACTTATAGGTGGGAACTGAACAATGAGAACACATGGACACAGGGAAGGGAACATCACATACCGAGGCCCGTTGTGGGGTGGGGGGAGGGGGGAGGGATAGCATTAGGAGATATACCTAATGTAAATGACGAGTTAATGGGTGCAGCACACAAACATGGCACATGTATATATGTAACAAACCTGCATGTTGTGCACATGTACCCTAGAACTTAAAGTATAATAATAAAAAAAGAAAAACAAATATTAAAAAAAAGAAATTGAAGTAATAAAATGTTTAAGAAAGGCAAATGAAACCAAAATAATCGAGGCTCAGTAAGGTTAATTATTTGCAAAACTGCATAGATCATAAGATGCCAAGCCAGCATCAGAATATAGTCAGTCTGGCTCCTGGGCCTGTACCTTAACCCCTTCCCCACAACACTGCATGTGTATCCAGATGCAGTCATACATGCAAACACAGAACCTTAGGGATGTCAAAGGTCATCACTTCTCCTTCCAGGTAGGCACACACAAGTGTAAACCCAGAAGTGCACAAGAGTACATGCATGTAGCTAGAGTAGGCACACACATGTAGAGTATACATGTGCATGAAAAAAACACCTTATATAGGGTGCACACATGTGTATGGAAACACACATGTGCATAGGGTATACATATGTGCTTGAACAAACCTCCACCCCTGCTGCTGCATGGCTCTAATTCCCTTCCCAGGTGTAAGAGGCTACACCTCTGGAACCTAGGTTCCCCATAGTAATGTTCTTCACCCCTGGGAAGACCACAGCGCCAATCCCCTCAGGGCACTGGTATGCATAGAGGACAGGCCCCTGGATCTCCCTTTCTTTTTTTTTATTTTATTATTATTATACTTTAAGTTTTAGGGTACATGTGCACAACGGCAGGTTTGTTACATATGTATACATGTGCCATGTTGGTGTGCTGCACCCATTAACTCATCATTTCTCACTGTAGGTGAAGCACTGTCACATTTCTGAGGCTATATCTGCACTTCAAGAGGCCACCTTCTTCAGAGACTCAGAGCCCAAATGTAACCCTCTGGCAGCCCCCAAGCCTATTCAGGCCTCTGAATCTCCTGTCACGCCCACAGGTAGGCAGGCTGAGAGGTCTTTGGCAATGGGAACCCCGGGATCAATATCTTCATATAATCTTCTTCCCTTTTCCTGATTTTTTTTCCTCCATCTCAAAAACCAGGAAATGTCTCTCTCTATATTTTTCTTCTTGCTCCCTTTGATAAAATATCAGACATTTAAAGTACTTATTCTATGCAAGACACTGTTGTAGTCATTAGTCCCTGCCCTTAAAGGGTGCAGCCCACATTCTGCAACCTGAGACCCACGGGACTATCTCCTCCAGGGAAACTGAGTTGGCAGAGGAACAAATAAACAAGAACGTCTGGACAATAAAGAGATTGAAAGCACACACTTGGAGCTGGAATCTACCACCATCTGGCTGCGTGTCCTTAGGCAAGTCACTTTGCTTCTCTGTACTTCACTTTTGGTACCTGTAAAATGGAGTGTTGTAGAAACTAAATGACTTCATGTATATAAGGTTCTTAGAGCAGTGCTTCCATGTGTAAGTGCTGTTTAATTGCTACCCATTACATTACCATAATTGAGACTATTCATGGGAAGGAGCTGTAATAAAGTGGGTATCTCTAGACCAGAAACAACCAGATGGGGCTTTCTCAGCTCAGCTGAGGAAGACAAGATTTGTTTTCAGCAAATCCCAGTTGAAGTACCTCTGGTGGATCTGATGGCTACCAAAGGTATGTTGAGACCGAGCAAAGGCAATTATTCACAAAAGGAATCTCAATAGGCATATTTTAATCATTCATTTGCCTAGAATCTAGAATTTTAAATCTGGGAAGGGCAAGGTAATTCATCTGAACAACCTGCCATTACTAGCATAGAAATGAGGCAGATTGCTATGGGATAGGACTCCATGAACTCATGGCGGAGCTGAAACCAGAAACGTGTCCCCTGACTTTCAGCCCTGTGTTCAGTGGAATAGCCATAGCAAAACCCAGTTATAAGGTGCTCTACTCACCATGGGAATCAGAAATGGTTGTGAGGGAATATGCCAGGCTGGATTTAAGATTAGGGAGTGCCACAAGGCACAGAGGACCAGATAGGTAAGGAGAAAACTATGTCAGTGAAGGAACATGGTGTCTCCAGCAGAGAAGATATTCGAGCAACTAGACAATCTCTTGGGGACTCACGGGTGGATGAGATGACCTGGAGATTCACATTTCACCCTCACATTTCTGTAGCACAGTTAATTTTGGAGATGTCTCGTTTCTACTACCTTAAGGTATCAAAATAAGTTCATCAAATTTAATAAATATGCCAGTCTGGTGGGGGGTGTGGATAGTCACGGAGTTTTGTTTTGTTTTGTTTTTTCCTGCTAAACTAGGCAGGAAATTGGAAATTAAGCTAAGATACCACCTTCTACGGAGCCAACCTCATCAATGACAAAACCGCAATAACTTTTGCACCAACCTAATAGATCTGTTCCATGAGGAACTAGGCCACTTCTGCATATTCTGAGCTCCCTATCTCCGGAATGCTGAAAAGGCAAAGGTGGAAGGCACAGGGATCTAAAGCCCTGTGACTCCAAGGCAAGCAAAGCTCCCCGATAATCCACATTGCTAGACTCCTCCTTATGACCCAGGATATGTAGCCTGTCGTTTCTGCGTTTACAGCTGCACTGATGAATACCGACTAGTCACAGGTACGTGAGGCACCAGAAAACAAACTGACAACTTGAAATTTTAACTCATTAAATTATTGAGAAAGACAGAGACAGAGCCAGGCATCCCAGAAACTAGTGATTCCAAGAAGAAAGACAAAACCAACAGTGGAGTGGAATCTAGCTGAGAACAGCCTGAGCCGGAGGAACTGGGTTCAATCCCGGATCTGAGGGACTTAAGATGTCCAGAAGAGCTTTCAACCTAAACTAAGCAGGAAATGGGAAATTAGGCTGAGATACCACCTTCTCTGGAGCCAAGAGACAGGAGGTAAAGCTCTAATCTAATAGAGGAGTAAAAACTAGGCAGAAAACAGAGATTTCAGAGAACTGAAAAGAGAAAGACTCAACCTAAAAATAACCCTGCAGAATCCCTAAATGGGACATACCGCTGAAAGGGGCCTATGCACTCAACACTGCCAATCCGGGTGTCTTACAGGTACCTTAAGGTATCAAGGTATTCTCAGACTCCCAATGAGGAGAGAGTAGAAAGGGAGAAGCTGGATTTTCAAAAACATGTGCCCAGCTGGGTGTGGTGGCTCATGCCTGTAATCCCAGCACTTTGGGAGGCAGAGGCAGGCGGATCACCTGAGGTCAGGAGTTTGACCCCAGCCTGACCAATATGGAGAAACCCCTTCTCTACTAAAAATACAAAATTGGCCAGGCATGGTGGCACATGCCCATAATCCCAGCTACTTGGGAGGCTGAGGAAGGAGAATCGCTTGAACCTGGGAGACAGAAGTTGTGGTGAGCTGAGATCGTGCCATTGCACTCCAGCCTGGTCAGCAAGAGCAAAACTCCATGTCAAAAATAAAATAAAGTAAAATAAAAATAAAAACATGGGCCCAGGAGAGATCCTAAGGTCAGGTACTGGTGCTGCAAAATCAGAGAACTGTTGTTGATTCAAGATCTGAGAGAGCTGAGGTCCAAAGTCCCCTATAGCCTGTCCTCTCTGAAGTCTAGGAGGAGAGGAGAGGATATGACTTTGTGGAATGGGAAGCAGAAATGGGAGTAGGAAGGAAGGAAATTGAAAGGATTCCAATACGTAGGAGCGAAGGATAGAGTGGAAGAAGTGGGTCAGCAAGGAGGCTGAAGGCACTTGGCAATAAGACGACCTCTGTTGGCAGAGGACACACCAGCTTAGTTCCCTACTACACATGTACAGTTTGAGGAAGAGGTGTGATAGAGCAGTTTAAAACATAATTTGCAGTCAGTGTGCCTGGGTTTGAATCCTAGATATACCACTCACTGTGACTCTCTGAATTTCAGCCTCCTTTGTTATAAAGAGGGACATAGTGGTACTTAAAACATAGTGTTATTGTGAGAATTAAATGAGACAAATGTTAAATACAGACTCTGTCTAATAAATGTTAGCTGCATTTTTCCAGTTTAGTCACTTTCCAACTGTCTTTGCTTATTTAGGGAAGCAGAAGCATGGATAATGGGTAGCTTTCCACCAGCACACTGCCCACCCAGCATTGTTAATCCAATTTGGGAAGTGCATACTTGCTGCTAGTGTGTACTCCCTGGTTTCATGTGGACCAGTGGCTAAGAGAAGGACACTACACAAATGATGAGGAAGCAAGGAAAGGAGAAATAACCTGAGATGACAAATGTCCACAATGTGAAAATTCCAATAGAGAAAGATGAGAAGTATAGAAATAGTCCACATTTCCTGTCTATCAAGGAAGAGAGTAAATACCTTTTCAGGTGAGATGATGTGATTTTTTTAAACCTTATAGAAATTTATATTTATTAAATCCCTCAACATTTCTTTTTTTTTATTTTAATGGCATATTTAATTCAGTGAGTACATGTAGAATTGGCATCCTGACATTTTCTTTAATTTTCTTTATTATTATTATTATTATTATACTTTAAGTTTTAGGGTACATGTGCACAATGTGCAGGTTAGTTACATATGTATACATGTGCCACGCTGGTGTGCTGCACCCATTAACTCGTCATTTAGCATTAGGTATATCTCCTAATGCTATCCCTCCCCCCTCCCCCCACCCCACAACAGTCCCCAGAGTGTGATGTTAAAAGGCTTAGAAAGACTCCCAGGCCTTTCTGGTTCTTCCCACCACTAACAAGACTCATCATTAAAATGTCATTTCTCTAGCTTATTGTTTGAGCAATAATACTAACCACGTGTATTAGGGTTTGACAAACTGTCACTCAACTGTCACTTGAGTCTCCAAATGACAGTGGCAGGCGGGGAAGAACAGCACACACACAAAAATCAGCCTCTACCCCACACACACACCCCATCTTATTAATAGATATACAGAACTGTAATGACTTGCCCAAGACATGAGAAAATATACAATGTTGTCAGATCCAGTTAAACGGGAAGGGACTAAGCTACTACCTCTGAGGCAAACATCACACTGATCTTAGAAACTCCAAGTTCAAGTCCAAAGGAAATCATAGCCCTTCACCCCCAGCAAACACAATGTCCCAGGAGTGAGGCTGAAAGAGACAGAGAAGAAACTGGGGAAAGAGTCCAGAGAGTCAAATAGATACATTCCCCAGGAGTAGGATGAAGGGTAGTTATCTCGGGTTGTAAGTATCTATTAAGATTTTCAATGTTTATAAATTCCAACTTTGCAATTTGTATCTCAGAATCTATTCCACGCCTTAGAAATTATCTGATGAGTGCAATACACACAAAAACATCCATTGTAACAGTCTGTGGGGGATAGTATGGCTCCAATACAATATATAGTGTGCATATAGATCTATGGAGAGAAAAAGTTGGCTGGGGGATGAAATTGTTCAGAACTTTCACCCTTTTAATTATAAAATTCATGTAAAAAATCACGTGTTCATTATTTTTAAATACAAGCAATATAATCTTACCACACCAAAAAAATGATAACTATGTGAGAGAGCACATATGTTAAATAGCTCAATTTAGCCATTCCACAATGTATACATATTTCAAAACATCATGTTGTGCACTATAGATATATACAACTTTTGTCCATTAAATAAATAAATATATATGTAATATAAAGTTAAATGTGGAAGTTACTTCTCACACCAACCCACTTCAAGAGGCAGCCATATACACATAAACACACACACCAAAGTAAACACAATATATAAGAGTTATTTTTTGTTACAAAAATAGGATTATTCTATATGCATTGTTCTGCAACTTACTTTTGTCACTTAGTAAAACATCAAACAGTGGTATAATAGTGATGGCATCACTTGGCAATAAATGGCTCCAGCTCTGCCATCAGACTGCCTGAATTCAAATTTCAGCTCTACCACTTACTCATGGCGGGATCTGGTAAGTTACTCAACTTGGCTAAACTCTAACTTTTAATCTATAAAATTGGAATATAGTGCCTATCACTTAGGATTTGGGGAGAATACAGTGATTTTTAAAAACAGACAAAGCACCTAGCTCAGTATGTGGCATGTACTGAGTGCTAATAATTGTTGGCTAACATGAACCATCTTATTTCTTTAGAGAGTGCATGCTATTGAGTAACAGGAACTGCACCATAAATTGTTTAGTCTTTCACCTACATGTGCATATTGAGATTGTTCCCTCTATGGGTTGCTTTGTTTATTTGGTTGGTTTGGTTGGTATTACAAGCAACACATACTGTGTACTACACAAATATGACTACTTCTAAAGGATAGAGTGCTATAAGTAGAATCATTGGATAAAGAGATGCAGATTTCCAACTCTTGACAGAGATGGCCAAAAGGCCTACACTGATTCACACTTTCAGCATATGTGAAGGTCTATTTTCCTTTGGATATGATCCCCAAAAATGTAGTGCCAATCTGATAACTTATTTTTATTTGTGAGTTACAAAGAAGTTTAGGCTTATTTTTTCCCAAATGTTCCAGTTGTCATAAATAGCATTTATTTTATAGCCCATTCTTTTTCCATTGCTATGAAATAAATCTTTATTATATGTTAAGTTTAATATAGATCATGATCTAAATATAGGCATATAGATATACAAAATGCTTTATATTGGTCAGTTTTTTATTTTTCCCTATGTGTGTCATTATCTTATTGATTATCAATATACTGTGCTTTTATGTGGGGTTAAAAAAGTTTCCCATCATTATTCTAATGTTTCCAAAATAATGTTGTCTGTCTCTAGCCATGTAATACTCTAGATGAATTTTAGAATAATCTTTTCAACTTCCATTAAAAATTCCCTTCAGGTCTTATTAGAAGTACACTGAATTTTATTAATAAGGATTCATATTTTAAAATATAGTCTTCCTTTTCAGGAGTATAGTTCTCCACATATTCAGATATTCATTTTGTGTTCTATTATAGTTTCTTCTGATAGGTCTTACTCATTCTTTTATTTTGTCCCTCAGGTTAATTTCTAAGTATCACTTAGACTTTCTTGCCATTATCAATTGAAACCTTTTCTTCATTACATTTGTCTAATACAGAAAGATAATTAATACTTTTAGTTTTATAGCGCATCTGGCCACTGGTGAAATTGCCATAGGTTTTAAAAGATTTTCAAATAATTATCTTGAATTTTTTGGTACACAATCGTGCCACAAAAAAATGACATTTTCTTCTTTTTTAATGTTTATGCCTCCTGATGCTTTAGTTTTGCTTTGTTACTCACTCAGTCAACCATCTCAGCAATGTAGCTTAATATTGGTCATAGGGCTATCTTTGCCTTCTCTTTCCATGATATTGGTGGAAATAGGACTCTTACAGTCTATGTTTTATAGTCCTGCAATATTTGAATGTTGAGAATGAGGACTTCATAGTGTTTTAACCAGAAAAATTAATATATTCAAAGAACTAATCTTGCTTACATAGGCTATTTCTGGGAGTACTCTAATTTTAACTGGTATCCTTGGGCCAAAAGATGATAAAGCATCAGATCATATTAGCCAAAGAGAAATGCTTAAATAAACATTAGAAATGTTTTTCTGAAGATGAAAGAAAGTATTATCTGAATTCTGCAATTACCAAGGAGCCTTGATTAATTCTGTTGCTTAGTTTTGTTCTATCCCAACTACTACTACCATCTATGGACCTATGAGCAAGAGAGAATGCTGAAAGAGATAACTTCATTCATAGGGATTCCTTGTATGACAGCATTCTAATTCTAAGTAGAATCCAGCAACCTCTTCCCCGGGACAAAAAAGACAATAATAAGACTAAGGAGATGGTCAAGAAACAACCTCAGAATAATCTTTACAAAAGGAAATGAGAAGAACTCAAACAAATTAGGCCACATAGAAGTTCCTATGAGCACATGGAAAACCTTTAGTTTCTAATTTAGAAGACAGCTTGGCATCCTTTAACTTTTCTTTTGTTGAATTTTACTATCTGTTTCTATGTAGTTTCAGAATTAAATGTTCTTTCGAAGTATAATAGCAGTAAGATTTTTAAAATAGATTTGAGGTGGGGAAGAAGCTGTCTTGGTCAAACTGTCCTTTACATCTCTCCCATTGCTTCTCTAAACCCTATCCAGGAAGTCCAGAGACATGGAGACAAAGAATTATAGCAGCAGCACCTCAGGCTTCATCCTCCTGGGCCTCTCTTCCAACCCTAAGCTGCAGAAACCTCTCTTTGCCATCTTCCTCATCATGTACCTACTCACTGCGGTGGGGAATGTGCTCATCATCCTGGCCATCTACTCTGACCCCAGGCTCCACACCCCTATGTACTTTTTTCTCAGCAACTTGTCTTTCATGGATATCTGCTTCACAACAGTCATAGTGCCTAAGATGCTGGTGAATTTTCTATCAGAGACAAAGATTATCTCTTATGTGGGCTGCCTGATCCAGATGTACTTCTTCATGGCATTTGGGAACACTGACAGCTACCTGCTGGCCTCTATGGCCATCGACCGGCTGGTGGCCATCTGCAACCCCTTACACTATGATGTGGTTATGAAACCATGGCATTGCCTACTCATGCTATTGGGTTCTTGCAGCATCTCCCACCTACATTCCCTGTTCCGCGTGCTACTTATGTCTCGCTTGTCTTTCTGTGCCTCTCACATCATTAAGCACTTTTTCTGTGACACCCAGCCTGTGCTAAAGCTCTCCTGCTCTGACACATCCTCCAGCCAGATGGTGGTGATGACTGAGACCTTAGCTGTCATTGTGACCCCCTTCCTGTGTACCATCTTCTCCTACCTGCAAATCATCGTCACTGTGCTCAGAATCCCCTCTGCAGCCGGGAAGTGGAAGGCCTTCTCTACCTGTGGCTCCCACCTCACTGTAGTGGTCCTGTTCTATGGGAGTGTCATCTATGTCTATTTTAGGCCTCTGTCCATGTACTCAGTGATGAAGGGCCGGGTAGCCACAGTTATGTACACAGTAGTGACACCCATGCTGAACCCTTTCATCTACAGCCTGAGGAACAAAGATATGAAAAGGGGTTTGAAGAAATTAAGACACAGAATTTACTCATAGAAAGAACAAAATGTTGGCATGTCAAAATCAGGACATGACCTAAAAGATTATTATCAGTTTATCCTCCCTTCCTAACCCTTTTCCACATGGCATTCAAAGAGGTCATGAAAAGTGGTGTTGGATATCAGTAAGAGAATTAACCTGGGAGCAAAACACTCAGTTTCTTTATATATATATATATATATATGTATACACACACACACATATATATATACACACATACTTTAAGTTCTGGGATACATGTGCAGAACGTGCAGGTTCATTACATAGGTATACACGTGCCATGGTGGTTTGCTGCACCCATCAACCTGTCATCTACATTAGGTATTTCTCCTAATGCAATCCTTCTCCTAGCTCCCCACCCCCTGGCAGGCCCCAGTGTGTGATGTTCCCCTCCCTTTGTCCGTGTGTTCTCATTGTTCAACTCCCACTTATGAGTGAGAACATGTGGTGTTTGGTTTTCTGTTCTTGAGTTAGTTTGCTGAGAATGATGGCTTCCAGGTTCATCCATGTCCCTGCAAAGCACATGAACTCATCCTTTTTTTAATGGCTGGATAGTATTACATGGTGTATATGTGCCAGATTTTCTTTATCCAGTCTATCATTGATGGGCATTTGGGTTGGTTCCAAGTCTTTGCTATTGTGAATAGTGCCACAATAAACATACGTGTGCATGTGTCTTTATAGCAGAATGACTTATAATCCTTTGGGTATATACCCAGTAATGGGATTGCTGGGTCAAATGGTATTTCTGGTTCTAGATCCCTGAGGAATCGCCACACTGTCTTCCACAATGGTTGAACTAATTTACATCCCCATCAACAGTGTAAAAGCCTTCCTATTTCCCCACATCCTCTCCAGCATCTGTTGTTTCCTGACTTGTTAATGATCCCCATTCTAACTGGCATGAGATGGTATCTCAATGTGGTTTTGATTTGCATTTCTCTAATGACCAGTGATGATGAGCTTTTCTTCATATGTTGCTGGCCGCATAAATGTCTTCTTTTGAGAAGTGTCCATTCATATCCTTCGCCCACTTTTTGATGCGGTTGTTTTTTTTCTTGTAAATTTGTTTAAGATCCTTATAGATTCTGGATATTAGCCCTTTGTCAGATGGATAGATTGCAAAAATTTTTTCCCGTTTTGGGCCAGGCACTGTGGCTTACACCTGTAATCCCAGCACTTTGGGAGGCTGAGGCGGGCAGATCATGAGGTCAGGAGATCAAGTCCATCCTGGCTAACACAGTGAAACCCCATCTCTACTAAAAATACAAAAACAAAAATTAGCCGGGCATGGTGGTGTGCACCTGTAGTCCCAGCTACTCGGGAGGCTGAGGCAGGAGAATTGCTTGAACTTGGGAGGCAGACATTGCAGTGAGCCGAGATCGTGCCACTGCACTCCAGCTTGGGCAACAGAGCGAGACACCATCACAAAAAAAAAAATTCTCCCATTCTGTAGGTTGCCTGTTCACTCTGATGATAGTTTCTTTTGCTGTGCAAAAGCTCTTTAGTTTAATTAGATCCCATTTGTCAATTTTGGCTTTTGTTGCCACTGCTTTTGAAAAACACTCAGATTCTATCCATGACTTTGACCAAATACATATTTAATCTCAGGCTAGGTACTGATAGGAATCCATATTTTAGGAAAACCACTTCAGCTATCCTCAATAGACTAGCTTCCATATGGTAAAATAAAGCTTTTCTACAAATACGTCTTCTATATGCCTGACAATGGGTCCCAGTCAAGGAGTTATAAATCCTGTTAGTCTTCAGAAGTGGAAACCACATGGATTTGGTAGGAAATTGGAAAGAACTTTTTGGAAAAGTGACATAAGCTTATCCTTAAAATAGACTGAATTTTGACAAAGGAAGTTCCAAAGGATGAGGAAATGGCCAACGCATTTCACATAGTAAAAACCAGCCAAGCACACAGAGGCAATACATTTTGGAATATTTTTTAGAAACACTGAAAAACCCTGTGAGTCTTATTCAGTTTGAGGGTAAGGACAATCCAATCGAACAGATAGAATGATCCAAAAAGAATATTTACTCCACCCCCCAACACCAAAGTGTCATGACAGTATGAGTTCTCAGTACCCTACCCCTTTTCCCTCTTTTTTTTTTTTTTTTTTTTTGAGATGGAGTCTTGCTCTGATGCCTAGTCTAGATTGCAGTGATGAGATCTCAGCTCACTGCAAACTCTGCCCACTGGGTTCAAACAATTCTCCTGCCTCAGCCTCCCTAGTAGCTGGAATTACAGGCATGTGCCACCATGCCCAGCTAAGTTTTGTACTTTCAGTAGAGATGGGGTTTTGCCATGTTGGCCAGGCTGGTTCCCTTCTGT
Organism: Homo sapiens; assembly: GCF_000001405.40. Lineage (NCBI taxonomy): Eukaryota > Metazoa > Chordata > Mammalia > Primates > Hominidae > Homo > Homo sapiens. Next base: position 122,727,270 of record NC_000009.12, read on the forward strand.
TTTTTAAGAGACAGGGTCTCACTCTGTCACCCAAGCTGGAGTACAGTGACACAATCATAGCTCACTGTACCTCAAATTCCAGGGCTGAGTGATCCCATTCCTTTTTAATTCCTCTGTTCTTATGTCCAGCATCCTCACTAAGCTACCCTTTATATCTTAGAAAAAGCCATGTTTGTCAGTCAGGATAAGCTAGGATATACTGTGGAAATAAACAATCTCCAGTTGGATCTTAAAACTAAAGGTTATTATAATTTTCCCTAAACATCCACCATAGAAAAATATAAGGATGCTGCTCATTTTAACCAATCAGGGGTCCAAAATGGTAGATCAGGCACCACTGTGAACATTGATCATCATTCTGTCAGAAGCTGAGAAAGACACTGGAAGATTTTACATTGCCAACTAAATATTCTAGTCCAGAAGTGACCCACGCCACTTCTGACCATAACTTATCGTCCAAAACACATCCCATGACCCCACTCAAACACAAGGGAGCCAGAAGGCACAATCCAACCAGGTGCCTCTAAGATGGAGAGGCAGAAGTATTTGATGAATAGCATTAATGACTGCTACATAGCTCTATTAACACACAAACATATCAATGTACATCAGGTGCTTTATTAATCCTCCCTAATGATGTTATTGTCAATAAAAATAGTCATGTAGGAAAATTTCTGCCTCAATTATTTCAGCAAGTTTTCACAACCACCAGCTTTTCTGGGTCGCAGGCTTGTTAATGGCAGGACTTGAAGTTGAATACAAGTCTTTTGGCCTTAAAGATATAGCAAGAGGTGTGTAACGGTCTTATGGAACACAGGGACACCTAGCCTACAACATCAGGGTTCCATTCCTGTCACCCTTTTCACTAAATCCTCCTAATTATAAGGAAGTAACCAGCAAGCCAGAAAAGCTAATTTGCAGTAGCCTCTGTATTCGTTTAAGCACACCTGACTTTTACCACTATCTCCCACCAATCACTTGATTTTGAGATGCTGGCCTAGAAGACATATTTACTTTCTATTTCCTTTATTTATATGTCATAGTTTTCTCATACTCAACTAAGTGCCATAGCAACTTTAGAATGTGAGAATTCCTGGCATATATTAATAAATAAATTCACTAATTACAGCCTACAATAATTTTTAAAGCTAATTAAGCCCTTTGACCCCAAGAATCATAACTTTTATTTTTCAGTTCTGAGATCGGCCTGACTTTTTTTCCTCAACAAGTGCATGGCCACTAAAAAAAATCACGATTTTTTTTAATGAAAAACTTTAAGATATTCCCAGAAATTCAAACTAAAAGAAATTCTAAATAACAAGTGACCATGAGATAGCACTTTGGGATAAAAAAAGTTTCCAGTCTACCCCTTTGGTAAATCCTAAACTTCTCAGTTGGAATTGGAGGATTCTCTGTCAGGATATGATGCCAGTTTCCCCAAGTCACAATAAGGGACTGTCAGTGGGTAAGAAGCATCTGAAGACTTTAATAAGATTTTTTCTTTTCAAACATGAGAGCCCAGATGTTAACTCAGAAATGTGCTAATAAGCATCAGTAAGAGGAAAAAAAAATCTTTCTTGAAGGTAGATATAATCAGAAGAAGGGTCTACGCAGACCTCTGAGCATCTTGCCACATCAGGTGGAATGCTAGAATACAATAGAATAATAATACTATAAGCCTGTCCTTTGTTAAAAGAATTATAAATGTATTGAGTCCTTTTAGTGCAAGTTCATTTCAAAAACATAAATATTAGAGATTTTGCTCAATACTGAACTAAAAAAAAAATCCAGCTCATTGAACATATGTTGCCTGTCTATTAGAGCAAATGATATCAACTAGGAACACTGTGTAGCATGAGTTCTGAGGAGAATGTGAGAGAAGAATAAAAAGTATTTCTGGCATTGAAAAGTTTGATAGAGAATATATTATTGAGGGGGACTTAATAGGAATAGTCACAGAATCCAAGAAAAGAGGAAGCTTCAAGAGGCAGGGGCTATTAATAAGTGACCAAATATGATGAAAGTTTAATAAGCAAAGTAAGCCTGAAGATTGTTCATTGGCTTTAATGATATGGTGGTCATTGATGCCCTTGGTGAATTGGCAATGGAGAAATGGAAAAGGAGCCAGATTGGAATATGTTAAGGAATAAATGGAGGTGAGAATCTGGAGACAGTGATTATAATTTGTGTCAATGTTGTTCTATTGTTTTGTGGCTTGCATTGCTTCTAAAGAGAAATCAGCTATCATTTTTATCTTTGTTTCCCTCTTAGGTAAATTGTTTTTTTGTCCTGGCTGATTTTATTTTTGGTTTTTAACAATTTGACTATAGCTCAGCTGTATATGGAATTATTTATGTTTATCTGGCTTGGGGTTTATTGAGCTTCTTGGATCTTGGAAAGATATTTTTCTTCACATTTGGAAAAATTTAGTCCAATGTTTATTCAAATATCATTTTGCCCCAAACTCTCTCCTCTCTTTGTGGGGCTCTAATTATATGATTGTTAGACCTTGGAGGGCAGCTTAGATTTTTTAATCCCTCTAAGTAGCCTCATGAAAATGGGACAACTAGAACACTAAAACAAGAACAACTTGAAGACACAAAGAATTCCCATAAATCCCCAAATACAGGAAGCTAGAGACAAATAACCAACAGTTACATGATCCATATGTTTTTAGAATCTGCGCAGGAGGAAACAGAGGCAACCAACAGTATCTACCTGAGCTGAGAATAGGAAAAACCCAAGTATTAATTAGCAAGTACTCACCAAAATTTGTTGTGGGCCAATTTAGGAACAGAAGTTAAGGCTTAAAAGGGTTTTGCCCATTCAACAATAGTGAATGTCTAATGATGTCAGAGCAATCTAGGCCTGGGCGGCCAGCATCCCAGAACCTGCAAGTACTCTGCCACAGACAATGATCACGCACCCTGCCATATGACACTGCTGCTGCTGCTGCTGGCACATGCGAACAAGGATGGATCCCACTGCCACCACCCATGAAATGCTTTGGCTGGCACCATCCATAGAGGTGTAGTGACCAGTGGTACAGGAGCATCTCAGCCTTAGTGCACTGGGTTCCTAACCTCAAGGAACCAAGAACAAAGTCAGGGTCCAATACCAGTCCCCCAGATTTAGAGCATGCAGTCCAGGAGTGGGGAGTTGAGCCTTGGTCCCCTAATATCTTCTAGAAACAAAGCCAGTCAACTGAAGCCACCTTATACCACCATCAAACCCTCAGGGTCATTAAATAAGGTAAAAGAAAAAAAAAACCATTCAAAGGAAAGCAGCTTCAAAGATTGAAGGAGCATCAGCCCACAAAGATGAGAAAGAACCAGCACAAGAATTCTGACAACTTGAAAAGCCAGGGTGCCTTCTTCCCTCCAAACAACCATGCTAGCTCTCCATCGAGGGTTCTGAACCAGACTAAGATGGCTGAAATGACAGAAATAGAATTCAGAATATGGATAGAAATGAAGATCATTGAGATGGAGGAGTGTATTGAAACTCAATCCAGGTAAACTAAGAATCACAATAAAATGATACAGGAGCTGACAGACAAAATAGTCAGTATAGAAAAGAATATAACCAACCTGACAGAGCTGAAAAACACACTACAAGAATTTTATAATGCAGTCACAAGTATTAATAGCAGAATAGACCAAGCAGAGGAAAGAATATCAGAACTTGAAGTCTAGCTTTCTAAGACAGGCAAGAATAGAGAAAAGAGAATGAAAATAAATGAACAAAACCTCTGAGAAATATGGGATTATGTAAAGAGACCAAATCTACTGCCTATTGGTTTCCTTGAAAGAGATGGGGAGAATGGAAGCAACTCAGAAAACATTTTTCAGGATATAATCCATGAGAACTTCTCAAACATAGTTAGAGAGGCCAACATTCAAATTCAGGAAATGCAGACAACCTCAGGAAGATGCTTTACAAGAAGATCATCCCGAAGACACGTAATCATCAGATTCTCCAAGGTTGAAATGAAAGAAAAAATGTTAAAGGTAGCAAGAAAAAAAGGTCAGGTCACCAACAAAGGGAAGCCCATCAGACTAACAGAAGAATGCTCAGCAGAAACCCTATAAACCAGAAGAGATTGGGGGCAATATTCAAAATTCTTAAAGAAAAGAAATTCCAACCAAGAATTTAATATCCAGCCAAACTAAGCTTCATAAGCAAAGGAGAAATAAGATCCTTTTCAGAAAAGCAAATGCTGAGGGAATTTATTACCACCCGACCTTCCTTACAAGAGCTTCTGAAGGAAGCACTAAATATGGAAAGACTGTTACCAGACACACTGCAAAAACACACTAAAGTACACAGACCAGTGACACTATAAATCAAACACACAAACAAATCAGCATAACAACCAGCTAACATCATGATGACAGGATCAAATCCACACATATCAATACTAACCTTGAATGTCAATGGGCTAAATGCCCCAATTAAAAAGCACAGAATGGCAAATTCAATAAAGAGCCAAGACCCTATGGTATGCTGTCTTCAAGAGACCCAGCTCACACACAATCACACTCATAGGCTCGAAATAAAGGGATGGAGAAAAATATACCAAGCAAATGGAAAACAGACAAAAGCAGAGGCTACAATCCTAATTATGGATGAATCAGACTTAAACCAACAAAGATTTTAAAAAGACAAAAAGGGCATTATATAATGGTAAAGGGTTCAATTCAACAAGAAGACCTAACTGTCCTAAATATATATGCACCCAACACAGGATCACCCAGATTCATTAAGTAAGTTCTTAGAGACTTTCCAAGAGACTTAGACTCCCACACAATAATAGCAGAAGATTTCAACAACCGACTGACAGTACTAGATAGATCATCAAAGCAGAAAATTAACAAAGATATTCAGGACTTGAACTCAGCACTGGATCAAATGGACCTAATAGACATCTACAGAACTCTCCACCCAAAAATAACAGAATACACATTCTTCTCATCACCACATGGCATATACTCTAAAATTGAGACATAAAACAATCCTCCACGAATGCAAAAGAACTGAAATTATAACAACCACTCTTTCAGGCTACAGCACATTCAAATTAGAAATTGAGACTAAGAAAATTGCTCAAAACCATACAATTATATGGAAATTACATAACCTGTTCCTGAATGATATTCAGGAAAATAGTGAAATTGAGGCAGAAATAAAGAAGTTCTTTGAAACTAATGAGAACAAATATACAACGTACCAGAATCTCTGGGAAGCAGCTAAAGCAGTGTTAAGAGGGAAATTTATAGTATTAAATGCCCACATCAAAAAGCTGGAAAGGTCTCAAGTTAACAACCTAACATCACAACTAAAAGAGCTAGAGAACCAAGAGTAAACCAACCCCAAAACTAGTAGAGGACAAGAAATAACCAAAATCAGAGCTGAACAAAAGGAGATTAAGACATGAAAAACCATTCAAAAGATCAACAAGTCCAAGAGTTGAGTTTTTGAAAAGAATTAATAGATAAAGCACTAGCTGGATTAATAAAGAAGAAAAGAGAGAAGATTCAAATAAACACAATTAGGAAAGACAAATAGGATGTTACCACTGATCCCACAGAAATACAAACAACCATCAGCAAATACTGTAACCTGGTCTATACATATAAACTAGAAGAAATAAATTCCTGAACACATACACTGTCCCAAGACTGAATCAGGAAGCAATTGAATCCTTGAATAGACTGGTAATAAGCTCCAAAATTGAATCAGTAATAAATAGCCTACCAACTAAAAAAAAACTGAGGACCAGATGGATTCACAGCTGAATTCTACCAGATGTACAAAGAGTTGTTACATCTCAATAAACTAGGTATTAAAGGAACATACCTCAAAATAATAAGAGCCATCTATGATAAACCTATAGTAAACATCATACTGAATGGGAAAAGCTGAAAGCATTCTCCTTGAAAACCAACACAAGACAAGGATGCCGTCTCTCACCACTCCTACTCAACATAGTATTGCAAGTCCTAGCCGGAGCAATCAGGCAAGAGAAAGAAATAAAGGGCATCCAAGAAGGAACAGAAGAAGACTATTCCTGTTTGCAGACAATATGATTATATATCTAGAAAACCCCACAGTCTTGGCCCAAAAGCTCCTTAAGCTGATAAACAACTTTGGTGAAGTCTCAGGATACAAAATCAACATACAAAAATCATTTGTATTCCTACACGCCAACAACAGTCAAGCTGCGAGCCAAATCAGGAATGCAGTCCCATTCACAATCACCCTAGAAAGAATAAGATACCTAGGAATACAGCTAACCAGGGAGGTGAAAGATCTCTACGATGAGAACTACAAAACACTACTCAAATCAGAGATGACACAGAAAATGCAACAACATTCCATGTTCACGGATGGAAAGAATCACCATTGTTTAAATGGCCACACTGTCCAAATCAATGTACAGATTCAAGGCTATTCCTATCAAACTACTGATGGCCTTCTTTACAGAACCAGGAAAAACTATTTTAAATCTCACATGGAACCAAAAAAAGAGCCTAAATAGCAAAGGCTATCCTAAAACAAAAAGAACAAAGCTTGAGGCATTATGCTACTTGACTTCAAACTATACTACAGGACTACAGTAACCAAAAAAACATAGTACAGGTACAAAAACAGACACACAGACCAATGGAATAGAATAGAGAGCCCAAAAATAAGATGGCATGCCTACAACCATCTGATCTTCAACAAAGCTGGCAAAAACAAGCAATGGGGAAAGGATGCCCTATTCAATAAATGGTGCTGGGATAACTGGCTAGCCATATGCAAAAGATTGAAACTGGACCCCTTCCTTACATTATATATAAAAATCAAGTCGAGATGAATGAAAGACTTAAAGTAAAACACAAAACTATAAAAGCTCTGGAAGATGACCTAGGTAATACCATTCTGGATATAGGAATGGGCAAAGAATTCATGATGAAGATGCCAAAAGCAATTGCAACACAAGCAAAAACTGACAAATGGGATCTAATTTAACTAAAGAGCTTCTGCACAGCAAAAGAAACTATCAACTGAGTAAACAGACAACCTATAGAATGGCAGAAAATTTTTGCAAACTAGTCACCTGACAAAGGTCTAATATCCAGCATCTATGAGGAACTTAAACACATTTACAAGAAAAAAAAACAGCCCCATTAATAAGTGGGCAAAAAGCCAGCAGTTTACAGGGACTGCTGCTCTGGACAGCTACTGTTGCTGTATGCTTCTGCTGCTGCTGCTGCTGCTGCTACACTGGGCCACCCCACCTATGGGATAGCCCTGATCTGTCTACGGAACACCCATTCTGCTGCACACTGCTACTCTAATAAACTTGCTTTATTTCAAAAAATATAAGTGGGCAAAGAGCATGAAAAGACACTTTTTAAAAGAAGACATACATGCAGCCAACAAACATATGGAAAAAGTTCAACATCACTGATCATTAGAGAAATGCAAATGAAAACCACAATGAGATACCATCTCACACCATTCAGAATGGCTATTATCTAAAAGTCAAAAAATAACAGATGCTGGTGAGGTTGCAGAGAAAAAGGATGTTTATACGCTGTTGGTGGGAGTATAAATTGGTGCAACCATTGTGGAAAGAAGTGTGGTGATTCCTCAAAGACCTAAAAACAGAACTACCACTCAACCCAGCAATCCCATTACTGAGTAAACACCCAAAGGAATATAAATTGTTCTATTACAAAGACACATGCATGTGTATGTTCATTGCAGCACTATTCACAATAGCCAAGACATAGACTCAATCTAAATGCCCATGAATGGCAGACTGGATAAAGAAAATGTGGTACATATACACCATGGAATACTATGCAGTCATAAAAAAGAATGAGATCATGTCCTTTGCAGGAACACATGTGGAACTGGTGGTCATTATCCTTAGCAAACTAACACAGGAACAGAAAATCAAATACCACATGTTCTCACTTCTAAGTGGGACTAAATTATGGGAACATATAGGCACAAAAAGGGGGACAACAGACACTGTGGCCTACCTGAGGGTGGAGGGCCAGAGAAGCGAAAGGAGCAGAAAAAATAACTATTGGATATTAGGCTCAGTACCTGGGTCATGAAATAATCTGCACAACAAACTCTCATGACTTGAGTTTACCTATATAACAAACCTGCACATGTACCCCTGAACCTAAAATAAAAGTTTAAATTTTTTTTTTTTTTGAGATGGAGTCTTGCTCTGTCACCCAGGCTGGAGTGCAGTGGCACGATCTTGGCTCACTGCAAGCTCTGCCTCTCGGGTTCACCCCATTCTCCTGCCTCAACAAATACTTCTCAAAAGAAGACATACAAGTGGCCAAAAAACATATTAAAAAATGTTCAACATCACCAATCATCAGAGAAATGCACATTAAAATCACAATGAGATATCATCTGACACCAGTTCAGAATGGCAATTATTAAAAAGTAAAAGAATAACAGATGCTGGCGAAGCTTCAGAGAAAAGGGAATGCTCACACGTGGTTGGTGGAAATGTAAATTAGTTCAGCCAATGTGGAAAACAGTCTGGGGATTTTTCAAAGAACTTAAAACAGAACTACCATTCAACTCAGCAATCCCGCTACTGGTTATATATCCACAGGAAAATAATTCATTCTGTTAAAAAGACACATGTGCTCCTATGTTCATCACAACACTATTCACAATAGCAAAGACATGGAATCAACCTAGGGGCCCATCTTTCCCCTCATTCCATACCCGTACTTCCACTGCCTCATTTTTCCCCCATTGAACTATTTATATTCTTCAAGTACACTCCTTCAAGCATTTGGTTTTAGTCTTCCCCTCCCTCTTCCATCAGGGTAATCCTGTACCACTCTCCCCATCCAGTCCTGTGATCTTTACTTTGATTCATTTCTTCGTTGGCTAAAATACTGACTGAGGTAGGCAGAATGATAACCATCCAAAGGTGTCCACATCAGAATCCCTGGAACCTGGGAAGAGTGACCGGTGCCACTGCTGAGCAGCCATGTAGATAAGCCAGATTGTCTCGCCCAGCCTCAGTTTTTCTCATCTGTACAACTGGGGAAGTAAAATCTACATCTCAGAGAGATTGTGAGGCTCAGAAAAGCTAATGGATTCAAAAGAATTTTGTGAGCTGTAAAGAGCTATACAGACACACAAGACATGCATTGTGTATTTGATGTCCTTCAGTATGAAATCTAGTAATAAACTCTTTCTGCGATTTAGTTCCAGGGAAAACCTATCTCTGACAAAAAAAAACTTTTTAAGTGTCATGTGGTCCCTACTCTCAGAAATGGAAGATGATAACTTCAATAGGCAGGGCTCTTTTATAGCAAACGATGAAGCCCTATGTTCAAATAATTTAAGACGAAAGGAGGATTTATTGTCTCATGTGACTGGAATAGGTCTGGAGTGAGGCAGGACTTAAGAATGACTGGTACTGAGGGCCACCTCAGCCATTCTCTTCCCCCTATTTGCTCCCCTTTGTGTCTCTTTGCATATTGGCTTGTTCTCTCCAACTGCACATGCTTTCCCCACATGCAGAGGAACATGGCTTTCACACTCTTCAAATTCTCTGCATATTGGCTTGTTCTCTCCACCTGCACATGCTTTCCCCACATGCAGAGGAACATGGCTTTCACACTCTTCAAATTCTCTTCAGCTCAGTAGCCCCAGGAAAAATCCACTTTCACACTAAAACATCTTGGGGCATCTTTGAGCTAAAACATCCTTTAGTCATAAGGATAGTCATAACATGGATCATATGTTAGGTCAGAAAGCAAGTCTCAATAAATTTCTAAAAATTTAAATCACACGTATCTTCTCTGACTACAATGGAATGAAGCTAGAAATCAACAGAAGGAAAACTAGAAAATTCACAAATATATGGAAATCAAACAACACTCTTTTTTTAGGGTTTGAATTTTTTATTATTATACTTTAAGTTCTAGGGTACTTGTGCACAACGTGCAGGTTTGTTACATAGGTATACATGTGCCATGTTGGTTTGCTGCACGCATCAACTCATCATTTACATTAGGTATTTATCCTAATGCTATCCCTCCCCCAGCCCTCCACCCGGCAACAGGCCCCAGTGTGATGTTCCCCTCCCTTTATCCATGTTCAACTCCCACTTATGAGTGAGAACATGTGGTGTTTGGTTTTCTGTCCTTGTGATATTTTGCTGAGAATGATGGTTTCCAGCTTCATCCATGTCCCTGCAAAGGACATGAACTCATCCTTTTTCATGGCTGCATAGTATTCCATGGTGTATATGTGCCACATTTTCTTTATCCAGTCTATTATTGATAGACACTTGGGTTGGTTCCAAGTCTTTACTATTGTGAATAGTGCCGCAATAAATGTACGCAAACAATGCACTCTTAAACAACCAATAGGTCAAAGAAGAAATCACAAGGAAAATCAGAAAATACTAAGAAATGAATAAAAGCAAAACACAACATACCAAAAGCAAACCATACCATATGGGATGTACTGAAAGCAGTGCGGAGAGTGAAATGTATAGCAATAAACCCCTACATTAAAAAAAGAAAGATGTCAAATTAATAACTGTACACCTTAAGAAACTAGAAAAAGAATAGCAAAATAGATCCAAAGCTCACAGAAAGAAATAATAAAGATAAGGCAGAAATAAATGAAATAGAGAACAGCAAAATGAATTTTTTAGCCAAGGAAATAATATTTGCATGTTAACTTTTTCCAATATCCATTTTCCCCTTCTTTCTGAAACCTCCATTTTTGAGCTGGGTATATTGCTGCCTAGCTAACAGCATTTCCCAGCCTCCTCTGCAACTAGATGTGGCCATGTGTCCAAGTTCTGATCCATGAGATGTAAGCAGAAGAGTTCTGAAGTGTTTCTGGAAACTATTAAAAGGGAGAGGCTTCTCTTTTCTCCTCGCTTTCCTCCTTTTTACTGCTCGGAATGTGGATGCAATGGCAAGAACTCCAGCAGTGATCTGTACTATGAAGCAGCTTTGGGAATGGGAGCTACATATGGTAGAGGAAAAAGACAGAGACAGCCTGAGTCCCTGATATCATGTCTCTTCCTTACCAGCCTTGAACTTCCTCCTCCAGCCAGAGAGAGACAGAGAGCAAAAGAGGGAATAAGAGAGCACCACAATGATGGGGAAGATTGAGAAGACAGTCTGGGAGGAATTGGTTTTCAAATCTGTCCTGAACCTCTAAACTTTATTCATAGAAGTCAGAGCCAGACTTGATTGTAAAAGTAGCAGTTAATGTAACTGTAGCCTCTGTCAGAGATTTCTTCAAACCCCTCAGCAGAGGAGCAGCTTATATTGAAGATCAAGCCTGCCTTTATGTGGAATTGCTTTCTCTCCCTTTCTTGGTAGTTTTCAGGACCCAGTGCAAAATGAAAATGTGAGACCCATTCCCTGGTTCAAAGAGTGTTAAGAAATTTAGGACAGTGACAGAAGAGCATTAAACCAAGCCCTGGGCCCTTCTGAACACAGGAAGTACACTCTTGAAGCTAATCCTGGCACCAAGCAGTCTAACTACTGCAAAACTAAAACCTTATTTAATAAGATAAAGAAGTCAGGGTCATTATTATCTCCATTTTATAAATGGGGAAACTGAGGCACAGAGCTATCTACCTAACGTCATACAACTAGTAAGTGGTAAGCAGAGATTTAAACTCAGGCACTAACTCCAAAGCCCATTATCTTAACCTGACATCCACCTTCTCCATTTTATGCCCTGTAACAAACAAAAACTTCCATGCATTCCATGGCTTCACCATGCCTAGAGGTTAAAGAACTTACCCAAAGTCACACAGCTGGTGAGCTAGAGCTGGGATACAATGTGAGATAATGTGTCTTCAAAGCTCACCTCTTCACCTCTACACCAGAGTTCAGATCCTGACTTACCACTTATCTCACCCCCACCCTCTTACTTATATCTTTTTACAAAAGTAAAAATTGAAGCTCACCCAGAAATAGATCCATGTCTTAATCTGTTTTCTGTTGCTTATAACAGAATACCTGAAATTCAGTAATTTGCAAAGAAAATGAATTTATTTCTTACAGTTATGGAGGCTGAGAAGTCCAAGGTCGAGGGGCCACATCTGATGAGGGCTTTCTCACAGGTGGGGACTCTGCAGAATCCTGAGGCAATGCAGGGCATCACAGGGCAAGGGAGCTGAGCATCCTACATCAGGTGCCTCTTCCTCTTCTTAAAAAGCCACCAGTCCCACTCTTGTGATAACCCATCAATCAATTAGCCCACTGATCCATGAATGAATTAATTCATTTACCTCTTAAAGGCCACATTTCTCAACAGTGTCACATTGGGGATTAAATTTCAACATGAGTTGAAAGATTCAAACCATAGAAAACCACAAAAATATAGTCAACTAATCTTTGACAAAAGAAGTAAAGGTAATATAATGGAGAAAAGATAGGCTTTTCAACAACTGGTTCTGGAACAACTGGACATCCACATGCAAAACAAATGAATCTAGATACAGACCTTACACTCTTCACAGTAATTGACTCAAAATGGATCATAGCCCTGATGCAAAATGTAAACCAATAAAACTCATAGAAGAGAACATAAGAGAAAACCCAGATGACCTTGAGTATGGCAGTTACTTTTTAGATACAACACCAAAGGCAAGATTCATGAAAGAAATAATTAATACGGTATAATTAATTAAAATTAAAAACTTCTACTCTGAGAAAGACACTTTCAAGAGAATGAGAAGACGATCCACAGACTGGGTGAAATATTCGCAAAAGACATATCTGGTAAAGGACTATTATCCAAAATATACTAAGATCTCTTAAAACTCAACAACGAGAAAATGAGTAATTCAATTGAGACCTAAACAGACACCATACCAAAGAAGACACACAGATGGTTATCAAACATATAAAAAATGTTCCACATCATGTGTCGTTAGGGAAATTCAAATGAAAACAACAATGAGATATCACTGCACAGCTATTAGAATGACCAAATCAGAACACTGACAACACCAAATGCTGATAAAGACGTGGAGCAACAGGAATTCTCCTTCATTGCTGGTGAGAATGCAAAATGACAAAGTCACTTTGGAAGACAGTTTGACAATTTCTCACAAAACTAAACATACTCTTACCATATGATCCAGCAATCATGTTCCTTTGTATTTATGCAAATAAGATGAAAATTTATGTTCACACAAAAACCTTCACAGACGTTTTAGCAGCTTTACTCATAGTCACCAAAACGTGGAAGCAACCAAGTTGTCCTTCGACATGTAAGTGAACAAGTAAACTGTGGTACTTCTAGACTATAAAATATGATTCAGTGCTAAAAAGAAATGAGCTATCAAGCATTGAAAAGATACGGAAGAACATTAAATGCATATTACTACATGAAAAAAAGCCAAGGTGAAAAATCAATTATACTGCATGATTCCAACTAAATGACATTTTAGAAAAGGCAAAAATATGGAGACAGTAAAAAGATCAGTAGTTGCTAAGGGCTAGAGGGAGAGAAGGATGAACAGGTGAAGCACACGGGATTTTTAGGGCAGTAAAACTATTCTATATGATACTATATAACAGTGGGTACCTGTCATTATACATTTGTCAAAACCTGTAGAATGTATAACATTGAGTGAACCCTAATGTAAACTATGGTCTTGGGTGATAATGATATGTCAATACAGATGCTCCTCCACTTATGATGGAGCTATACCCCAATAAGCCAATTGTAAATTGAGAATATCATATGTCAAAAATGCATTTAATACACCTAACCTACCGGTCATCATAGCTTAGCCTAGCCTACCTTAAATGTGCTAACACATACGTTAGCCTACAGTTGGCAAGATCATCTAACACAAAGCCTGCTTTATAACAAAACATTGAATATCTCATGTAATTAATTGCATGCTGTACTGAAAGTGAAAAAAGAGAATGATTATATAGGTACTTGAAGTACGGTTTCTACTGAACATGGATCATTCACAGTATCATAAAGAAAAATTTTAAGATGAACCATCGTAAGTTGGGGACCATTGTATAAGCTTATAAATTGTAGTAAATGTTATGTTCTAGCAGTGGGTAGATCGTGGGAGAGGCTATGTCCATATGGGAGCAGGGAATTAATGAGAACCGTCTTTACTCTCTGATCAAGTGTGTTGTGAATGTAAAACTTCTAAAAAAATAAAATCTATTTGAATGGAAAAAGCAGAAAAAAGGAAATATCTTTCTAAAGCTTATGATTACTGTGCCATTTACAGATGAGGACAATGTGGGTTAGTGAGGCTAAATAACTTGCCCAAATTCACCCATTTGGTAACTGGGGGAACTGGGATTCAAATATGACTAGTCTGGCTTAAGACATTGAAGTAACAAAATGTTTAAGAAAGGCAGACACAACAAAACAAATTAAGGCTCAGAAACCTGTGTAGTATTTGCAAAAGCTACACAGCTTGTAAGATGCGAGTCAGCATCAGAATCCAATTAGTCTGGCTCCTGGGCCTGCACCTCCAACCCCTTTCCAATAACACTACAGGTGCACCTAGACACAGTCACACATGCAGACACAAAACCTCAGCGATATCAGAGGCCATTACCTCTCCTTCCAGGTAGGTGCACATAAGCATAAACACAGATATGCACAAGAGTACACATATGTACATCGAATACATACATATGCATAAACATATATGCATACATGTGTGCATGCACACATCACCCTTACTGCTACATGGCTCTAATTCCCTTCCCAGGTGTAAGAAGCTACATCTCTGGAGCCCAGTTTTCCCACAGAGCTCAGTGAGGGCATCAGTGATGTTCCCCGCCAACCCCGCCCCTGCAATTCCCTGGGAAGACCACAGGACCAATCCTCACAGGGCTCTGGCATGCAGAGACGACAGGCGCCTGTGTCTCCCTTTTTATTACAATTCCCACCATAGATAAGGAAGAACTATCACATTTCTGAGGCTCGATCTGTACTTCAAGAAGCCTCCTTCAGAGATTCAGAGCCTGATCTTAACCCCATGGCAGATCCCGAAGTCTTTTTAGGCCCCTGAATCTCCTTTGTCAAGCCCACAGGTAGGCACACTGAGGGGACTTGATAATGGGAACTGTGGAGTCAATATCTTCAGGTGATCTTCTTCCCTTTTCCTTATCCTGTTTTTCTCTCCTCCATCTCAAAAGCCAGGAAACACAGTCTTTCTCTATATTTTTTCCTCTCTCTCTTTTTGGTCAAATATCAAATATTTGAAATATCTACTTTGTTCAAGACACTTTCTCCTGTCCTCAAAGGGCACAGCCAACATTCTGCAACTCAAGAGCCACAGAGTTATCACCTCCAGGAAACCAGGTCAACAGAGGAACAAGTGAACAAGATAGGGCAATGCAGAGGCTGAGAGCACACACTCTGGGAATGTAATCCACCACCCTCTGGCTGTGTGTTCTTAGGCAAGTCACTTCAGTTCTGTACCTCATTTGTGTTATCTGTAAAATGGAGTTGTTGTAAAGACTAAATGACTTAGTGTATGTCAAGTTTGTCGAGCAGTACCTAGCAATAACAGAAAGGCAAACTTCCACTCGTGATGTGGAAGAATTTCCTAACCCAGAGGTGTTCCACCCAAGGACTGGGCCCCTCCAGATATTGTGAGCTCCTTGTCTCTAGAATCACGGAAATTGAACAGTCGCTTTCCTAGGATGCTAAAATGATGAAGGTGAAAGGCAGAGGGGTCTAAAACCTCATGACATCTGAGCAAAACTCTCTGAGAATCCACAGCCCCTTCCTTAGGACTCGGGATACTTAATCTGTAATAGCTGTATTAGCAGTTGCACTTATAAATACTGGCTGATCACAGGTAGGGGAGGCACCAGGAAGAACTAATAGCTTGAGAGTTTAATTCATTGAATTATTGAGAGAGAGAAGCAGAGGTAGGCATCCAGAAAATCAGTGATTCCCAGGAGAAGAAAGACAGAAACAAAAGTGGGGCAGAAGCTAGCTGAGGACAACCTGAGCTGGATGAACTGGGTTCAATTATTGATCTGAGGGACCTACAGTGCCCAGAAGAACTTTCAACCTAAACTAAGTAGGAAATAAGAAATTAGGCTGAGATACCACCTTCTCTGAAGCAAGAGACATGAGGTAAACCTCTAATTTGACAAAGAAGACATTTCAGAGAACTGAAAAGAGAAGAAGCCAGCCTAGAAAGGACCTGCAGAATCCCCAAGTGGAACATATCTCTGTAGGGGGTCTATGCACCCAACACTGCCAATCTGCTTGCCTTACTGCTGGAAGAGAAAAGACAGTAAGCAAGAAGAGGCTGGAATCCCAAAACGTGGACCCAGAAGACATCCAGAGATCTTAAGGTCAGGTGTTGATGTTGCAAAATCAGAGGGCTGTTGTTTATTCAAGATCTGACAAAGCTGTAGTCCTAAGTCATAGCCTGTCATCTCTGAAGGCAAGAAACAGAGAAGAACACATGGCTTTGTGGAATTGGAGGCAGAAATGCGTGTAGGAAGGAAGGAAATCAAAAGGATCCCAATATGTAGGAGCAAAGGATAGGGTGGAAGGAGTGGGTCAGCAAGGAGGCTGAAGGCACTTGGCAATAAGATGGCCTCTGTTGACAGAGGACACACCAGCTTAGTTCTCTACTGCACATGTACAGTTTGGGGAAGAGGTGTGATAGAGCAGTTTAAAACACATAATTTACAGTCAGTGTGCCCAGGTTTGAACCCTAGATACACCACTCACCAGCTCTGTGACTCTCTGAACTTCAGTCTCCTTCGTTGTAAAGGGCAAAATAATGGTACTTCAAACGTAGTGTAATTGTGAGGATTAAATGAAACAAGTGGTAAGCACAGACTCTGTCTAATAAATGTTAGCTGCATTTTTCCAGTTTAGTCAATTCTCTACTGTCCTTGCTCATTCAGGGGAGTAGGTGCATGGATAACAAGTAGCTTTCCACCAGGATACTGCCCACCCAGCATCCCAATTTGGGAAGTGCATTGTGTGCTGACAATGTGTACTCCCCGGTTTCATTTGGGCTGTCAGTGCATACTCCCTGGTTTCATTTGGGCTGTCAGTGTGTACTCCCTGGTTTCATTTGGGCTGACAATGTGTACTCCCTGGTTTCATTGGGCCAAGAGAAGGACCCTGCATAAGTGATGAGTAAACAAGAAAAGGAAAAACAACCTGAGATGACAAATGTTCATAATGTAAAAATTTTAATAGAGAAAGTTTAGAAGTATAGAAATAATCCACATTTCCTGTCTGTCAAGGAAGGGAGTAAATACCTTTTAAAGTGAAATGATGTGACTTAGAAGGCTTAGAAAGACTCCCAGTCTCTCCTGGTCCTTCCCAATCACCACCTGATGGCAAGACCCATCATTAAAATGTCATTTCTCTAGCTTATTGTATGAGCAGTTATGCTAATCACTTGCAGTAGAGTTTGCCAAACACTCACTCAACTGTCATTTGACAGCTCCTAGGCAGGGTAGAAAGTGGCACACACACAAGCATACATGTGTGCACCATCATCTATTTGGAAGTGAAATGACTTGCCCGAGGCATGAGGAAAATACATGATGCTGTCAAATCCAGCTAAATGGGAAGGAGCTAAGTTACTGCCCCTGAGAAAAATCTCATAAATTTGGAAAATTCCAAGTTCAAGCCAAGGGTGATGAGATAGCCCTTTACCACCAGGATAAACTGTGTCCCAGGGGTGAAGCTAAAAGATACAGAGAAGGAAATGTGGAACGAACCCAAAGAGTTAAATAAGTACATTGCCTAAGAGTGAGATGAAAGTTATGTGTCTCATGTTGCTAATATCTATTGACATTTTCAAGATTTATAAACTCCATTTTAGCATTCCATATCTCAAGATCTATTCTACGCTGTAAAAATTATCTCATGGGTGAGAAATATGTATATACAGACAAAAAATATCCATTGTAACATTCTTGGGGTAGCGGAAGCATAATGAACCATTTAACCTCATTCCTATATGCAGTGTATATAGATCTATGCAGAGAAAAAGATCTTTAAAATATGCACACAATTCCAGTGGAATTATAGGAAATTTAACCTTTTAAATTACGAAATGACTATAAATAAACACACCTTTTTTTTTTTTTTTTTTATTTGAGATGGAGTCTCGGTCTGTCGCCCAGACTGGAGTGCAGTGGCGTGATCTCGGCTCACTGCAAGCTCCGCCTCCCAGGTTCAAGCCATTCTCCTGCCTCAGCCTCCCGAGTAGCTGGGACTGCAGGCGCCCACCACAACGCCCAGCTAAGTTTTTGTATTTTTAGTAGAGACGGGGTTTCACCGTGTTAGCCAGGATGGTCTTGATCTCCTCACCTCATGATCCGCCCGCCTCGGCCTCCCAAAGTGCTGGGATTACAGGCGTAAACCACCGCACCCAGCCAAACACACCTTTGTTTTTAAATACAGACAATACAATATAAAGTTAAGTATGAAAATTCAGAAGGTAACCACATTACACATAAACACTTTTTAAGGACTCTTTCCACACCACAACAAACACATTAAAAAAAATACTTTTCTTTACAAAAATGAGATTATTCTTTTTTTATTATTATACTTTAAGTCCTAGAATGTGCAGGTTTGTTATGTAGGTATACATGTGCCATGGTGGTTTCCTTACCCATCAAACTGTCATCTAGGTTTTAAGCCTGGCATGCATTACATATTTGTCCTAATGCTCTCCCTCCCCTTGCCCTCCACTCCCCGACAGCCCTGGTGTGTGATGTTCCCCTCCCTGTGTCCATGTGTTCTCTTTGTTCAACTCAAAAATGGGATTATTCTTTAGGCATTGTTCTCTACCTTGTTTTTGTCACATAACAAAATGTCTATGACATTTTGTGTTGTCTGTGCTATCAGACTGCCTGAATTCAAATTCCAGCTCTACCACTTACTCCCTGCGGGATCTGGTAAATTACTTAATTTTGCTACACTCTAAATTTATATCTGTAAGTTGTAATTATAATAATGTCTATGTCATAGGATTTGGAGAAAATAAAATGATAAAAGCTTTGCAAAGCACTGAACTCAGTGTGTAGCATATATCAGGTGTTAATAAATATTGGCTAACATTACCCATCTTATTTCTTTAGAGACTGCATGACGTTGAGTAATAAAAATATACTATAAACTGTTTAATAAATCACCTATTTGTGAATACTCTGTTTCCTCTGTGGTTGTTTTGTTTGTTATGTTGTATTATGTTTAGTTTGCTATTGTAAGCAACATCACAATAAAATGTCTGTACATATATTTTGATATACAAATATTACTATTTTTAAAGGATAGCTTTTCATAAGTAAAATTATTGGACAAAGAAGTGCAGATTTTCAGTTCTGATGGAGACTACCAAAGGGTCAACACTGATTTACTCTCTTACTGCTAGTATACATGAGGATCTAATTCCCTTTGTATAATGTCAAAAAAATTTGCATAAAACTGATGAGTGAGAATTGAATTTCAGTCCACATTTTCTGATTATCAATTATGCTGATCATCTTGTCATACATTTTATTTGGTAACTGTGTTGCAAATATTTTCATTGAGTCAATAGTTTCTATTTTAGCTTTGCCTATGATCTCTTTTGGTATAATTTTCAAATTTTTAAGTGGGTTATTTTGTCATTCTTGTTCTTCATTTCATTTCTTGCTTGGAATGACATTTCCATCCTGAGACTGTAAAAATGTGCTCCTTTAGTTTTGGCTCAAACTTACTTTGTAGTTTGGATTTTTAACTTTTAGGTTGTTCATTTATCTGGGTTTTATTTCTATGTGTGGGTTAGATAGAAATCTAGCCTTATACTTTCCAAGTGTTCAACCAATTGTGACAAATATCATTAATATTCCATTCTTTCTTTGATGCTATTAAGTTTTACTATATATTAAGTTGCAGATAAATTACTGTCTCTATATATCTACCTATATATATGTATGCATAAATACAGATCTACAAAATTCTTTATGGTGGTCCATTGATTTGTTTTTCTCTGTTTGTGCCATTATCTTGTTTTTCACTATTATGTAATTTGATTGGGGTTAGAAAAGTTCCCTGAAATTGTTCTAATTTTTTTCAAAATTATTTCATCTGTTCTTAGCCATTTATTCATCTAGGTGAATTTTAGAAAAACTTTCACAAGTTTCATTAAAAATTCCCCTGGGGTCTTATTAGAGGTGCATTGAATTTTATTAATTTGAGAAGAATTAACATTTTTAAAATATTGATACAAATATCTCTGTTTATTTAGATCTTCATTTTGTGTTCTGTTACAATTTCTTCAGATAAATCTTACTCATTTATTTTTATTGCTCAGGTTTACTCCTAAGTATTTTTTAGACTTTCTTAACACTGTCAATTGAAATGTTTTCCAAATTACATTTTTCTAATATAAGTATTAATATTTGTATATTTAATTTTATCTGGTTAGTTTGGTAAAGTCTTCATAGATTTTAAATTTTTTCAGATGATTATCTTGGATTTTCTAGGTGGACAGTTTCATCATTTCTAATGTTTATGTCTTTTAATTCTTACTTTTTCACTGATTGAGACCACTATATCAACAGTATAGCTTAATAGTGGTAACAGGAGCCATCCTTTTCTGCTCTTTTCATGATATTGGTAGAATAAGACTCTTAATGATCAAAGTTTTATAATCCTGTAATATTTGAATGTTTAGAAAAAGGATGTTATAATTTTATAATCAGAAAAGTTAACATACTTTAAAAACTAATCACAGTAACATAGGCTATTCCTGGTAGTACTCCTATTTTGAGTGACATCTTTGGACCAAACGCTTAAAATTAAAGTATCCACATCATATTAACCAAACAGAAAGGTTTAAACAGGCATTAAGCAGGCTTTGCTCTGAAGACTTAAGGAAGGCTCATCTGAATTCTGTGGACAATAAGGAGCATTGATTAATTCTGATGTTCATTATTGTACTATCTCAACTATCATCACCACCTCCAGAACTATGAGCAGGAGAGGACCCTGAATGAAAGGGTGTCATTCATGGAGATACCCTGAATGAAAGTATCCTCATTCAAGGTGGGACCCAGAAACCACTTCCTCTGGAACAAAAAAAAAAAGAAGCTAAGAAGTTGGTCAAGAGACAACCTAAAAAGAAACTTCAGAAAGGGAAATGAGAAGAACTCAGGCAAATTAGGCCACTTAGAAGTTCCGAAGAACACATGGAAAAATCTTTATCTTTCATTTGTATAAGTTTATGGGGTGCAAGTACAGTTTTGTTACATGAATACATTGTGCAGCGGTCAAGTTAGGGTCTTTAGGGTGTCTACCATGCAAATAACATACATTGTACCCATGAGGCAATTTATCATCATTCATTCCCCTTTTACTCCTGACCCCCACTTCTTCTGAGTCTCTATTATCCATCATTCCACTCACAATGATCCTATGTATATATTTGTGGCACCCACTTATGAGTGAGAACATGTGATATTAGTGTTTTCTGATTTTATATTTTTTTATTTGTATATTTGTATTTTTGTGCCTGGCTTGTTTCACTCAGAATAATGACCTCCAGTTCCATCCATAGTGCTACAAATGACACGATTTCATTATTTATCATGGCTAAACAGTATTCCATTGTGTGTGTGTGTGTGTGTACACGTATACGTACACACACCACTTCTTTTATTCATTCATCCATTGATGGACACTTAGGTTGATCTTTGCTATTGTGAACAGTGCTGCAATAAACATATAAGTGCAGGTATCCCTTTGATATATTGATTTATTTCTTTCTGTATTCTGTTCCATTGATCTGTGTGTCTGTTTTTATACAGCACCATGCTATTTTGGCTGCTATAGCCTTGTAATATATTTTGAAGTCAGGTAATGTGATGCCTCCAGCTTTGTTCTTTTTTCTTAAAATTGCTTTGGCTATTCTGGCTCTTTGGGTTCCACATGAATTTTAGAATCGCTTTTTTCTAATCTTGTGAAAAATGATATTTCTACGTTGATAGGGATTATGTTCAGTATGTAGATTGCTTTGGGCAGTATGGTCATTTTAACTATATTAATTCTCCTGATCCATGAGCATGGAATGGAAAATTGAAAATCTTCAGTTTCTAGTTTAGGAGGCAGCCTGGATAATTTTAACTGTTCCCTTGTTGGATTTTTACTACCTGTTTCTCCATGGTTTCTTAAAGTAAATATTTTTTAAAACTGTAACACAGTGAAACCCCGTCTCTACTAAAAATACAAAAAAATTAGCCGGGCGTGGTGGCGGATGCCTGTAGTCCCAGCTACTCGGGAGGCTGAGGCAGGAAAATGGCATGAACCCGAGAGGCGGAGCTTGCAGTGAGCTGAGATCACGCCACTGCACTCCAGTCTGGGCGACAGACCGAGACTCCGTCTCAAAGAAAAAAAAAACAACCGTAACAAAGGGCTATGAGCTATTTTTACAGGCTTAAGCTTATGAAAGAAGCTGTCTTGGTCAAACTGCCCTTTACATCTCTCCCACTGCTTCTCCAAACCCTATCCAGGAAGTCCAGAGACATGGAGATAAAGAACTACAGCAGCAGCACCTCAGGCTTCATCCTCCTGGGCCTCTCTTCCAACCCTCAGCTGCAGAAACCTCTCTTTGCCATCTTCCTCATCATGTACCTGCTCGCTGCGGTGGGGAATGTGCTCATCATCCCGGCCATCTACTCTGACCCCAGGCTCCACACCCCTATGTACTTTTTTCTCAGCAACTTGTCTTTCATGGATATCTGCTTCACAACAGTCATAGTGCCTAAGATGCTGGTGAATTTTCTATCAGAGACAAAGGTTATCTCCTATGTGGGCTGCCTGGCCCAGATGTACTTCTTTATGGCATTTGGGAACACTGACAGCTACCTGCTGGCCTCTATGGCCATCGACCGGCTGGTGGCCATCTGCAACCCCTTACACTATGATGTGGTTATGAAACCACGGCATTGCCTGCTCATGCTATTGGGTTCTTGCAGCATCTCCCACCTACATTCCCTGTTCCGCGTGCTACTTATGTCTCGCTTGTCTTTCTGTGCCTCTCACATCATTAAGCACTTTTTCTGTGACACCCAGCCTGTGCTAAAGCTCTCCTGCTCTGACACATCCTCCAGCCAGATGGTGGTGATGACTGAGACCTTAGCTGTCATTGTGACCCCCTTCCTGTGTATCATCTTCTCCTACCTGCGAATCATGGTCACTGTGCTCAGAATCCCCTCTGCAGCCGGGAAGTGGAAGGCCTTCTCTACCTGTGGCTCCCACCTCACTGCAGTAGCCCTTTTCTATGGGAGTATTATTTATGTCTATTTTAGGCCCCTGTCCATGTACTCAGTGGTTAGGGACCGGGTAGCCACAGTTATGTACACAGTAGTGACACCCATGCTGAACCCTTTCATCTACAGCCTGAGGAACAAAGATATGAAGAGGGGTTTGAAGAAATTACAGGACAGAATTTACCGGTAAAAGGAACAAAATGTTGGTGTGTCATAATTAAGACATGATCGAAGAGATTATCAGGTTATTCTTCCTTAGTAACTATTTTCCACGTGGCACTCAAAGAGGTCATGAAAAGTGGTGTTGGATACCAATAAGAGAATTGACCTAGGAGCAAAACAATTAGTTTCTATGCATGATCTTAACCAAATACATATTCAGTCTCAGGCTAGGTACTGTTAGGAATCCAGATTTCAGGAAAAGGTTTCAGGTTTTGAAAGCTGAGTATTGCATCCTCAATAGATTGGCAATCATATAGAGAAATAAAGCTATCTCCAAATAACTTGTCTATAAGCCTGACAATGGCTAGCAGTCAAGGAGTTTAAATCCTGTTAGTTTTTTGTTTGGCGGAGGGGGGTTGTTCTTGTGTGTGCGTGGCTTTTTTTTTTTTAGAAACATAATCTCACTGTGTTGTTCAGGCTGGAGTACAATGGTGCGATTATAGCTCACTGCAGCCTCTAACTCCTGTGCTCAAGTGATTCTCCTGCCTTAGCCTCCCAAGTATCTGGGACTACAGGAACATGCCACCACACTCGACTTTTTTTTTTTTCTTTGTAGAGACAAGGTCATGTTATCTCACCCTGGTAGGTCTTGAACTCCTGGCTTCAAGGGTTCCTCCTGCCTCAGCCTCCCAAAGTGCTGGGATTACAGGGGTGAGCCACCACGACTTATAAAACTCATTAGTTTTAAGAAGAAGAAACTACATGGGTTTGATAGGTCATTGGGTAAGACTTCTTGAAGGAATGGCATCTTGAAGGATGGACTGAATTTTGAAAGAGGAAGTTTCAAAAGATGAAGAAATGGGCAAAGCATTTCAAATAGTGAAAACCACCCAAGCATGTGGAGACAATAAGCACTGCAATGTGTTTGAGGGACAATGAAAAGCTGAGGCTTCATCAGTTTGAGAGAAAGGAGAATACGGCTGGAAAGATAGAAGAATCTACAAAATGCATTTATTCTCCCCCCCACCAACACTTAAGTTTCATGACAGTGTGAAGGCTCAGTACCCGATTTCTTTTCCCTTCCCTCTTAATTCTTCCCTTCATACATCCAGCATCCTCACCAAGCTGCATTTTGTATCCTAGAAAAAGCTAATGTATCAGTTAGGAAAAAGCTCGGTTGTGCTATGGAAACAATCAACCTCAAAGTCTTAGGACCTTAAAACCAAAGGTTTATTTCTCATTCACATTGTAGGTCCACCATAGAAAAGTGTAAGTGTGCTACTTATTTTCAACATGCAGAGACCCAAGATCGTGGAGCAGTCACCACTGAAAACATTAATCATCACTCTGCCAGAAGCTGAGAAAGGCTCTTGGAGGTTTCACACTGGCAGTTAAAAACTCTGGCCCAGAAGTGACCCTCACCTCTTATGACCATAACTTATTGTCTAAAACACCTCTCATGACCCCACCCAAACGCAAGGCAGCCAGGAGGCACAATCCAACTATGTCCCTCTAAGATTTTAGAAAGCCAGAAGTATTTGATAAACCGCATTCATTACTACTACCCAACTATATTAACATACAAACACATCAGTGTGAATTAGTTGCTTCATCAGTTCTCCTGGATTGTGTTATTGTCAATAACAATAGTAATGTAACACTTACACACTGTCTGGGATTTTTCTGCTTCAATTATTTCATCAAGTTCCCACAACCATCAGCTTTTCTAGGTCACAAGCTTGTGTGGCAGGACCTGACGCTGAATACAAGTTTTTTGGCCTTAAAGATTTAGTAAGAGGTGAATGGTGTCCAAGGAAATACAGGGACACCTAGGTTCCGACATCAAGGTCCCTGCTAGTGCTTTCACTACGTGCTCCTAATTATAAGGGAGTAACCAGAAAGCCAGGAAAGAAACCCAAAGCAATAACCTTCGTGTTTGTACAGGCACACCTGGTTTTCACCACTATCTCTCACTGATCATTTGGTTTGTGGGATGCTGGCCTAGAAGATATGTACCATTTCCACTTACTCAATTTATGTGCCATAGTTTTCTCATGCTCAACCAAGTTCAATTAGCTACTTCAGAATGTTAGGAATATCTATATTAAATAAATCTATTCATAAATTATATGTATATTACATATACATTAAATAAACAAATTCATTAATTATGCCACCATTAACTTATAAATCCAATTAAGTTCTTTAGTCCTGAGAACACTAACTTACTTTTTTTTTTTTAACTTATTTTAAATTCCAGGATACATGTGCAGGACGTGTAGGTTTGTTACATGGGTAAACGTGTGCTATGGTGGTTTCCTGCACCTATCAACCCATCACCTAGGTATTAAGCCCCATATGCATTAGCTATTTATCCTGATGCTCTCCCTCCCCACTCCCACCCAGACCGCAGTGTGGGTTGTTCCCCTCCCTCTGTCCATGTTTTCTCGTTGTTCAGCTCCCACTTGTAAGTGAGAATATGCAGAGTTCAGTTTTCTGTTCTTGTGTTAGTTTGCTGAGGATAATAGATTCCAGCTCCATCCATGTCCCTGCAAAGGACATGATCTTGTTCCTTTTTATAACTTCATAGTATTCCATGGTGTATATGTACCACATTTTCTTTATGCAGTGTATCATTGATGGACATTTGGGTTGATACCATGTCTTTGCTATTGTGAATAGTGCTGCAATGAACATACGTGTGCATGTATCTTTATAATAGAATAATTTATATTCCTTTGGGTATATATCCAGTAATGGCACTGCTGGGTTGAATGGTATTTGTGGTTCTAGGTCTTTGAGGAATTGGCACACTATCTTCCACAATAGTTGAACTAATTTACATTCCCACCAACAGTATAAAAGTGTTCCTATTTCTCCAGTCTCACCAGCATCTGTTGTTTCTTGACTTTTTAATAATCACCATTCTGACTGTCATGAGATGGTATCTCATGGTGGTTATGATTTGCATTTCTCTAATGACCGTGATGTTGAGCTTTCTTTCATGTTTGTTGGCCGCGTAAATGTCTTCTTTTGAGAAGTGTCTGTTTATGTCTTTTGCCCACTTTTTAATGGGGTTGTTTATTTTTTTCTTGTAAATTTTTTAAGTTCCTTGTAGATTCTGGATATTTGACCTTTGTCAGATGGATATTTCTGATCTCACATTGCCATCAGCCCCAGACTTCTTTTTCTCAACAAATGCATGGCAAAAAAAAATCATAAAAGATGTTTTATGAATAATCCTAGAGATATTACCAAAAGTGTAAAGAAAAGGAAATTCTAGATAACAATTAACCACGAGAGTGCACTTTGGGATGAAAGAGTTCCTACTCTGACCCTCAGGTAAGTCCTAAACTTCTCAGTCAGAGCTGGAGTGTTTTCTCTGTCAAAATATGAAGCTACTTCCCACAAGACATCCTGTCACTCTTCAGAAGGAAAGAACTGCCATGAGCAAGGAGTATCTACAAAGTGTAGTAAGATTTTTGCTGTCCAATCAAGAGAGTCCAGAAGTCAACCTAGAAAGTCACTAATAAGCATGAGTAAGAGGAAATAAATAGATTATGAAGGTAGATATAATCACAGGGAGGGATTTCAACAGGCCTCTGGACATCTTGTCACATTGTCTCAAATGCTGCTACATAGTCCTTGAGAGTAGACAAGGAATCTCCTTGCCAGCTCCTTGTTTCACCATATTGGTATCCAGAAGGCTGGCTGAATACAATAGAGAAATAATACCATAGGTCTCTCATTTGTTGACAAAACACAAAAAGTTTAAAAAAATGTATTGGGTTTTTCCAATGTAAGCTTATTACATATATACAAATATTTGAGATTTAGCTCAATACTGAAATAAGGGGAATTCAGTTCACTGAACATATTTTACCTGTTTATCAGAGTAAGTGATGACAATTAGGAAGAGTGTGTAGCATGAGACCCAAGAAAAAAGTAGGGAAGAGGGCAGAGTATTTCTGGCATTGAAGAATCTAATAGAGAAAACATTATCAAAGAGGAATTAAAAGGAGTAGTCATAGAATTCAAGAGAAGAGTAAATTTGAAGAGGCAGGAGCCATTAACTGGTATCAAAATATGATGACAGTTTAACAAAATAAGGCTGAAGGTTGTCCATTGGCTTTAGTGACATGGTGGTGATTCATAACTTTGGTGAATGTGCAATGGAGAAATGGAAAACGAGCCAGATTGTGATGTGTTAAGGAATGAGTGAAGGTGAGAATGGAGAGAATGATTATAATCTGTGTCAATGTTGTTCCATGGTCTTATGACTTGCATTATTTTCAAAGAGAAATCAGTTGTAAGTCTTATCTTTAGTCCTCCTATAGGTGATACGTCTTTTTGCTCTGACTGGTTTTATTTTTTGGTTTTTAGCAATTTGATTACATATGGATTTCTTTGTGTTTATCCTACTTGGGGTTTATTAAGGCTTTTAAATCTATGGATAGATTTTTTTCTTCACATTTGATAACTTTTAGCCCAATATTTTTTAAATGTCTTTTTGCCCCAGTCCTTCTCTCCTCTCTGCAATTAGTAGATCCTCAAACAATCTATGAATTTTTTGATTGTTAGACTTCTGGTAGTGGCTTAAGTTTGAATCCCGCTGAATAGTCTGATAAAAGAAAGGTAAAACAACTAGAATAGTACAAGAATAACAATTCTTAAGACACAAAACATCCCTATAATGCCCAAAATACAAGCAGGTAGCAACAAAAGACCAAAAGCTATATGACCCACATGGTGTCAGATCTGAGCAAGAAGAAACAGAGGCAACCAACACTATCTGCCTGAGCTGAAAATGGGAAAAAAAATTAATTGGTAACTTCTCACAGGAATTTGTGCTGAGCCAATTTGAGAACAGAAGCTGAGACTGAAAGGGTTTTGTCCATTCTACTGTCATTTCAATGGGGCCTTAGTAAGCCCTGGTGATGCTGGAGCAGTCTAGGCCTTATTACCTCACAAAGCTACTCATCCAATAATCTCTTCCAGTACAAATCCCACACCAAGGATAAAATCAGAAAATAGAGCCAAGGTTTACCAAGATAAAAAAAAAAAATCTAGGAATAAAAGGAAAGTTAGAGACATAAATGAATAAGAGGAACAAAGCCAGATATCTTAGAAAGTACAGGGCCTATCTTTAAACACATTATGAGAACAACAGCAAACAACAGAATAATATATTAAGATCCTCAAGAAAAGAATAGATGAGTCAAGATTTCATATCCAACTAAAATTACTTTCAAATATAAGGGCCACTTTCACTATTCAAGAACTCTTAAGGAACTTACCATAGAACAAGCTTTAGACAACCAAAATGACTGGAGAGACATCAACTTAAGAACTGTTGATAAACAGTAAGCATATATTTAACTGTAGAACTAACATTAAATGATGGTTACAAGGTAAGAGAATACTGTTCATGGATAAATGCTCTGACTATATAGTTACATACAACAATAAACAAAATGTGGGAATAATGAGAGGAGGATATAAAAAATAAAATAAGCTTACTTATTGCCTATTAATTATTAACTTGGAATTAAGAAGTATTAAGTCAGGTATTTTGAGAGAGGCAGAGAAGAGGTAGAGAATTACCAGCTAATTTTAATATTACTAATAATAGGGTACCAATAAATAATAACCAAAAAGGTAGGAGGCTGGTATATATTAAAAAACACAATGACAAAAACGTAACATGTGGACATTACTTGGAGTCTGATTTGAAAAGATCAACTGAAAAGAGTAATTTTTAAGACAAGAAAAATTGAATATGGTTTAGGCATTAGATGATATCAATGAGTTAATGCCACTATTTTCAGGGATAATGATATTTTTATTTTTAAATTCTCATTTCTGAAAGATGCATCCTGAAGTAGGTCAATGAATTTATGCGATATCTGCAATTTGCTTTAAAAGAGTCACCAGCAAATAAATGGAAGGAGGCATATAGATCAAACAAGATTGAAATAATTTTTTAAATTACTATGCTAGGTGATGTGTCATGGGGTTCAATTACACTATACTATTTTCTATACTTTTATTTGAAATGGTTATAATAAAGTGTTTAATAAATCACACATCATATTAGCAATACGTCTCCCATCTTTTCTTTTTTTTTTTTTTTTTTGAGATGGAGTTTCACTCTTGCTGCCCAGGCTGGGAGTGCAATGGTGCAATCTCAGCTCACTGCAACCTCTGCCTCCCAGGTTCAAGCGATTGTCCTGCCTCAGCTCCCTGAGTAGCTAGGATTACAGGCAGTCGCCATCTTGCCCAGCTAATTTTGTATTTTTAGTAGAGACAGGGTTTCTCCATGTTGGTCAGGCTGGTCTCGAACTCCCAACCTCAGGTGATCCACCCGCCTCAGTCTCCCAAAGTGCTAGGATTATAGGCTTGAGCCACTGTGCCCAGCCTCTACTATCATCTTTTCTCAGTGGGTAAAAAACTGATTGTAAACTCATCCTTATTCTATAAGGTCCTGGAAGTCCCCCATGCTTCCAAAAATCTCTAACTAAAATTCTAATATTAGAGAATTCACTGAAGTCATCAGTAACCTTTAAAATATGCAACCTAGGAAGAGGAGTCACTTGCCAAGTTATAAATCATACATGGTAGGAATGAATGTCTGAGACCAAGTTTTATATAGGGAGGTGGGAGAAGAACAAGTGAAGGAGCCAAGGAGGTAAAGAGAAGCAGGGAGAAATGTGGAAGCCTGGAAGAAATAATTTTTGCACAGAGATCAAGAAGAAACTCTCAAAACGAACAAAGGAACACTCCCCCAAGTCTCCATCCAGGTATCAGTGACTCTGCATTCTTCCACAAACTGGAAGCATTTAACCTTTGGTTCCCCTGAACAAGTAATCTATGCAAGTTTCACATGGGAAAAATGCATCCTGGATGAAAGGTAGATAAACAGTTGCTGAGAATTATGGAAGCTGGGATGATAAAATGTCAGTTCCAATAAAAAAAAATAGTCCTTTTACAGTTTTTTTTTTTACCTTTGACCCCTCTGTGGGTGTCCTAATTCAATTCACCATACAGGAATAGTTTTGTAGAATCTTATCCATTGTGATTCTACCATATCAAGCTATTTTAAACTCAATGGCTAGCAAACATTTTGGCCATCAGATAAGTGCTATTTTTTCGCATTTTTCCTTTCTTCATTATCATCATCATCAATAATAATAGCATTGTTTGAGTGCTTCTTAAGACATCAAGTTAAAGGTTTACATGCTCGATTGCATGTAATTCTCACAATAACACACTGAGAAACTCTGTGAAACTCTATTTCACAGATGAAGAAACTGAGTCTCCTTTCCCAGGATAACAAGTGGAAGAGCTAGGACTCAAACCCAGAGGTGGGTGATTCTAGTTTTGCTTGTGATTACTATGTAATATTGTATTTATATTCTATAGGCAAAGATTACAAAGGGAGAGCCCTAGATGGTCAGTATCTAAATACTATATACCTGCTGGGAACTTAGGAAGTACATTTCTCTTTTTTTTGTTTGTTTTGTTTTGTTTGTTTTGAGACTGAGTGTCACTCTGTCGCCCAGGCTGGAATGCAGTGGTGCAATCTCTGCTCACTGCAAACTCCACCTCCCAGGTTCAAGCGATTCTTCTGCCTCAGCCTCCCTAGTAGCTGGGACTACAGTTGCACACCACCACACCCAGCTAATTTTCGCATTTTTTTTTTTAAGTAGAGACAGGGTTTCACCATATTGGCCAGGCTGGTCTCAAACTCCTGACCTTGCGATCTGACCATCTCAGCCTCCCAAAGTGCTAGGATTACAGGTGTGAGCCACCAGTGGCATGATCTTGGCTCACTGCAACCTTTGTCTCCCAGGTTCATTGATTCTTCTGCCTCAGCCTCCTGAGTAGCTAGGACTACAGGCATGTGCCATCATGCCTAGCCAATTTTTGTATTTTTGGTAGAGACAGAGTTTCACCATGTTGGCCAGGCTGGTCTTGAACTCCTGACCTCAGCTGATCCATCCACCTCCGCCTCCCAAAGTGCTGGGATTACAGGCAAGAGCCACTGCACCTGGCCAGAAGCACATTTCTCATTTGATTTTCTTCTCCACTGAGGCTAGGACAGAGCTTAGAACATAGTTAGAACTTAATATATGCTGAGATAAACTCTTCTAGGAATAATAAAGGGTAAGGATACAGAGGAGGTAGTCTCAGCTTTCCAAAAGTTACATCCTAATGAGGTGACAGCATATACAGTTCCATACAATGCTAAGATACACAATATTGGGGGGTGGGGCCAAGATGGCCAAATAGGAACAGCTGCAGTCTATAGCTCCCAGCATCAGCGACACAGAAGATGGCTGATTTCTGCATGTCCAACTAAGGTACCAGGTTCATCTCACTGGGGAGTGTCGGAAAGTGGGTGCAGGACAGTGGGTGCAGCGCACCAAGTGTGAGCCGAAGCAGGGAGAGGCATCACCTCACCCGAGAAGCACAAGGGGTCAGGGAATTCCCTTTCCTAGTCAAAGAAAGGGGTGACAGATGGCACCTGGAAAATCGGGTCACTCCCACCCTAATACTGCACTTTTCCAACCATCTTAGCAAACGGCACACGAGGAGATTATATCCCACACATGGCTCAGAGGGTCCTATGCCCACAGAGCCCCACTGATTGCTAGCACAGCAGTCTGAGATCAAACTGCAAGTCGGCAGCGAGGCTGGGGGAGGTGTGCCCGCCATTGCCAAGGCTTGAGTAGGTAAACAAAGCAGCCGGGAAGCTCAAACTGTGTGGAGCCCACTGCAGCTCAAGGAGGGCTGCCTGCCTCTGTAGACTCCACCTCTGGGGGCAGGACATAGCCAAACAAAAGGCAGCAGAATCTTCTGCAGACTTAAATGTCCCTGTCTGACAGCTCTGAATAGAGTAGTGGTTCTCCCAGCACACAGCTTGAGATCTGAGAACGGACAGACTGCCTCAAGTGGGTCCCTGATCCCCGACTAGCCTAACTGGGAGGCACCCCCCAGTAGGGGCAGACTGACACCTCACACGGCCAGGTACTCCTCTGACACAAAACTTCCAGAGGAACGATCAGGCAGCAACATTTGCTGTTCACCAATATCCACTGTTCTGCAGCCTCTGCTGCTGATACCCAGGCAAACAGGGTCTGGAGTGGACCTCCAGCAAACTCCAACAGACCTGCAGCTGAGGGTCCTGACTGTTAGAAGGAAAACTAACAAACAGAAAGGACATCCACACCAAAACCCCATCTGTACGTCACCATCATCAAAGACCAAAGGTAGATAAAACCACAAAGATGGGGAGAAAACGAGCAGAAAAACTGGAAAATCTAAAAATCAGAGCGCCTCTCCTCCTCCAAAGTAATGCAGCTCCTCACCAGCAACAGAACAAAGCTGGATGGAGAATGACTTTGACGACTTGAGAGAAGAAGACTTCAGACAATCAAACTACTCCAAGCTACAGGAGGAAGTTCGAAACCACGGCAAAGAAGTTAAAAACCTTGAAAAAAGATTAGACAAATGGCTAACTAGAATAACCAATGCAGAGAAGTCCTTAAAGGACCTGATGGAGCTGAAAACCATGGCACGAGAACTACGTGACGAATGCAGAAGCCTCAGTAGCCGATTTGATCAACTGGAATAAATGGTATCAGTGATGGAAGATCAAATAAATGAAATGAAGTGAGAAGAGAAGTTTAGAGAAAAAAGAATAAAAAGAAACGAACAAAGCCTCCAAGAAATATGGGACTATGTGAAAAGACCAAATTTACGTCTGATTGGTGTATCTGAAAATGATGGGGAGAATGGAACCAAGTTGGAAAACACTCTGCAGGATATTATCCAGGAGAACTTCCCCAATCTAGCAAGGCAGGCCAACATTCAGATTCAGGAAATACAGAGAATGCCACTCCTTGAGAAGAGCAACTCCAAGACACATAATTGTCAGATTCACCAAAGTTGAAATGAAGGAAAAAATGTTAAGGGCAGCCAGAGAGACAGGTCAGGTTACCCACAAAGGGAAGCCCATCAGACTAACAGCTGATCTCTCGGCACAAACTCTACAAGCCAGAAGAGAGTGGGGACCAGTATTCAACATTCTTAAAGAAAAGAATTTTCAACCCAGAATTTCATATTCAGCCAAACTAAGCTTCTTAAGTGAAGGAGAAATAAAATCCTTTACAGACAAGCAAATGCTGAGAGATTTTGTCACCCCCAGGCCTGCCCTAAAAGAGCTCCTGAAGGAAGCACTAAACATGGAAAGGAACAACCGGTACCAACCACTGCAAAAACATGCCAAATTGTAAAGACCATCAAGGCTAGGAAGAAACTGCATCAACTAACAAGCAAAATAACCAGCTAACATCATAATGACAAGATCAAATTCACACATAACAATATTAACCTTAAATGTAAACGGGCTAAATGCTCCAATTAAAAGACACAGACTGGCAAATTGGATAAAGAGTCAAGACCCATCAGTGTGCTGTATTCAGGAAACCCATCTCACATGCAGAGACACATATAGGCTCAAAATAAAGGGATGGAGGAAGATCTACCAAGCAAATGGAAAACAAAAAAAGGCAGGGGTTGCAATCCTAGTCTTGGATAAAACAGACTTTAAACCAACAAAGATCAAAAGAGACAAAGAAGGCCATTACATAATGGTAAAGGGATTAATTCAACAAGAAGAGCTAACTATCCTAAATATATATGCACCCAATACAGGAGCACCCGGATTCATAAAGCAAGTCCTTAGAGACCTACAAAGAGACTTAGACTCCCACACAACAATAATGGGAGAATTTAACACCCCACTGTCAACATTAGACAGATCAACAAGACAGAAAGTTAACAAAGATATCGAGGAATTGAACTCAGCTCTGCACCAAGCAGACCTAATAGACATCTACAGAACTCTCCACCCCAAATCAACAGAATATACATTCTTCTCAGCACCACACCGCACTTATTCAAAAACTGACCACATAGTTGGAAGTAAAGCACTCCTCAGCAAATGTAAAAGAACAGAAATTAGAACAAACTGTCTCTCAGACCACAGTGCAATCAAACTAGAACTCAGGATTAAGAAACTCAGTCGGAGGAATGTCAACTATTAACATGGAGGCGGAGGTCGATAAGCTGGAACTGATGTTCCAGAAAGCTGAGTCTGATCTGGATTACATTCAATACAGGCTGGAATATGAAATCAAGACTAATCATCCTGATTCAGCAAGTGAGAAAAATCCAGTTACACTCTTAAAGGAATTGTCAGTGATAAAGTCTCAATATCAAACTTTGTATGCCCGCTTTAAACCAGTTGCTGTTGAGCAGAAAGAGACTAAGAGCCGCATTTGTGCTGGTATGACTAAAACTATGAATGTGATACAAAAACTACAGAAGCAAACAGACCTGGATCTGTCACCACTGACTAAAGAAGAGAAAACTGCGGCAGAGCAATTCAAATCTCACGTGCCAGATTTATGAAGAAATGGACTTGGAAAGGAAATTCTAACAGAGAAGAGCTTAATTCCAGAGAAATTTAGGAAGATGTCTTGTTAACCCTTGATGTCTAGAGATTGGGGGCTGGTGAAGGAAGTTTGGCTTCAATGACTGGATAATGATGTCTTTCATGAGAGAGACTATAAGAAGAAGGGCAGATAATATATGAATAAAGTTCAGCCAAAAGGATTAAATGAGAATAAAATGATTTAAATATATGTACACACGCATGTACACACATACTTAGTCTTGTAATTTCAGGCCAGAAAATCTCTTAACACTATTTTGCATGTGTTTTCTTTTTCTAAATCATGATAATGTAGAGGTTCTGGTCTATCATAAAAGAATGTTTATGTACATTTCAGTCATTCGGTATGTGGCCTTGTAAATTAAAGTATAGGCAAAACAAAAAAAAGAAGAAGAAACTCAGTCAAAACCGCTCAACTACATGGAAACTGAACAACCTGCTCCTGAATGACTACTGGATACAAAACGAAATGAAGGCAGAAATAAAGATGTTCTTTGAAACCAATGAAAACAAAGACACAACATACCAGAATCTCTGTGACACATTCAAAGCAGTGTGTAGAGGGAAATTTATAGCACTAAATGCCCACAAGAGAAAGCAGGAAAGATCTAAAATTGACACCCTAGCTCTGCAATTAAAAGAACTAGAGGAGCAAGAGCAAACACATTCAAAAGCTAGCAGAAGGCAAGAAATAACTAAGATCAGAGCAGAACTGAAGGAAATAGAGACACAAAAAAACCTTCAAAAAATCAATGAATCTAGGAGCTGCTTTTTTGAAAAGATCAACAAAATGGATAGACTGCTAGCAAGACTAATAAAGAAGAAAAGAGAGAAGAATCAAATAGACGCAATAAAAAATGATAAAGGGGGTATCACCAACGATCCCACAGAAATACAAACTACCATCAGAGAATACTATAAACACCTCTATGCAAATAAACTAGAAAATCTAGAAGAAATGGATAAATTCCTCGACACATACAACCTCCCAAGACTAAACCAGGAAGAAGTTGAATCTCTGAATAGACCAATAACAGGCTCTGAAATTGAGGCAAGAATTAATA
Source organism: Homo sapiens (assembly GCF_000001405.40). NCBI lineage: Eukaryota > Metazoa > Chordata > Mammalia > Primates > Hominidae > Homo > Homo sapiens. Next base: position 122,763,341 of record NC_000009.12, read on the forward strand.
GCTTACCAACCGAAAAAAAGTCCAGGACCAGATGGATTTACAGCTGAATTCTACCAGAGGCACAGGAGGATCTCGTACCATTCCTTCTGAAACTATTCCAATCAATAGAAAAAGAGGGAATCCTCCCTAACTCATTTTATGAGGCCAGCATCATCCTGATACCAAAGCCAGGCAGAGACACAACAAAAAAAAGAGAATTTTAGACCAATATCCCTGATGAACATCGATGCAAAAATCCTCAATAAAATACTGGCAAACCGAATCCAGCAACACATCAAAAAGCTTATCCACCATGATCAAGTGGGCTTCATCCCTGGGATGCAAGGCTGGTTCAACATATGCAAATCAATAAACATAATCCAGCATATAAACAGAACCAAAGACAAAAACCACCTGATTATCTCAATAGATGCAGAAAAGGCCTTTGACAAAATTCAACAACACTTCATGCTAAAAACTCTCAATAAATTAGGTATTGATGGGATGTATCTCAAAATAATAAGAGCTATCTATGACAAACCCACAGCCAATATCATACTGAATGGGCAAAAACTGGAAGCATTCCCTTTGAAAACTGGCACAAGACAGGGATGCCCTCTCTCACCACTCCTATTCAACATAGTGTTGGAAGTTCTGGCCAGGGCAATCAGGCAGGAGAAGGAAATAAAGGGTATTCATTTAGGAAAAGAGGAAGTCAAATTGTCCCTGTTTGCAGATGACATGATTGTATATCTAGAAAACCCCATCATCTCAGCCCAATATCTCCTTAACCTGATAGGCAACTTCAGCAAAGTCTCAGGATACAAAATCAATCTGCAAAAATCACAAGCATTCCTATACACCAATAACAGACAAACAGAGAGCCAAATCATCAGTGAACTCCCATTCACAATTGCTTCAAAGACAATAAAATACCTAGGAATCCAACTTACAAGGGATGTGAAGGACCTCTTCAAGGAGAACTACAAACCACTGCTCAATGAAATAAAAGAGGATACAAACAAATGGAAGAACATTCCATGCTCATGGGTAGGAAGAATCAATATCGTGAAAATGGCCATACTGCCCAAGGTAATTTATAGATTCAATGCCATCCCCATCAAGCTACCAATGACTTTCTTCACAGAATTGCAAAAAACTACTTAAAAGTTCATATGGAACCAAAAAAGAGACCACATGGTCAAGTCAATCCTAAGCCAAAAGAACAAAGCTGGAGGCATCACGCTACCTGACTTCAAACTATACTACAAGGCTACAGTAACCAAAACAGCATGGTACTGGTACCAAAACAGAGATATAGACCAACGGAACCAAACAGAGTCCTCAGAAATAATGCCACTTATCTACAACCATCTGATCTTTGACAAACCTGAGAAAAACAAGCAATGGGGAAAGGATTCCCTATTTAATAAATGGTGCTGGGAAAACTGGCTAGCCATATGTAGAAAGGTGAAACTGGATCCCTTCCTTACACCTTATACAAAAATTAATTCAAGATGGATTAAAGACTTAAATGTTAGACCTAAAACCATAAAAACCCTAGAAGAAAACCTAGGCAATACCATTCAGGACATAGGCATGGGCAAGGACTTCATGTCTAAAACACCAAAAGCAACGGCAACAAAAGCCAAAATTGACAAATGGGATCTAATTAAACTAAAGAGCTTCTGCACAGCAAAAGAAACTACCATCAGAGTGATCAGGCAAACTACAGAATGGGAGAAAATTTTTGCAATCTACTCATCTGACAAAGGACTAATATCCAGAATCTACAATGAACTTAAACGAATTTACAAGAAAAAAACAAACAACCCCATCAAAAAGTGGGTGAAGGATACGAACAGACACTTCTCAAAAGAAGACATTTATGCAGCCAAAAGACACATGAAAAAATGCTCATCATCACTGGCCATCAGAGAAATGCAAATCAAAACCACAATGAGATACCATCTCACACCAGTTAGAATGGCAATCATTAAAAAGTCAGGAAACAACAGGTGCTGGAGAGGATGTGGAGAAATAGGAACACTTTTACACTGTTGGTGGGACTGTAAACTAGTTCAACCATTGTGGAAGTCAGTGTGGCGATTCCTCAGGGATCTAGAACTAGAAATACCATTTCACCCAGCCATCCCATTACTGGGTATATACCCAAATGACTATAAATCATGCTGCTATAAAGACACATGCACACGTATGTTTATTGCGGCACTATTCACAATAGCAAAGACTTGGAACCAAGCTAAATGTCCATGAATGATAGACTGGACTAAGAAAATGTGGCACATATACACCATGGAATACAATGTATATTTTTATGCACCCATAAAAAATGATGAGTTCATGTCCTTTGTAGGGACATGGATGAAGCTGGAAGCCATCATTCTCAGCAAACTATCACAAGGACAAAAAACCAAACACCACGTGTTCTCACTCATAGGTGGGAATTGAACAATGAGAACACATGGACACAGGAAGGGGAACATCACACACCGGGGCCTGTTGTGGGGTGGGGGGACGGGGGAGGGATAGCATTAGGAGATATACCTAATGTTAAATGACAAGTTAATGGGTGCAGCACACCAACATGGCACACGTATACGTATGTAACTAACCTGCACGTTGTGCACATGTACCCTAAAACTTAAAGTATAATTAAAATAAATAAATAAAAGTAGAATTCAGCGATAACAAGTAAAAAAAAAAAAAAAAAAAAAAAAAAAAAAAAAAAAAAAAAAAAAAACAAAAAAACAGCCAAATGAAAATTCTGAAGCTAAGGAACACAATCACTGAACTGAAAAATTTCATAAAGAGCTTTAATAGCAGACTCAATCAAGCAGAATAAATAATTAGTAAGTTCAAAGACAGGTCATTTGAAATTATCCAGATAATATCCTCTGAATTTATCCAGTCAGAAGAAAAATGATTTAAAAGAGGATGGAAGGCCTATGGGATTTATAGGACACCAACAAGCAAACCAATATATGGCTTATGAGAATCACAAAAGGGGCAGAAAAAGAGAAAAGAGCAGAAAGTTTATGTAAAGAAACGATGGAAATTTTCCCAAATCTGGAGAGAGAAAGAACATTCCAATCTGTGAAGCCCAAAGAATCTCATATAAATTAAATACAAAGAGATCTTCACAGAGACACATTAGAATCAATTTATTAAAAGTCAAAGACAAATGGGGGTGAGGGATAAAAGACTACAAATTGGGTTTGGTGTATACTGCTCAGGTGATGGGTGACCAAAATCTCACAAATCACCACTAAAGAACATACTCATGTAATCAAATACCACCTGTTCCCCAAAAACCTATGGAAATATTTTTTTTAAAGTCAAAGACAGAGACAGTTTTGAAAAGGAGCAAAGCAAAGGAACTCATCACATACAAGGGAAACTCCATAAAACTGTAAGTTAATTTCTCAGCAGAAATCTTTCTGGCTACAAGAAAATGGAATGATATATTTAAAGTGCACAGAGAAAAAAAACTGCCAATCAAGAATACTACACATGATGCTGGTATATTCAGAAACAACGGAGAAATAAAGATATTCCCAGACAACAGAAGTTGTGGGCATTCTAGATTCATTCTACAACAAATGCTAAAGGGAGTTCTTCAAGTTGAAATGAAAGAACATTAACAACAAACAGTAAGGTAAGAATATAGTCAAATCCAAGGTACACCAATACTATAATAGTAGTGCATAAATCACCTTTAACCTTAAATTTTTTAAAAAAAGTTAAAAGACAGAAGTATTAAAAATAACCATAGCTGCAATAATTTGGTAATGAATACACAATATATAAAAGATTTAAATTGTAGCATCAATAACATAATATGGGAAAACACCTTAGTTTGCACTGAGAGACCATTTTCGGTAGAACCCAAAAGTTTGCAAGAGGAACACAGCATGCAGCAAGTGAGCAAGCCAGGGACAGTGGCAGCAGTGTCAAGGACCATGGTGCTGCTGGCACCACCTCCACAGGCATGGAAGCAGCGCTCCCACTCCCTCCTCAGACTCCACAGTGTCCCAGGAGATTTTGCTGACAATTCCAGTTTCTGAATGAAACATTTCAGCAATGGTGAGGGCTTCAATCCCATCTCTGATTTCCTGTCAACCGTGAATGGATGGATGTGATGCCTGCAAGGGGAGCTCCCACCACCAGCCAAAGGAGGCAGTGAGTGATTGTGTAACCCCACCCAAGAAACCACACTTTCCCCACAGATCTTTCCAGCCCATGGATCAGGAGATCCCCTTGTGAGCCCACACCAGCAGGGCCTTGGGTCTGAAGCACAGAGCTGTGTAGACTCTGGGCAGCCACTCAGGCATGCACAAAGATGTGGGAGTTTTTGCATACTCCACCCAGGGAATTCCAGTGAGGCAGGAGACCCTTCCATTCCTGTAGGAAGGGGGCTGAAGCCAGGGAGCCAAGTGGAGTCATTCAGTGGGTCCCACTCCCATGGCACCTCACAAGTGAAGACCCACTGGCTTGGAATTCCTGCTAGCCAGTGGTAGCAGGCTGGGGACTGCCTGAGACAACCAAGTTCCTGGAGGGGAGGGACAACCATCATCTCTGTGCTCAAGTCACATGTCCTGGCCTTCCTGCTCCAGGGAGTTCTGGGCAGTCCAGACAGGGAGGAATTCCCCACAGTGCAGCGCAGCTGCTGTGGCAGATCGTAGTCAGACTGCTACTTTAAGTGGAATCCCAATCCATTTATCCTCACTAGGTGGGGCTTCTCTGGAATTTCAACAACTCCAGCCAGGGTTTTATGGACAGAAGTCTGATCTCCCCGGGACAGAGCTCCTGGGAGGAGAGTGGGCCACACAGTCTCTGCAGTTCAGCTGATTTAGCCTTTTCCGCCTGCTGGCTCTGGAGAGCCTGGGTGGTCTCGAGGGGTGTTTCCCACAGTGCAGCACACCCACTCCACCAAGGACCAGAGTGCTTCTTTAAGCAGATCCATGATCTCATTCCTCCTGACTGGATGAGACTTCCCAACAGGGGTCTCCAGACACCTCCTATAAGAGTGTTTGGGCCAGCATTGGGTTGGTACCCTTCTGGGATGGAGCTCCCAGAGGAAGGAGCAGGTGGCCATCTTTGCTGTTTTGCAGCCTGGCAATTAGGGTCTGGAGTGGATCCCCAGCAAACCACAGCAGAAGAAGGGCCTGATTATTAAAAGAAAAACAAACAAACAAAAAGCACAACAATATCACAAAAAGACCCTATAAAAACCCCATTCAAAGGTCAGCAACCCAAAGATTGAAGGTAGATAAGCCCATAAAGATGAGAAAGAACGCAAAAATGCTGAAAACTCAAAAAGCAAGAGTGCCTCTTCTCCTCCAAATGATCACAACACCTCTTCAGCAAGGGCACAGAACTGGGCTGAGGCTGAGATGGCTGAATTGACAGAAGTAGGCTTCAGAAGGTGGGTAATAATGAACTTCTCTGAGCTAAAGGAGCATGTTCTAACCCATTGCAAAAAAATAATAATAACAATAAAGCTAAGAATCATGATAAAACAATACAGGAGGTGCTAACCAGAATAGCCCATTTAGAGAGGATCATAACTGATATAATGGAGCTGAACACCACAAAATGAGAACTTCACAATGCAATCACAAGTAACCATAGCGGAATAGACCATGTGAAGGAAAGAATCCCAGAGCCTGAAGACTGTCTTTCTGAAACAAGAGAGGCAGAAAAAAATATAGGGGAAAAAATGAAAAGGAATGAACAAAACCTCCAAGTTGGGATTATGTAAAAAGACCAAATCTATGGTAGATTAAGGTACCTGAAAGAAATGGGGAGAATGGAACCAAGTTGAAAAACATACTTCAGGATATTATCCAGGAGAACATCCTCAACCTCACAAGACAGGCCAACATTCAAGTTCAGGAAATCAAGAGAACCCCAGTAAGATACTCCACAAGAAGATCAACCTGAAGACCATAATCATCAGATTCTCCCAGGTCAAAATGAAAGAAAAAATATTAAGAGTAACCAGAGAGAAAGGCCAGGTCACCTACAAAGGAGGCCCATTAGACTAACAGTGATCTTCTCAGTGGGAATCCTACAAGTCAGAAAAGATTGGGGGCCAATACTCTATATTTTCAAAGAAAACAATTTCAAACCCAGAATTTCATATCTGGCCAAACTAAGCTTCACATGCGAAGAAGAAATAAGATCCTTTCTAACAAGCAAATGCTGAGGGAATTTGTCACCACCAGGCCTGCCTGGTGTACACAGACCAGTGAAACTATGAAGCAACTACGTAAACAATTCTTCAAAATAACCAACTAGCATCATAATGACAGGATCAAATTCATGCATAAGAATATTAACCTTAAATGTAAATGGGCTAAATGCCCAAATTAAAAGACGCAGAGCAGCAAGCTGGATAGAGTCAAAACCAATGAGTGTGCTGTATTCAAGAGACCCATTTCTTGTCCAAAGACACACATAGGCTCAAAATAAAGGAATGGAGGAAAATCTACCAAGTAAATGAAATACAGAAAAAAGCAGGGGTTGCAATCCTAGTTTCTGACAAAACAGATTTTAAACCAGTAAAAGTCAGAAAAGACCAAGAAGGGCATTACATAATGGTAAAGGGTTCAATTTAACAAGAAGAGCTAACTATCCTAAATATATATGCACCCAATACAGCAGCACCCAGATTCATAAAGCAAGTTCTTAGAGACCTACAGAGAGACTTAGCCTCCCACACAATAACAGTGGGAGACTTTAACACCCCCATTGACAATATTAGACAGATCATCAAGACAGAAAATTAACAAAGATATTCAGGACCTGAACTTGGCTCTGGATCAAGTGGACCTGATAGATATCTACAGAACCCTCCACCCCAAAACAACAGAATATACATTCTTCTCATTGCCACATGGCACTTACTCTAAAATTGATCACATAATTGGAAGTAAAACACTCCTCAGCAAATGCAAAAGAACTGAAATCATAACAGTCTCTCAGACCACAGTGCAATTAAATTCGAACTCAAGATTAAGAAACTCACCCAAAATCACACAACTACATGGAAATTGAACAATCTCTCCTAAATGACCCCTGTGTAAATAATGAAATTAAGTTAGAAATTAAGAAGTTATTTGAAACTAATGAGAACAAAAAGACAATGTACTGGAATCTCTGGGATGCAACTAAAGCAGTGTTAAGAGGGAAACTTATAGCACTAAATGCCCACATCAAAAAGCTAGAAAGATCTCAAATCAACAACCTAACATCACAACTGAAAGAACTAGAGAACCAAGATGAAACCAGCCCCCAAGCTAGCAGAAGATGGGAAATAACCAAGATCGGGGGGAACTGAAGGAGTTAAAGACACAAAAGCCCCTTCAAAAAAATCAACAAACCCAGGAGCTGATTTTTTGAAAAAATTAATAAGATAGATAAACCATTAGCTAGACTAATAAAGAAGAAAAGAGAAAAGACTCAAATAGACACAATCAGAAATGATATGGGAGATATCACCACTGGCCCCACAGAAATACAAGCAACCATTGGAGAGTACTATAAACACCTCTATGTACATAAACTAGAAAATCTAGAAGAAATGGAAAAATTCCTGGATGCAAAAACGCCAGTCAGAATGATGATTATTAAGAAGTCAATAAATAACAGATGCTTGGAAAAAGGAATGCTTTTACATTGTTCATGGGAATGTAAATTAGTTCAACCATTGTGGAAGACAGTGTGGCAATTCCTCAAAGATCTAGAAGCAGAAATGCCATTTTAGGCTGAGTGCAGTGGCTCTCGCCTGTAATCCTAGCACTTTGAAAGGCCAAGGCAGGTGGATCACTTGAGGTCAAGAGTTCAAGACCAGCCTGGCCAACATGGTAAAACCCCATCTCTGCTAAAAATACAAAAAAAAAAAAAAAATTAACCAGGCGTGATGGCAGGCACTTGGAATCCCAGCTACTCTGGAGGCTGAGGCAGGAGAATCGCTTGAACCTGGGAGGCAGAAGTTGCAGTGAGCCAAGGTCTCACCACTGCACTCCAGCCTGGGCAACAGAGTGAGACTCTGTCTCAAAAAAATAAAATAAAATAAAATAGAAATACCATTTGACCCAGTAATCCCATTAATGGGTGATATACCCAAAGGGCTATAAATCATTCTGTTATAACGATACATGCATGCATATGTTCACTGCAGCACTATTTATAATAGCAAAGGCATAGAATCAACCCAAATGCCCATCAATGATAGACTGGATAAAGAAAATGTGGTACATATGCACCGTGGAATACTGGGCAGCCATAAACAAGAATGAGATCATGTCTTTTGCAAGAACATAGATGGAACTGGAAGCTGTTATTCTTAGCAAACTAATGCAGGAACAGAAAACCAAACACTGCATGTTCTCACTTGTAAGTGGGAGCTGAACGATGAGAATATAAGGACACAGGGTGGAGAACAACACACACTGGGGCCTCTCAGGGGCTGCAGGGGGAGAGAGAGCATCAGGAAGAATAGCTAATGCATCCTGGGCTTAATACCTAGGTGTTGGATTGATCTGTGCAGCAAACCACTATGGCACACGTTTACCTGTGTAACAAACCTGCACACCCTGCATGTGTACCCTGGAACTTAATATAAAAATTGAAGAAAAAATAACATAGTATGGGGAGAAAAGATAAAGTGTAAAGTTTTCATATGTAGTAAAAGTTAAGTTGTCATAAGCTTCAAAATAGACTACTATAATTATAAAAGGGTTTGTGTAGCCTTGTGGTAACTACAAAGAAAAAACATGTAGTCAATACACAAAAGAGAAAGAGAAAGGAATCAAAGCATACCACTACAAAAAAAAAATCATTCTATCATAAAAGAAGGAAGGAGGAGATTAAGAAAGGAAGAAAGCAACTACAAAAGAGTAGAAAAACAATTAACAAAATGTCAGCAGTGATAAACAACTTTAGTAAAGTTTCAGGATACAAAATCAATGTACAAAAAGAGTAGCATTTTTATACACTAACAATGTCAAAGCTGAGAGCCAAATCAAGAGCACAATCCCATTCACAATCACCACACACACACACACACACACGCACACACACAAAATACCTAGGAGCACAGCTGACCAGGGAGGTGAAAAATCTCTACAATGAGAATTACAAAACACTACTGAAAGAAATCAGAGATGACACAAACAAATGGAAAAACATTCCATGTTCATGGATAGAAAAAAAATCAATATTGTTAAAATGGCCATACTGCCCAAAGCAATTTATAGACTCAATGTTACTTCTATCAAATGGCCAATGACATTTTTCACATAATTAGAAAAAAACTATTCTAAATTCATATAGAATAAAAAAGAGCCCGAATAGACAGAGCAATTCTAAACAAAAAGAACAATTCTGGAGACATCACACTACCTGACTTCAAACTATACTACAAGCCTACAGTAACCAAAAGAGCATGGTACTGGTACAAAAACAGATATGGAGACCAATGGAACAGAATAGAGAACCCAAAATAAAGCCACAAACCTACAACTAACTGATTTTTAACAAAGTTGACAAAAAACAAGCAACGGGGAAAGGACTCCCTATTCAATAAATGGTGCTGGGAGAAGTGGCTAGCCATATGCAGAAGATTGAAAATAGACCCCTTCCTTTCACCATACACAAAATCAACTCAAGATGGATTAAAGATTTAAACGTAAACCCAAAACTATGAAAACCCCAAAAGAAAATCTAGGAAATACCATTGTGGACATCAGCCCTGGCAAAGATTTCATGATGAAAACGACAAAAGCAATTACAACAAAAATAATGATTGACAAATGAGACCTAGTTAAACTAAAGGGCTTCTGCACAGCAAAAGAAACTATCAACAGAGTAAATGGACACACTGCATAATGGGAGAAAATGTTTGCAAACTATGCATCTGGCAAAGGTCTAGTACCCAGAATCTATAATGAACTTAAACAAATCAGCAAGTGAAAAACAAACAACCCCATTAAAAATGGGCAAAGGATATGAACAGACACTTCTCAAAAGAAGACATATACGTGGCCAATGAACATATGAAAAAATGTTAAACATCACTAATCATTAGAGAAATGCAAATCAAAAGCACAGTGAGATACCATCTCACACCAGTCAGAATGGCTATTATTTAAAAATCAAGAAATAACAGATGTCAACAAGGTTGCAGAGAAAAGGGAATGCTTATACACTGTTGCTGGGAATGTAAACTAGTTCAACCACTGTGGAAAGCAGTTTAAATATTTCTCTAAGAACTTAAAAGAGAGCTACCATTCGACCTAGCAATCCCATTACTGAAAATATACCCAAGGGAATATAAATCGTACTACCATACAGACACGTGCATTGCAGCACTATTCACAATAACAAAAACATGGAGTCAACATAAATGCCCATCAACAGTAGACTGGATAAAGAAAATGTGGTACATATACACCACGGAATACTACATAGCAGTGAAAAAGACTAAGATCATGTCCTTTGCAGCAACATGGAGGGAGCTTGAGGTCATCATCCTAAACAAACTAACACAGGAACAAAAAAACAAATACCACACATTCTTACTTGTAAGTGGGAGCTAAACATGGAGTATGCGTGGACACAAAAAAGGGAACAATAGACACCAGGGTCTACTTGAGAGTGGAGGTTGGGAGGAGGGGGAGGATCAAAAAACTACCTATTGGGTACTATTCTCATTACCTAGGTGATGAAATAATCTGTACACCAAACCCCCATGACATATAATTTACCTATATAACAAACCTGTATATGTCCCCATGAATCTAAAATAAAAGTTAATAAGAAAGGAAATACAAAAAAAGTTTTAAATGTCTAGAAAACATTAAAGGGCTTAATATCATTAGTAATCACAAAAATCCTCATTGTAAAATCAGAAGATTCTACTACACACCCACCAGAATGGCTAAAATGAAAAAGACTGACATCACTAAGTGTCACAGATGATGTGAAGCAACTAGAATTTTCATACATTGCTGATAGAACTATAATTTGGTGCAATCTCTTTGAAAGCCAGTTTGGCAGTACAATATATACTAAAATTGAAGATAGGGACATCCTAAAATCCAGAGATTCCACTCATATGTAAATATCCAACAAAAGAGTACCCAAGTGTGCCAAGAAACACACACAAGAATGACCATCAGGTATTACTTCTAATGGCCAAAAACTGGCTGCCCCTTCAGCAATAGACTGGATGAATAATACATCATATCTCCATACAACAGAGCATCTCACAACAAGGAAAATGAACAAACTACAGCTTTATACAACAATCTAAATGAATCTCATTTTGGATGTCAGAACTGTGGACATCATGGTAGTGTGTAGCAGTATCTCATTATGTGGTTATTGAAATCAATGAAGTAAAGATACATATAGAAAACTGCAGAAAACATAAGTAATTGCCCAGTGAATTATTAATATTACAGAATGAATGTCTGTATATCACTTCTCACACAAGAAGTAGAACATTGCCAGCCCTACCAAACTCTTCCTCTTGCCTCCTGCCAATTATTACTCTTCTCTTCTCCTCTAAGGTAAATAACCAGTATCCTTTTTCTCTAACAGCTCCATAGTGCTGGAGCAACTGGGCAAGAAACAGAGGTAAAAGTCATCCAAATCAGAAAGAAAGAAGTAAATTGTCTCTGTTCACAGATGACATAGATTTATATGCAGAAAACCCTAAAGAATCCATGAAAAATGATTAAAACTAATGAACAAATTAATTAAAGTTGCATGATGCAAAATCAACACACAGAAATCAGTAGCATTCTATACACTAACAATACACTATCTGAAAAAAAAAAAAAAACAAAGAAAATAATCCCATTTACAATAGCATCAAAACCAATCAAATCTATAGGAATCATTTTAACCAGGAGGATAAAAGACCTGTACACTGAAAACTACAAAATATTGATGAAAGAAATTGAAAAAGACACAAATAAAGGGAAAGATACCCAGTTTTTATGGACCAGAGGAATTAACATTGTTAAGATGTCCATACTATGCACAGCAACCTACAGAGTCAATCCAATCTTCATCAAAATTCCAATGGTAAGGCCAGGTGTGGTGGCTCACATTTATAATCCCAGCACTTTGGGAGGCCAAGGCAGGTGGATAACTTGAGGTTAGGAGTTCCAAACCAGCCTGGCCAACATGGCAAAACTCTGTCTCTACTAAAAGTACAAAAATTAGCCAGTTGTGATGTCGGTCACCTCTAATGCTGAAGGAAGAGAAAGACCCTCTCATATTATCTTATATTGTTTTATACTCAGTACCTGTTTTAAGAAAAAACTACAAGGAAGTAAAACCAAAGACAGGCAGCCCGGCGCCAGGCCCGAAACCAGGCCTGGGCCTGCCTGGCCTAAACCCAGTAGTTAAAAGTCAGCTCATAACTTAGAAACCAATGTTATTCATAAATTCCAGACATTGTATAGAAAAACATTGTGAAACTCCCTGCCCTGTTCTGTTTCTCTCTGACCACCAGTACATGCAGCCCCTGTCACGTACCCACTGCTTGCTCAAATCAATCACGACCCTTCTATGTAAAATCTTTAGTGTTGTGAGCCCTTAAAAGGGACAGAAATTGTGCACTCGGGGAGCTCGGATTTTAAGGCAGTAGCTTGCCAATGTTCCCAGCTGAATAAAGCCCTTCCTTCTACAACTTGGTGTCTGAGAGGTTTTGTCTGCAGCTCATCCTGCTACAATGCCAGCTACTCAGGAGGCTGAGGCAGAATAATCGCTTGAACCCAGGAGGCAGAGGTTGCAGTGAGCTGAGATCACACCACTGCACTCCAGCCTGGATGACGAGCAAGACTTCGTCTTTAAAAAAAAAAAAAAAAAAAAAATCCAATAGTAAACCAGGCACAATGGCTCATGCTTACAATCGGAGCTTCTTGGGAGGCTGAGATGGGAGGATGGCTTGAGGACAGGAGTTTGAGACCAGCCTGAGCAGCATAGTAAGATCTCATCTCTAAAAATTAAAAAGAAAATTAAATCAGCTGGGCACGGTGCACGTGCCTATAGTCCCAGCTATTCTGGAGGCTGAGATGGGAGGATGACTTAAGCTCAGGACTTTGAGGCTACAGTGAGCTATGATCACACTACTGCACTCTAGGCGGGGCGACAGAGCAAGACCCTGTCTCTGTTTAAAGAAAAAATAGTGAAGCAGGGACATGAAGGCATTCAGTGTGCAGCCTCCATGGACTGGCCAGAACCAGTCCATGGTTGGTATTCTTTTATCTGGAGAAAATTACTGAAATCAGTCTTTTGTCCAATCAAAGTTGTCGTTACGGCTTGTGGAAGGGGAGGTCAGTCAGCCAGCATTAAGCGGTTGGTGGAGCTGCAATTGTTTTAATATTGCTTATCTTGAGGCCAGTGCTTGTTCAGCTGCCAGAGAAAAAGAAAAACCTTGTGGCAGTTAGAACATAGTTTATTCTTTCAAGGGACTTAACTCCTGCCCGGCGTAGCCTTAAGTCTCGTTTATAAGTTTGTATCTTATTGCCGCAGAGTCCGTTGCCTCAATCTTGTGACCTCTATTTTAACATTAATGCTGGTCATTTTGTGTCTAAACCACAAAAGGAAGGAGGTATAATGAGGCATGTCCTACCTCCTGTCCCATCATGGCCTGAACCTTTTAAGGTTTCTCTGGGATCCCCTTGGCCAAGAAGGGGGTCCGTTCAGCTGGTTGGGGGTGCTTAGGATTTTATTTGTAGTCTCAATGAAAAATCTCTACGGTCAGTCACACCTTTCTCTCCATCATTCTCTGAGCTCCCGTCCCACTTGGTCTTCTTTCAAGTCTTCAAATGCGCCATCTGCATTCCCACCCCCAGGCCTTTCCGCGTGCCATTATTCCCACCTGACACACTTTCCCCCACACTTTTGTTTAGTTAATTCTGACTCTCCCTGCGGGCTTTATGAAAAAAAAAAAAAAAAAAAGGACCATGGCTTGTTCACTGTTGTATTCCAAGCTCTTAAACTTAAGCCCAGAACATAGTAGAATATAATAAATGCTACTTACATGAACTAAAGAACATTTTGCTAACGTAAAGGACAAGTTAGCCAGGTTGCAGCTTCCCACCCCATAGTCATTTATTCCCCACAGCCTGAGCCACTTAGCCATCCATTCTGATCTCTTGGAGAGTAGTTCTCAATCCTAGATGGACATTACAAGTAGTTTTTAATCCTCACAGCTTTTAAGAATCGCCTAAGCCTGGGCCTGTCTCCAAGAGTTACTTTCCTGAGCGCTTACTCCATGCTGAGCCCTGGCCTCAGGTTGCTGTTAGTCTAGGACAGCATCACACACAATCGTCTGTTTCCTTACGTCAGATTCATACTACTATATACACATCTCAAAGATGCACAAGGGAAAGAGTACTCCTGTCGCAGAGGCAGGAAGGCTTCCTGCAGATAGTAGTATTTGAGCTTGTTTTGCAACAAACAGTACCAGGTAGACAAGGAAGGGGCAAGACATTTCAGGCAAGAGGACCACTGTGACATATTAGGAGAATCGCAAGAAGAATGTGGGTTTGTGCAGAAGGGTTTCAAAGATTCTAGTGCATAGTAATAAGTAAATACATACAAGACAGAGTCCTAAAGAATGGATGAGGAAGGTGAGCCAGAAGGATTCCTGTCACTGAGGAATATGATTGTCTTCCCCACACAGAGCCTGGGGACCCACTCAGCCAAATTTCTCCAACCTCCCCAGGCACCAAAATGTGAGTCATCCCGGCATTCCCCTGCCACCATCTGTCACAAGGTCCCCAAAGGATGTGGAGAGAGTCTCCATGGACTCTGGGACAGTGGAAAGGGAAGGAGGAGGCAGGAAGAAAACAGAAAGAGCCATTCCCTCAGGGGCTACAAAGACTATAAGTCCCCCTGTTACTACCTCTGGACTAGGGCATGTCCCTGCTACCTCCCCCTGCCAGTCTCATGCCACAGGCTGCACTGAAGCTGCTCTGCTGAAAGAACTCCCCACCCACCTCCACTATTTAGGTATGTCCTAACAATCCAATAACCACATGCCTTTGCAATGACAGCAGCTGCTGTCTGAACCAAGACATATTAAATGTCTGTGTCCTGGGGAGGATGACCTAAGGACTTGGGCTTGTTAAGAAAAGGGCAAGCCACATATTGAGAAATGCCAGGAGGCCAGCCCCACCGGACTCAAATGCGTTCATGAGTAGAGTGGGGCCTGGAGAGCAGAGGATAAGTCAAGACAGAGTTCAGCAGAAAGCTAGCAGGAAGAGGCTAAGGAACCCTCCAGAAAGCTGAAATCCTAAGATATCAAAGCTGGAAATACTGTCCAATATCACCTAGGGTCTTACCATGCAAGCGGTGCCCAGGCTGCAGCATCAACAAACACCTAGGAGTTTGTTAGAAATGCAGAATTTTCAGAGCAGTCCTGAGGCAGGCACTGCATTTAAATACTATCTCCAGCTGATTCCTATGCACCCTAAAGGTTGGGAAGCACTGCTTGAGGGTCCCAAATCAGCTGCATATCAGAATCACCTGGAACATTTTTTTTCCAACTACAGATTTCCAAGCCCCACTCTGCATCAATTGTTTAGGATATCTGGGCACTGTGTGTAGCAATCTATTTTTTCACAAAGCTCCAGTAGTAATTCTAATGACACCAGTCCGCACAGTAGAGTGGGAACTGCTTATCAGTCCAAACTGCTCAATCTAAAGATGAGGAAAGATGGTGGCAACCGAGGAAAGACAGTGGCAACAACTAGCTTGGTAATCTATTAAGAGACCTAATCAGGGTTTCCACGTAGAGAGCATTTAAGACAAGAACTTGATTTGGAGCTGAGACATCTGAGTTCAAGCCCCAACTCTACTCCTTCATAACTACTATGTCTCTTGGGACAAATCTCTTCTCTTCTTTCTTTGGAACTCAGGTTTCTTACCTTCAAGGACAGATACTCCTAACCAGGGAAGGAAAGGGACAGGCAGCTGGAGCTGAGGTCAGAAGAACCACGTGGGAATCCCAGCCATGCCACCCACCAGCTGCACCACCAAGTGAAAATGCTTAAGAGGCAGCAGCAGCCGGGGGAGAAATGAAGGCTAGAAGCCAACATACATTGATCCTGACTGGGCCAGGCTGTACTCCATAAATTTTGTAGGAGATAGAAAATCAGGCACATGTGGCTGGGCATGGTGGCTTGCGCCTGTAATCCCAGCACTTTGGGAGGCCAAGGTGGGTGAGGTCAGGAGTTTGAGACCAGCCTGGCCAACATGGTGAAACCCCATCTCTACAAAAATACAAAAAATTAGCTGGGTGTGGTCTCAGACACCTGTAATCCCAGCTACTCAGGAGGCTGAGGCAGGAGAATCACTTGAACCCAAGAGGCGGAGGTTACAGTGAGCCAAAATCGTGCCATTGCACTCCAGCCTAGGTGGCAAGAGCAAGTCTCCACCTAAAAAGAAAGGAAGGAGTGGAGGGGAGGGGAGGGGAGGGGAGTCCTGGTTTGCTTGGGACTGTTCCAGCTTTAGCCCTGAAAGCCCTTTGTCCCAGGAAACTCCTCAGGTCCAGGCAAACTGGGACTGTCGGTCACCATAAGTTAGGATAATTCTTCCTTCCCCAGGAATGTGAAGAGCATGCTCAGTGGAAGCCTGTGTTGAGACTGCTTCTGTAGCTGAAGAAAGGTTTTGCCTTTATGTGCCTGATTTCCTTCCTTCCTGCCTGCCTTCCTTCCTTATTTCCTTCCTTCCTTCCTTCTCCCTTCCATTCCCTTCGACTGTTGGTCACTCTGATCCTAGAGGTGAGGGTGGGCGGGCTGAAGTCTCTCTGTTGCAGAATGGAATGCACTTCAGCCAGTTCTAGTGAGTATATAAGGGAACGACCTTCATCATTCCACAAGAATTCACTGAGCACCTATGATGTGCCAGGTGCTTGGCAATAACAGTAACAGAGATACTGCCTCCACCTTCACAGAGCTTACAGCTGAGAGGAGGATATGCCTCACAATTTTACCATGATGTCGAACTCTGAGGAACCTTCAGCCTATTCTTTCTGCTGAATTTTTTGGTGAAAAAAAAATTAAGTTGGCTCCTCACACTACAACTAGCACAAAATAAATTCCAGGTAGACTAAATATTTAACCATCTAAAAAAGTGAAACTATGAAAGTACTAGAAGAAAAGCATGGGAGGATATTTTTATAATCTTAGAATGGAAAGAGGGCTTCTACGTATAACATAAAACCTAAAACCAATAAAATAAGAATTTACAAATTCAATTAAATAAATTAAAATTTACTTTTCATAAAGAAAAAGAACCATAAAGTCAAAAGACTCATGACAAAATAGAAATATATATATAATTATATAATTTGTATCACAAAGAGCTAATGTCCACAAAATGTAAAGAGGTACTCTAAATTAATAGCAACAGTCTGGGCGTGGTAGTTCACATCTATAATCCCAGCACTTTGGGAGGCCAAGGCAGGTAGATTACCTGAGGTCAGGAGTTTGAGACTAGCCTAGCCAAAATGGCGAAACTCTATCTCTACGAAAAATGTAAAAGTTAGCTGTGCGTGGTGGGATGTGTCTGTAGTCCCCGCTACTCAGGAGGCTGAGGCATGAAAATCGCTTGAACCCAGGAAGTGGAGGCTGCAGTGAGCCAAGATCACACCACTGCACTCCAGCCTGGGTGACAGAGAGAGACTCCATCTCAAAAATAATAATAATAATAAATTAATTAATAGCAACAAAGACCAAAAATTCAACAGATAATTGGCAAAGAATGTGAACAGAGAATTCACAAAAGAAACACAAGTGATTCTTAAGTTTATTAAATAATGTTCATTCTCATTCATAATAAGATAAATGTAAATTAAGGCTACAGTGAGGTACTTTTATATATCATTAGGCAAAGATCAAAAAGTCTGAAAACAGTATTATGGAGAATGTTGGAAAGCATGTACTCTTATGTATTGCTAGTGGAAATATAAATTAGTATATCATTATTTAAGAGCAATTTGATAGTATCTACAAAATGAAGTACATATACTCTTTGACTTAGCATTTCCATTTATATGCTAACATACAAGTTTTAAAATAAATATATACATATATGTCTGTGCATTTATAAAGTAATTCTGGAAGGATACACAAGAAACTGCTAGCAGCTGTCCCCTCTAGAGAGCAGGAATAGAGGACTCAGAAGCAAGGTGGGAGGAAGAGTTGTTTTTTATTAAATACCCTTTGGTGCCTCTTGAATTTTTTACAGTGCATTATATTGCTCCTAAAAATAAATAACAAAAAGAGAGCAAAGTAGAAAACACTAACTTCTAACGATGTACTCATATTTATTATTAACATTAAATTTAATTTTTAAAGATTTTTTTCATTGGGAAATGTTATGAAAAACTCAGGATTGAAATAGGGGAGTTTGAATTGCAGAGAAGACATGCACCTAACCAAAGGATAACAAAGATGCTTCACCTCTCCTACAAACCCCAGCCCTCAGGCAGTGACTTCCACAAGCACTGAGATAAGAAGGATTCTAAGGCTAGTCCGAGTTCAGTAAGAATGAGTAGCACGACTGACTAGCCATGTCTGCCTTGCTCACAGGATGGGGTCATAGCATCATCTTTAATACAAACTCCATCTCTCTCCTAATGGCTCCAACCAATGAGACTGTGTTATAACCACTCCATTTGATGGCAGCCTATGTTCGACTGCAGAATCCAACTTATTTTAAGAGTGAATACCTCTTGGGGTGGTGAATGCATGAAACTAAAGTGATACTGTGGCAGAAAACATCACAAGTCCCTTAATATTAAGCCAAAGTAGATTGCAATGGCTGGGTATAGATTCACAGAGAAGACACAAATTAAATCGGGCTTAAATGTTAGCTAGGGGCTGGGTGCAGTAGCTCATGCCTGTAATCCCAGCACTTTGGGAGGCTGAGGCAGGTGGATCACCTGAGGTCAGGAGTTCAAGACCAGCCTGGCCAACATGGTGAAATCCCGTTTCTACAAAAAATACAAAAATTAGCTAGGTCTGGTGGTTCGTGACTGTAATCTCAGTAACTCAGGAGGCTGAGGCAGGAGAACTGCTTGAACCTGGGAGGTGGCAGTTGCAGTGAGCAGAGTTCATGCCATTGTACTCCAGCCTAGGTGACAGAGCGAGACTCCATCTCAAAAAAAAAAAAAAAAAAAAAAAGTGTTAGCTAGGAACTTGAATAGGGGAACAATATGGTTTGGCTGTGTCTCCGCCCAAATCTCATCTTGAATTGTAGTTCCCATAATCCCCACGTGTCATAGGAGGGACCTGGTGGGAGGTAATGCAATCATGGGGGCGGTTACCCTCATGCTACTGTTCTCGTGATAGTGAGTTTTCATGAGATCTGATTTTTTTTTTTTTTTTTTTTTTTTGAGATGGAGTCTTGCTCTGTCGCCCAGGCTGGAGTGCAGTGGCGTGATCTCGGCTCACTGCAAGCTCCGCCTCCTGGGTTCACACCATTCTCCTGCCTCAGCCTCCCAAGTAGCTGGGACTACAGGCGCCTGCCACCACGCCTGGCTAATTTTTTTTTTTTTTTTTTTGTATTTTTAGTGGAGAAGGGGTTTCACCATGTTAGTCAAGATGGTCTCAATCTCCTGACCTCGTGATCTGCCTGCCTCAGCCTCCCAAAGTGCTGGGATCATAGGTGTGAGCCACTGCTCCAGGCCGAGATCTGATTGTTTTATAAGGGGCTTTTTCCCCTTTTGCTTGGCACTTCTCCGTCCTGCAATCATGTGAAGAAAGACATGTTTTCTTCCCCTTCTGCCATGACTGTAAGTTTCCTGAAGCCTCCCCAGCCATGTGGAACTGTAAGTCAATTAAACCTCTCTCCTTTATAAATTACTTAGTCTTGGCCAGTTCTTTATAGCAGCATGAGAACAAACTAATACAGGGAAGAAGAGGAAAAAAGGGATTCTAGACAGGGGAAATAATTTCAAAAGATAGTAATAAGTAGGCCTAGCATCAAAGACAGGGGAGAAGAGTGAATAATAAGGAGATAGGACTAGGGCAAAGGCTTGCATAGAAGAAACAATATTAGAAAACTGTTTTTGTGGAGACCCTTGGCAAAGTGTTTGGAGTTATCTAATGCACAGTCAGAGTAAAATGCTTAGACAAGGCTTGAGAAGCACAGTGGAGAGGGGAAGATGTGGTCAGCATGGAGACCAGCTGGGAAGCTCACTCATGATCACATGAGTGGGGCTTGGACCAGGGACATGGCAGTCCTTGGAGTGAAGTGGACCAGCACAAGGGTACTGCAGAGGCACAACAGGTGGGCGGCCCACTGTTGGGCCAAAAGGAGAGGGTGGGAACAAAGGGAGAGGGTGGGAACAATCACCCTCAAAAGTAAAAGATGCTTCTCTGGGCTTGGATTTCTTCATCTATGAGTAGATATAAAAGTATCTGCTTCATAAGGATGTGATAGGTATCAAATGAGATTGTTCATGCAATCATCAATCAATCAATGGCCTACCAATCACTCCATTGATTGGCATCATATGCCATTCAGTAAGCTGAGGAGAAAGAGAGAAATGTGTTCCTCTCCTTCAGATCATATATATGTTAGTTTGTAATTGTATGTGTGTGGTTATTTGATTGAGAGCTCTCTCTTCCCACCAGCCTGAAAGTTCTGTGAGAGCAGTAACAGATGTGTTATAGTGACATCTGTATCCCTTGTGCTCATAGAGTGCCTGTCCCATAACAGGTAGTTAAAAAATGCTTGTTGAGTATATAATTAAAAATGGATTGATATTTAAGTGATTGATAGATTGATAAATACATACATACATACATGCATACATAAATATATACATAGACAGACTTCATAAGCTTTAATCCCAGGGACTGAAAGATAAATACGGAGTCAGACAGAAGTAGGAATGTTGGAAGGATTTGAAAAGACAAGAGAGTCAACTAGAGGCAACCGGGAACCTAAAAGTGCAGGAACCTGAAGTTTTCCAGATCCTTTCTAGCACTGATTAGCACCGAAGAGCAAACGCAGAAGTTGCTCCTTATGAAAACCTGAGTCCTCCTCTTTTATTAGCAAGTCCCACACTGACGTACACAACCCTAGAACGTCAATATTGCTCCTCCTGGGTAGTGAGGCGAGAGAGAGAGACGTTAATGGAGAATTAATTCTATGTTTTGTGTGTGCAAACACACACACTCCACAATACCTACTTAACTGAAGTTTGTGGGTACTTGTACCCAAAACATTCAAAGTACCTTAAAAGTCCTGAAGTCTCGTTGTCCCTATTTTACAGATGGAGAAATGGAGAGGCACTCAAAGCACCTCTGCTCCTCACTCGGTAAAGGTGAGTTGCATTTGCTTTCCATGTGGACAGACTGAAATACAAAGGGGTTGGCCACCCACTGGGTTCTGTGTGCAGAACTTCGGCCAGGTAGCAGACTTCATTCTTGGAGAACAGGTAGTTGAGTAGAACTGGAACTCCCTGTTTCTGTACCCCTGGAAGCTGTCTGACCTCCACCAGTGACACACCAAGGAGAAGGAGGAAGATACCTAAAATCCTGTATGCCTATGGACAGAGGGGTGAATTAAGCACAGTCCCAGATCTTAAGATGCTTGATCAGGTGAGAGGAGATAAGCATGTAGGTAATTATACAACAATGGAATAATGATATGATGCAGAGAGACTGGTGAGTGGAGTTCCAGCATGAGAGGATGGGCAGTTGGGTGCTCAGATAAAGATGACCCCTAAGCTGAATCTTAAAAGATAAGAAGGATCAGCTCTGACATAGCAGGGGGCAAAGGCCATGGAATCCTCTGAAATGCCCTCAGGTCTTTTAGCTGGAGCCCCATCTCTGTTTGGAGCAGACAGCAGTATGTCTTATATACACATACATTAAAAAAACATATGTTATGAGTTTTTTCATCAATCTGTATATTTTTTCTGAAAATTATGTTTTGATCTCAATATGTTCTTGAGATTTCTCTATATTGTTATATAGAGGTTGACTCCATTCCTGTTTAACTCCCATGAGCCTACTGATAAACATTTAGGTTTGACTAACATTTATTTAGCCATTACAAATAGTCCAGGAATGCATGCTCCCTTGTCTCCTTCTGTATACATGAGAGGGTTTTCAAAAGTAAACACCAAGTAGTGGAATTACCAGGTGCTATGGACTGAATGTTTACATCCCCAAAAAATTCATGTTGAAATTCTAACCCCCAATATGATGGTATTTGGAGAAGGAGCCTTTGGGAGGTAATTAGGTCTAAAACTATTTAGGTCATTATGGTGGCATCTATGATAATGGGATTGGTACCCTTATAAGAAA
The DNA here is from genome assembly GCF_000001405.40 of Homo sapiens. Lineage (NCBI taxonomy): Eukaryota > Metazoa > Chordata > Mammalia > Primates > Hominidae > Homo > Homo sapiens. The sequence goes on from NC_000009.12 coordinate 122,785,699, forward strand.
CCAGAGAGCTTTCTCTGTCTCTCTGTCCCCAACCTGTGACAATACAGTAGGAAGGTGGCCATCTACAAGCCAGAAGGAGGGCTCTCACTAGAACCCAACCATGCTGACATGCTAACCACAGACTTCCCAGTTTCCAGGACCATGATAAATAAATGTCTGTTGTTTAAGCCACCCAGTCTATTGGCATTTTGTTATAGCAAACTGAGTAGCTTAAGACACTGGGGCGTGCACAGTGGTCGGAAATGTCCCAGTTTACATTTCCACAAGCACAACCTCACCAACGTGATATTGTCAAAATTTTTCATCCAATTTGTGCTTTGTAGGAGATTTTCACCATCCTCACTGGGCACAGGTAAGTCCCAAACATCTAAACTTCTCTTAAAAGGAGGGGAAGAAGAATTTATTCAGCTCCGGGCCCCTTCCTGCACACCTATTGCCTCTTAAAAACCTCCACAGAGATATTATGATTCCTACTTTGCAAGGAGAAAACCAAAGTTAAGGGAGGTGAAGTGACTTGCCTGAAGTTACACACCAGAAAGTTGTGGAACTAGGACTCAAAAGCAAGTGTTCATGCTGCTAATGTCTGTACTCTTGTTCACTGTGTTATGGACTCAACTAACATTTTTTGAGCTCTGATTATATACCTCACCCTGGAGATACAAAAATGAATTATGGGGCATTCTTAGCACACAGTAATGCTCAATAAAACTTTGTTGAATGAATATTGAATCAAGGAGCTCAAAGTTCACAGGAGACACACATGTAAAAGATATTTGCAATAGAATGGTGAAGCAGCATGAGAGAGGTACAGCAGTTGTTCCCCTTTACCCACAGTTTTGCTTTCTGCAGTTTCAGTTACCTGCAGTCAACTGTGACCCGAAACTATTAAAAACAGGCTGGGTGCAGTGGCTCACACCTGTAATCCCAACACTTTGGGAAGCCGAGACAGACGAATCACCTGAGGTCAGGAGTTCGAGACCAACCTGGCCAATGTGGTGAAACCCCATCTCTACTAAAAATACAAAAAAATTAGCTGGGCATGGTAGCACACACCTGTAGTCCCAGCCACTCAGGAGGCTGAGGCAGGAGAATCACTTGGACCTAGGAGGTGGAGGTTGCAGTGAGCCGAGATCACACCACTGCACTCCAGCCTGGGTGACAGAGTGAGACTCCATCTCAAAAAAAAAAAAAACAAAAACAAAACAAAACAAAACAAAACAAAACAAAAAAAAAAAAAATATATATATATATATATATATATAAAAGTAAGATATTTTGAGGGACAGAGAGAGAGACCATATTCACCTAACTTGTATTATAGTACATTGTTATAATTGTTCTATGTTATTATTGTTGTTGTTATCCCTTACTATGCCTAATTTATAAATTAAGCTTTATCATGGATATGAATGTATAGGGAAAAAAATCACATATATAGGGTTCAGTACGATCTGTGATTTCACACATCCACAGGGGGTCTTGGAACGTATTCCCCATAGATAAGGGGGAACTACTGTATGCTCCAGTGCAGCAGGCCACAGACAAGAAAAATGTTTAGTTTTAAGGGACAGATCAGGGAAGGCTTCACACTGGAGAAACTTTTTACCAAACACAAAAGGAGGAAATGGGTTCCAGGCAAAGAGGACAAATGCAAGGCACAGGAGTGTGAAGCAACATTGCATTTTCTGGGAATTATACTACTTTTGATTGCCATAAAGTTGCTTCCTTCCAGTTTGGAGCCAGAGCATCCAGTTCAATTTATTTCCATTCGCAGGGCCTTTGTTAAATGCCTGCGTGTGCTAGGCCCTGTGTGAGAAGCTTTACATGCATTATCTCATCGAATCCTTGCAGCTTTCCCCCATTATCCAGATGAGAACATTGAGGCTCAGAGAGGCCAAGAATTCAGCTCAGGAATATATTCACATTTTCTGTTCTTTCTACTCCCCACTGTTTTCGCAAGATACCAGGCTACTCCTTTCTCCGATCTTACTCCAAAGGAAAGATGTCCCTACTAGCAAACCTCAAAAGCCATGGCCAGGTGCCCGTTGGATCTGAAGATTATTTCTGCTCATTCCACTGTCTCTTTTCTTACCTGGAAAACTGGAGAGGAGAATGCATATAGAGTCACAAAGTTTTCAATCATTGGCTGGACACTAAATATCATCCCATTCATTCATTTAACAAATCTTTTTTGAGCACCAGCTATGTGCTAGGCAATGCTCTCAGTGCTGTAGACACAAAAGTGAATAAGAGGGACAAGACCCCTGTGGGTGTGGTGGAGCATGCCTATAATCCCAGCTGCTTGGGAGGCTGAGGTGGGAGGAGGATCACTTAAGCCCAAGAATTTTAGTTCAGCCTGGGCAACATAGTGAGACCTTGTGTCTCTTTAAAAAAAAAAAAAAAAAGGCTGGGCGTGGTGGCTCACACCTGTAATCCCAACACTTTGGGAAGCTGGGGCAGGCAGACTTGAGATCAGGAGTTGAAGACCAGCCTGACCACCAACATGGTGAAACCCTACCTCTACTTAAAAAATACAAAAATTAGCCGGGCATGGTGGCGGGCACCTGTAGTCCCAGCTACTCGGGAGGCTGAGGTAGGAGAGTCACTTGAACCCAGGAGGCGGAGGTTGCAGTGACCCAAGATTGCACCACTGCACGCCAGCCTGGGCAACAAAACAAGACTCCATCTCAAAAAAAAGAAAAGAAAAGAAAAGAAAAAAGAAAAAAAGACGGGCCGGGTACAGTGGCTCATGCCTGTAATCCCAGCACTTCAGGAGGCTGAGGTGGGCGGATCACCTGAAGTTGGGAGTTCGAGACCAGCCTGACCAACATGGAGAAACTCCATCTCTACTAAAAATATAAAATTAGCCAGGCACGGTGGCACATGCCTATAATCCCAGCTACTTGGGAGGCTGAGGCAGGAGAATCGCTTGAACCCAGAAGGCGGAGGTTGTGGTGAGCTGAGATCACACCTTTGCACGCCAGCCTGGGTAACAAGAGCAAAACTCCATCTCAAAAACAAAAAAAGGCTTCTGCAATGACTTCTAAGAGTTAGAAACAGGTTTTGAGAGGTTACGTGGCTTGCTCAAGGTCACAGCAATTTTGTTGCACAGGTGAGCTGAAACCCAAGCCTACCTAACTCCCAGTACAGGATGCTTTCTTCTCCCTGGCCATGGCCTTGCCATTGCTCTTATCTCCCTCCTGCTTTGCCTCTTCTCAGTCTCTGTCCAGTAGGATGAACTCAGAGAACCTCACCCGGGCCGCGGTTGCCCCTGCTGAATTCGTCCTCCTGGGCATCACAAATCGCTGGGACCTGCGTGTGGCCCTCTTCCTGACCTGCCTGCCTGTCTACCTGGTGAGCCTGCTGGGAAACATGGGCATGGCGCTGCTGATCCGCATGGATGCCCGGCTCCACACACCTATGTACTTCTTCCTGGCCAACCTCTCCCTGCTGGATGCCTGCTATTCCTCCGCCATCGGCCCCAAGATGCTAGTGGACCTGCTGCTGCCCCGAGCCACCATCCCTTACACAGCCTGTGCCCTCCAGATGTTTGTCTTTGCAGGTCTGGCTGATACTGAGTGTTGCTTGCTGGCAGCCATGGCCTATGACCGCTACGTGGCCATCAGAAACCCACTTCTCTATACAACAGCTATGTCGCAGCGTCTATGCCTGGCCTTGCTGGGAGCATCAGGCCTGGGTGGGGCAGTGAGTGCCTTTGTTCACACAACCCTCACCTTCCGCCTGAGCTTCTGCCGCTCCCGGAAGATCAATAGCTTCTTCTGCGATATCCCTCCACTGCTGGCCATCTCGTGCAGTGACACCAGTCTCAATGAACTCCTTCTCTTCGCCATCTGTGGCTTCATCCAGACAGCCACGGTGTTAGCTATCACGGTGTCTTATGGCTTCATCGCTGGGGCTGTGATCCACATGCGCTCGGTCGAGGGCAGTCGGCGAGCAGCCTCCACCGGTGGTTCCCACCTCACAGCCGTGGCCATGATGTACGGGACACTCATTTTCATGTACCTGCGCCCCAGCTCCAGCTATGCCCTGGACACTGACAAGATGGCCTCTGTGTTCTATACCCTGGTCATCCCGTCTCTCAACCCACTCATCTACAGCCTCCGCAATAAGGAGGTCAAGGAGGCCCTCAGGCAGACCTGGAGCCGATTCCACTGTCCAGGGCAGGGGTCCCAGTGATTGGTCCAGGGAGGCTGGGTAGGTCTGACTATGAGGGGATGAGGAAGGTCGGGGCCTCTTTCTGGCCCCGTCACTGTCGGTAAAGATGGGATGTTCCTCTGGCTTGGATGTCTCATGTCATTGTTTAAGGGACAGTAAAGAGGGAAATGAAAGCTTATAGCAGGGAGAAAAAGATTTGGGGTTCATCTAGGGCTAGACCTAGAGCCAGACGCTAGACCAGGCTAATGTTTCTGTTGCACTGCCTCAGGTTCTTCAACATTCAAAACATTCTTCAATATTCAGCTGGGTGCAGTGGCTCATGCCTGTAACCCCAGCACTTTGGGAGGCCAAGGCAGGAGTTCAAGACCAGCCTGGGCAACACAGGGAGACCCCCCCACCATCTCTACAAAAAAAAAAAATTGTTAAAAATAAGCTGGGCATGATGGCATACTATGCAGTCACAAAAAAGAAAGAGATGATATCCTTTTCAGGGACGTGGATGGCTCTGGAGACCATTTTCCTCAGCAAACTAACACAGGATCAGAAAACCAAACACCACAAGTTCTCACTTATAAGTGGGAGCTAAACAACGAGAACATGCGGACATATAGAGGGGAACAACACACACTGGGGCTTATCGGAGGGTGGAGGGTAGGACGAGAGAGAGAAGCAAAAAAAAAAAAAACTAATGGATATTAGGCTTAATATCTGGGTAATAAAATAATCTGTGCAACCAACCTCCACGACACACATTTACCTGTGTAACAAACCTGCACATCCTGCACATGTACTACCTCTGAACTTAAAAGTTAAAAATAATAATAATACCTGTAATCTCAGCACTTTGGGAGGCCAAGGCAGGCAGATCACGAGGTCAGGAGATCGAGACCATCCTGGCTAACAAGGTGAAACCCCGTCTCTACTAAAAATACAAAAAAAAAAAAAAAAGAATTAGCTGGGCGCAGTGGCAGACACCTGTAGTCCCAGCTACTCAGGAGGCTGAGGCAGGAGAATGGTGTGAACCCAGGAGGCAGAGCTTGCAGTGAGCCGAGATCACGCCACTGCACTCCAGCCTGGGCTACAGAGCAAGACTCCATCTCAAAATAATAATAATAATAATAATAAATTAGCCAGGCGTGGTGGTTCACGCCTGTAGTGCCAGCTACTGGGGAGGCTGCAGCAGGAGAATCACTTGAGCCCAGGAGGTCGAGGCTGACGTTGAGCTGTGATTGTGCCACTGCACTCCAGCCTGGGTAACAGAGCAAGACCTATCTCAAAATAGTAGTAATATAAAAGTTCCTAGATGTTACCAGGTAAAGGAATACAGGCTTATTTGCCACCTGTACTTACAAGAGGCTAATCCCCAGAAGCACCAAGTGAGAGCTATGTTAGTTCCAAGTGTTCCTAGATTCTTGACCTTTTAAGCTTCTTCATGGCCAGTGTGTCTGCGCCTGCCCTCCTCAGCCCAGGAGAACATCTTCAGGATCCACTTAGACCAAAGCATGGGACGGAATCTGAAGAGGGAAACATCTGTCCCCTATGGCCCATGTATTCCACGTCTCAGGAAAATGGCTTAATAGCTAGAACATGCACAAGTCACTTTTAAACTCCCAACAGCTGGATTTGAATTTGGCCAGGGTTAGACTAGTTCAGGCTTATGATAGAGGCTAGGAAAGGATTAGGATTGAATAGTTAGAATCGGGTTAAGATTAGGTCTCAGGCTATGGCTAAGGATGGGGTTCAGTTATGGTAGGTTAGGATTAGGGTTAGGGAGAATTAAGAAATGATCAGGCAAATTTATGATTGAATTACAATTATGTAAATTTTATAATTTGGGCTCGTTGTTATTAGTAGTATATTTGGGATAAATTTAAGGGTTTGGGCCAGGTGCGGTGGCTCACGCCTGTAATCCCAACACTTTGGGAGGCCGAGGCAGGCAGATCATCTGAGGTCAGGAGTTCAAGACCAGACTGAGCAACATGGTGAAACTCTGTCTCTACTAAAAATACGAAAAAAATTAGCCAGGCATGGTGGTGCATGCCTGTAATCCCAGCCACTCGGGAGGCTGAGGCAGGAGGATCACTTGAACCCAGGAGGCAGAGGTTGCAGTGAGCCAAAATCATGCCACTGCACTCCAGCCAGAGTGACAGAGCGAGACTCCACGTAAAAAAAATAAATAAATAAATAAATAAATAAATAAATAAATAAGAGTTTGGATAAATCTTGTTAGACATATTAGAATTATTTTAGGGTTAGTGTTAGAATGGGAAACTAAATAAGATTGGAGTTTGGATTTCATTTGTATTACTCAATTAAATTGGAGTTAGAGTTTAGTTCACATTAGACTTAAGTTGGTGTATGGGTAATGTTTGTGCTAAGTTTAAGTCACAGTCTGGTTATTACTACAGGTAAGCTGGGATCAGAACCAGATGAAATTTAGGCATAACAATATTTTAGGTATCAAATTGGCATGCTTGTGGTCACTTTAAGATTTAGTTGGGGTTATAAATAATGTTACTTAAAGCCTAAGGGTAGGGGTTGGTTGTTGGTGAATTTCAGTTTCATTCAGAGTGATGAGCATGCCTGGATTTGCATGTGGTTGGGTAGGATTAGTATCATGACTGTTTGGTGTTAAGATTCCAGCATTGAGGTAGGGTTGGAGTTGGAGAGGGAATGCCATAACCCTGACCTCTTGGGCAACAGTAACTACACTGCCCCAAGCCTTGAGTCATGGAGGACCTCCGAGACCCAGTGCTCTTGGGAGTTTTATTCACCCAGAGTTCACAATTTTGACAGATTTCTTTTGTCTCCATGACTCTTTTACACATAGGCAAGTCCTAAGGCACTGCATTCTGCCTGGGAAGCCTCTCTCTGCAGGAGCAGACAGGAGTAGACCCTGGGAGTTACAGGCAAGAGCCTCCAAGAAGAGGTGGAGCATGGCCAGATTTAAATGTCAGCTTCTACCTGATCCTCCCTCCAGTTCCCCTGATTATGGCTGAGGCAAGGCCAGGGTGGGAAAGGTATGGGACTCAAACAATGCTTCACCCAATAGGCTGCCCATGGAGTCTCTTCCTTGGGCCCTAGCCAGGGGCTGGCCTTGCCCCTCTACACTCTCCCTTCAAGGAGAAATCAACCACCTGGCGCCACTTAGACTGCAGGAAAACTGAAGGCTTCGACCTGGCTCCCTGGGAAGAAGATGCCCCTTGTTGCCAGGACCAAGACCCTCCCTCTTGGTAACTATGGCATTCTTGGAGTTCCCAGGCTAATAAAGAGAAGAATGTGGACAAGACCATCTCCTCAAATCTTAGAGAACTTTACAGGTTTCCTGACTCACTCCAGTTTTCCCAGAACAGTCCAGTTTTGAAACTCCAAGTCCCGGCTGGGAGCGGTGGCTCACACCTGTAATCCCAGTACTTTGGGAGGCCAAAGCGGGCGGATCACGAGGTCAGGAGATTGAGACCAGCCCGGCTATCACGGTGAAACCCCATCTCTACTAAAAATACAAAAAAAATTAGCCAGGCATGGTGGCGGGTGCCTGTAGTCTCAGCTACTCGGGAAGCTAAGGCAGGAGAATGGCTTGAACCCAAGAGGCGGAGCTTGCAGTGAGCTGAGATGGCGCCACCCACTGCACTCCAGCCTGGGCAACAGAGCAAGACTCTGTCTCAAAAAATAATAATAATAAAAAAATAAATAAAAAAACTCCAAGTCCCATGTCCCAAGACACCCTCAGTCCTGGGCAAATCGAGATAGTTGGTCACCCCATTTCCTGTTGAAGCAGCTCTTGAGAGAAAACTTACAATGTCCCAAATTCAGCACATTCTGAAAAGACTTAGATAAAATAAAACCCCTCCTCTCATCACAAGGCTCAACCATCCTCTCCCAGTTCCCCAACTCCTCTTGCCTCCTATCACCACAGCAAATCAGGTGCCACAACAAAAATCGGAGTCATTGTCAAAGGAGTTGGCAACCTGAGGACTGCAAATGTAAGGCTTGCCCCAAATTCAACATTTAGACTCAAAGATCTCCTCTATGGTCCTTTCTCTTTTTTGTGGGTTCTTAGGCTCTCATGACATACAGCAGCTGCCACAATCAGTGGAAAAGTTTCCAGACGGATAAGGCCCCTTCCATCACCTTGGCCCTACAGGATGGCCATGGCTCCTTCCACATATTTAGTATCCATGGAGCAGCCAGATACAATAATTACATAAATCCTAGAAATCAGCTGGAGGAAATACTAAGTTTCAAGCTATTATACTGGGCCTACTTGAGAGATAGGAAAACAAACAAGAGGGAAGGGGAAAGAATTGGGAAACACTAACAGAGCCCAACCTGGAGCATGAAGAGAGATAAATCACCCCTCCTGAAGTGAGATGCCCAGAAGAATGTGCCCAATTCTGATAAAGTATTTCCCTTCAACACCACTTCCTAAAGCAGGCAGTGAGGACAGGAAGCTGGGGAAGACTGGGGCACTCATTGCACAAAATAAGTTGGGCCCTGCAACATGGGTGGAAATTGAGGGGAAGAGGCAATTGTACCAGGGGGATGAGGGGCAAGTATATAGAAAGGCATGGAAGTAAAATAAGCTCAGCATGAGCAGAAGACTCTAAGGAGACCAATTTAACTGGCTTGAGGGGGTGTGCTGGGAAAGTAGAGGGAAGTTTAAAGATTGAAAATTAGGGAATGAGAAGAACACTCCATGGCTTCAATATTAAGTAGGAAATTTAGACTTTATTCAAGAGGCAATAGTAAATCATTGGAAGTTTATATATTCAGAATCATTCTTTCTGGTTATTCCAACAGTGTTATGTAAAGCTATTCCCACCTGGAATGGTACATACAGGTTCAGTTCCCTCATACTGCAGTACACACACAGAAACATATACCCCTTCAATAAAGGCCTAATCTCCTATTAGAAATATTCCTTGCTGGAAATAAGAGAGAACACAAACAAATGGAAAAACATTCCATGCTCATGGACAGAAAGAATCAATATTGTGAAAATGGCCATACTGCCCAAAGTAATTTATAGATTCAATGCTATTCCCATCAAGCTACCACTGACTTTCTCCACAGAATTGGAAAAAAATACTATAAATTTTATATGGAACCAAAAAAGAGCCCATATAGCCAAGACAATTCTAAGCAAAAAGAACAAAGCTGGAGGCATCACACTACTTGACTTCAAGCTATACTACAAGGCTACAGTAACCAAAACAGCATGGTACTGGTACCAAAACAGGATACAGACCAATGGAACAGAACAGAGACCTCAGAAATAACACCACACATCTACAACCATCTGATCTTCAACAAATCTGACAAAAACAAGCAATGGGGAAAGGATTCCCTATTCAATAAATGGTGCTGGGAGAACTGGCTAGCCATATGCAGAAAATTGAAACTGGACCCCTTCTTTACATCTTATACAAAAATTAACTGAAGATGGATTAAAGACTTAAATGTAAAACCCAAAACCATAAAAACCCTAGAAGAAAACCTAGGCAATACCATTCAGGACATAGGCATGGGCAAAGACTTCATTATTAAAACACCAAAAGCAATTGCAACAAAAGTCAAAATTGAGAAATGGGATCTAATCAAACTAAAGAGCTTCTGCACAGTAAAAGAAACTATCATCAGAGTGAACAGGCAGCCTACAAAATGGGAGAAAATTTTTGCAATCTACCCATCTGACAAAGGGCTAATATCCAGAATCTACAAGGAAATTAAACAAATTTACAAGAAAAAAACAAACAACCCCATCAAAAACTGGGCAAAGGATATGAACAGACACTTCTCAAAAGAAGAAATTTATGCAGCCAACAAACATATGAAAAAATGCTCATTATCACTCGTCATTACAGAAATGCAAATCAAAACCACAATGAGACACCATCTCACACCAGTTAGAATGGCGATCATTAAAAAGTCAGGAAACGGCTGGGCATGGTGGCTCATGCCTGTAATCCCTGACTTTGGGAGGCAAGGTGGGTGGATCATGAGGTCAGGAGTTCAAGACCAGCCTGGCCAAGATGGTGAAACCCCATCTCTACTAAAAATACAAAAATTAGCCAGGCATAGTGGTGGGGGCCTGTAATCCCAGCTACTCGGGAGGCTGAGGCAGAGAATTGCTTGAACCCGGGAGGTGGAGGTTGCAGTGAGCCAAGATCATGCCACTGCACTCCAGCCTGGGTGACAGAGTGAGACTCCATCTCAAAAAAAAAAAAAAAAAGTCAGGAAACAACAGGTGCTGGCGAGGCTGTGGAGAAATAGGAACACTTTTACACTGTTGGAGGGAATGTAAATTAATTCAACCATTGTGGAAATCGGTGTGGCGATTCCTCAAGGATCTAGAACCAGAAATACCATTTGACCCAGCAATCCCATTACTGGGTATATACCCAAAGGATTATAAATCATTCTACTATAAAGACACATGCACAAATATGTTTATTGCAGCACTATTTACAATAGCAAAGACTTGGAACCAACCCAAATGCCCATCAATGATAGACTGGATAAAGAAAATGTGGCATATATACGCCATGGAATAGTATGCAGCCATAAAAAAGGATGAGTTCATGTCCTGTGCAGGGACATGGATGAAGTTGGAAGCCATCATTCTCAGCAAACTAACTCAAGAACAGAAAACTAAACACCACATGTTCTCACTCATAAGTGGGAGTTGAACAATGAGAACACATGGACACAGGGAGGGGAACATCACACACCAGGGCCTGTCAGGGGTTGGGGGGTAGGAGAGGGATAGCATTAGGAGAAATATCTAATGTAGATGACAGGTTGAGAGGTGCAGCAAACCGCCGTGGCACATATATACCTGCGTAACAAACCTGCACATTCTGCACATATATCCCAGAACTTAAAGTAAAATTTTTTAAAAAAAGAAACATTCCTTGTTAAAAAAAACACTCTCATAGGTCCAGCCACCCACACAGACACAGATGCAGCTGCACACTGAGACACACATCCAAGCTCATGGACAAATGGAGTTGCACAGAGACACAATCACTCCCACAAACACAGCTCTACAAATTGAGATTGTTGATAATAGTTGTGATTGCCACAGTCACCAGGGGCACAATTCCTCCCATACTCCACACATCCTACAAGAAGCCACCATGAGGTGACAGTGACAGGTGAGCTGAGAGGAGGGTTGGCTCCAGAAGCTACAGCTGTAAACCCTGGGATCCCCAGGTCACTCTACTTGGGGCTCAGAGGTCAGCCTGACCCTTCTCTCTTATCTTCACAAGGCAGGGGCTGAGGAGCAGCAGCTTTGCAGTACACAGGGCTCCTGAATGTCCCGAGTTGGAGGTGGCACCAGTCACCTCCTCCATCAAACTGGTCCCTAGAGAGGAAGGATAACAAGCCCCACAGCCAGGCTGCCTTGTGCCCCAGGGATGAAGGCCACAAGAAGAGGTTGTTGCCTCTGGGGAAAAGCTAAGGTGCTCTCAGGGCTGTAAACCCCATAAGCATGGCCAATCATTCCTTCCTCAGACCCTCCAGTGTCAAGCCACTCCTGGGCCCTGCTGCTGTTCCTATGATGTGCAGAACCCAGAGGGTACACCTGGGGACAAGGGGCCAGGCTGCAGAGTGTGCAGATCTGTCTTCCTGTGTGTGACTGTGTGCATGAGTCATATGTGTGAGTATAAGAGTATGTGCTGTTTGCGAGGCTGTGATTATTACCAGCACTGCACAATCGTTTCATTGTAGGGGGTAGGAGGCAGTGTGTATGTGCATATGCCCCTCTAGCATGGCACATCTCTGCCATGATCCACCATGAACCTACGTGAGTGCAGCCGTGTATGTGAAGGTGTGAGGCTGTGTGCAAAGATGTGATTGTATGATCACTGAGGGGATTGGGTGTGGCTGGGCATGCATGGATGGGCACTGGGCAGAGTGCTCACACACAGTAAGCAGTCAATGAGAACATGAATGTGCATGATGGGTCACAGCAGCTGTGCATGGCGCTATGTCTCCATCAAGAGGAGTATGTGAATGATTGTCACCCTCTGGCCTTAGTGCCATTTTGTGATTGCATTTGGCCATGTGTGTATGTGTATGACGATCTTGGCTTCTGAATCCTGAGGTAATGGTTGTCTGCCTACTTTGCTGTGAATGCATGTGCTGGCTCCACATTTCTGTATATGACTGATTGTGCCTATGTATTTGCAGAGACCAGCTTGAGGATGCACATGTCTGCGTGCCTGCATGTGCGTTTCCAACTACATTTGAATGTTTCTACAAACATCTTTGTATATTTGAACGCTTCTTGGGACCAATTTAGACACAGGTCAGAGCAGGTCCATTTTCCAAAAGCAATTCTATAAACAGGTTTCCCCTTCCATCCTACCCAATCATCCTGATCCTCTTCCCCTCCAGGAAAGTGAGAAAGAATTAGGGGCTTAAGAAAAGATGCTTTAGAGGAAGCTAACGCCAGAGATTCTTCTTAACCAATGGAGGAAAAAAGGAATACGATAGGGTAGGGAGGTCCTTCATTGATTTTTTTTTAATAGAGAAAGATGTGGAAATAAATTAAAAGATCATTTCCCTGTAAAGGTGGTTTCAGCACAGTCTTCAGCAAACCTGTGCCCTAAAATTCCTCTCAGTTACTTCAATTCTCTTCTTACAGAATTGCCCAAGATTTCTGCAATGAAATTCAGACAGGAAAAAAACTGAGACATTGAAAACAAGTTGCCTCTCTCCTTAAGAGTCAAGTCGCTATGCCTGGGCAGATGTGTCCATCTGTCCACAGGAGTTTCTCACCCTGTGATGTGCATCTGCTTGGTGCTCAGTAAGTGTTTGATTTCATGGGGAAAGTTTTCAGGGATATGAGGAGTCATTCAGATTCTCTTGTTCTTTTTTTGTGTGTGTGTGAGATGGAGTCTCACTGTGCCACCCAGGCTGGAGTGCAGTGGCACGATCTTGGCTCACTGCAACCTCTGCCTCCTGGGTTCAAGATATTCTCCTGCCCCAGCCTCCCAAGTAGCTGGGATTACAGGCACGTGACACCACACCTGGCTAATTTTTGTATTTTTTTTTTTAGTAGAGATGGGGTTTCACCACATTGGCCAGGCTGGTCTCAAACTCCTGACCTCAGGTGATCCTCCTACCTTGGCCTCCCAAAGTGCTGGGATTACAGGCACGAGCCACTGCACCCGGCCTTGTTTTGTGTTTTAAGTCTGAAAATATCTGTATTCTTTACTCACACTTGAGTAGTATTTTTGCTGAGTGAAGAATTCCAAGTTCGAAATGCTTTTTTTCAGAATTTGAATATTGTTAAACTGTTCTATAATCTACTGTTGAATTGAAACATTTGATGGCAATCTAATTACATGGATATCATCAGTTCATTGCACCCCATGCCCTTAGGAAGTACTGGAGTCTCCTCTTCATTTCCAGTGTTCTAAAATTCCACTATTTGTGTCTAGGTGTTGTGAGTTCATATTCATTTCAATGTAAACATATGTGCTCTTCAGATTTTTTTTCTAGAGTTTCTTTCTTATGTTTCTCTCCTCCATCTTGGTTTGGTTTCATTTTTTCTTTTCCAAAATAAATGTCCATTGGCCAGATCTTTCTGTGTCGAACCTCACTCTGTTTCATCTTTTCTTTCATATTTTCCTCCTTCCCTGATCTACATCTTGTGCAATATCTTTTGTTCTATTTTTGCTTAAATCACAAACTATCAAAGTTGGACGTGACCTTGCAGATGAGTTACTTCAATTCTCTTATTTCGCAGGTTGAAAGTCTAAGGCCCCACAAGGTCAGGAGATCGAGAACATCCTGGCTAACACGGTGAAACCCCGTCTCTACTAAAAAATACAAAAAAAATTAGCCGGGCGTGATGGCGGGCGCCTGTAGTCCCAGCTACTCGGGAGGCTGAGGCAGGAGAATGGCGTGAACCCAGGAGGTGGAGCTTGCAGTGAGCTGAGATCGTGCCACTGCACTCCAGCCTGGGCGACAGAGCAAGACTCCATCTCAAAAAAAAAAAAAAAAAAAGAAAAGAAAATCTAAGGCCCAGAAAGGAAGAAGGTTCAGGGAGGTGAAATGACTTGCCCATAGTCATACCTGTGCCTAGGGCCAGGGCTACCTGACTCTAAACTCTTGATATTTTCCCATGGCCAGGAAGCCTTGAACAATTTATCCCCTCACCTTTTCCGTTAGACATCGGGGAGGTGACCCATCAATAGAAAGGAGCCCTTCAGGTTCCAGGCGAATAACCAGCCTGCCATGGAGGCTGCCAATGAGTCTTCAGAGGGAATCTCATTCGTTTTATTGGGACTGACAACAAGTCCTGGACAGCAGCGGCCTCTCTTTGTGCTGTTCTTGCTCTTGTATGTGGCCAGCCTCCTGGGTAATGGACTCATTGTGGCTGCCATCCAGGCCAGTCCAGCCCTTCATGCACCCATGTACTTCCTGCTGGCCCACCTGTCCTTTGCTGACCTCTGCTTCGCCTCCGTCACTGTGCCCAAGATGTTGGCCAACTTGTTGGCCCATGACCACTCCATCTCGCTGGCTGGCTGCCTGACCCAAATGTACTTCTTCTTTGCCCTGGGGGTAACTGATAGCTGTCTTCTGGCGGCCATGGCCTATGACTGCTACGTGGCCATCCGGCACCCCCTCCCCTATGCCACGAGGATGTCCCGGGCCATGTGCGCAGCCCTGGTGGGAATGGCATGGCTGGTGTCCCACGTCCACTCCCTCCTGTATATCCTGCTCATGGCTCGCTTGTCCTTCTGTGCTTCCCACCAAGTGCCCCACTTCTTCTGTGACCACCAGCCTCTCTTAAGGCTCTCGTGCTCTGACACCCACCACATCCAGCTGCTCATCTTCACCGAGGGCGCCGCAGTGGTGGTCACTCCCTTCCTGCTCATCCTCGCCTCCTATGGGGCCATCGCAGCTGCCGTGCTCCAGCTGCCCTCAGCCTCTGGGAGGCTCCGGGCTGTGTCCACCTGTGGCTCCCACCTGGCTGTGGTGAGCCTCTTCTATGGGACAGTCATTGCAGTCTACTTCCAGGCCACATCCCGACGCGAGGCAGAGTGGGGCCGTGTGGCCACTGTCATGTACACTGTAGTCACCCCCATGCTGAACCCCATCATCTACAGCCTCTGGAATCGCGATGTACAGGGGGCACTCCGAGCCCTTCTCATTGGGCGAAGGATCTCAGCTAGTGACTCCTGAGGGCAGGACCCCACTGAGGACAGACTGCATCACCCACACTGGCAACTGTTGAACGTGACCCTCTGTCCTCTGCTATGCTCAAAAATCATAACAGCTGTCATTTCCTGAGCACCTGCCCGGAAGCAGATCCTTGCCTGATCTCATTTTATTCCCACAGCCACCCAGGATGCAGATATTATGATCCGGTTTTACACACAAGAAAATTTGTCTTTAGGCTCAAAGATAAGAAGTGACTTTCCAGCCAGGCACAGCGGCTCACGCCTGTAATCCCAGCACTTTGAGAAGCCGAGGTGGTGGATCACCTGAGGTCGAGAGTTCAAGATCAGCCTGGCCAACATGGCGAAACCCTGTCTCTATTACAAATACCAAAATTAGCCAAGCATGGCGGCGCACAACTGTAATCCCATCTACTCGGGAGACTGAGGCAAGAGAATCACTTGAACCCAAAAGATGAAGATTGAAGTGAGCTAAGATTGTGCCACTGAGCTCCAGCCTGGGCAACAGAGCAAGACTCCATCTCAAAAAAAAAAGAAGTGACTTTCTCAAATTCACACAGTTCTTAGAAAGCAAAACCTGCACCCCTTCTGCCACATCATGCTCTTCTGATGATCACTCTTAGGCATTTAGAATGCATTCCACCATTTCCTACAGACCGAGGGCAATCCAGGAGGGTGTGACATCCGCAGAACATGCCTTGTGTGGATGAGCACTTTCTCTTCAGTCATATGGCCATGTGTTCTCAAATAAATTGACTTCTCAACTGGGACTGGAATAGAGAAATTCACACACTCATGTGTGAAGGGCCAGCCCCTCCTAATGAGCTCAGTGTGGCACACAGGAGGCCCTCTGCACATCTAATATGAATAAATGACTCTGTGTTCATACTAACATGCATTTAGAAGAAGTCCGTTCTTCTAATTCTTTGTTCTTTCCCTTGTTTGCTATCATGGCACCTGTTCTGCCCCACCTGGCATTCTGTAGAAGGAGCACGTTGTGGACACGCACAGTCATGAATAAACAAAGCAAAGCTGAGAAGGAGGAGGCATAGGTGTTAGGGGCAGATGGAGCAAGCATTGGATAAGTCTTTATCGTATGCCAGCACTTCACTTATTTTTACCCACAAAAAGTATGGGTACTCTTATTGCCACTTTATGAATGAGGAAACTGAGGCTCAAAGCTGGTAACCTAGTCAGTGTCAGAGCCAGAACAAGCCCTTATGCCACATGGGTCATGCAGGTGTGTTTTAATGGGCCCCATAGAATCCACACGCCAGGTTTTGGTGTCTCAGTGGAAGCACTTGCAGGAAGAAGTCTCAGACCAGGGCAGGTTCGCTGCCTCAAGTAAGGACACATTTTGGGGTCTGAAAAGGCCTCATGGTGCCCAAGTTTTTACCAAACAGGTATGTGAGGCAGGAGCTTTTAGGTCTCTGTTTCTCTAAGAAATCTGCACCCACTTCCCCATCCCCTAGTCCCAACTCCACTCCTACCCCCATTCCGCTGCTCCAGAGAGAAGGAGAGAGAGCTACAGCGATCCTAGAGCCAGGTTAGCAATAGCCCCTTCCAGATCACACAGGTGAGCTGCCACCGCCCAGTCCCAGAGCTGCTACACTATGCTGTTTAGATCAAAAAGGACCTTAAAGGTCTTTAGACTGGTAGCTTTAATCAAAAAAAAAAAAAAAAAAAAAAAAACCAAAACAAACAGAAAACAACAACAAAAACACGTTATTTACATAGAAACACAATCTGTAAAACAGGGTGGGGGAGAAGCCATGCAGTGTGGATGAGGGAGGGTGAAAGGAGGCCCAGAATCCACCGTCGATGCTTCTCCCCACCCCCACTTTGAAAGGTCTTTGATCAAACCGAACACCTTCACTTGATAAATGGGGAAACTGAGGCCCAGAGTGGTTAAGGGACCTGCTCAAGATCACACAAAGTCAGTGGCAAACTTCGGGCTTCCTTGTTCAACCTGCCAGTGCCCCAAAGCCTGGCCCTGCCATGACATAGAGACCATCCTTTCCCAGCCTCCCTTCCTCCCTCCCACGCCCAGGTTATTTGTTTGTGCTGTGATGCCAGATCCTTGCTACTCTGTCAATAACTTGTCCCCTGGCCCCATGATCGACTTCCTCCGCTCTGCCTTCTCTAAAGCTTCAAAAACATACCGGCCATGATGCACATTCACTTGTGCCTGGAAACACCTGCACCACCAGCCCTGCCCTATGGCTTGGAGTCAGCTGCTGACCATCAGGGTCCTTGCGTGAGGCATCTCTGGGTCCCTTGAACCTAGCACAGAGAACATGCCTGTGACGTGCTGTGGCCTTGTGCGTCTCATGATCTTCCAGGTGAGTCATCCGCATCAGGAAGGGGAAAGGGGCACGGAAGAGTCAGGGGGTTGTTAGTGCTCCTGTTTTCCAGGCCACCAGCCCTGCCCCAGCCATTCTGCTCAGATTTCAACCCAAGAACAGGCCGCATCACTGAAGGGGCAGCTAACTCTCACTGGTCCCCACTGCCGACAGGGTAGCTTCTGTCCCTGGACTCAGACCAGCAAGCTACCTCTGCCTCAGCATGGTCAGTGCCTTCTACAGAATCACCACGACCAGAAGCACAAGCTCTTCCGGGTCCCACAATAGCCCAGTGCCAAACCCCCATTTTGGATATCAGGAAACTGATTCTCAAAGAAGTGAGGAGACCTGTCCTTGTTCCTTCTGCCGGCCAATTTAAGTTGTAATTCTCCTGTCCTCGGTATCATTCTCTTTTCACTACACCATAAATCAATGTTAATTAATGTGTATTGATCACTTGCTCTGTGCCAGGCACTGGGTTACATGCTTAATCTATCTCCAGACAACCTGGGGAAAACAAGGAGAAGGGAATGGTGGGAGCGTCAATAGCCCAGTCTCCAGGCATGTGGCTCCCTGGACCACCGTCCCACCCCACCCCACCCCAACTAGACCTGACCTCTTGTTTTACTTTGGTTAGCCCTAGAAGATGAAGTGATCTGGAGACAAGATGAGGAATCCATCCTTTCTCTGTCCCCAGAGAGGCCACTAAAGACTTCATAAGGCTGGACACAGTGGCTCACGCCTGTAATCCCAGCAGTTTGGGAGGCCGAGGTGGGCGGATCACGAGGTCAGGAGTTCGAGACCAGCCTGGCCAATATGGTGAAAGCCCATCTCTACTAAAAATACAAAAATTAGCAGGGCGTGGTGGTGCATGCCTGTAATCCCAGCTACTCGGGAGGCTGAGGCAGAAGAATTGCTTGAACCCGGGAGGCAAAGGTTGCGGTAAGCCGAGATTGTGCCACTGGACTCCAGCCTGGGTGACAAAGAGAGACTCCGTCTCAAAAGAAAAAAAAAAAAAAAAGACTTCATAAATCCACTGAAGTAGTTTTCCCTGGATCTTTTTCACATGAAATATAAAGAGACCGATTTTTAACACCTTAAATAAAACAAGTATATCCAAATGACCGACTCCCTTCCCGGCAGTCCCCTTGGAAGAGCTTAGGCTTATTCCAGTGAGGCTGCTTCAGCTCCAGGGATTTTTGCACCCCCTCTTTGCAAGGTCTTTGAGCCACACGAGGAAATCTACCTCTTCTCACCCGCCACATTCCCTGAGTTTATCCTCAAGTGACTTCTGGCCATTTCAGAATCAATTCATCTCACCCTCCCAGCACCGATATTTTCAACCCTTCAGTTTATTCAGAATAATGTGTAGTGAACCACCTCCGCCAGAAAAAATAAATAATTGCACTGCAAGAAAAGAATTTCAGAGTCTGCCTCTACAGCCTCATTTGTCATGTAATCTTTGTGCATTGTAAAGTAAGGCAGCCTTCATTTCAAAGGTATAGCAATTGGGGAGATTTTAGTAGTAAAAAAAGCTCACATCACAAATGGTAAATTGATTACTCCTTCTAAGGGTACAAAGAAAATTTCTAGAACCTAAGTCTTCTTTCATGCAAGGGCTTCCACAGGGAAAATGCAGCCATTAGGGATGCAAAATAAAAACATAAAGACTTTTTCTTGATGCAAAAATGACTGCTTTAAAATACTAGCAATGGGCCGGGTGCAGTGGCTCATGCCTGTTATCCCAGCACTTTGGGAGGCCAAGGCGGGTGGATCACCTGAGGTCAGGAGTTCAAGACCAGCCTGGCCAACAGGGCGAAACCCCATCTCTACTAAAAATACAAAAATTAGCTGGGCGTGGTGGCATGTGCCTGTGATCTCAGCTACTCACTCGGGATGCTGAGGCAGGAGAATCGCTTGAACCCAGGAAGCAGAGGTTGCAGTGAGTCGAGATGGTGCCATTGCACTCCAGCCTGGGTGACAAGAGTGAAACTCCATCTTAAATAATAAAATACAATAACAAAATAAAATCAAATCCTGGAAAAGCATTGATAGTCCAAGAAGCTGACAAAGCAAGCAGTTCAGCTCACTCTGAATCATTGATGCTTCCTCCAACTCACTCTATCCACAGCTCTTCTGTCCCGCTTCCTCCACATCCTTTACCTTTACATACCTGTACTGCTTTCTCCTTTTTTTGTCACATATTTTCCCACCTCCTTCCCTTTTTGTTCTCTGCTCTCTCGCTCATCTACTATTATTTACTGGTGCCAGCCCCCATACTAGGCACTAAGACTATAAATAAAGTCCTTGTCCTCACGTGCAATACAGGAACACAGTTCATGATCAAAGCCAGAAGAGAGATACAACATGCTGTGGAGCAGGGGTCTCCAAGCCACAGGCCACAGACAGGTACCAGTCCATGGCCTGTTAGTAGCCAGACCACACAGCAGGAGGTAAGCGGCGGGCAAGTGAGCACTACCACCTGAGCTCCTGTCAGCTCAGCGGCAGCATTAGATTCTCATAGGAGTGCAAACCCTACTGTGAACTGCACAGGCGAGGGATCTAGGTTGCCTGCTCCTTATGAGAATCTAATGCCTGATGATCTGAGGGGAACAGTTTCAGCCCAAAACCATTCCCCACCTCTGTCCATGGAAAAATTGTCTTCCCTAGTGCCAAAAAGGTTGGGGACCACTGCTATAGAGGAAGCATGACTTGGGTTGGAAGGGAGAGGAGAGTTAAGGAAAACTCACAGAGTGTGGTAGGTTACATCAATTGTGCTGGTTCCTCAGCCATCCCTGATGCCATACCTTTGAGCCATGTAACTTTGCCCTCCAACCACGACTGGGGTCTCAGCCACGCAACTTGCTTTGGCCAGTAAGATATTAGGAAGCATGATTTTAGCAAAACTTGAAAGGTATTTGTGATACTGGCTGGGCGAGGTGGCTCTTGCCTGTAATCCCAGCACTTTAGGAAGCCAAGGCAGGCAGATGACCTGAGGTCAGGAGTTCGAGACCATCCTGGTCAACATGGTGAAACCCTGTCTCTACTAAAAATACAAAAATTAGCCAGGCATGGTGGTGGGCACCTGTAACCCCAGCTACTCGGGAGGCTGAGGCAGGAGAATCACTTGAGCCCAGGAGTCGGAAGGTGCAGTGAGCTGAGATTGCACCACTGCACTCCAGCCTGGGCAACAGAGTGAGACTCCAACTCAAAAAAAAAAAAAACTATCTGTGATATTGGGCTTGTTCGCTTGTGTTTCTCTCATTGCCATGAGAAGGACATGTCCACCTAGTCCCCTGGTCCCAAGACAGGGAAGAGAGACACCTGGGGCAGGGCTGCTGTAGCCAAGGTGATCTAAGCAGAACCCTCAGCTGACCTGCAGATGTACGAGCAAAGACCAGCCAAGATCAGCCAAGCCCCAGCTGTCCCATTGACACATGAGTGATAATGAATGACTCATGTTTTAAACCACTGAGTATTGAGATGGTTTGTTACACCGTCATAGCAAACTGACGCAGCTCCCATAACTATTTCTGATATTTGCCTTTTTCACCGATGCAGTCTGGCTAGCCCCTTCAGTGTCCTGAGGGCTGATTGATCCATCAACATATACTTGCTTTCTCTGTTTGCTTTTGGGGATTTATATGTAAGTATGTCTCCGCCCGCAAGACTAGACCAATCTACCAGGGATTCTTTGAGGGTAAAAGTCAGGTTTTTCCACTGGCCTAGGAACTCCTGGAATAAGGGCCCCAGCTCCCCTTTTTCAATCTCAGGATCACATCCATGTCCTCACTATAGACACTGTTTCCTCTCCTGGTTGCCTTCTTTGGAGGCTGTCATTGAACCCACACACAGATTCAATTTAGACTGGAACATTTTCAGCTAGTCTCTGGTGAGAAGGAAAAATGAAACTGGAAAGGCATTGGTTACTGGAAGGATGACATGAGTAAAACAAATCAAATCACCATTTGTTTGGCAAAGAGCTCAACTTCACCCACACAGACACCACCACCTACTTCATTTTCTCTCCAAGGACCACAGAACAACTGGCAGGTTGTGGAGAAACCATGACCAAGACCATCCCACACACATCACGAAATCACATCACCACAGACCTTGGAAACCATAATGACATGGTAGGAAGTTAACTCAGCACAGGCCAGATGTGGTGCCAGTGGCTTTACATTCCTTGTACTCATAACAATTTAATACTCATAACAATCCATTGTGGCACACATTATTGTCTCCATTTTACAGATGAGAAAATTGTGACTCAATGAGGCAACTTGCCCAAGGCTCCAAGATAAAAATCAGTGGAACTAATATTTGAGCACAGATCTGGCTCTGGGCAGAAATGAGAGATAGCAAAAGCCCTCCCCTCCCCTGTTCTGATTCCAGACCACTCATCATGCATGAGAATCATGTGACATGCTCATGGGAAATGCATTTTTTTTTTTTTTTTTGAGATGGAGTTTCACTCTTGTTGCCCAGGCTGGAGTGCAATGGCGCAACCTCGGCTCACTGCAACTTCCGCCTCCCGGGTTCAAGTGATTCTCCTGCCTCAGCCTCTCAAGTAGCTGGGATTACAGGTGCCCACCACCACGCCCAGCTAAATTGTTTGTATTTTTAGTAGAGACAGAGTTTCACCATGTTGGTCAGTCTGATCTCAAACTCCTGACCTCAGGTGATCCACCGGCCTTGGCCTCCCAAAATGCTGGGATTACAGGCATGAGCCGCCGCACCCAGCCAAAATTGTTTTTTAAAAAGGAAATGGGATAAGGAAAGGCTGGATGGGCTGGAGGTGCTTCCAGGCAGGTAGAGAACTCTTTGGCGTACCAAGATGATGACAAGGAACTGAGGCCTTGGGAGTAGAGGGAGAGCTACATCAAAGACAAAGCCACAGAGTAAGAGCTGCATTTCCTGACCACCAACTACAGTAGTCTGCTCAGCTGCCCTAAAAAAATACCACAAACTGAGTAATGATAGAAATATATCTTGTCACAGTTCTTGAGGCTGGAGGTCCACCAACACCATGGTGCCATAAGGGTTGGTTTCTGGTGAGGGATCTCTTCCTAACTTGTAGACAGCTGCCTTCTAGCTGCATCCTAGCATGTATCTGCTCTGTGCACATGCAGAGAGCAAGGGAGCTCTGGTGTCTCTTCTTTTAAAGACAGTGGTCTTACTGGATTTGGTCCCCACCCTTATGACTCATTTAACCTTAGTTACCTCCTTCAGTGGCCCTATCTCCAAATACAGTCACTTTGGGGGTTTGGGAATTTGGGCTAGGTTGGGGACGGTTCAGTCCATAACACCAACTATGGGGCAGGCACCCTTCAACTGTTTCCAAGAGCCTCTTTTGATAAACATTATTATTGCCTGTTCATGGGTAAGGCTTCCCAGACAGTGGTAAAATTCTGAGTTCTGAGCTCTGAGTTCCTAGGTTTAAGTTCTAACTTTACTATGTACTAACTGGTTGACCTTGGGCAAATCATTTAACTAAAAAATGAGGAAAATAATATAGCTCTGAAGTGGTGAGAATTATCTAAGAAATAAATATAAACTGCTTAGAAGCCAGGCATGGTGGCTCTCACCTGTAATCTCAGTACTTTGGGAGTCCCAGGTGGAAGGATTGCTTTAGCCCAGGATGTAGGGAGACCCCCTGAAACTATTGCTACAGAATAAAAGATGAAATGCTCCTGATTATTGTAAATACAAAATTGCATGCTGGATTGTGTAAAGACAATGCCAGGTTGGACTGCCAGAACGAGCCAACAGCGCGTGATGTGCTTCCCCCTGCAGAGAACCTATGAATGGACGTGCAGTCAGGGAGGTTTCACATCACCAAGATTCCTATCCCAGAAAAGTAGATGTTCATAGCTCTGGGAATGGAATGGAACCCTTGTGGAAAGCCTATAAACGGATGCATGGGGGGGCGCCTGTCCATATGGATAAGATAGGGCTATAAATGCCCTCATCTTGCCACAGCTCTTCCAGGCCTCTTTAGGGTTAGGGCATACTCCCTTCTGAGAATTTCTGGTCTAACCGGTTCTCTAGCTTCACGTCCTGTTTCTATGGATTGTTTGTAACCAGCTTTTGTTGCAATTGTTACTACTGATTAATAGCTTGCTAATCATAGGTTACGGAAAGATTGTGTTTCTGTTTTAAGGCTCTGTTAGAAATTACTGATGCATGCACTATATTGTAAATTCTTATCTCTGTATACCGTACTTCTACGTACAAATGTACTGTACTTCTACATACAAATGTTATTACTTCATCCCCATGTGACCATCTCACCTCATAATCAAATGACCCTAAATCCCTCACTAACCCACCCCCGCTGTCACTAAACTTAATAATAAATGCTGGTATATCCAGTGCATTGTTGGCACCACGGGACCAGAAGGCGGTGACCCCCCCTGGACTCAGCTTTCACTATCTTGTGTGTGTCTATCATTTCTCAACCTGCCGATCCACCTGGGAACAAAGAGAGAGCCCCGTTGCACTGCAGGCTGCTGGCCAGATCCCACAATACCAGGAATTTGAGGCTGCAGTGATCTATGGCTGCACCACTGCATTCCAGTCTTGGCAACAGAGCAAGACCCTGTTTCAAAAAACAAAACAAAACAAAACAACAGACTGAAAAACAAAGTGCTTCCTTACTCTCACTATGACAGGTCTAGGGGACACAGGTAGTAAGTCACTGGAAACAAATGGTGGGATTGGGATTTGAAACAAAGATTGTACTCTTAACTAAGAAGCTATGTCTCCTCGAGTCACCCACCTTGCAGCATCTTGGGGCTGGTGGGTGCCGCCTGCCTTCCTGTTCTCTTCTGTCTGTTTTTTTCTCCCCCTTAGTTGACCATGATCTGAAAGTCAAGTGTATATATGTTGTCTTCATCAAATACCATTTTGTTTGCTTTGTTACTCATTATTTAAAGTGTGTGTATTTAACATTTTCCCGTTCTCATTCCTAAAAACAAATTCTCTAACATTATTCTTACATGGTGCTACGTATCTCCCTCAGGCCCCTACTCTGCAGTCTGTAGCACAGCGTCCATAATGGGAGCAAAACAATTCATTCCTTCTCCTCTGCTGCCACCGCGTGGCCATTTTGCATTATAACCCGCATTTCTGCAAAGTAACCAGGAGGTAACAACCTCTTTGGCAAGGCTGAGGATTTAACTTGATCTTGTTTGTTACCTGGTTCTCAGTGAGCATAGGTAGTAGACGTCTAATTAAAAATATGTAACATTTATGGAAACATGATATAAGAGATGATCTTCTGCCCTATTGTGGTGAATTCCAGCCTACTCATGTTGCCTTGGGGATTTTCCCCACTGAAGGAGCATATATTAACTGATGCCAGCTCAGATCAGAGATCAGAGATGACAGGACACAGTCCCTGTCCCCAAGGAAATACTAGTCTGGTCTGTAAACAAATCCAGTTCAACTTTGGCTACCACACACGCTGAAGACAGAGTTACCCTACAGAAAAGAGAGACAGAGCTATTCAAGTCACCAGGATTTCCCATCTCACACTTCGGAAAAACTTTAAATATTTCTTTAAGTTGAATTAAAATAATAGCATGATGACAACAATAGATAATTTATTGAGACATTTCTATGTGTTAAGCAAGGTGCAAAGTGCGTTCTGAGTATTAACCCATTGACCTCCTTTTTTCTGAGATGGAATCTCACTCTGTTGCCCAGGCTGGAGTGCAGTGGTGCAATCTCAGCTCACTGCAACCTCTGCCTCCCAGGTTCAAGCGATTCTCTTGCCTCAGCCCCCCAAGTAGCTGGGATTACAGGCGTGCGCCACCATGATCAGCTAATTTTTTGTATTCAGTAAAGAGGGGGTTTCACCATTTTGGTCAAGCTGATCTGGAACTCCTGACCTCAGGTGATCCGCCCGCCTCAGCCTCCCAAAGTGCTGGGATTACAGACATGAGCCACCGTGCCCGGCCCCATTGACCTCTTATCCCAACTACTGTTATCCCCCTTGTACAGGTGGGAAAATGGAGGCAAGGCTAGTGTTGGATGGACCCAGGTTTTGAGCCCCCATTTTCTTAACCAGTGTTGCCATCACCTGTAGGAAGACATGTCACAGTATGACTGCCTCTCTCTGAAGAGACAGCAAAGACTTAGGATCCAGAGAGGATGTGAGGTTTGAGCTGAATTTTCAAGGATAAATAGGATTTATTTGAGTTGACAAGGGGAAATTGGTTTTTTTTTGGGGGGGGGGTTGTTTGTTTGTTTTTTGAGACGGAGTCTCGCTCTGTCGCCCAGGCTGGAGTGCAGTGGTGCGATCTCGGCTCACTGCAAGCTCCGCCTCCCGGGTTCACGCCACTCTCCTGCCTCAGCCTCCCAAGTAGCTGAGACTACAGGCGCCCGCTACTACGCCCGGCTAATTTTTTGTTTTCGTATTTTTCGTAGAGACGGGGTTTCACCGTGTTAGCCACGATGGTCTCGATCTCCTGACCTCGTGATCCGCCCGCCTTGGCCTCCCAAGGTGCTGAGATTACAGGCATGAGCCACCGCGCCCGGCCGGAATTGGGATCTTAAAGCCCTTTTTTAATAAGTGGGATCAGGGTTTTGTAGAGGATGGATAGTTTAAAAAAAAAAAAACAAAAAACTGATGACCTCTATGGATCTAAGGAATGTTTGCTAGGTGCCTCACCATGCTAAGAACTTTAGCTCATTGAACACTTCCAGCCACCCTGTGAGATAGTTGCTATGATTATCCTCACTTGGGAGATCACAGCTCAGAGACACCAAGAAATTTAACCACAAGCATTCACAATCCAAAATAAATTCTTGGAGTGGAGGGAATCAATGGGAGTGAGGCTTCTCTGAGAACACAACTTCATATTCTGTTGGCTTTTAAACTGGGTAAATGTTTTATATGCTCAAAAAGGTGGAACCAAAAAGGATGTATTGGAAAAAAAAAAAAAAGCAAACGCTAGGTCAAACACAGTGGCTTACGCCTGTAATCCCAGCACTTTGGGAGGCTGAGGCAGGAGGATCGCTTGAGCCCAGGAGCTTGAGGTTGCAGTGAGCTGTGATTGCGCCACTGCACTCCAGCCTGGGCAACAAAGTGAAACGCTGTCTCTTAAAAATGAAATGAAATTAAAATAAAGAAAATCACCTTTACGCATACCCCCAATGTAATAATTTGGTTCAGGCAAGGATGCCAAGACTATTAGGTGAAACGTTATTGTAAGAAGAGGATATTCACACAGTCTCAAAGTATCACAACACAGATTTCTTTCTGCTAACAAAGGGGAAATAATTTTACTATATGAAGATTTGTCATTCACCACCTTAACCAAGTGATTAAACTTAGCATCATCAAGCTGACATCAGATACTCCCTGACTTATGTAGTAAGAACTACACAACATCACCTCTGGTGATTGTATTATTGCCAGAAATAAGGAAACAATCTGAGAAGCCAGAAATTGGAGCATTTTTTATGACAGTTGGCCTGGATTCTTTAAAAAGCCTCAGCAGAAGGGTGGCCAGGCTGCCAGGTGGCTGGGCATGATGGACCCAGCTGCCGGTCTAGCCCTTCCTTATGCCCAGGCTTAGACCCATCCCCAGTCACCTAAATGAATAAATGGTTAAAAGTCACTGATAAGGCTGGGTGTGATGGCTCACGCCTGTAACCCCAGCACTGTGGGAGGCCTAGGCCGGCAGATCACTTGAGGTCAGGAGTTCGAAGCCAGCCTGGCCAACATAATGAAACCCCACCTCTACTAAAAAAAAAAAATACAAAAATTAGCCACATGTGGTGGTGCACACCTGTAATCCCAACTACTCAGAAGGCTGAGGCAGGGGAATCGCTTGAACCTGGGAGGCAGAGGTTACAATGAGCCGAGATCATGCCACTGCACTGCCAGCCTGGGCATGGGCAACAGAGCAAGACTCCATCTCCACAGGAAAAAAAAAAAAAAAAAGACTGATATGAGCCAGGCATGGTGGCTCACCCTGTAATCCCTGTACTTTAGGAGGCTGAGGCAGGTGGATGGCTTGAGCTCAGGAGTTTGAGACCAGCCTGGGCAACATAGTGAGGCCCCGTCTCTACAAAAAATACAAAAATTAGCTGGGCACAGTGTTCCACACCTGTAGTCCCAGCTACTCAGTTGACTGAGGTGGGAGGATGGCTTGAGCCAAGGAGGTGGAAATTACAGTGAGCCAAGCTCACACCACTGCACTTCAGCCTGGGCAACAGAGCCAGACCCTGCCTCAAAAACAAATCACTGATATGAGAAACAAGAACAAAGGCAAGGGGACTATACTAGCTTAAGAGACTAAAGTCACAAAAATGAAATGTGTGAACTTGATTGCGTCCTGAATTTTTTTCAAAGAATATTAAAGAAATTTTGGGAACAAATAGAGAAAATTGATATGAACTGTGTTTTAGATATTGTTGAATTACTGTTTATTCTCTTGAGTGTAACAATGGTATTTTGGTTATACAGGATCAAGACCCTTTTCTTAGGAGAGTCAGTGAAGTATTTAGGAGCAAAGTCAAGATGTCTGCAAACTTACATCTCAATAGTTCCGCCAGGCGCAGTGGCTCACGCCTGTAATCCCAGCACTTTGGGAGGCTGAGGCGGGCGGATAACGAGGTCAGGAGATCAAGACCATCCTGGCTAACACGGTGAAACCCTGTCTCTACTAAAAATACAAAAAATTAGCCGGGTGTGGTGGTGGGTGCCTGTAGTCCCAGCTACTTGGGAGGCTGAGGCAGGAGAATGGCGTGAACCCAGAAGGTGGAGCTTGCAGTGAGTCGAGATCGCGCCACTGCACTCCAGCCTGGGTGACGGTGAGACTCCGTCTCAAAAAAAAAAAAAAAGTTCCACAGAAAACAGAGATAAACAAATGCAGCAAAATATCAACTTTTGATGAAGCCACGTGAAAGATATACAGATGTTAATGGTAATATTCTTTTCAGTTTCCTATAGGTTTCAACGTTTTCCAAATAAAAGATTAATAATTAACTAATACAATGTGAGAGTCTGAAGCATCTGACGAAATCATCTAGCCAGATGCGTGGCTCACACCTGTAATCCCAGAACTTTGGGAGGCTGAGGCAGGAGGATCGCTTGAGCCCAGGAGTTTGAGACCAGCTTGGGCAACAAAGTGAGACACTCCACTCTACAAAAAATAAAAAATTAGCCAGGCACAGTGGCATGCACCTGTAGTCCCAGCTACTCGGCAGACGGAGGCAAGAGGATCCCTTGAGCCCAACGGTTCAAGATTACAATGAGCTGTGATTGCGCCACTACACTCCAGCCTGGGTAACAGAGCAAGACCCTGTCCCGAGGGGGAGGAAAAAAAAAAAAAGATCATCTAGTTCAACTCCTCACTTTACAAATGGGGAAATGAGGCCCAGGAGAGGAAGAGATGTATCTGAGGGCACTTAACTAGTTACTGAAAGAGCCAGAGTCCACATTAACTATTCTCCCTATTGCTGTCACTTGTAGTGGGACACGGGTGGCAGTGTGTGGAGGAAGGAGCCTAAGAGATGGATTTTGGGAGGGAGGACTCTCTTGAGTCATGGTAGGAAGGAGATGCCCCTCAACAGGGGCACATTGTGGGTCACTGCCACAGCTGAGAC
The DNA here is from genome assembly GCF_000001405.40 of Homo sapiens. Taxonomy (NCBI): domain Eukaryota; kingdom Metazoa; phylum Chordata; class Mammalia; order Primates; family Hominidae; genus Homo; species Homo sapiens. Next base: position 122,815,037 of record NC_000009.12, read on the forward strand.
AGGAGGAGATTCTGGCCTGAAACACAGGCAGAATTGAGAGACCCAAGGCTCCATCAGCTCAACTCCTTTTCGCTCTTTGAATTCTCTTCTTGGCCGGTCGCGGTGGCTCACACCTGCAATCCCAACACTTTGGGAGGCCGAGGCAGCCAGATCACCTGAGGTCGGGAGTTCGAGACCATCCTGGCCAACATGGTAAAAACCTGTCTCTACTAAAAATAAAAAAATTAGCCTGGTATGGTGGCACGTACCCGTAGTCCCAGCTACTCAGGAGGCTGAGGCAGGAGAATCGCTTGAACCCGGGAGGCAGAGGTTGCAGTGAGTTGAGATCACGCCACTGCACTCCTGCCTGGGCGACAGAGCTAGGCTCTGACTCAAAAAAATAAATAAAAATAATGAAATAAATAAATGAGTAAAAATAAATTATCTTCTTTATTTCCTTCCTCTATTCTCTCCACTGTCTTTCAATGTTTCTATTTTATTGTCACTTGATCAGTTTGCTTTCTCCATCAAGAATATGACATCAGGAAAATAGTACAAATGTTGGAACTTCACAAACCTGATTTTAATCCTGCCCTGCCCACTAGCTGTATAAGTTGAAATGTCACTTAACTCTGCTAAGTCTTGGTTTCTACACCTTTGAACAGTTACTACTTCCTACTTTGAAAAGATGTGCCATTCAATGAGTCAATGTGTTCATTCTTAAATGTTTATTCATCTTTTGCCAAGTGCCAAGCACAGTGTGGGCACTAGACCAATAAAAACACTTCTGTGTGTTCCAGGTACTTTATATTAATTGACTCATGTTACTATCAGCATTTCACAGATGAGGAAACTGAGGCATGGAGGGATTCAGCATCTTGCTTCCAAAGGTAGTATCAGGCTGTGCCTAGAGACCAAGCCCTTACTCTATGCCAGTGGTCCCCAACCTTTTTGGCACCAGGGAACGGTTTCCTGGAAAACAATTTTTCCACAGACTGGGGTTGGGTGGGGGGAGTTTCAGGATGATTCAAGCGCATTGCATTTATCGTACACTTTATTTCTATTATTATTACATTGCAATACATAACAATTATACAACTCACCAAAATGTAGAATCAGTGGGAGCCCTGAGCTTGTTTTCCTACAACTAGACGGTCCCATCTGAGGGTGACGGGGAACAGTGACAGATCGGCAGGTGCTGGATTCTCATAAGCAGCGGACAACCTACATCCCTCGCGTGGGCAGTTCACAATAGGGTTCGCACTCCTATGAGAATCTAATGCCACCGCTGATCTAACAGGAGGTGGGGCTCAGGCAGTAACGGAAGCAATGGGAAGCGGCTGTAAAAACAGATGAAGCTTAGCTTGCTGGCCCGCCGCTCACTTCCTGCTGTGCAGCCTGGTTCCTAACAGGCCACAGAACGATACTGATCTGTGGCCCAGGGGTTGGGGACCGCTGCTCTATGCCATACATGAGGAAGAAAACAAAGTCCGTGCCTTCCTGAGACTTTCATTCCAAACGTGAAATCTGGAAGACTCTGGGACAGTTTGTGATAGACAAATGGTTCCTCTTTCCTTCCCCCAATTCCATGGCTAAAAGGGAGAATCACAAAATAAAACAGGAGAGAGGCAATCTGAGAGCTACCCCATTTCAACTCCCTCCCTCTTTTAATAAGGAAACCAAGAGCAGTGAGCACTTGTTCTGTCACAGGTGCACTCACTCACCTTAATCCATAGGTCAGTGACTCTCAAACTTGAACAAGCTTCAGAATCACCTACAGGGCTCATGAAAATAGTTTGCCTAGTCATTCCCAGAATTCCTGATTCAGGAGGTCTAGGGTGAAGCCCGAGAATTTGCATTTCTGACAAGTTCCCAGGTGATGCTGAGGCCGCCACTGCTGCTGGTGCTGCCCCAGCTACCACACATGAGAACCACCGTCACAGAACAACTCCACAAAACAGGTTATTTTTGTTCCCATTTTACAGATGAGGAAACTGAGCATCAGGAAAGGTAGGTTTCTTACCAGAAAGAAGCTACACCACTAGACTGCCAGACAGGATTTGAACCCAGATCTGCCTGACTCTAAAGCCCATGCTGCTTCCACGACACCAAAGTTAAGAGATCTAACATTCTCGGCCCGATGCGATGGCTCATGCCTGTAATCCCAGCACTTTGGGAGGCCGAGGCAGGTGATCACCTGAGGTCAGGAGTTCGAGACCAGCCTGGCTAACATGGTGAAACCCCATCTCTACTAAAAATACAAAAATTAGCCAGGCATGGTGGCAGGCACCTGTAATCCCAGCTACTCAGGAGGCTGAGGCAGGAGAATCGTTTGAATCCAGGAGGCGGAGGTTGCAGTAACCTGAGATTGTGCCACTGTACTCCAGCCTGGGCAACAGAGTGAGACACCATCTCCAAAAAAAAAAGTCTAGGATTTCTCCATTACCATTACATGTCTACTCTTTTTTTTAATTTTTTTTTTTTTTTTTTTTTTTGAGACAGGGTCTCTGTCGCCCAGGTTGGAGTGCAATCATGGTTCACTGCAGCCTTGACCTCCCAGGCTCAAGAGATCCTCCTGACTAAGCCTCCCAAGTAGCTGGGACTAGAGGTACAACACCGTGCCCAGCTAATTTTTTCTATTTTTTGTAGAGATGAGGCCTCACTATGTCTGCCTCAGCCTCCCAAAGTGCTGGAATTACAGGCATGAACCACCACACCCAGCCCTACTGTATTTTAGAACTTCTGTTCTTGAAAAGCAAAGTCAAGTTCCCTGTAAGTGCATAATATATTCTCATTTTCAATGAGAACAGAAGATGGTTTGTAAAAGCTATTTTTAAGTGTCCCTATTTGCCCAGTAATTCCTCTTCTAGAAATCTATGAGAATAATTCAAAATATAGCCCAAAACACAAAGGCATTAAGTGTTCAGCAAAACACTGAGAATCTAAATAACCAATATAAAGAGATTGGTTAGGCCGTGCAGCGTGCTCACGCCTGTAATCCCGGCACTTTAGGAGGCCGAGGCGGGCAGATTACCTGAGGTCAGGAGCTTGAGACCAGTCTGGCCAACATGGTGAAACCCCGTCTCTAGTAAAAATACAAAAATTAGCCAGGCGTGATGGCATGTGCCTGTAGTCCCAGCTACTCAGGAGGCTGAGGCAGGAGAACTGCTTGAACCCAGGAGGTGGAGGTTGCAGTGAGCCGAGATCACGCTATTGTACTCCAGCCTGGGTGACAGAGCGAGACTCCATCTCAAAGAAAACAAACAAAATAAATAAATAAAAATAAAGAGACTGGTTAAATAAATTATTATATATCCAAATGATGAAATATTATGAAGCCACTGAAAATTATTTATTTAGAATGTTTGAAACATCAAAGTATTTATGATACAACACTAAATAAGGAAGAGCACAGAACTAAATTCAGTAAGTACTCAATGTTTATAAAAATATTGAAAAAAGACTGAAAGGAAATAAGCTAGACTAACAATACTTCCCTGCTTCTAATAATTTTCAATACATTCCACCCTTTCTACTACAACGAGCTTTCTTAGTCAAAAAAAAAAAAAATGCACTCTGTTTGTTGACTAAATACTTTCAAGACTCTTTTACAGTTAGTCAATTCCTGAAAAGCCAGGAAAATCAAAATTGTGAATTTTAAGGCTAATATTTAATTCCAGATTACATTTCCCCTGACCCTAGAATATACATTTTTAAAGTTAAAAAAAGGAAAAAAACGCAAATGATAATTATTATAAATACATAGAAAAAAAGGCTATAAAAATGACTAGAAATATGACAAAAGGGATTAATTTTGGTTGGTGGAATTATATGGCTTTTAAGTCTTAACAGTGTTTATTACATTTTCTACAATGAACATCTATCACTTTTGTAATTTAAAAAAAGTATTTGCTATCTTTCTTTTTAAGAGACAACCATCAAGCAAATTATATCACATCTATACGATGGAATATTAATAGACATTTTTAAAAAGTTGTAGAATATTTAATAATATAAAAAAAGGTCTGATATATTATTAGCTGACCATACTATAGAACAGTATGTTCAGAATGATCCCATCGTTTTGTTTAAAAACAAACAAAATATCCATGTATACACAGAAAACACCTTGGCAGGAAACAGACCAAAATATTAATAGTGTTTTATTCTAGGTAGTAGGATTAGAGATTATTTTAATTTTCTTATTTTTGCTTCTGTTTTGGTCAGTTTTCCTCTACTGAATATGAATTACTTTTCCAATATGAAAAAAAAAAAAAGTTTTAAAAAAAATCTAGGTTAAACAAAAAGTTACCTTGTTAAACAAAAAGTTACCTTGTTAAACAAAAAAGAGACAAAGACAAGCAGGGGCATCTTACTGAAAGAACTTCCTTTACAAAGATTTCCAGCCCCACTCCAGCTCTAATGTTTAAATCCATAAACTACTTGTCTTCTAACATCACCAGGTCAGTAAGCATCAACCCTTCCTGCTGTTCCAGACTTAGTCATGCTGGAGGAAGACATGAAATCCAGCAGCAGAGGCCACCCCTCAGGACTGGGTGCGGTGGCTCACCCCTTTAAACAAGACCCTGGTGGGGAAAAAAAAAATCTAACCACCGTCTAAAGCTATGGAACTGATTACAAGTAAATATAATTTACAATCATTTGATTAAGAAAATGCACTATTTACGTTGCAAATAACACAATACCTACAGAATTATACTCTCAGACTTGGCAGAGACCTCTAAGATCATCTGAAGACAATTTCCAAGACCCTGTCTTTAGGATGCTTTGTAAATATTGACTGGAAACAATAACAGAGATGTCACACCACAGAATCTTAAGTAAACAGTTCAAAAGCCTGGCTTCCTGTTTATACAACTGTAAGTCACCTTATTGCTAGCTACAAGGTTATTCAGCATTCTGATTTAATCTAAGAATTTCTTTATTTTATGCATAATAAAAGGGACTACAAAGAACAGCTGAAAAGCCAGAAGACAAAGGAACAAAAATAAACAATGACGTGTATTCCAACCCAAACAATGAGAAATCTATGCAACTAGACTATCAGTTCAATCTATTTCCAGGTCGCTATCCTCACTGTGACACGTGGCAGAGTTACGCACAGATGTCAGCACCAAGACTTCCTTTTCTGGGAGTAATCCAAATTCCTGGAGAAAAGCTTCAAGGTCCACAGCAAAGAAATCATCCCCCAGCTGGTCAGTAACACGAACAAAATTGCCGATCAATTCACCCCCCTTATAGATCAGCAGGGCAGGAAGGGCATTCCTGGTGAACTGACTGCTGGCGCCAATAACTGAGCTCTTCACCTTGCAGAACTTGACAGCTGGGTACTCTGCGGCAAGGCAGATCATGCAACCATTCATGGCTTCGGTCCCTGGAATGCCATCCTCATAAATATGAACCATGATGACAATGCTTTTCTGTTCTTTATCAATCATGTCTAAAAACCCTTCTCCACTGGAGATCTCAAAAACCTGCTTGAATTGGGGCCCCTTGTGAAGCTGCTGCCGCATCTCTTCCATTCGCTGCTTCCGGTACTGCTGCAGAAACTCTTCATCATCTTGGTCCTCATTCATTATGGCAAACTCCTTCAGAGTCATCTGCAGGCGGACCAGCAAGTGAGCATAAATATGAAAACTGAACACTCGTGATAACAGTTAATATGGGCCGGGCGCGGTGGCTCACGCCTGTAATCCTAGCACTTTGGGAGGCTGAGACGAGCGGATCACTTGAGGTCAGGAGTTCAAGACCAGCCTGGCCAACATGGCAAAGCCTCATCTCTCCTTAAAAAAAAAAAAAAAAAAAAAAGTTAGCAGGGCATGGTGGTGTGCACCTGTGGTCCCAGCTACACTGGAGGCTGAGGCACAACAAGAATCACTTGAACCTGGGAGGCAGAGGTTGCAGTTAGCCAAGATCACACCAGTGCACTCCAGCCTGGGAGACAGGGTGATACCCTGTCTCCAAAAAAATAAAAAGAAATAAAACAGTTAACATGTACTACATGCTGATAATATATAAGGCACCATGCTAAGTACTTTACATGCATTATATCTCACTGAATTCCATAACTCCATCGGGAAGGGACTTTTAATAGCCCCACTTTATAAATGAGGTTCCAAAACTTGACATTATTTGAACAAGTTCACCCAGTAAGCATAAGACCAGTACTCAAACTAGATTTTAAAAACCCATGTTTTTAACTACAATATCACATTTCCTCTCAATCCAAATAGGCAGCATCATATAATCTCACTTCATGAGCTTATTTCTTTTTGTCAGTCTTGACAATATTTTATCTACTTTTTTTTTGAAAGATAACAAGACATTACAGAATTTTAGAAAAAACTCTCATAACCCCTGCCCCACACCATCCCCAAACACACACACACACACAGAGTCATATGGACTCTAAAAATTATTTTTATTACCAGTCATACTAAAATAGTTTTGCTTTTATAGCAGCAGCTGTGGGTGTACCAATTAAGCCATAACCTGCTTTCGAGACTTAGCACGATTATAAGTATTTCCTCATGTTTCCAAATATTTTTATGAAATTATATATAATGTGTCACTTTGCTTAATCACTTCCCTAATTCTGCCAGACAGTTTCCAATTCTGTTCTATTGCAGATAAATCAGCAGGACGGGAACAGCCTCTCACAAGACTGATCCATGTGATGATATGATGTTGCCTCATTCTGGCCTCTCACCTCAGTATCAGGAAGCAGCTGTGAGCAGCAGGCACAATGCCCAAGAGACAGCTTAAGCTACGAAAGCATCTTACCCCTGCCCCGGTGCAGCAAGACATCCTCGCTCCTCTCATAAAACCTAACTCTGCCTAATGTTGCATAGATTAGGGAACAGGGAGTGGGAGATCACACTAGATCAGAACACGTTGTTACTTTATCATAACCAGCAACATTCTGAGTTCACTATTTTACTTATTGCCAATTTTCCTCCCATCTTGCAGCCCTCCACTTCAACTCAGTCTACCAGAGTGGCTTCTTCTGACCTATTGAAGTCTTTGGCTAAGTGTAATGTCCTAAAATCAGCCTCCTGGTCAAGGTGAATGATTCCCAGCTTAATCCTCTTATCTGCTCCCTGATCCTGTGTGGTATTTTAGCTTTGGGCCATAACTAAATGATCTCAGGCACTCACAGACATTCGTCCACACTCAGAGGGCATCCAGAGAAACAGTGAATCCCTTTTAATACTGATAGGATAAGAGGCCATCACGGGCCGGGCACCACGGCTCACGCCTGTAATCCTAGCACTTTGGGAGGCTATGGTGGGAGGGTCCCTTGACCTCAGGAGTTCCGAGACCAGCCTGGGCAACATAGACCCTGTCTCTATTAAAAAAAAAAAAAAAAAGGCCATCAGGTGCCTACTTCCAAATATCTTCCAGAGTATCTGTTTGCTTATTATAATGCCTCCTTAGAATAAATTCTCATGAATAGGCTTCAGATGAAATAGCAACATCATGGAAGAAACAGGAGTATTTGGGTTAGAACCCTAGCGCCTACTAGAATTTACCAGTTGCATTGCCCTGAACAAGCCTCTAATGCCCTCTAAGCATTGCTTCCATTATCTGTAAGAAGGGGATAATACCACCACCCTAAGAGGGTTATTTCTGGCCCAAGATAAAACCTCAATAAAAGAAGGGAAACTAAAATTTACTGAGCACTTTCAATGGGCCAGACACTGTGATGGGCATATTAACAACACAGCCCTGCACGGGGAGGATACATCATTTAACCATTGAAACACCAGATTCAGAAGGGAAGAGACTCTCCCACAGTCACTAGTAGCAGAACTGAGATCCAAAGCTGGGTGGGTTTGAGTTTTGACAGGGCTCTATGATTTCTCCTGCACTGCACAACTTCTTGGAGGTCAAATCAAGCATCCTCCACCTCTTGAATCACTCACCCAGCTCTAGCAGCCACAGCAGACTCTAAGAAAAGCCTGAGTACTGCTAATTACCTTCCCACTGATCTTCTCCTGGAGGTCTTTCTGTTTCTGTTGCTCCTCCTCTTCATCCAGATGGGACCTGCAAGTCATTGACAGCTTCTTGATCAGCCTTTCCATCTCCCGGCACTGCTCCTCCCTCTGCTCTGTCTCCAACTGCTTGAAGCGGCGCCAGTCATTGATCACACCTTTTGGGCCTGAGTAGGGTGAACACGGATGTGACCAAGGAGAATGGGCAGGGAATTATGGACCAGCTGACATCTGTAGGTAGGAGTTCACATCTGCCTGAAGCTTGCTCCATCTACTGCACAATTATCATAGGGACTCTGTGTACTCTGCCACAGGGCAGAGTGGCCTATACACAATGATGTACCCTGCAACAAGGGCCAAGCTAATGCCCAACATTAGGAGATGAGTTTAAAAAATTATCATCTACCTACTCAAAGGAAAATAAAGCAACTCTTAGAGTAAAGCAGCTCTGTGTTTCCTGCCATTAAAGATATTCCAAATATATGAGGTTATTACAAAAGCAAAATTTAGAATATCACGGTACAATCCTCTAGTTTCTATTAAAAAAGACCTGTATGTATATACATAATTTATGTACATAGATATGCATACATGTTTGTATATACACTTGTGTGTTTATAGAATAAGAGCTTGCAGGATATGTAAGCTGTTAACAGTGGTTGTCTCCAGGTAGTAGGATCTAAGCAACTGGTGAGAGAGATCTTTTACTTTTTTCTTTCTGTACTTCTATATTATCTGAATTTTTTTTTTTTTTTTTGAGATTGAGTCTTGCTCTGTGGCCCAGGCTGGGGTGCAATGGCGCGATCTCGGCTCACTGCAACCTCCACCTCCCAGGTTCAAGCAATCCCCCTGCCTCAGCTTCCCGAGCAGCTGGGACTACAGGCATGCGCCACCATGCCCAGCTAATATTTGTATTTTTAGTAGAGACAGGGTTTCACCATGTTGGCCAGGATGGTCTCCAACTCCTGACCTCAGGTGATCCGCCCGCCTCGGCCTCCCAAAGTGCTATGGGATGATGGGCATGAGCCACCGCACCTGGCCTCTGAATTTTTTATAACAATTTTTTTATAACAAGATTGTAATACAACCTGTTCTGTTATTCCAGCTACCCTTAACCCGTCAAGCCCTGTGCTGCCGAAGGACTTATATGTCCTTGCACCTTGCTATGTGACTTGTGGTACCTCCTGTGGGATGAGTACATATATCCCCAGCCCATTGAGGCTGGGCTTGACTATGCGACTTGCTGGCCAATGGGATTGTGAGCAAATATGAAGTATGCCATGTCTGAGCAAAACAAAAAGTATGCCGTGTATGAGCCATTCCATGTTTCCAACAGCTCCTCTCTTGCTCTCTATGCTTCGCCATGAAAACGGTGTGTCCTAAATAGAGGGACACAGCCAAACTGAGGCTGTTATTCTTTCAGCCTAGCTCCTAGATGAAAGAACATACGAAACATAAGCAGGGCTGCCATTGACCTACAGGCTGCATGTAACGTGAATGAGAAATAAACCTTTGTTGCCATAAGCCACTAAAGCTTTGGAGTCTATTGGTTTCACAGAAAAAAAATATACAAATCTATATGAAGACAACTTTAAAATGCTCCCAAAAAATACTTGAAAGACTTGAATAAATGGAAAAGCAATACCATGTTCCTGAACAGACATACTCAACATCACAAAAGTGCCAATGATCCCTAAATTAATCTATATATTTAATGCATTCCCAATGAAAATACATGAACACACATATGTGTCCGGCTCCTAAATTTCCTTTGGAAAAAATAAAGCAAAAGTTAATTGAAGAGGGTCTAGCCTCACCAAATACTAAAATATAACACTACAATAATTAAAAACAGTATGACACAGCCCAGTAAAAGACAAATCAATGGAAGAGACCACATAGTACAGCTAAAGACCCAACATAAACAGAGAAATTCAGTACATAATAAAAGTGACATCTCAAGATAATAAAGATGGCTTATTCACTAAGCAGTACTGAAACAACTGAGTAGCAATCTAAAAAAAAATTAAACTGGAGCCCTACTGCACCCTGCATCAAAGTGAATTCCACATGAATCAATATTTAAGTGTAAAAAATGAAATCACAAAAATACTAATGAAAAGTATAGGAGAATCTTTTTTTTTTTTTGGAGACAGAGTCTCACTCTGTTGCCCAGGCTGGAGTACAGTGGCATGATCTTGGCTCACTGCAACCTCTGCCTCCGGGGTTCAAGCAATTCTCCTTCCTCAGCCTCCCGAGTAGTTGGGCCTACAGCCGCATGCCCCCACACCTGGCTAACTTTTTGTATTTTAGTAGAGACGGGATTTCACTGTGTTGCCCAGGCTGGTCTCGAACTCCTGAGCTCAGGCAGTCCACCCGCCTCAACCTCCCAAAGTGCTAGGATTACAGGCGTGAGCCACTGTGCTCAGCCAGGAGAACCTTTTTATACAGCAAAGTGAGGCCCTTTATAAAGTAGGGTGAAGAAACGCCTTTTAAGTAAAATGCAAAATTAAGAAACTATAAAATACTTTTAAGTACATAAAAATAAAATTTTTCATCCAGGAAAAGAACAAAAGAATATAAAGTCAAAAGACAACAACAAACTGAAAGAAATATTTACCACTCATATCACAGATTAATTTCCTTTATAGCTCCCCAAGAAGAAAAAAAACACCTAATTTTTTAAATGAGCAAAGGATATAAAAATCTCTCTTAAAATTATGAAAAGAAGTTTAGGTTCCCTCTTAAAAATAAATATGGGCCCAGTGCATTGGTTCATGCCTATGGGACGCTGAGGCAGATGATCGCTTGAGGCCAGCAGTGTGAGGCCAGCCTGGGCAACAAAGTGAGACCCCATCTCTACAAAAAATAAAGAAATAAATTAGCTGGGCACGGTGGCAAGCGCCTGTGGTCCCAGCTACACGTGGTCCCAGCTTTTTAAGAGAGGAACCTCATGGAAGCTGAGGCAGAAGGATCATTTGAGCTCAGGAAGTTGAGGCTGCAGTGAGCCATTATGGCACCAAGGCACTCCAGCCTGAGCAACAAGGTGAGAACTTGTCTTAAAAAACAAAAAAACAAAACAAAACAAAAAAAAGGTGGTGGGGGCGGAAATAAACCTACAATGAATTACTACAATAGCAAAGATCAAGGAGTTTCATAACACAGTAGGAGGTCAAGTGTACGGAGAAACACAGATTGCTGATTAAACTATAAACTACTGCCACCTCAACTCAACTGACAGCAATTTGACAATATTAAAATGTACAAGTGTAAATATGCCATTTTTAGGAATTTGCACTACCCATATACTCATACTTGTGATTTATGAGATATCAAACTGTTAATACGAGATGCAGGATTCAAATCCAGGCCAGTCTGTGTTCATTACCATGCTGCTATGCACATACATTTGTATTGTGCACTAAAAGGCTAGAAGCACACATAATGAAAAGACTAGGTTACCTCTGAAAGTGGGACCAGAGTTAAAAGTGATCAGGAGAATTAATTTATTAATATGTATTTAATTAATATGTATTTAATGTACATTTTTTAAGCCTGTTCCCAGAGCCCAGGGTTTCTCAGTACCTGTGTTAACTGAGATGCCTTCGCCTGCCAGCTCAGCCTCTGCAGGCACAGAACTGCTGGCTGGGGCACATCTGCCTCGGTCCTTGTCCTCGTGGTCACTGTCCTCATCCTCACTGCTGCTATAGTAGTACTGCAGTTTCTCCCCCAGCAACTTATCATCAAGGGTGGTCATGGTGTCTGGAAAAAGAAAGCATATCAGGTTCTTTGCTGATTTGAGCCAGACAGACATGAATCTGAAGCATAGGGGGCTCGCCTGTGCTGAGATCCTACAATTTCCAGGACACTAAAGTGATTATTTTCATAACCAAAATCTTAACAAATCCCTACCGTTACCCTGTGTGTTAGGGCTTATCACACTCTTTAACAGAAGGTAAAACTGAAGCTCAGATAAAGGAAGAGTCTTCACCAAGCTTAACAGCGAATGACGGAGCTGGGACCAGACCCCAGGGATTCCTGACTCCAAGAGCCTGAGGTATAAATTACTCTAGTCTGAGTTAAGTGTACAAGCCACCTGCACTGGCTTGGAGGAATCTACTGACTAGTGGTTTTATCTGTGCTTTTAGTTTTCCCACCAGCTAAGACTGCTGCCTAATTGAAAAATTGTTTAAGTATCCTCAGGAAAAACCCCAAAAAGAGGCATCAAGAGTACAATGCTGAGTCACTATTTGTCTAGGCAATCACTCTCTGTCACCAGCCTTCAACTTCCCAGACAACACCCTGAGGGCTTGGATGGATGGTCTCTGAAACGCTACCTATTCTGACAGTTTAAAAGAAGGGCCCATACAAAGATTTTAATAACTCCCAAGGGTTTAAAGGACTATGATGGCCGGGCTCGCGCAGGTAATCCCAGCACTTAGGGAGGCCGAGGAGGGAGGATCACTTGAGACCAGGTATTCGAGACCAGCCTGGCTAACATGGCGAAACTCTTGTCTCTACTAGTAAAAGCAAACAAACAAACAAACAAAAATTAGCCAGGTGTGGTGGCGGGTGTCTGTTTTCCCAGCTACTCAGGAGGCTGAGGCACGAGAATCTCTTGAATCCGGGAGGCGGAGGTTGCAGTGAGCCAAGATCACGCCACTGCACTCCAGCCTGGGAGACAGAGCGAGACTCTGTTTCAAAAAAAAATAAAAACTAAAAATATAAAGGACCAGGCTTCTGCATCAGAAGTAGCCAAGGGCATTCTGATGAAAAGATGCAGCTTAGCCCCCAGAGGCCTGCTTGAGAATTCAGCAGGAATGCGGCTGCCTTAAAGACTTATCACCGGGCCTATCATACTCCATTTACAAAGTGACTCTCTCCCACCGGGCAAGGAGTTCTTGAACGTAGGGACCTCTAGTCACTACCTCTATCCCCAAAGCCCAGCACAATGCCGCTGCACAATTTGCTAAACTCGCAGCCTGGGTCAACGGGAGAATCGGAGGACTCCAGCAGTCAGATGCAAAGGAGACAGGGATCATGGAGAGACAGGTGGAGGTGCCAAGAAGGAACAAAACCAAACTTAAGGCCCAGGAATGGGCCAAGCGGGGGACACAGCAGCGGCGGAGGGGAGGGAAGGAGTTGCGCTCCTAAAGGAGGGACCGCTGCGGGGAGGAGACGAGGGCGGGCCCCCTGGAGACGCGAGCAGAGGAGGCGGGGCCCCCGGACGGGAAGCAGAGGGGTGTGTGGAGCTTTTGGGGGAAGGCTGGAAGGGCCCGGGGGAGGTGGGGCCAGAGGAGGAAAGGGGACGAGGAAGACGCGGAGAACTTGGGGGTCGAGACAGAGCGAAGAAGGGGCAGTTTTACCCAAGCTCGCCAACCCCACTCCCTCCCGTAGTCCGCAGCTGCTGCCGCTTCCCGGTGGACCCCAATGCAGTTACCTGCCCTAGCTCGCTCCGGATCCCTTTGGGCCAGCAGCTCCGGGCGCCGGAAGGAATGGAGCACTTTCTTAAGAGGAAGAGCAGTGGGTCAGCGCCCTGAGCGCTAAAGAGAAAAGCCGCCGAAGCCCGACAGCGCGGACCAATGAGGCGGCCTTCCTGCGTCGTGGCGGACGCGCATTGTCCAATCAGAAGCCGCTACTCCCAGCTGAGGGGCAGGGGAGAAGCTACGGGTCCTACCTTGGAACAAAACACCTCGACAACAACGCTCTCCTAATTGCTTTGTTTTGGTTTTAATCTGCACAACAAAAAAGTGAATTGTATGACCCAGCGTCAAGCAATAAGAAAAATGTATTCACAGGCCGGGCGCGGTGGCTCACGCCTGTAATGCCAGCACTTTAGGAGGCCGAGGCGGGCGGATCACTTAAGGTCATGAGTTCAAGACCAGCCTGGCCAACACGTTGAAAACCCGTCTCTACTAAAAATACAGAAATTAGCCGGGCCTGGTGGCCGACGCCTGTAATCCAAGCTACTCGGGAGGCTGAGGCAGGAGAATCGCTTAAACCCAGGAGGCAGAAGTTGAAGTGGGCCGAGATCGCGCCACTGCACCCCAGCCTGGGCGACAGAGCGAGACTGTCTCAAAAAAAAAGAAAGAAAGAAAAGAAAAATGTATTCACTTCCCTTCGAAGTTTCCGAAGCCATTCAAAGTGTGTTTTTTATTGGTTCTTCATCGCATCACGTCTATTAGACGGAAAAGTGACTCAGAGACGTTCGGTAATTTGCCCGAGAGCACAAATCCCTCAAGTACAGGGCATAGATTAAAATATATATATATATTTTTTTGACGGAGTTTCGCTCTTCTTGCCCAGGCTGGAGTGCAGTGACGCGATCTCGGCTCACTGCAACCTCCGCCTCCCGGGTTCAAGAGATTCTCCTGCCTCAGCCTCCAGAGTAGCTGGGATTACAGGCGTCCGCCAGCAGACCCGGCTAATTTTTTCTATTTTTAGTAGAGACGGGGTTTCACCATTTTAAAGAAGCGGCAGCCAGGAGTGGTGGCGCGCGCCTGTAGTCCCAGCTACGCAGGAGGCTGAGGCGGGAGGATCGCTCAGCCCAGGACTTGGAGGCCAGCCTGGGTGACAGAGCAGGAATGTAATGTGAAATCCGGAATTGGCTCCTGGTATAGAAAAAGGACATGGGGCCGGGTGCGGTGGTTCACTCCTGTAATCCCAGCACTTTGGGAGGCCGAGGCGGGCAGATCACCTGAGGTCAGGAGTTCGAGACCAGCCTGGCCAACATGGCGAAACCCCGTCTTTACTAAAAATACAAAAATTAGCCGGGCATGGTGGTGCACACTTGTAATCCCAGCTACTCGGAGGCTGAGGCAGGAGAATCGCTTGAACCCGGGAGGCGGAGGTTGCAGACAGCTGAGATCGCACCACTGCACTCCAGCTTGGGGGTCAAGACTGAGACTCCGTCTCAAAAAAGAAAAATAAAAAGGACATGAATGGGACAACTGACGAAATTTGAATAAGGCCTATTAATTCATATTAGTAGTATTGTATCAATAGTTTTAATAATTATACTATGTAAGATGTGAACTTTTGGAGATTCTATTAGATGAAGAATCTAGGGAAGCACTATCCTATTTTTGCAACTTTGTTTTCTTCTTCCAGGGTAAAGCCATACTATGATATTTTGCAACTTTTTTTTCTTTTTCCTCAGGCATACTTTGTCGTCTGTTTTTGCAACTTTTTTAAAACCTAAAATGATTTCAAATTCTGAGCCCTTGTTGAAGTATCCAATACACAACCGTGAAGTTGCTCATAGAAAGCTTTGGGTAAATTGAATCATAGAAAATATTCTAGAAAGATACACTGTTTAAAATAGGGCTCTTAATTTGGGGTAGGGGATCTTAATTTGTGGTTCTAGGACCACCTGAAATTGTCTGCAAATTTCTGTACCTGCCTGTTTTCAGAGAGGCTGTTTGCTGAGGCCCTCAGAGGAGTCAAAAAATACCACACACAAACACACACCCATTCAAGAATACTGTATTAATAAGTCCGTTTTCATACTGCTGTAAATAAATAACCCAGTGTCAGGCAGTTCATACTGCTATAAAGAACTGCCCGACACTGGTTTATTTATTTATTTATTTATTTAAGACGGAGTCTTACTCTGTTGCCAAGGCTGGAGTGCAGTGGCGCAATTCTCGGCTCACTGCAATCTCCGCCTCCCAGGTTACAGGCTCCCGCCACCACGCCCGGCTAATTTTTGTATTTTTTAGTAGAGACGGGGTTTCACCGTGTTAGCCAGGATGGTCTCGATCTCCTGACCTCGTGATACACCCGCCTCGGCCTCCCAAAGTGCTGGGATTACAGGCGTGAGCCACCGCGCCCGGCCATATTCAACCTTTTTTAAAAAAAGTAGAAATGGGGTCTTGCTATGTTGCCCACGTTGGTCTCAAATTCAGACCTTTTAATATATTCAGTCTCCTGGTTGTATAGATATAGTGATGTCTTTGTTGGGAATGTAGCTTGCATCTGTCAGGAATATGTGTACATGAGTTAGCTATCTAATAATATCCAACAGAACCACTCATTTTTCCTGTTAGAAATGTGGAATGGGCCAGGCATGGTGGCTCACACCTGTAATCCCAGCACTTTGGGAGGCCGAGGTGGGCAGATCACGAGGTCAAGAGATCAAGACCATCCTGGCCAATATGGTGAAACCCCGTCTCTACTAAAAATACAAAAATTAGCTGGGCATGGTGGCGCACGCCTGTAGTCTCAGCTACTGGGGAGGCTAAGGCAGGAGAATCGCTTGAACCCAGGAGGTGGAGGTTGCAGTGAGCTGAGATTATGCCACTGTACTCCAGCCTGGCAACAGAGTGAGACTCCGTCTCAAAAAAAAAAAAAAGAAATGTGGAATGATGTGGATAATGAAGTTTCTGTTTAATGAGCATACTGTATGTAATTTATAGTTTTAAAGGTATTTTACCGCTACTGTAAGGTTTTTGTTGGGCTGTTTATCAGTAGAGTATATTAAAGGTATTCCCTAGTGGGGAAAACAACCCATGAGCTGTCTTGTGACGGCTAAAGCATTTATCTTTAAGCAAGGGAAACCTTGATCCAACCAGATTTATAGGCTATTTTTAAAAATATTTAAAATTTTGAAGTAACTGAATGAAATTCATATATAAGTGATTAAATAGGCCGGGCACGATGGCTTATGCCTGTAATCCCACCATTTTGGGAGGCTGAGGCAGGCAGATCATTTTAGGCCAGGAGTTCAAGACCAGCCTGGCCGACATGGTGAAACCCCATCTCTACTAAAGATACAAAAATTAGCCGGGCTGAGTGGAGCATGCCTACTGTAATCCCAGCTACTTGGGAGGCTGAGGCAGGAGAATCACCTGAACCCGGTAGAAGGAGGTTGCAGTGAGCTGAGATCATGCCACTGCACTCCAGCCTGGGAGACAGAATGAGACTCCATCTCCACAAAAAAATAAATAAATAAATAGCTAGATAAATAAATAAAATAAATGATTAAATTCCTTGAAGCATGAGTTCCAAGACTTGATCCACTCTTACAGTTTTTCCAAATCATAACAGAGGCAAAACAAGATTTGGTCTTACAATGAGTTTCTCATGTTAGATTTTTTCTACCAATATTTTTGTAAATTTAGAACAAATTTGTCCTGTTACTTTATTTTTTCTATAAGAATTAAAGGTCCAGAGATGATTTTGAATGACACCAAACCATATGAGGACTGTTTGAGATAAACAGCTTGCCCATCTGTCTTGTCTTTTCTTTCTTTTTCTTCATTTCCTGAATTCTTTTATTTTTCTTTTCCTTCCCTTCCTTTCTCTTCCCTTGTGCCTTTTCTGCTCCCTCTCCTTTTGTCCTTTCCCCTCCCTTGTTTCTCTTTCTTTCTCTCTCACCTTAACTTTCCTTCTCTGGTGGTGGTGGTGGTGTGTGTATGGCAGGGTGTTCCATCTGTTGCAACAGAATGTCTTTCTTATTTAAAAATCAGATTAAACAACCTTTTTTTTTTCTTTTTTGAGACAGAGTCTCGCTCTGTCACCCAGGCTGGAGTGTAGTGGTGCGATCTCGGCTCACTGCAACCTCCGCCTCACAGTTTCAAACAATTCTCCTGCCTCAGCCTCCTGAGTAGCACACGCTCCTGATTACAGGCACGCGCCACCACACCCGGCTAATTTTTGTATTTTTAGTAGAGACAGGGTTTCACCATGTTGGTCAGGCTGGTGTCGAACCCCTGACCACATGATCCGCCCACCTTGGCCTCTCAAAGTGCTGGGATTACAGGCGTGAGCCACACTGCACCCAGCCTAAACAACGTTTTTTTGTATTAATGAAGAGAAAACCAGTAAAGATAAGAACCACTTCCTTATATAATAGTCAGATTCTCTCTGTCTCTCTCATTTGTTTTCAAATTTTAAAAGTGGTATCTTGGCCGGTGCAGTGGCTCACACCTATAAACCCAGCAGCACTTTGGGAGGCTGAAGCAGGCAGATCACCTGAGGTCAGGAGTTTGAGATCAGCTTGGCCGGTGAAACCCTGTCTCTACTAAAAATATAAAAATTAGCTGGGCATGGTGGCATGCACCTGTAATCCCAGCTACTCAGAAGGCTGAGGAAAGAAAATTGCTTGAAGTCAGGAGGTGGAGGTTGCAGTGAGCTGAGATTGCACCACTCTAGCCTGGGTAATAGAGTGAGACTCCCTCTTAAAAAAAAAAAAAAAGTGGTATCTTTGATATGGCCTTTAATTTTAATTTTTTAAGTGAGTATTTTTTTAGATGTTGGATTGTCTATAAGCAACAATTAAATTACTATTTTCCCCTTTTTTTCTTTTTAGAGACAGGGTCCCACTCTGTCACCCAGGGAGGAGTGCAGTGGGATGACCATAGCTCACTGTGGCCTAACCTCTGGGGCTCAAGCCATCATCCCACTCAGCCTTCAAGTAGCTAGGACTGTAAGCGTGAGCCACCATGCCTGGCCTTTTTTTTTTTTTTTTTTTTTTTGAGACAGAGTCTTGCTCTGTCGCCCAGGCTGGAGTGCAGTGGCACGATCTCAGCCCACTGCAACCTCCACCTCCTGGGTTCAAGCGATTCTCCTGCCTCAGCCTCCCGAGTAGCTGGGACTTCAGGCACCCATCACCATGCCTGGCTAATTTTTGTATTTTTAGTAGGGGCAGGGTTTCACCAAGTTGGCCAGGCTGGTCCTGAACTCCTGACCTCAGGTGATTCACCCATCTTGGCATCTTGGCCTCCCAAAGTGCTGGGATTACAGGCGTGAGTAACCGCACTAGCCCCCTTTTTTTTTTTAGTAGAGATGAAGTCTTGCTATGTTGCCCAGGTTAGTCTCAAATTCCTGGCCTCAAATGATCCTCCCACCTCAGCCTCCCAAAGTGCTAGGATTATAAGTGTGAGCCACTGCACCCAGCCTTAAATTTCTTTTTAAAAAAGTTTTGATTAAGAAATCAAAGAAAATCAGAAAACCTCTGCTTTTATAGTTTTAGTAACAATACTTTTAGCAACTACCTTTTTCTTTAAGTAGCCCACACCTTTAACATTTAAGGAGTAAAATCTCTTTTTAAGGAATGTTTGAGGCTGGGAGCGGTGGCTCATGCCTGTAATCCGAGCACTTTGGGAGGCTGAGGCTGGCGATTACCTGAGCTCAGGAATTCAAGACCAGCCTGGGCAACTTGGCAAAACCCCGTTTCTACTAAAAATACAAAAGAAAATTAGCCAGGTGTGGTGGCACACACCTGTAATCCCAGCTACTCAGAAGGCTGAGGCAGGAGAATGGCTTGAACCCAGGAGGTGGATGTTAGAGGTTGCAGTGAGCCGAGATCGTGCCACTGCACTCTAAGCCTAGGTGAAAAGAGTGAAACTCCATCTCAAAAAAAAATTTTTTTCTTATTTATGTACATATATATTTTAATTCCTACAAGCCAATCAGAATGGAATACCATTAATTTTTTTTTTTTTTTTTTTTTTTTTTTTTTTGAGACAGAGTCTCGCTCTGTCGCCCAGGCTGGAGTGCGGTGGCGCAATCTCGGCTCACTGCAAGCTCCACCTCCCGGGTTCACGCCATTCTCCTGCCTCAGCCTCCCAAGTAGCTGGGACTACAGGCGGCCGCCACCACGCCCGGCTAATTTTTTGTATTTTTAGTAGAGACGGGGTTTCACCGTTTTAGCCAGGATGGTCTCTATCTCCTGACCTCTTGATCCGCCCGCCTCGGCCTCCCAAAGTGCTGGGATTATAGGCGTGAGCCACCGCGCCTGGCCCGGAATACCATTAAATTTTAAGAGACCTTATAATAATAGAATATAACCTTTACTTTGTTAATATGGTCAAGTACATAGATTGATTTTCAAATGCTAAAGCAACCTTGCATTCCTGAAATAAACACTATTTGGACTTGATGTATTATACCTGATATACATAGCTAGATTTACTAACATTTTAAGGATTTTTGCATCTATGTTCATGAGAGATATTAACCTACGATTTTCTTTTTTTGTAATGTACTGTGTGGTTATGTTTATCTAATAAAACTAGTTGTAAGTTCCCTCTTCCACTTTCTGAAGTAGCTTCTGTAAAATTGGCATTATTTCTCCTTAAATATTTATTAATAATAGAATAAACCTGTGAAGCGATCTGGGCCTGGAGTTTTCTTTGTGGGAAGGTTTTTCATAATTAATTCAATTTCTTTGGTAGTTATAGGGCTATGGCAGGCAGCTTCTAAAATCGCTCCTAGGCTAATGATCAATTTATTGCCCCTCTGCTCCCAATTCGCCCTTGAATATATGCTCTTCAATAATGGATAGAATTCAGTGAAGCATTTCTCCTTTGCAGTGAGCACAGTGATGAGCTTTCTCAGTAGAGGGCACTGGAGGGGCATTGCAGGAGGAGGGGCTCTCCTACTGTTTCCCACAGTTTCGTGGTAGGTCAGTGATGTGGATGTAATGACATCCAGGGGAGCTCTTTCCCAGCCATGTGTCCAGCACATATGGTCCCTTGGTGACATTGCAACCTCAGTCTAGACCAGCAACAATTTTCCTGTGGCCCTCTCAATGCGAAAATTAGCTTTCTGAAGGCTTCCTTCCTGTCGCCTACCAGTTTCCTGTCCCCCACCAGCCAACTCTCTCTGCAGGCTCCTGTGTACCTCTCCTGCTGCCTGGAGAGTAGCTTTCTGTCTGCCAGTGACTAGTTCCAGCCTGGGCCAACTAGCGGACCTCTGGGCTGAACTATACCTTCTCCGAGGTGTGACCCTCAGCCTTGAGAAGTGGACCCCTTTCCAAGTTTGTGTTTCCTTAGGTACTCTCCCTAACCTATAGAGTACTATGTGGAATTTACTTTTAGCTGGTAGTCATTTATTAGCATTTAATGATTCTTTATATTAAGCTTTACCCCATATAACGTACTGTGTAGTTTCTACCTCCTGATTGGACACAGACTGATACTACTCCCAAAGTTCCCCGCCTCTTGGTATTCATGCCCTGTGTAATCCCTTTCCCTTGCTTCTAAGGATTAGAATACCACAAAAGTAATGGGATGTTGCTTCCAAAATTTGGTTATAAAAGACTGTGACGTCTTTTTAGCACACACTCTCTCTCTCTCACTCTCTGTTGCCTGTATTGCTTGCTGCTTGGATGAGCCACTCTACCATATTGTGAGCTGCACTACAGAGAAGCTCATGTGGCCAGAAACTAACAGTAGCTGTATTAGTCCTTTCTTGTGATGCTATAAAGAAATAACTGAGATGGCCGGGCGCGGTGGCTCACGCCTGTAATCCCAGCACTTTGGGAGGCCGAGGGGGGTGGATCACGAGGTCAGGAGATTGAGGCCATCCTGGCCAACATGGTGAAACCCCGTCTCTACTAAAAATACAAAAATTAGCTGGGCATGGTGGTGGGCGCCTATAGTCCCAGCTACTCAGGAGGCTAACGCGTAAGAATCGCTTGAACCCGGGAGGCGGAGGTTGCAGTGAGCCAAGATAACGCCACTGTACTCCAGCCTGGCAACAGAGCAAGACTGTCTCAAAAAAAAGAAAAACAAAAAACAAAAAAAAAAAAACCTGAGACTGGTATTTCTACATAAAGAAATACCGATACTGATAAAGAAAAGAGGTTTAATTTGGCTCACAGTTCCGCAGGTTGTACAGGCATGGCACCAATAGCTGCTTAGCTCCTGGTGAGGGCCTGAGGAAGCTTACAATCATGACAGAAAGCAAAGAGGCGCCAGCATATCACGTGGTGAGAGCAGAAGCAAGGTGGGGGTAGGGGAGGTGTCACCCTCTTTTAAACAACCAGATCTAGCATGAACTGAGCAAGAACTCATCACCAAGGGGATGGCACTAAGCCATTTATGAGGGATCCATCCCCATGATCCAATACGTCCCACTAGGCCCCACGTCCAACACGAGGTCACATTTCAACATGAGATTTGGAGGGGACAAATATCCAAATCATATCATTCCTCCCCTGGCACCCATCCCCCACATCTCATGTCCTCCTCACGTTGCAAAATACAATAATCCCTTCTCGTTAATCCCCCAAAGTCTTAACTCATTCCAACATCAAATCAAAAGTCCTAAGTCTTCTCTGAGACTCACTTTCTTTCACCTATGAACCTGTAAAATCAAAACCAGTTATTTACTTCCAATAAACAACGGTAGTACAGGCATTGGGTAAACATTCCCATTCCAAAAGGGAGAAACTGACCGAAATAAAGGGGCTACAGGCCCTATGCAAGTCTGAAACTCAGCAGGGCAGATATTAAATCTTACAATTCCAAAATAATCCTTGAGACTGGGCAACATCGTGAAACCTGTCTCTACAGAAAATTAAAAAAACAAAATTAGCCAGGCATGGTGGTGTGCACCTGTAGTCCCAGCTACTCAGGAGGCTGAGGTGGGAGAATCACTTTAGCCCCAGAGGTCAAGGCTGCAGTGAGCCATGATTGCGCCACTGCTCTGGGCAACAGAGTGAGACCCTGTCTAAAACACACATACGGTCAGCAAAGCCTGACTCCTGTCCTCTCTCTCTCCTCTCCAGACAGCATGAGCTTCACCACTCGCTCCACCTTCTCCACCAACTACCAGTCCCTGGGCTCCGTCCAGCCGCCCAGCTACGGTGCCTGGCCGGTCAGGAGAGAGGCCAGCTGGTGGCGGGAGCTCTGGTTTCTGGATCTCCATGTCCCGCTTCACTAGCTTCTGGGGTGGCTTGGGGTCCGGGTTGTGGCCACAAGGATGGCCGGGGGTCTGGCAGGAATGGGAAGCATCCAGAACGAGAAGGAGCCCATGCAAAGCTGAACGGCCACCTGGCCCCCTACCTGGACAGAGTGAGGAGCCTGGAGACTGAGAACCAGAGGCTGGAGAGCAAAATCTGAGAGCATCTGGAGAAGAAGGGACCTCAGGCCAGAGACTGGGGCCTTTACTTCAAGACCATCGGGGGCCTGAGGGCTCAGATCTTCACAAATACTGTGGACAATGCCAGCATCATTCTGCAGATCGACAATGCCCGTCTTGCTGCTGGTTACTTTAGAGTCAAATATGAGACAGAGCTGGCCATACGCCAGTCTGTGCAGAGTGACATCCATGGGCTCCACAAGGTCACTGATGACACCAGTGTCACTCAGCTGCAGCTGGAGACAGAGATCGAGGCTCTCAAGGAGGAGCTGCTCTTCATGAAGAACCACAAAGAGAAAGTAAAAGGCCTGCAAGCCCAGGTTGCAGCTCTGGGTTGACTGTGGAGGTAGATGCCCCCAAATCTCTGAACCTCACCAAGATCATGGCAGACATCTGGGCCCAATACAGTGAACGGCCTCAGAAGAACCAAAAGGAGCTAGACAAGTAGTGGTCCCAGCAGATTGAGGAGAGCACCACAGTGGTCATGATGCAGTCCGCCGAGGTCGGAGCTGCTGAGATGACACTCACGGAGCTGAGATGTACAGTCCAGTCCTTGGAGATCAACCTGGACTCAATGAGAAATCTGAAGGCCAGGTTGGAGAACAGCCTGAGGGAGGTGGAGGGCCACTATGCCCTGCAGATGGAGCAGCTCAACGGGATCCTGCTGCACCTGGAGTCAGAGCTGGCACAGGGTATAGGGGCAGTGCCAGGCCCAGGAGTACGAAGCCCTGCTGAACATCAAGGTCAAGCTGGAGGCTGAGATTGCCACCTACTGCCGCCTGCTGGAAGATGGCAAGGACTTCAATCTTGGTGATGCCCTGGACAGCAGGAATTCCATGCAAAACATCCAAAAGACCACCACCCCCCAGATTGTGGATGGCAAAGTGGTGTCTGAGACCAATGACACCAAAATTCTGAGACATTAAGCCAGCAGAAGCAGGGTACTCTTTGGGGAGCAGGAGGGCAATAAAAAGTTCAGAGGTCAAAAAATACACACAGACACACAGACACACACACACACACACACACAAACACACAAATCCCTGACTCCATGTCTTCCATCCTGGACACACTGGTGCAAGATGTGGGCTCTCAAGGCCTTGACTAGCTTCATCCCTGTGGCTTTGCAGGGTGCAGCCCCTGTGGCTACTCCCCTACCAGCTGGAGATGGGCACCTGTGACTTTTCCAGGCTCAGGTTGCAAGTTGCAGGTAGCTCTACCATTCTCAGGTCTACAGAATGGCAGTCACTTCCCATAGCTCCACAAGACAGTGACCCAGTGGGGACTCTGTGTGGGGCCTCCAACCTCACATTTCCCCTTGGCATTGACGTAGTGAGTAACTCTTTGGGGACTCTGCCCTGCAGCTGGTTTCTGTCTGGGCACCTAGGCTTTTCCATAAATCCTCTGAAACCTAGGGGGAAGCTGCCAAGCTTCGTTCACTCTTGATTCCATGTGCCTGCAGACTTAACACTTAGAAGCTACCAAGGCTTAGGGCAACTTGCACTCTCCAAAGTGGCAGATGGAACCATAGCTGGGGCCCTTTGAGCCAAGACTGGAGCTGGAGCAGCCCACCGAGGTGGTGCAGGGCAGTAGTGTGCAGGGCAGCAGCACCCTGGCCTCGCCACGGAAACCATTCATTCCTCCTTGACCTCTGGGCTGTGACTCGAGGGGCTGCCTCAAACATCTCTGAAATGCAATACAGGTCTTTCTCCCATTTTCTTGGATAGTAGCACTTGGCTCCCTTTTAATCATGCTCATTTCTCTAGCAAGTGGTAGTTCTGCAGCCTGCTTGGATTCTTTCTCTTCCACAGGGAACAGTCTGCAAATTTTCCAAACTTTTCTACTCTGCTTCCCTTTTAAATATAACTTCCAACTTTAAGTCATTCCTTTGCTCCCGCATCTCATCATAGGCTTTTAGAAGAAACCATGCTACATCTTGAATGCTTTGCTGCTTAGAAATTTCTTCCACCAGATACCCTAAGTCATCATTCTGAAGTTCAAACTTCTACAGATCCCTAGGATGTGAACACCATGCAGCCAAGTCTTTTCTAGGGCATAACGGGGTTGACCTTTACTCCAGCTTTCAATAACTTCCTTATTTCCATCTGAGACCTCATCAGTCTGGCCTTCACTATCCACATTTCTATTAGCAATTTGGTCACAACCACTTAACAAGTCTCTAAGAAGTTCCAAAATTTCCCTTGTCTTCCTGTCTTCTTCTGAGCTCTCCAAACTCTTCTAACCTCAGCCTGTTACCCAGTTCCAAAGCCACTTTCACATTTTCAGGTATCTTTATAGCAATGCCACACTCCTCAGTACCAATGTTCTGTATTAGTCTGTTCTTGTGTTGTTCTACAAAGAAATAACGGAGTCTGGGTACTTTATAAAGAAAAGAGGTTTAATTTGGTTCACAGTTCTGCAGGCTGTACAGGCATGGCACCAACATCTGCTTAGTTTCTGTTGAGGGCCTCAAGAGGCTTACAATCATGGTGGAAAGCGAAGGGGAGCCAGTGTATCACATGGCAAGAGCAGGACCAAGGTGTGTGTGGGGTGCAGAAGTACCACACTCTTTTAAACAATCAGATCTAGCATGAACTGAGTGAGAACTCACTCATCAACCAGGGATGGTGCTAAGCCATTCTTGAGGGATCTGCCCCCATGATCCAATACATTCCACCAGGCCCCACCTTCAGCACGAGGCCACATTACAATATGAGATTTGGAGGGACAAACATCCAAGCCATTATCAGTAGCCTCCAGCCTCCAGCCAGCAAAAAAACTGATGTCCTCATTCCAAAGGGCATAAAGAACTGAATGAATTCTGCCAATAATCATGAGTGAGCTTGGAAGCGGATCCTTCCCCAGCTGGGCTGTGAGATGACTGCAGTGCCAGCCAACAGCTAGATTACAGCCTGTGAGAGACCCTGAAGCAGAGGACCTATTTAAGTCATATCCAGATTTCTGACCTACAGAAACTGAGGTGATACATTTTTTGGTAAGCCCCTAAGTTTTCCGGTAATTTGTTATACCAACAGATAATTAATACAAGAGTTATTCCAATTTTTATTTTCATTTTGTATCCAGTTTGGTAAACTGTATTTTTAAGGAATTTGTCCATTTCCAAGTTAAGACCTTATTATAGTCTTATTTATTAATTTCCTTCAGAGGTAGACAAAGTATACCAATTCATTCACTGAAAAAAAAAAAACTTCAGAAATAAAAACTTATGTCCACACAGAAACATGCATACAAATGTTCATAGCAGCTTTATTTGTAACAGCCAAAAATTTGAAACATTCCAAATGCCCTTCAATGAGTTAATAGCTAAAGACACCATTACCATGGTGTGTAGTATACATGTAGTATACCATGGTACCACGGATGTACCATGGCATATTACCCAGCAACATAAAGAAAAAAACTATTAATACATACAACCATTTGGATGAATTTCAAGGGAATTATGCTGAGTGAAAACAAAAAGCCAATCTCGAGGTTACATATGGTGTAATTCCAGTAATATAACATTCCCAAAATGACAAAATTACAAAGATGGAGAACAGATTAGTGGTTGCCAGGGTTTAGGGATGGGAGAATGGGGATAAGCAAGGAAAATGGATGTGATATAAAGGGGTAGCATGAGGGATCACTGAGGAGATGGAACAGCTCTTGATAGTAGTGGTGGTTCCACAAATCTACATGTGAAAACTACATAGAACTTACACACACACGAACATGCACATGCATGCAAATGAGTGCATGGGAAAGCGGTGAAATCTGAATAAGCTCTGGATTGTAGGAATGTCAAGTTCCTGGTTTTAATATTATAATTAGGGGCTGGGCTTGGGTGGCTCACGGCTGAAATCCTAGCACTTTGGGAGGCTGAGGTGGGTGGAACCCTTGGGTTGAAGAGTTTGGGACCAGCCTGGGCAACATGGCAAAACCCCATCTCTACAAAACATACAAAAACTAACCAGGCGTGGTTGTGTGCACCTGTAGTGCCAGCTACTTAGGAGGCTGAGGTGGGAGGATCACCTAAGCCCAGAAGGTAGAAGTTGCAGATCATGCCACTGCTGCACTCCAGCCTGAGCGACAGTGAGACTCTGTCTCAAAAAAAAAACAAAAAAAACAAAAAACTATAGTTATGTAACATGTTACCACTGGAGAAGGTGTGTGAAGCTATATGGTCCTCTGTACAATTTTTGCACTTCCTGTGAATCTACAATTATTTCGAAATATAAAACTTTTTTAAAAACTTCAGTTGATCTTATCTAAAATCTCGGGTTTAAATATCTCTTTAATTAATTAATTTGAGATGGACTCTCACTCTGTCACTCAGGCTGGAATGCGGTGGCAAAATCTTGGCTCACTGCAACCTCCAAATTCCAGGTTCCAGTGATTCTCTTGCCTCACCCTCCTGAGTTCCTGAAACTACAGGTGCTTGCCACCATGCTTGGCTAATTTTTTGTATTTTTAGTAGAGGCAGGTTTCACCATGTTGGCCAGGCTGGTCTCGAACTCCTGACCTTAAGTGATCTGCCCTCCTTGGCCTCCCAAAGTGCTGGGATTACAGGCGTGAGCCACCATGCCCGGCCCTAAATTCCTATTTTAAATGGCACCCTCCATCTGATTCTCACTGGATCTGCCTTTTGAATAAAGACCTGAAGTGAAAGATCTAATCATGAAGATATTCCATGGGTATCTGGGATACTTTGTTAATGTGCATGATAATTATTTCAATAGATATTATAAAGGAAATAAAATCTCCCTGGAATTTCATTTCCTTAAGTTTCCTCTCCCTTACCTGGATCACCCATCCATGGTTTTTCACCCTCTTCCTCCTTCCTGATCTCCATTGTCACATACTTTAGGATGTATATAACATGTTTTACAAATATTGGACTGTTCTCAGCAATGGGGTCTGGGATTTTAAGCCAAATTTAATCCCCTATATTGATTGGGTAGATGTCCAATAGACTTCCTACACTACAAATCCTGTCCATTGCTGTCTCCTACTTTTTAAATCCATCTTTTTTTCCTCCGTCCCAGCTTGGCCATGCTCTCAATACTTCTTACCTAGATTGCTGACCTGGCCTCCCTGCTGGTCTATCTCCAGCTTTACCTTTCACCCCATGGCTAAAGGGATCTAAAATCCCAAATTGTTTAGATTATATAACTCGTCTCTTTAGAATGGTATTTGCTGTCCTTCATGAAGTCCCTACCTACCTCCTCTGCGACCTTGGGCAAAATCTCTTAAGATCTCAGCCTCAGTTTTATGGTCCTAAGTCGTGATATATTATTGTACTTACAACTGTTTCTAGAAAATATTAAGTGCTCTATTAGTCACTGAAGCACCATTCCTTAAACACCTCTTCCATTGTAACACTTACGGTCAATATAAGTTCCGATCACCATGACCACCACCACCTCCTTGAGAGGTAGAAAAGAGGCAGACAAATCAGAATTCTGATTCTACTACTTTGTAGTTACAACATCTGGGCGAGTTAGATAACATCTCAAACATAAGATACGGGTTATAACATCTAAAGTAAAGGACGGTAGTTTGTTTTTTCTTTTTTTTTTTTTTTGAGACGGAGTCTCACTCTGTCGCCCAGGCTGGATTGCAGCGGCGCGATCTCGGCTCACTGCAAGCTCCGCCTTCCGGGTTCACGCCGTTCTCCTGCCCCTGCCTCCCGAGTAGCTGGGACTACAGGCGTCCGCCACCACGCCCGACTAATTTTTTGTATTTTTAGTAGAGACGGGGTTTCACCGTGTTAGCCAGGATGGTCTCAATCTCCTGACCTCGTGATCCAGCCGCCTTGGCCTCCCAAAGTGCTGGGATTACAGGCGTGAACCACTGCGCCCGGCCTGTTTTTTCCTCTTTTCTATCCAAGACAGTACTTCAAGGAATGATAGTTCAAGATTGAGTGGGTTGTTGTGAAGGTACAGTTGGAACTCAGGGTGCTTCCTCTACTTACCTCTGCATGGTGCGATGTTATGTAGCTAAAAGTATAGCTGGAGGTCATTTTACAGGGAAGTACTTCCTTTTGCTCACCACTGCCACTAACCCCATAATTTCTTTTGGAGTTTCCCTACACCCTACATTAGAACAATAGCTCACTGAATTATTCTGTCTTCTGATTTTCCATACTGTGATTTTCTAGAGAAGAAACTCATGTTTCATGGACCTTTAACCTTACTGAACAGCACAGACAGGGGTTTAAAATATATCAGCTGAATGAATGAATAAAACCACTTGAGGCCCAATGAAAATGGTGTCTAGATCCACCCAAGGCGTTCTCCTGAGGTCCACAGAATTGTCTTCAAACTTCTATGATACATTGCTTTGTATTAGTTATGCATCTGTCCTACTTTCTCCACTAGACAGTAAACTCAGTACTATCTACATCCTCATCTCCCACCCAGAAAGTGCTGTGTTGAATGAAGGAAGTGACTTGACAGAATTAAGGTATATCTCAACCTCCTTGGGTCTATTCATTTCTTTCAAATCCTTCCTTATGATATATAGATGAGGCATGCAATCATTTAAATCTCAAGGAGTGACCTGGTAGCTCTGTTAAGCCAAAAACTATGCCAAGAAAATCTAGATAACTAAAACATACCATAAACTTAATATTGACATTAAACAAACAACTTTTAAGGTGGACAAATAATTTTATTTTGTGCATGCAAATACATGTCAAGTACTGCAAACTTTTTCCATCAATTTTCTCTCAAACACTGAAAATCATGATGCTCTATTTTGTGAACAGCCAAAGCTAATATCTCTTCACTTCAGTGCTACAGCAAAAACACACAGAATTCACTCTTTGCTATTCACTATCATCACAACCCTCATTGTTCCATCTCTGCCCTCCCCCCATATACAGGCCTTATAAATCCTAGTCTTCCCCCATTTAATCCTATTCCTATAGCACAAAGGGAAACATTACAATTTGGAAATTCAAATTGAAATAAATGGAATAGAATTTATTCCCATATATATTCCCCATTTCATTGTACAGAATTATTTTAAATTATAGTTTTAAATAGAAGCTGAGTATATGCCTTAAAAATGAGCATTAAATCCATCTTAGAGATGGTGCCTGCTTTTTACATGATGGGTGTACACCATCTTTAATTTCATTTACATTTCAATCGAACAATAGATTTGCAAAGAAAATGTCTAATACAGACGTAAAAATATTCACACTAGAGCTTCACAATCGGTTGTACAATTGACAAACAGGCCTCTTTTCCCAAACTTTCCAGCTAAGCAAATTTATAAAATGTAATCAATGCAACAAGAAAAACATTTCTCTTTCACTTCCAGGGAAAAGAATATGCAATAAACAGTATAAATGCAGACAGCAGTTGCTGCAAGCTAACCACGATACTCCCAAGTGGCTGTACAGTGGATATGTGCAGTACAAATAAAAGCCACATGTGTTGTATCACAACTACAGTATAAT
The DNA here is from genome assembly GCF_000001405.40 of Homo sapiens. NCBI lineage: Eukaryota > Metazoa > Chordata > Mammalia > Primates > Hominidae > Homo > Homo sapiens. Next base: position 122,845,373 of record NC_000009.12, read on the forward strand.
TGTTTGCCCAGCTAAGAGAATGCATGCACTTCCATGCCTTGGGTTATAAAGTGAGGCCTAATTCTCGACAGGTTGATGGAATATGTGCAAATGACCTTGGCTTTTGGCAGTACTAAGTGCAGCCAGTGTCTGTGTTCCACTGGTTTGGGAATATTTTAAAAATTTTATTAAAAAAAAGAAAAAACTGCCAATTTTAGACTAGAAGGGAATAACTGCTCTTGGAGTAAAAATAAGACTCCACTCAAATGTGGGGTGTTTTGATCTGTGGTCTTGACGCCTTGTATTCCCTTGCCAGCAAAGGGATACAAGGAAGACGCTAGTATAAAGACATTACTAGCAAACTTCTTCAATTTATCCAGAAAATGGGATACTCCTTGAGCATGTTCTTTTGTGTTCTGCTTGCAGAAGGGGTCCTTATGTAGAAGGAGTTACAGTAAGTGATCCCATCAAGCCTCTTCATTCACTAAAACAAAAGAAAAGTTCTTCCAGGAAACCAATGCATAGTTGCAATGCAACTTTTCCCTTTAATGCTTAGTTATCAATACTGGTGACAGTCTGCTCCAAAAATGACTCAAAGAAGATAGGGAAGAAATACTCAGATTCAAAGGTGAAATCACATGCTGAATCTGATGGTTATACATTCCACCCCTGTTAACAAGACAACATAGGCTTTAATGTCTAAAATCCAAAAGCAAACTAGATGGTTTTTAAAATAATTTTTCAAATGTTTAAATGATCCCATTTGAAATTCCTACAAATTGCCGTGCATCCTGTAATTTTCTCAAGGCAGCATATAAAATTGGGATGTGCTTTATATACTTAACCTCAAATTGAAATCTGAAAGTGACTAGATCCATACAAATGGAAAATTTCAGTTCTTGTATAGGAAATTTCTTTTATTATCCTCTTACTAGAATAAATAGCTATGATGGGAAGGAAAAATCAGTGCCACTGGCCTAATGAACTCCCTTTTTTTTGAAAATTACAATGCACAACTTTCATGTATGACACTGGTTTATCACATGGCATTGAAAATAAGACGTGGCAGCAAAGGCAAGGGAATCTGCTTTGTTCAGGTACCAACTAGAAAAAATATATATGTAACTTCCTCTGAATTCATAAAATGAAATGAAACCACAAAAAAACTGATGCTACAACCACAGTAACTGAATGCGGCACATGGATTTCAGAATGGAACTTAGAAATTAAAAAACAAAAACACAAAAAATGAAAGAAAATAACCACCACTTTCCTGCTTTCCAGACCTCAGACTATTTTTTCTGATTAGACAATAGGTAACATATGCAGTTTGGTTACCCACATTACACATTTCCTCTCTTGTTGCTTTGTATCCTTTGATTCCAAATTTGTACATCACATCTTGTTGGTAAAAAGGCCAAATGACGGGAAATGCCTCAATTTTAAAAAGTCATATCCTAGGTCTGATTTGTAACATTTTCCTCGATGATATCAGTAGGTACCATTCTGAAGAAGGATCAGATGAACTGCCCTTTCTTCGAAAGTGGCAGAGAACCAATGGCTTTACTTCACATTAAGCCCACCATGACAGACAGAAGGTGACCACTACATAGAGAATGGATGCAACACAGAATAATCTCAACACAGAAACAATTCCTATGTTGTTAGTGAAAAAGAGAGTAAGTTTTTAAGAACAGGGAGTTATTGTTTTATGGGATCACCTGCTGCAAGACAAGCATTATTTTAATATAAATGTTCTGAGACATACCAATAAGGTTGGCAGGTATATACATATACTGATGCAAATGTAATTTCACTGGACAAGTAGGCAAACATCTAAGCAGTTTATCCCAACCCCCTCCAGCAGAGCACAACCAAGTTTCAAAATTTCAATTTTAAAATTAAAAAGATAAGGTTAAATACACAAGATCAATTTATGTAGTATATATTCACCCTCAGAACGTGCTGAAGATGTTTTGTGTAGTTCTGTTGCACAGAGGGTTCTTTCCCTGAGGGCACATAAGGAGCTCTCAAACTGTTAATAGGTCTCTATTTTGTAACAAAATAGCAATTTTAAAATCTTAAAAAAAAATACATTACCTTCAACATGGAAGATCTCACTATTAAATATCCATGAAATAGACAGACTGGTTTGCATATCCTTTTTGGAATTACAAACAGCAAATAAAGTACATTGGAAGCATTTCAAATGTAATAAGCACATATTTATAGAAAGGTTCTGATATAAATTATATAACAATCATGTTCCTGTAATATTCTAGGCTAATTTATAATGTCAGAAAAGTTAATGTAACATGGTTTAAAACCCTTGTTCCTATTCATTTCAGGTTACAGAGTGAAATAAATAAAATGTCTTCATAGGGATGGGGAGCACTGGCCATGGCAAAAAAGGTACAGTACTAACCAAAGGAAACTAAGTCAAGGCTACTGTGCTGTTGTTATGCTACAAACAAACATCTTCATACATTTGAGTATTAAATAAATGTGTAAGATCTTCCATACTGACACCAGAATATCAAAACTACCCCTTTGTTTCTCAGGTATATTTACAACTTATCAGTCACCTTATGAGCATGTTCATTAAGACAGGTATCAAACACCAGTATTTACTCATTCTAATCAAGAAATTTCAGGGAAATGTCAACCCTCCCGCCCCTGGAAATGTGCACAAAACTTTTTATCAAAATCTTATCTGATACAATGCTGTGGTTTTGTAAAACAACTAAATAGCTCAGACGACCAATAACATGATCCTGTTTAAGCATCTTGCTAGCAGGAAAAGCCCTTACATACAGTACACCTGGTGAAAGATCAGCTTGGCTTAAAATATTCCAGTACAATTTTCAGAGTAAACAACTTCACAGAAGTTAATTAAAAAAATAATAATAAAAGTCAAACTAATCTTAAAGAAACAGAAGAAAAACAGATAGATAAACTATAGGTAAAGATCACCAGGAAGGAATGCCCAGCTCTTCTTTTCAAATGTTGACTGAAATTTAGGTTTCAGTACAATACCTCCCACAAATCTGATGCATGACTTGTTGAACACATTGTATACTTTCAGATGCCAAGTCAAAACCATTTCAGTCACATTTTAGCAAGGCAGAAATTATTCATGTTCTTAAGTATGAATAAATGTTAGCCACTGTTCTACTATTACACAGTTCATAGTCTTATCAACCTAACAGTCAAAAAACAAGAAAAACTAAACCCCAACATGAAGTAACAATAAACAATATTTAACCAAGATAATGCAATGAACAACCAAATTAATTAGTTTAAATTAAAAACCCAGCAATACCATCTTGTTAGTCAGTGCAAACGCTACATACAGGGTTTTCTCAAGAAAGCTGAAAGCACCTGATTCTTTTGCCAAGTCATCAGATTCAATAATGTACAGGCTTAAATCTGCATTTTAAAAAACTGCCATTACATTAGTGCATAATTTATCAAAATTGTAAAAACGATTCTGCATAACTTAGGAGAATTTAATATCTAGTACATCAGCTGAAAGACTTAGGCACTTGGTTATATTTTTAATTAATTACTTCAACAAGTAGCCTGTGTATAAATATTAACAAAGCAGAAACTACTCTTGAAAAATGGAAAATTAAAAAAAAATTATATGCTACAGATAAAAGCACTGCACCACACTCCTACATATAATGCAGTAAAGAATGCTAGTATATAACCCTGTAAAATTCTATGGTAAGAACATCTAACTCCACTCTTCAAAATTAAAAAAAGAAAAAGAAATCCATGCAAAGTTCCATGAAAAAGATAAATAAAGCAGCTGGAATGAGATGGAAACTTCTCTCAGTGAAACATAAAATAGAAATAAATAAGTTAACTAAGTCTACTTTCACTAGATGTATCATTGTAGGATCCTGCTAGTTTAATAACTGAGTTGTTAATTTTCTATAGAAGCCATTTAAAATAGGAAATGGCTCAGTTACTGCACCGGATTGCTACAAACTCATAAAAAGCTGCTTGAAGCTTAAGTTAAATGTTGTCCAAATTCCAATCATTTCTGGAAAGTGAACATGTTACCCTAGTAAAGTAAATTTTCTTTTTTTTTTTCATAATGCTAATGCAAGAGGGCTTGAAGTATCAAAGAGTCCACAGGAAATGGATGCCCCCAGTAATATCTTTTTTTTAAAAAAAATATACATTATATAATATATATTATATATATAAAAAGCTAGTGTAAATGCTTCCATGGTGTGGTCACAAATTTGAAAGATGAACCTCCTTTCAGCTGTTAACCATCTTCCCATTTGCAACAGGTTTTAAAAAGTCGTTTTTATCTTCAGACATAACATGAGTTTTCAGAATGAGGTTGCCAGCACTGACAGATGTGGTGATGGGGAGGCAACTTGCATTGCTAATAGACACTGGGAGTGGCTGGCTAAAGCAAGAAGTTACCGGCAGAATTGTTTTTTGCTCCTCCCTGAGAAAAAAGAAATGACATTAAAAACAAATTAGCTTTAAGTGCAAACTGTTAAGGGTGACTATACATATTTAATGAAAGCTACAGCAAACTTTAGGAGTCTCTAGCAAAGACATGTCTTTATCACTAGAAGTATCAGAAGTAACTAGAAAAGTCCTGTTTTCCTATTTTTGAGACAGAGTCTCCCTCCGTCGCCCAGGCTGGAGTGCAGTGGCATGATCTCGGCTCAATGCAACCTCTGCCTCCTGGATTCAAGCAATTCTCCTGCCTCAGCCTCCCAAGTAGCTGGGATTACAGGCATGTGCCACCACGCCCAGCTATTTTGTATTTTTAGTAGAGATGGGGTTTCACCATGTTGGCCAGGCTGGTCTAGAACTCCTGACCTCAAATGATCCACCCGCCTCGGCCTCCCAAAGTGCTGGGATTACAGGTGTGAGCCACCACTCCTGGCTTGAAAAGTCCTGTTTTCCAAAAGTTATGATAAAAATTAAAATACTAGTTAGTTTAAGGCCAAACTACCAAGTTGAAGATTAAGCCCATATTTTTGGCAGTAATTATTCAAAATGGCAGTATTATAGCCAAGAAAATATACTATATTATATGCTATCTATCTATAGATAGATAGATAGATAGATAATTTTGAGATGGAGTCTCAGTCTGTCGCCCAGGCTGGAGTGCAGTGTCACGATCTTGGCTCACTGTCTCCGCCTCCCGGGTTCAAGCGATTCTCCTGCCTCAGCCTCCCAGGCAGCTGAGAATACAGGTGCCCGCCACTATGCCCAGCTAATTTTTTTGTATTTTTGTAGAGACAGGGTTTCACTATGTTGGCCAGGCTGCTCTTGAACTCCTTGTGATCCACCCGCCTCAGCCTTCCAAAGTGCTGGGATTACAGCCATGAGCCACTACGCCCAGCCTAGCCAAGAAAATCTTAACATGATTTTCAAAAAGAGAAACCATTAATCTAGGTTGTCATTCTCCATTTTGTAGTCTAGAAATTTGGCAACCAGATTAAAGAAGCATAACCTGATGCTGGAACACAGATTAACTTTATCTCAACAAAAAGCAAGTTTCAGGCTACCAAAATGGACTGCTTTGTTAGTTCAATTTTACTTTTTCTTCCCTAAAAATCCAGATTGACCAAATCATTGCCCATATAAGGTCTTCCCCTCACAGCATAAAGCCAAAAATTAATTTCGCATTTTTTTCTCTTTATTATGTCCTATGCCCACTGTTTATGAATTTTCTGTCTAACACTCACAGAATCACATGGTCTTCACCTAAACTCTGTTTCTTCTGCTTTGGTGGCTCCTTTTGGTGCTGCTGTACTGGATGCCCATTTTCCACTGCCATTCCATTTAGCAACTGATCATTTTGAGAACTGATACCAAGCTGTATGTCCAAGATCTCCTAAGAAAATAAAATGTTAATCCTTCAGTATGAAAGTATTTTATAAATTTTCAATCAAACAAAGCCTCTCAATTATCTAATTGTGGCACTTACTTCAATTGGTTCACTTTGTCCATCAGGTTCATCAGTATCAAGTGCTGAAAGCTCTAACTCGATATCCCTATCAGGTTTAGTATCTGTTGCATCTTCTGTATAATCACTCTGTAACTAAGAAAAATACTGATTTTGCTCTCCCTCTCCCTCTCCCTCTCCCCATGGTCTCCCTCTCCCCATGGTCTCCCTCTCCCTCTCTTTCCATGGTCTCCCTCTCATGCCGAGCCGAAGCTGGACTATACTGCTGCCATCTCGGCTCACTGCAACCTCCCTGCCTGATTCTCCTGCCTCAGCCTGCAGAGTGCCTGCAATTGCAGGCGCGCGCCGCCACGCCTGACTGGTTTTCGTATTTTTTTGGTGGAGACGGGGTTTCGCTGTGATGGCCGGGCTGGTCTCCAGCTCCTAACCACGAGTGATCTGCCAGCCTCGGCCTCCCGAGGTGCCGGGATTGCAGACGGAGTCTGGTTCACTCAGTGCTCAATGGCGCCCAGGCTGGAGTGCAGTGGCGTGATCTCGGCTCGCTACAACCTCCACCTCCCAGCCGCCTGCCTTGGCCTCCCAAAAAGCCGAGATTGCAGCCTCTGCCCGGCCGCCACCCCGTCTGGGAAGTGAGGAGCGTCTCTGCCTGGCCGCCCATCGTCTGGGATGTGAGGAGCCCCTCTGCCTGGCTGCCCAGTCTGGAAAGTGAGGACCGTCTCTGCCCGGCCGCCATCCCATCTGGGAAGTGAGGAGCGCCTCTTCCCGGCCGCCATCACATCTAGGAAGTGAGGAGCGTCTCTGCCCGGCCGCCCGTCGTCTGGGATGTGGGGAGCGCCTCTGCCCCGCCGCCCTGTCTGGGATGTGAGGAATGCCTCTGCCCGGCCGCCACCCCGTCTGGGAGGTGAGGAGCGTCTCTGCCCGGCCGCCCCGTCTGAGAAGTGAGGAGACCCTCCGCCCGGCAGCCGCCCCGTATGAGAAGTGAGGAGCCTCTCCGCCCGGCAGCCGCCCCGTCTGAGAAGTGAGGAGCCTCTCTGCCTGGCAGCCACCCCGTCTGGGAAGTGAGGAGCGTCTCCGCCCGGCAGCCGCCCCGTCCGGGAGGGAGGTGGGGGGGTCAGCCCCCCGCCTGGCCAGCCGCCCCGTCCGGGAGGTGAGGGGCGCCTCTGCCCGGCCGCCCCTACTGGGAAGTGAGGAGCCCCTCTGCCTAGCCAGCCGCCCCGTCCGGGAGGGAGGTGGGGGGGTCAGCCCCCCGCCCGGCCAGCCGCCCCGTCCGGGAGGGAGGTGTGGGGGTCAGCCCCCGGCCCGGCCAGCCGCCCTGACCGGGAGGGAGGTGGAGGGGTCAGCTCCCAACCCGGCCAGCCGCCCTGTCCGGGAGGTGAGGGGCGCCTCTGCCCTGCCGCCCCTACTGGGAAGTGAGGAGCCCCTCTGCCCGGCCAGCCGCCCCGTCCGGGAGGGAGGTGGGGGGGTCAGCCCCCCGCCTGGCCAGCCGCCCCATCCGGGAGGTGAGGGGCGCCTCTGCCCGGCCGCCCCTACTGGGAAGTGAGGAGCCCCTCTGCCCAGCCACCACCCCGTCTGGGAGGTGTGCCCAACAGCTCATTGAGAACGGGCCATGATGACAATGGCGGTTTTGTGGAATAGAAAGGGGGGAAAGGTGGGGAAAAGATTGAGAAATCGGATGGTAGCCGTGTCTGTGTAGAAAGAAGTAGACATGGGAGACTTTTCATTTTGTTCTGTACTAAGAAAAATTCTTCTGCCTTGGGATCCTGTTGATCTGTGACCTTACCTCCAACCCTGTGCTCTCTGAAACATGTGCTGTGTCCACTCAGAGTTAAATGGCTTAAGGGCGGTGCAAGATGTGCTTTGTTAAACAGATGCTTGAAGGCAGCATGCTCATTAAGAGTCATCACCACTCCCTAATCTCAAGTACCCAGGGACACAAACGCTGCGGAAGGCCGCAGGGTCCTCTGCCTAGGAAAACCAGAGACCTTTGTTCACTTGTTTATCTGCTGACCTTCCCTCCACTATTGTCCTATGACCCTGCCAAATCCCCCTCTGTGAGAAACACCCAAGAATGATCAATAAAAAAAAAAAAAAAAAAAGAAAAATACTGATTTTATACCTGTGGAACCTGGGGTTTCCCTTTTAAATTAAAGTAAAAAATCCCAATGATCAGCCAGGCACGGGGGCTCACACCTGTAATCCTAGCACTTTGGGAAGGTGAGGCGAGCAGATCACTTGAGGTCAGGAGTTCAAGACCAGCTTAGCCAACATGGTGAAACCCTGTCTCTACTAAAAACACAAAAATTAGCTGGGCATGGTGGTGGGTGCCTGTAATCCCAGCTACTCGGGAAGCTGAGGCAGGAGAATCGCTTGAACCTGAGAGCCAGAGGCTGCAGTGAGCCAAGATCGTGCCATTGCACTCCAGGCGATAGAGCAAGATTCCATCTCAAAAAAACAAAAATCCCGATGATCTAGTTAAAGAATTATTTAAGAAATCTGGGATTACAATTTTATTTCTGTTATAAGTTTTAAAAGCAATCAATCATCCATCAGAGATAGGCACACCAAAATGCACTCAGTAATGGTATAACCAAGATGCAGCAGCAGAAAACAAATACATTAAGCATGAAGCCGAAAGGTTCAGTTTCTTTACCTCTCCATTTCTTAGTTCAATTTCCTTGCTTAAAAGGTTTAAGGTAAGGTGACGGCCTTCATCCAGGGAATTCCACTTCTGTTGCATGGCCAAAGCATTGGCCTCTCTCTGAAGAAGTAATGAGTTGCTCTTGGCCTATATGAGGAGGGAAAAAAAGAAAAGTTAGCTTCCAACTATAGCTTTCAACTGTCATTCTATTTCTCAAAAATTTATAGCTGAGTTACAGAGCCTACCTGCTGAAGTTCAAGGCTCAAAAGGTCCCCAGTACTGGAATGCTTTCTATGACCAGATAAATCAGTAACAATGAATCTGTCCCTTTAAAGAGAAATATGTTTATTGTAATAAAAGTGAAGTGAATGAAGCAACAAAAGCAGTAATAACCATATGTTTTATGTGACAGATCAACCCTGAAAACTTCACTCATCGTTCCAAATTTAAATGCAAATATTTTTCAGAAATTTGTTATATAGCTCAGACAACAAGCAAAGCACATTTCATGAACTGGGGGTAGAATGTGTACCCTTAAGATACATACAAGTCTGAGAATGGAGAATCATATAGAATTAAGAAGAACGTTACCTTTCAACATAGTGTGCTGATGATGTGGCCTCGTTGCCATATGAACTCCACCTTGAATCAACAGCATTGACATAAGGGACATAATCTACAGACATGTAGAATGAAACAATGGTCAAAAAAGTGAAAAATCAGTGTACTGAGGTGAATGTATACTTCTCAAAATAGATCTGTATTTTATCCCACTAGCCATATGATGCTGGTTAAACACCTAATTCTGAGTTTCCCATGGTTGTTAAATGGAGGGAAATGTTTTCCATTTCACAAGTTGGGGATTAAAAAGCACAGTGCTTAGGACAGGCACAGTGGCTCACATATGTAATCCCAGCACTTTGCGAGGCTGAGGCGGGTGGATCACATGAGGCCAGGAGTTCCAGACCAGCCTGGCCAACATGGCGAAACTAAAATACAAAATACTCTCTACTAAAAATACAAAAATTAGCCAGGCATGGTGGTGCATGTCTATAATCCCAGCTACTTGGGAGGCTGAGGCAGGAGAATCGCTTGAACCCAGGATGGAGGTTGCAGTGAGCCAAGATCACACCACTGCATTCCAGTCTGGGCAACAGAGTGAGACTCTGTCTCAATTAAAAAAAAAAAAAAAAAAGGCATAGTGCTTAGAACATATCAGGCTAGGTATTATCTAAATGGATTACCTGATACACTGATGGGCTTAGTCGCACTTCCTTGGGAAGCAGTGGCCTGGACAGGATCTGTGGTATGGTAACCTGTACGGGAAGATCTGGAAATCGCACCCCATTTTGAGATGATGGGTCCATCACTAAAGGGAATTATTGGATCTTCTTCTTTTGTCCTTCTCTGGGTTTCAAATAAATGTACTCTTCTCTTAACATCACCACTGTCCAGGTCCTATGTAAACCAAAGAAAATCAATAAAAGGACTGTTGGCAATTACTTCAGCTAGTAAATATATGCTATCAAAAGACATGTAATTAGGTTTTTTGGTTAATTTAAAACTAGCTCTAGACTCAACGATAATCCAACAAACTACCAGTAAACCACCAATGTTCAAATAACTTAAATATTAAATATAATTTATTTCAGACTTACCTAAATATAACCCTGCTGCTACTGAGTTATAAGGCAACAATATGAATGAATGAATAGAAAACATTCATTCTACAACATGAGTGAACATGCATCATCTCTCACCTCCAACCCCTGCAACCCCAGCAAAATCATACCATTAACACAGCATTTGAATTAGCAATGACATCTTTGGGCTCTGAATCAATGGCATTTATACAGGAGCCTATGGTGCCACAAGACCAGGGAGAATAATGGGAAAGATGATCTTCTTCAAATTTTGTACCACTCACACTCTCTGAGAACTGGTTAAAAAAAAATAAATAAAGCCAATTAGTAAGAAGCTTAAATTTACAAGCTTGTAACTAATATAAAGTAACTATTATAGAATTCAGAGGACTTCATAGCAAACAATTATACTTTTTCAATAACTAATATAAAAAACTGTAATAAGCAAGAAATGGTATTTTTACAATAGAAAATGGCATGCTTTCCCTTTTCACTTTGTCCTTTAAGTGCTCATATGGAACATTTGACTAATACTATCAAAACCAATTAACAAATATTTATAGTATGGTACTAACATGGTATGGGGTGCACCAAGAAAAAAAAAAGTAAGAGAAAACAAATACATAGATACACACAGAGATCACAGTCCATATCCTAAAGGAGTTTATAATTTTCTTTTTTCTTTTGAGACAGGGTCTCACTCCCACCGCCCAGGCTAACATGCAGTGGGGTGATCACAGCTCACTAGCAGCCTCGACTTCCCAGGCTCAGGTGATTTTCCCAGCTCTGCTTCCCAAGTAGCTGGGACTATAGGCACACGCCACTATGCCCAGACAATCTTTTTGTATTTTTAGTAGAGATGAAGTTTTGCCATATTGCCTAGGCTGGTATCAAACTCCTGGGCTCAAGCAATCCACCCACTTCGATCTTCCAAAGTGCTGGGATTATAGGCATGAGCCACTACACCAAGCTGAGTTTATAATTTTCTTGAGAAAAAGAACATGTGCAAATAAGGGAATATAACTGATAAATTATGCAGTATCAAAGAACAAAAGGAATTCAAAGGAGGCTCTGGAGATAAAGGGGAAATGAATAAATTTTAAAGGGACTGTGAATAAGGAATACTTATAGGACCAGAATACTAAAGTTATAAGAATCATTAAATCTAGTTTACTAATTATTCAGATAAAAAAACTCAAGGGCAAAAAAGTTAAAAAACTTTTCTCAAGTCGAACTCAGCAGATCGGAGTCTCAGGGAAATACTCATTTCCTGAAGCATAATTGTATATCAAAAAAGAAAATACAAGTGGCATCTAGCAAGCAAGTGGCATCTAGCAAGCAAGTGGCAGCTCTGTCACTCTGTTGTCAAGATATTTACCTGCTTTGAAGAAGTCTAAGTTTGACAAGACCTATTTGGATCTAGTTTAAAAATTCAATGCTTTATTGAAATATTTATGGGTTAAAAAATATAATGCCTAGGATTACTTCAAAACAATCCAGGGGGAAGAGGGGGTATAAATAAGACAGTACTGACTGAGTTGATAACCGTGGAACCTGGGTGTTGGGTACATGGAGTTTATCATATTATTCTCTCTATACTTGTATATGTTTGAAATTTTTTATAATGAAAAGATTTTAAAAATTTTAATATCAGAACTTCTGGGGATGGGGAATAAACCAGAAGAAACTTAAAAAAGAAATTAATGGTTTTCTCCAAATATAACAGTACTGAAAACACCAGATTAAATTAAAATCATCCTGGTACACAAACTTGTTTGGTAATGCCAAGAACAATAATTAGCAGTGATGTAAAGAGCATAAATAATACTGTAGGTATTTCTGCACTTCTTGTTAAGTAGGGAAGAAATACCTCAGACAGCCCAGGATTCATATCCCAGCTATTTACAGCTGAAAGATCTTGGGCAAATTACTTAACTTCTGTAAGATTCCTACCCTGTAAAATATGGAAAATACCTGCCCCCTAAGGTTTTTGTGAGAATTAAATAAAATAGCTTTATGCAAATGTACTAATACAGTGCTGGCATGAGTAGGTGCTCAATAAATGATAGATATAAATCACACTATTAATAAAACAACCATAAAATAATTATACTATAGGAAAGATTTTGAATTCTTAGTAAAGGACTATGCCTTAACGGTCTTCAGAGTCTCATAACACCTAGCCGTAGTGCATTTATATTCAGTGTTTATTGAACTAAACTCAATTGCACACCAAACCACTGCAAATATCCAACATAGCTATTCCTGGTTTGAATGAGTAATTTGAAGTCAGCTGTTTGACCTATCCCTGCAACATTAAGTAATTAAAACCTTTCTTACATCCGCACGAAAGTCTACACTGAACAGAGGAGAAGGTGGTGTTGGTGACTGTGTTGCCACAGGAAGAGTTGAAGAGACAAGAGGTGCTTTCTGAGTGTGGTACTGTGCCCACTGATCTGGCTTTCTTCTTATCTGCTCCTCGCAACTGGTCTTCAAATGACCACAAGGTTCCTAATGGGGGATAAAAGAAACAATCTTAATCATCTAGGGAGTGGTGAATAAATTTAACTGTGTGAAAATGATGTAAACAGTTTATGATATTGTTGGGATAAAAAAATACAGCAGGGAAAGTCACCCTAGTCTATTCTCCATACACTTAAAATAAAAAGGTTAATATTTATTCAACTGATGTTAAACGCAGAATCTGAGCACTCACTTTTCTTGCTTAGGGAAGTCATTTGTATGTATGTGGTGATACTGAAAAAAGGTCCTAACCTTGTATTTTTAAGATTTCTTTCTACTTTCCCAACAATTTCCTATCCAAATATAACATTTATTGAGCATTAACATGTATGAGGCCCAGTTCTAAGAGGTTTGATTTTCTGATTTAATTCTCACAACAGCCTTATGAGGTAGGTACTACTATTATTTCCATCAAAGGAATGAAAGAACTGAGGCATAGGGAGGTCAAGTAACTTCCTTAAGTCACACAATTAGTAAGTGGAGGAGCCAGGATATATACCTGGGTGGTTTGACTCCAGACACTGGGCTGTTAATGACTACATTATAGTAGCATCTTCACTTACCCTTGGTAAAGGCACAGTTGTCCTTGGCTCACTTGGTGGCTGACAAGCCACCGAATAATATCCATCTAATGAGTTATATCTTTCCCGCAAAGATGTCTGATAGACAGATGAGTGCATCACATCCATTGGAGGTAAAGAATTGCTTCTAATAATGTCATCTCGTTGGTACATAGGTGGGCGCCAGATGCGCCTGCTGTCGTACACAGGAGCATACATTCCAGAAGGTACTGGAGGAACTGGTCCATACGGCTGCGGAGGAGGAGGCTGGTAAGGAGAAGAATTCATTCGATCTCGAGGGGAAAATGTACTGTAATGATCGGCATATGGCATGGAAGCAGGTGGGAGGGAGGACTCTGGAACGTTATTGGACCTCACAAAGCGAGGAACACAGGGAGCCACACCAGCTGGTACCGTTGGAGGTGGTGGATAGTATCCTTGAAAATTGGAAAGAGGAATATTTAATGTAATCTTAGTACAATCCAACATTTTATAATGGCTTAAATCTAAGGCAGCCCTTAATGTAGGAAAATATAATAAGCTTTGAACCTTACCTTACCCTGCTTTATAAAGCTTTATACCCTGGCTTTTTTTTTTTTTTTTTTTTTTGGTAGAGACAGGGTCTTGCTATGATGCCCAGGCTGGTCGCAAACTCCTGGGCTCAAGTGATTCTCCTGGGCCTCCCAAAGTGCTGGGATTACAAGTGTGAGCTACCACACCTGACCACAAACTACATATTTTCAAGACACCACTATATGAAAATCATTAACATTCAACACTTTGCTAAAGTGCTCCTTAAAACACACAACAGAGCTATTAACAGACGGATGGTAAATATCCTTCTAGGGCATCTATTGCCACTGGTTTTGGATTAGTCAGTTATATCATTGATTTTTATTAACTTTTTTGGGAGCAGACGTTAAAGACCTCTTTCAAAATCTATGTAAGTTGTTCACTCTCTTTCCAAAATTGAACATAAGCATACATAAATAAAACATTTTTTTACATCATTTCAGGGGACTTACAGAAAACCCCTAAAGTTCATTCCTGACCCTATTATATTTGATTTGTAGGAATGACAACCTTAAAGCTGTATTTAGAAGCACAGATCCTTGGGGAAGGAAAAAAACTTATGAGTCACATAGTCAAAAGGATTAATTTTTTTAAATGTAGACATTCTAGAACTATTCATTCATTTATCTAAAGGAAACAATGTTTCTTTTTTTCTTAGAATTGTCTAAAATTACTCACCTGTCTGTGGGTACTGTGGGACTTCAAAGGGTATCTGAGTCCTTGGATCTTGAAAATACTGAATGTTTTCAGAATGCGGAGGATATACTGGTACTCTAGTTAGAAATGGGCTGGATTTTTGAGGCACAGAATTCAGCTCTGTTCCAACATTAGAGGGCCCAGCTGAGGTAGCTGCTACATTACTTACAGGAGTCTTGGGTGGAGAACCAATTTTACTGGAGAGAAAATTTAACAAAGGGCAAAGGAGAAATCACTGTCTATGACTGTCCTCCTTACTAGAAATTTTTAATAAAATTATATTCTGAAACCACTAATAGAAAACACTTCAGACATTGCCACATTGACAAATAAGGCAATGAATTTCACTGCCACCTTACACAGCTAATTCACGTGATCATCGTAACAGATGTCATATTCCTGTGTGGGCCACAGGGAATAAAAACGATTCCCAGATATTAACGTGATTCATTAGTCACCATTTACCCATTCTTTTTTTTTTTTTTTTTTTTGAGACAGGGTGTCACTCTGTCACCCGGGCTGGAGTGCACTGACATAATCACAATAACAGCTCACTGCAGCCTTGACCTCCTGGGCTTAAGCAATCCTCCCACCTCAGCCTCCCAAGCAGATGGGACTACAAGTGCATGCCACCACACTCGGCTAATTTTTAGTTTTTTTGTAGAGACGGGGTCTAGATTTGTTGCTCAGGAGGGTCTCAAATTCTTAGGCTCAGGCAATTCTCCCACCTTAGCCTCACAAAGTGCTGGCATTACAGGCATCAGCCACCGTGCCTGGCCATTACTCATTCTTTAAACAAACATTTTTCCCTACTGAAGGTTAAAAAAAAAAAAGAAAATTCTGTTCGACAAGTTCTCAACCGAAAAAATATAGTCCATTAGTGGAACTATTTGAGACAAAGAAAACAGACATGGTAAGAAAAGAGTTGTTTTCTATGAGGAGTTAGATTAGCTGAAATATGAACTCCTTGAGGAAAGGCCACTTTTGTTTATTTTGATAATTCCTATATCCCCAGCACCTAAAACAGCTCCTGGAACAGAGTAGGCACTTGGTAAATATTTGTCAGACAAATAAAACAGTTCCTGGCATGCAGTAGGTACTCAGTAAATACTTGCTGGGTGAATGAAATGGTAACTCATTAAATTGAGGCAAAACACACCAACCTTTTATTATTATTATTTTTAACACAAAAGAATTTTCTTGGTTGAGTCACTAAGTAATCAGCTGGAAAGGATCTTATGGCTTTCTTAACTCCTTTTAAGAAGTCAAATTTCGGCCGGGCACGGTGGCTCACACCTGTAATCCTAGCACTTTGGGAGGCCGAGGCAGGCAGATCAACTGAGGTTGGGAGTTCGCGACCAGCCTGACCAACATGGAGATACCCCGTCTCTACTAAAAATACAAAATTAGCCGGGTGTGGTGGTCCATGCCTGTAATCCCAGCTACTTGGGAGGCTGAGGCAGGAGAATCGCTTGAACCCAGGAGGCGGAGGTTGTGGTGAGCCGAGATCACGCCATTGCACTCCAGCCCAGGCAACAAGAGCGAAACTCCGTCTCAAAAAAAAAAAAAAAAAAAGAAAAGAAAAAAAACCATATATATATGGCCAAAGCTTAGTCAGCTGGATTTGTAGCTATATTTATTTTGCTGATTGTATTTGCTTGTTTTAGTCAAATTTTGACAAAGCTTTAGATATGTGATGAGTGAAGAAAATGATCTTGTTAATTATGCAGGAACTCAATACATTGCATCTCAACCAGATTAGAGGGTTTTTTCCTCAAATTAGAACAATCATTTTAAAGGTAGGATATAAAGAAAAAGGTATATGGGCTGCCTTTAAGTTTATCACAGATTAGTCTAGCAGATGTTTACTTCTATGTGTAACTGTATATTAAAATGTAAAAAATAACTAAGGAACTGTGGGTAATAAAAGTAGGTACAAACGTAAGGGTTTAGAGTATAAAGATATTTTAGGACTGTGCTTATTCTTTACATAAAGTAAAATAGAGACAACAAGGAAAATGATTAGGATTTCCTTAAAACAATAACTAATATTTATCAAGTGGTTATTTGAGTCTATTCCAGGCACTGTGCTTTACATAAATTATCTGGTCCCTCCATGTCAAAATGTTATATACCTAAAATTTGGATTAGTACTTTGAAATGGTAAACTCATAGACTTATCAACAAAAAGGCAACAAGATCCATGATAAGGTCAACATTTATTGCCTCATGAAATCATGCAAGCTATCTCAAAAATTGGAACTTATAGAAAAAGCTAATCTTCAAGGCAACAAGATCCATGATAAGGTCAACATTTATCACCTCATGAAATCATGCAAGCTATCTCAAAAATTGGAACTTATAGAAAAAGCTAATCTTCAGTCACATCCTAGTGAGCATGAGATCACTATCCTAGATGACTTTCAGGATTCTAGGCTCTCCTCCATGGCAGCTTCTCTCACACCTTATTCATTTTGCCTGTGCTGCCTTCTCCATCCACAAGGCCCTTCCTTCCTTGCTATCCATACTTTTGGAAATAGCTCAGGTATCATCACTTCACCTCTAAGAAGCCATCCACAATACCTCTCATAGAATTATTCTTTTTCCTGTGTTCCAATAACAACTGGAACAACTGTGTTCCAATAAAAATTTAGATTTATTTTTTAAAAGTCTTTACCAGCTGGGCACAGTGGCTCACACCTGTAATCCCAGCCTTTTGGGAGGCCAAGGCGGGCAGATCACTTGCGGTCAGGAGTTCTAGACCAGTCTGGCCAACATGGCGAAACCCCGTCTCTACTAAAAATACAAAAATTAGCCGGGCATGGTGGCAGGTGCCTGTAATCCCAGCTACTTAGGAGGCTGAGGCAGGAGAATTGCTTGAACCTGGCAGGTGGAGGTTGCAGTGAGCCGAAATCGCACCATTGCACTCCACCTGGGTGACAGAGAGACTCCATCTCAAAAAAAAAAAAAAAAAAAAAGTTTTTACCCTAGTCTATTTTGTTAAAAAATTGAGATACAGTTCATTATTTTAGGGTGTACAATTCAGTAATTTTTAGTATATTCACAAGGCTGTCCAATTATCACCACTAATTCTGAAACATTTTCATCATCCCCAAGAGAAACCTGTACCCATTAGCATTCATTCCCCATTCCTGTCCCAGCCCTAAACCCCTAGAAACCATTAATCTACTTCCTGTCTCTATGAATTTGCCTATTCTGGACATTTAACATAAATGTGACCTTTTGTATCTGGCTTCTTTCATTTAGCACAATGTTTAAAGGTTCATCCATATTGTAGCACATAATAGTACTTCATTCCTTTTTTATGGCTGAATTTTCCATTGTATGGATATAAAACAGTTTTACAAAATTTTCTTGCCAAAAATCTTCAAAAGCTTATTTCCTAAACATGTATACATAAGGTCTCCATAATCTGGCACCAACCTATCTAACCTTATTTTATACCAGTCCCTAATATAAGCCTTCAGATCTAAAAGACTGGTCTCCTCAATATTCCATATAATTACAGATAGATTTAATCCATGTTATGTTGTTTTTTTTCTGTAATTTCCCATATTTCTCCCAGCAATATAAAATTTTCCTGTCCTTTAATCCAACTTCAGTACTGTTTCATATGTGTAAATGCTGTCTCCACAACTATATCATAAATCCCTTAAAAGCAAAGTATCTTGTATTCATGTGCCAAAAACAGCTACAAGATTGAGTGCATAAATAACATTTGTTAACTAGACCATGTTCTCAAATATATCTTTTCTAAAATCTTGCCCAGGGAAGATTGTAAAAGTCCTTTTTTTTTTTGAGATGGAGTCTCACTCTTGTTGCCCAGGCTGGCGTACAACGGTGCGATCTTGGCTCACTGCAACCTCCACCTCCCAGGTTCAAGCGATTCTCCTGCCTCAGCCTTCCCAGGTAGCTGGGATTACAGGCATGCGCCACCATGCCTGGCTAATTTTGTATTTTTAGTAGAGACGGGGTTTCTCCATGTTGGTCAGGCTGGTCTTGAACGCCCAACCTCAGGTGATCTGCCCACCTCGGCCTCCCAAAGTGTTGGGATTACAGGCCTGAGCCACCGTGCCCAGCCTGTAAAAGTCCTTTAATAAACAATCTCCCCCATCATGTGCTGACTGCAGAAGTAGCAAATGTTACTGCTTATCTATCCATCATTGATTGCTATGTGCCTAGCACAATGCTTTTTTCCTAGCAGGCATATAACAGATACTGATAGACTATTTATAGGCAACAAAATCTGAACATCAACATATTGATGAATATTAAAATATTCATCAATCTAAATCTTACTCAAGATTTTAGAGTTGGAAACAACTTTTCAGATAATCTGAAAATTTAAAAACCTTTTTCTAAAGGCACCAAAACCCTCTGACAAAGGAAATCTTATGCTGACACTCAGTAACAATTAATGGTGATAATAATAATAAAGCAAATATTTACTGAGTGCTTACTATCTGGTAGGCATTGTTCAAGGCATACTGGAGTATTAATTCACTTAATCCTCGCAACCAACATATGAAGTTGACACCATTATAATTCTAGTTTTATGAAGGAGTAAACTAAGGTAGACAGATTAAGTAACTGGCCTAAGATCAAACAGCTGGGAAACCATGAGCCAGAACTTGAAAGCCCAGAGAGTGTGGCTCCAAAGAGTCCCCTCCTTTTTTTTTTTTTGAGACAGTGTCTCACTCTGTTGCCCAGGCTGGATTGCAGTAGCACGATCTGGGTTCACTGCAAGCTCCGCCTCCTGGGTTCATGCCATTCTCCTACCTCAGCCTCCTGAGTAGCTGGGACTACATATGCCCGCCACCATGCCCGGCTAATTTTTTTTTTGTATTTTTAGTAGAGATGGGGTTTCACCATGTCAGCCAGGATGGTCTCGATCTCCAGACCTCATGATCTGCATGCCTCAGCCTCCAAAAGTGCTGGGATTACAGGTGTGAACCACTGCACCCGGCCAAGTGCTACACCTCATTACAGAGTATAAAGTGAAAGCGCTCTGACTGAAACAGAGCTAGAGGCTCAGCATTTTACCTGCTTAGGTTTCTATTTAGTTCTTTTCTGGCACCTCTATGGAATCAACACTACAGTTCAAGAAAATAAGGTGTGAAAAAAAAACAATTCTGGTCCAGTCTCTTTGGGAGAGTTGAGGAAAACAAAACTCAGAGTTAAAGTCACTTTCCCACTTTCCAAGTTCACAGGGCTATTCAGTTGCAGAACCAAACTAGAACTCAAATTTTTTAGTATTTAGTGTTTCTTCTACATCACAAAATATTCTGCATAAAAATTCTGATTAACCGGTATTCATCAGCAGAAATAAAAACACTCAGGCATTTCTAAAAAGGAAAAAGAATTTCCAGTAATCATTTTTACCTAATACCTACTTTTCAGTTACAGAATCTGCAGAGGGCCCAGCAGCATTCTGACCATTAGCGCCAACCTTTCCCACTTTCTTCACGGTCTCCAGAGCTCTTAAGGTACTGTCAGTACTACGTGAGATTAGCTGGGAAACACTGTTTTCTGCATTTGAAATTCCGTTTGTACTTGGAACAATTTTCCCTGTTGTTTCAGTACTTCCTATGACAGAAATGACATTTCCGGCTGTGGTTGTGACAGTGTTGTTTACACCAACTTTATTTAGAAGAGGAAACGTTCTTACAGTGGCATTGATCTTTTTGTTCCTTAATCGATACCTGTTTCAAAAACAATCAACAGATTGGTGAATATTTCACTAAATCTTACTCAAGACAAAAAATGGCAATGGGCAATGGGAATAGATTGAAAAAGGAGGAAACAGTTTTGACAAAAAGTTTCTTCAGCTAAATAATCAAATACAGTCTATATCAAATTCTACTGCAACAGATGCCACATGAAAATATATATGCCATTCACATATAATATACATGTAATTAATATAGCAAGCCGAGTTTATATGTATTTTTTTTTCCCCTCATGCCACTTTGTCCAAGAATGTATTCAAAAAAACCTTTTGAGGGAGTGGAAAGAGACCATTTGAAAATTTTGTATAACTAGAATATAAGGGATGTTATGTAAAAATGACAGGAACTGGCAACAAATTTGGTTGAGAACACAGAGTAAAGAGAAAAGGTATGCAAGAGCTGAAGCCATTTTCTGTTGTTACCAAACTGTAAAAGGATTATATAATTTAAAAAAATAATTTAAAAAACTCATTCTTAAACAAACATTACACAAAAATAGAAATTCTGTATTATAGTTCTCAGAATAGTTTATACCTAAAGTTAAAAACATTTGTATGAAAGATTTTTCTGATACTAAGTTTTGAGTTTTATTTATGGTGATCATTGGATATAATACTCTAATACACAAAAGGACTGGCAATTTGATTTTGGATTCCATTTAAGAAAATGTCTCCCTCTCCCCCTCCCCCTCCCCCCTCCCTCTCCCCACGGTCTCCCTCTCCCCACGGTCTCCCTCTCCCTCTCTTTCCACGGTCTCCCTCTGATGCCGAGCCGAAGCTGGACTGTACTGCTGCCATCTCGGCTCACTGCAACCTCCCTGCCTGATTCTCCTGCCTCAGCCTGCGGAGTGCCTGCGATTGCAGGCGCGCGCCGCCACGCCTGACTGGTTTTCTTATTTTTTTGGTGAAGACGGGGTTTCACTGTGTTGGCTGGGCTGGTCTCCAGCTCCTAGCCGCGAGTGATCCGCCAGCCTCGGCCTCCGGAGGTGCCGGGATTGCAGACGATGTCTGGTTCACTCAGTGCTCAGTGGTGCCCAGGCTGGAGTGCAGTGGTGTGATCTCAGCTCGCTACAACCTCCACCTCCCAGCCACCTGCCTTGGCCTCCCAAAGTGCTGAGATTGCAGCCTATGCCCGGCCGCCACCCCGTCTGGGAAGTGAGGAGCGTCTCTGCCTGGCCGCCTATCGTCTGGGACGTGAGGAGCCCCTCTGCCTGGCTGCCC
This sequence comes from Homo sapiens, assembly GCF_000001405.40. Classification (NCBI taxonomy): domain Eukaryota; kingdom Metazoa; phylum Chordata; class Mammalia; order Primates; family Hominidae; genus Homo; species Homo sapiens. The sequence goes on from NC_000009.12 coordinate 122,866,905, forward strand.
AGTCTGGAAAGTGAGAAGCGTCTGCCCGGCCGCCATCCCATCTAGGAAGTGAGGAGCGTCTCTGCCCGGCCACCCATTGTCTGAGATGTGGGGAGCGCCTTTGCCCCACCGCCCCGTCTGGGATGTGAGGAGCGCCTCTGCCTGGCCGCGACCCCGTCTGGGAGGTGAGGAGCGTCTCTGCCCAGCCGCCCCGTCTGAGAAGGGAGGAGACCCTCCGCCCGGCAACCGCCCCGTCTGAGAAGTGAGGAGCCCCTCCGCCCGGCAGCCGGCCCATCTGAGAAGTGAGGAGCGTCTCCGCCCGGCAGCCACCCCGTCCGGGAGGGAGGTGGGGGGATCAGCCCCCCGCCCGGCCAGCCGCCCCGTCCGGGAGGGAGGTGGGGGGGTCAGCCCCCCGCCCGGCCAGCCGCCCCGTCCGGGAGGTGAGGGGCGCCTCTGCCCAGCCACCCCTACTGGGAAGTGAGGAGACCCTCTGCCCAGCCAGCCGCTCCGTCCGGGAGGGAGGTTGGGGGGTCAGCACCCCGCCCGGCCAGCCACCCCGTCCAGGAGGGAGGTGGGGGGGTCAGCCCCCCGCCCGGCCAGCCGCCCTGTCGGGGATGTGAGGGGCGCCTCTGCCCGGCCGCCTATCGTCTGGGACGTGAGGAGCCCCTCTGCCTGGCTGCCCAGTCTGGAAAGTGAGAAGCGTCTGCCCGGCCGCCATCCCATCTAGGAAGTGAGGAGCGTCTCTGCCCGGCCACCCATTGTCTGAGATGTGGGGAGCGCCTTTGCCCCACCGCCCCGTCTGGGATGTGAGGAGCGCCTCTGCCTGGCCGCGACCCCGTCTGGGAGGTGAGGAGCGTCTCTGCCCAGCCGCCCCGTCTGAGAAGGGAGGAGACCCTCCGCCCGGCAACCGCCCCGTCTGAGAAGTGAGGAGCCCCTCCGCCCGGCAGCCGGCCCATCTGAGAAGTGAGGAGCGTCTCCGCCCGGCAGCCACCCCGTCCGGGAGGGAGGTGGGGGGGTCAGCCCCCCGCCCAGCCAGCCGCCCCGTCCGGGAGGGAGGTGGGGGGGTCAGCCCCCCGCCCGGCCAGCCGCCCCGTCCGGGAGGTGAGGGGCGCCTCTGCCCAGCCACCCCTACTGGGAAGTGAGAAGCCCCTCTGCCCAGCCAGCCGCTCCGTCCGGGAGGGAGGTTGGGGGGTCAGCACCCCGCCCGGCCAGCCACCCCGTCCAGGAGGGAGGTGGGGGTGTCAGCCCCCCGCCCGGCCAGCCGCCCTGTCGGGGATGTGAGGGGCGCCTCTGCCCGGCCGCCCCTACTGGGAAGTGAGGAGCCCCTCTGCCCGGCCACCACCCCGTCTGGGAGGTGTACCCAACAGCTCATTGAGAACGGGCCATGATGACAATTGCGGTTTTGTGGAATAGAAAGGGGGCAAAGGTGGGGAAAAGATTGAGAAATCGGATGGTTGCCGTGTCTGTGTGGAAAGAAGTAGACATGGGAGACTTTTCATTTTGTTCTGTACTAAGAAAAATTCTTCTGCCTTGGGATCCTGTTGATCTGTGACCTTACCCCCAACCCTGTGCTCTCTGAAACATGTGCTGTGTCCACTCAGGGTTAAATGGATTAAGGGCGGTGCAAGATGTGCTTTGTTAAACAGATGCTTGAAGGCAGCATGCTCGTTAAGAGTCATCACCACTCCCTAATCTCAAGTACCCAGGGACACAAACGCTGCGGAAGGCCGCAGGGTCCTCTGCCTAGGAAAACCAGAGACCTCTGTTCACTTGTTTATCTGCTGACCTTCCCTCCACTATTGTCCTATGACCCTGCCAAATCCCCCTCTGTGAGAAACACCCAAGAATGATCAATAAAAAATAAATAAATAAATAAATAAATAAAAAGAAAATGTGTTTCTATGTATACACCAAAATTTCATTATAATATAATCCTTAACAATATTCCCTCCTATATGTGTGTGTGTGTGTGTGTGTGTGTGTGTGTGTGTGTGTGTGTGTGTGTGTATGTGTTTTTTTTTTTTTTTTTTGTGGGGGGGTTAAGTTCCACTCTTGTCGCCCAGGTTACAGTGCAATGGCGCGATCTCGGCTCACTGCAACCTCCGCCTCCTGGGTTCAAGTGATTCTTCTGCCTCAGCCTCCCAAGTAGCTGGGATTACAGGCACGTGCCTGCCACCACGCCTGGTTAACTTTTGTATTTTTAGTAGAGATGGGGTTTTGCCATGTTGGCCAGGCTGGTCTCAAAATCCTGACCTCAGGTGATCTGCCCACTTCGGCCTCCCAAAGTGCTGGGATTACGGGTGTGAGCCACCATGCCTGGCCCCTACAACATTTTTAAAGCGGTGAAAAATTAAGTTCACGAACAGAAAGAAGACTATACATATTTGGTGTCATAATTATATATGCCTAAAGTAATGTTATTAATGTTATATATAAACATATGGTAATTAAATATAAAGTGTTAGTAGTAAGCAATGCCTTCACAATAGTTTCCCTTTTAGTCCTCTGGTATCTATAAACAACTTCATTATTCAGTCCTTCTCTTCTCCTTCTCTTTAACATGTACACATTGGCAGAGGAAGGTGATGCTCAATAAAAGACAAGTGCTCCTAGATTAGACTGGCTAAAAGTGAAGTAACAGAATATTAAAAAAACAGGTGATGGCCAGTTTACACGATTTTTTTTTTTTTTTTTTTTTGAGGCGGAGTTTTGCTCGTCACCCAGGCTGGAGTGCAATAGTGTGATCTCAGCTCACTGCAACCTCTGCTTCCCGGGTTCAAGCAATTCTCCTGCCTCAGCCTCTGGAGTACAGGTGCACATTATAGGCGCGCGCCTGCCAACACACCTGGCTAATTTTTGTATTTTTAGTAGAGATGGGGTTTCATCATGTTGGCCAAGCTGTTCTCAAACTCCTGACCTCAAGTGATCCGCCTGCCTTGGCCTCCCAAAGTGCTGGGATTATAGGCATAAGCCACTGTGCCTGGCCAACATCATCTTATAGATAAGAGGAAAACCAATAATTACTTCTTTCAAGAAGGGCATGAGCAGACCTATATTTCAGGAAGACAATCTGGTTGTCTGGAGGGGCCCAAAGATCCCTATGCCTTCCTCCACATTCTCTCTGAAACCTACTCTCATTATTCTTTTCCTCAGAGTTCCTATACAGAATATCGTGTCTCCTTGCTTTCCATCCTCAAAAAATAAAACTTGGCCGGGCATGGTGGCTCACACCTGTAATCCCAGCACCTTGGGAGGCTGAGGCGAGTGGATTACCTGAGGTCAGGAGTTCAAGACCAGCCTGGCCAACATGGTGAAACCCCGTCTCTATTAAAAATACAAAAATTAGCCAGAAGTGGTGGGACATGCCTGTAATCCCAGCTACTTGGGAGGCTGAAGCAGGAGAATTGCTTGAGCCTGGGAGACAGAGGTTGCAGTGAGCCGAGATTGTGCCACTGTACTCCAGCCTGGCCGACAGAGCAAGACTCTGTCTCCAAAAACAAACAAACAAACAAACAAACAAACAAACAAACAAAAAAAAAACAACAAACTGAGATAATCCACAAGGTTGCTCTAGAAAGCAAAAAATAAAGTTTTAACTATGAACCTCTCAAAAAAGAGTCAGGAGAAATAAAATCTTAACCAAGTGAGGTAAAGCAAGTGACAAGTAGGGATATACACTGAATTCTTAGTATTGGGGCAGCTAAAGGCTGCCTTTTCAGGGACAGGATCTCACTATGTTGCCTAGACTGCCTTAAATCCTAAATGCAAGTGATCCTCCCAGCTCTGCCTCCAGAGTAGCTGGGACTACAGGTGTGCACCACCATGCGTAACTCTCCCTATTCTTTTTAAATCCCTTCTTACCCATCTTAGAATCCACTATCTACCATTAATCCCTCCCTTGTAAATAATTTTTAACTCCCTTGATCCACTCCCTCTGTATCTCATTTGGTAAAAGCTCAATCCAATTCTTTACTTATTTTGTGCCTGCTACCAAGCAGCTAAATGTTGGAGAAAAATTGTGCAATCACGCTGTCTATAATCCCTTCAAAATTATAAATAATTCATTAATACGCTTCTTTACTAAGTTCATTTTCCCATCTCCAATAGCCTTTTCCCTTCCACTTTCAACCACCCCTCCTACAGCTAGATGATATTGTTTCCCACTTAACCACGAAAATAGATGAAAGCAGAGGAGAATAATTTATCTTTCCGCTACCAATTCCAGTAACCTTCCTGCACCTGTAGCCACATTCCTCTTAAAGATAAGGGACAATGAGTTCCTGTTCCTGACTAAAGCCAGTCTCACCACCTGTGGCCTAGGTCTCAAGCCCATTTGCCTTCCTCTAAGACTTCACTGAGGTAATTATCTTTTTTTCTCGTGGGCACCTTCTTTGACTACCTGCTCAAATGTTGTATCTTCTTTTTTTTTTTTGAGACGGAGTCTCGCTCTGTTGCCCAGGCTGGAGTGCAGTGGCGCAATCTCAGCTCACTGCAAGCTCCACCTCCCAGGTTCACGCCATTCTCCAGCCTCAGCCTCCCGAGGAGCTGGTACTACAGTTGCCCACCACCAGGCCCGGCTAATTTTTTCTGTTTTTAGTAGAGACGGGGTTTCACCGTGTTAGTGGGGGGGGGGGTTTCATCGTGTTAGCCAGGATAGTCCCGATCTCCTGACCTTGTGATCCGCCTGCCTCGGCCTCCCAAAGTGCTGGGATTACAGGCGTGAGCCACTGCGCCTGGCCAAATGTTGTATCTTCTAAGAGTCTTTCCTACACTATTCTATCTAAGAGATCTCCCCTTTCTCAATCACTCTTTTTCTCCTTTGTGTTTTTTTTTCATACTGCCTGTCATTACAAGATATTATGCTATATTTATTTATTTCATGTCTGTCTTCTTACTACAATGTAAGCCCCCGGAGGACAAGACTTTTGCCTTTCTTGCATCTCTCTATCTTTAGCACACAATACACTGTCTCATAACATCCCAAGTGCCCAATTATTATTATTATTTTAAAGGCAGAGTCTCCATCACCCAGGCAGGAGTGAGTCACCATGCCCAGCCAATTTTTTTTTTTTGTAGTAGAGACAAGGTCTTGCTATGTTGCCCAGGCTGGTCACAAACTCCTGAGCTCAAGTGATCTTCTTGCCTCAGCCTTTCAAAGTATTGGAATTACAGGCGTGAGCCACCTCACCCGGCCCCCAATTATTATTTGTTGCATTAATATAGAATAAGCTTCAAACATCATTATGGCCAAGAGAACCACTGATTTTCTGCCCTGATGCATTTCCCATTTCAGCAAGAGACCACTAAGTTATGCAGGCTCCATACCTTGGAGTCATCCTTGATTCCTCTCTTTTCTTTATAGCCCACATTCAATTGGTCCATGTTGTCAGCTCTACTTCCAAAATATATCCTAAGTATGACTACTTTTCATCATTTCCATTGCTATAGTCCTACCCGAGCTACCAAACTCCCACCTGTGGACCAATATAGAAGTTTAACTTGTCTCCATCCATGCAGACACCAGAGTGATATGTCTAAGACAAAATGAAAATTTCATCATTCCATTTAAATAAAACTCTAAAATGACTTCTTATTGCAAACAGAATAAAATCCAAATTCTTTGCTATGGCCAAAATTGCTTATTTACATGTTTACTGTTCCTCTTTTTCCATTAGAAACATCTTGAATAGTAACCAGTATATAATAATCTTTTATAACTTTTTTTTTTGAGACAAAGTCTCACTCTATCACCCAGGTTGGAGTGCAGTGGTGCTCACTGCAACCTCTACCTCCCAGGTTCACGCGATTCTCGTGCCTCAGCCTCCCCAGTAGCTGGGATTACAGGCGTGCACCACCATGCCCGGCTAATTTTTGTATTGTTAGTAGAGACAGAGTTTCCCCCATGCTGGCCAGGCTGGTCTCAAACTCCTGACCTCAAGTGATACACCAGCCTTGGCCTCCCAAAGTGCTGGGATTACAGGCATGAGCCACTGCTCCTGGCCACTATTTGTTGAGTTGGTTGATCCCTCGCTTTTGACACTCCCCAGAATGTAGCAATTCTTTGGAACATAACCCCAACATCCTAGTTCTAAAACATATCCACATATTTACATAATATTTATTCTACATATTTATTTTATGTTTACATATAATAAATATGTATTCTAAGAAGGGATTATTGAGCATCCACATTTTGTTTGGTTAGAGGGGTGTATAATAGAGAAAGAAAATATAGGTAAAATTAATTTATTTAAGTTGAACAAACATTTGCTGAATTTCTGGTGTTATGTGAACTAAGACAAACAGCCTATCCTCAAAAAGCTCAGAGTGAGGTAGCAATATGTATTTTTTAAACTGAAAGGACAGTCACATCACCTACTTTTCTAATCCTTTGTATTATCCCTGTTTGTTTAAACAGCAATAGAGTGTGAAGCTGGTTGGAAATAAGAAGTAAGAACTGTATATTATTTGCTCCTCCACATAAACATACTGAGTTTATGTTATCAGGTGTTTTCTAGATGCAGGAAATATAAAGATGAAGAACCCTTGCCAGGTGCCATGGCTCATGCCTGTAATCCTAGCACTTTGGGAGGCTGAGGTGGGCAGATTGAGCTCAGGAGTTCGAGACCAGCCTGGGCAACATGGTGAATCCCCATCTCTACAAAAAATATAAAAAAAATTTAGCCAGGCATGGTGGCGTGTGTCTGTGGTCCCAGCTACTCGAGAGGCTGAGGTGGGAGAATCCCCTGAGCCTGGGAGGCAGAAGTTGCAAGTGAGCCAAGATCATACCACTGCACTATAGAGTGAGGCCCTGTCTCCAGAAAAAAAAAAGATTAATAACCCATGAGATAAATGAAGTCCAGTGAAAACACACATGTAAATAAACAATTATAATACTGTAGTTTTATAACTATACCATAATTTTTATTTATTTATTTATATTTATTTTTTTGAGACGGAATCTTGCTCTGTCGTCCACACAGGAGTATAGTGGCGCCATCTCGGCTCACTGCAACCTCTGCCTCCCAAGTTCAAGCCATTCTCCCGCCTCAGCCTCCCGAGCAGCTGGGATTACAGGTGCTTGCCACCACACCCAGCTAACTATACCATAATTTTTAAACTACTATGTATGGAGTGCTATGGCAGCATGGTGAAGGATGCAATTAACACTGCCTAGGGAAGTCTGTGGAGGGAAGATAATATCTGAGTATGATTAGAAATAGTTATCCAGATAAAGAGGAGAGAGAAAATAATACAATATGGAATAAACAATATAGACAAGTGAAAAGAAGAGTAAAAGAAATTTATATAGTAATCAACAGTGATTAATTGAATATACCTTAAAAACAAAGTATACAAATGGCAGAGTAGAGCTAGAGGATAAAATCAGGATGAGATTCTGTGATGTACTGAGGAACTAATTAAGAATTTAAAGGAGACACACATATTTTAAAAAGAAAATAGTGGAAATGGAAAAGACAGATTGAGATATAGGAAGATACTGGATAAAAAGCCACTGAAGCAGTAAAACCAACTGGATTACCATGTGAAACACTAAAAATGTGACCAATAATTTTGCCATTATTATTATTTTTGAATGAGTGATATTTTATATATTTATTATTTTATTATTTTTATTTATTTATATTTTTGAGACAGAGTCTTGCTCTGCTGCCCGGGTTGGAATACAGTGGTATAATCTCAGTTCACGGCAGACCTGACCTCCCGAGTTCAAGCAATCCTCCCACCTCAGCCTCCTGAGTAGCTAAGATGACAGGCGTATGCCACTATGCTCAGCCAATTTTGTTTATTTTTTTGTAGAGGTGAGGTCTCACTATGTTGCCCAGGCTGGTCTCAAACTCCTGGACTCAAGGTATCCTCCTGCCTTTGCCTCCCAAACTGCTGGGAATACAGGCATGAGCCACTACACCTAGTTTGGCTATTATTATTTTTACTGCTACTATTACAAGTCTGGCAAAATATAATAAAGTTCTGAACTAGGTACTGCAGATGAAGAATGTGAAGTCTGTTTGAAGGTATGAGAAAGAAGAAAATGGATTTTCAGCCTGGGCACTAATTGAGGGTGGAATGGCAATGAAACCACAGTTTCTTCTCTGACTTTTTTAGTCGAACTTTCTCAAAAGCTCCCCTTTTAGCTAAAAAGCTCTATTTCAGGTATGGACAAGCTGAATGTATTTCCTGGAGTCTCCCAAATTATCTTGATGTGAAATTCTGTATATAGAACTAGTTCGATTGGGTACAAACAGCATCTTTTTTCCTTAGGACTCCTTAATCCTCTTCTCTAGGCACTTCAAGTGGGGAAAAAAACTGAGAAGAGAAGCATGTTTCTGCTCTTTTCACTGCACACACACTTATCTTCTCTCTATCACAATGCTGCTGCTTGTAGAGCTCATTATGTACAGTGCCCAAGCTAGCCACTGAGGAAAGGAGACAACAATGAAGATATAGTCCACGGGGGTTACACTTATGTAAGATAGACAAACATTTAATAAACAGATCATGGGCCATAGTTTCTGTAAAGGGTTTTTATAAATAAAGTTTACAGCCATGCCCAATTTATGCATTGTCTGTGGCTGTTTTTTTGCTACAGTGGCACTGCTGAGTGGTTGTAACAGATTCTGTGGCCCACAAAGCCAAAAATGTTTGCTAGCTGGACTTCATAAAGAAGTTTGTCAAGCTCTAAAACAGGCCACTAATTAATTTTATGTGATAAGTGTTTGAAAGAGGAAGCTGGTTAGTATGAAGTGTCAGGGGAATTACCCTGAAAAAGCGAAGGATGAGCTAGACAAAGGAAAGGTCTCAAAGGCAAGGCTAGGAGTAACAGCATTATGTAAAAGACCTGAGGTGGGAAAGAGCACAGTGCATACCACAAACTGAGAGAAGGTCAGTGTGGCTTGAGTACAATTAGTGTTGTGTAATGAGATCAGAAAGGCAGACACAGATTAGATGATGCAGGGTCTTAGAGGCCACAACATAGATTTTATTTCTTAATCTACAGGACAATGAGAGGCTATCAAAGGCTTAGGTGAAGAAGGGTGGTATGAGTAAATCTGTGCTTTTAAAATATTTCTGTTTTAAGGGAAATAATGGGAGAAGGGGTGGACAGCGAGAGATTTAAGACTAGTGAGAAGGCAACAAGGGATCGAGAAAAGGAGATGACAGCTTGGATCACAAGGATGGAAAGAAGAATAAAGAACTGAGAAATATATAGGAAGATGAATTGGCAGAACTTTTTGACTGATTAAGCAGAAAAAGCTAAGGAAGGACAGCTGACAAATATGATTATTATAACACAGCATATATAACAGGCTGGATGGCTAAACTGGGTACACGAGGTGAGTACAATGGAAGGCAGGAGGAGGAGGTATGGGAGAAAATTAGCTCAGTTTGTTTAAAGTATCTAAAAACAAAATGAATATGCCCACAAAGAGTTGATAGACAGGGCAGGTGTGGTGGCTCACGTCTGTAATCCCAGTACTTTGGGAGGCCAAGGCAGGCAGATCGCTTGAGGTCAGGAGTTTGAGACCCGCCTGGTGAACATGGTGAAACCCTGTCTCTACTAAAAATACAAAAATTGGCCAGGCATGGTGGTGGGCGCCTGTGGTTCCAGCTACTCGGGAGGCTGAGGCAGGAGTATCGTTTGAACAGGGGAGGCAGAGGTTGCAGTGAGCCAAGATCATGCCACTGCACTCCACCCTGGGCGACAGAGCAAGACTCCACCTCAAAAAAAAAAAAAAAGTTGATACACTGGCCAGCAGAAAGTAGAAAAGCTGGGATCAATTTTTTGGTGAGGTCTCAAAAATGAAAGTCTTAGTTAAAAAACAAAACAACAAAAATTGGATAATAGTATTAAACCTTACATACATTAACTTTTAGGTCTCGGGTAAAGGGACATAGAAAAAGGGGTTAACCATAGGAGAAGAGAAAGAATACACAGGGAAAAAGAATGTTAAAAAGACCAAAAGCCGTAAAAAGGATATATATCTGCTTTACCATTTTGCCTGAGACTTTGCTGCTAGGTTTAACTGAATCTGAGCAAATAAGACTGCAAGTATTTTCATTCTGCACAGGTGCTCAGTATAAATATGGATTCCAGCTATAAAATGGTCTCAAAATATGACCACTGAGTAAAGTTCTAAATCACTTATGTAAATCTTGTACCCAGATCTTATATGTTTTGTTGTGAGGCAGAGTCTTGCTGTGTCCCTCAGGCTGGAGTGCAGTGGTGTGAACACACTCACTGCAGCCTTGACCTATGGGGTTCAAGCAATCCTTCCACTTCAGTCTTTTGAGCAGCTGGGACCACAACTGTGGGCCACACAGCTAATTTTTAAATTTTTTGTAGAGACGGGGGTCTCCTTATCTTGCCCAGGCTGGTCTCAAACTCCTGAGCACAAGCAATCCTCCTGCCTCAGCCCCGCAAACTGCTGGGACTACAGGCATGAGCTATGGTGCCCAGCCCTTAACTTGCATTTTTGAAAGTCATCACAAACTTCAGGACTGTATATAACATTCCCATAAAAATCAAAAATTAAACCCATATGAAACAGAATTCTCAACACTTACTTTTCAAGCTCTTCCTGAGAATGGGCAAATGTACAATTTGTTCCTCGTGGACAACCCCCTTGCTGTCGCAAATCTCGGCACATGCTAGTCTTGTATTTGCTGTTTGGCTGAGGCTACAAAAATGGGAACACATTCAATGAGTGGCAAGGTGAAGATTCCATTTGTTATTCACTCTAGGAAGTTCAGAACTTTATAATTACACCTTTAATTCTTTTTCACATTAGACAAGTAATTCTTGTGCTGAAACAACTAATATTCCATTGTTTCCTGTTGTGAGTTATGTGACATAACCCTGAATTGGCACTTCAGATATTCCTTCTGAAGATTATTCGAAACTGGTTCAAATGTTATGTCCATTTATTCATTAGTTAACAGAATGCCCAGAAAAAGAAAATATTTTTTCATCAATTTATTGCTGTCTTAAAATTCTGCTACCAAAATCAAACAATTTTAAAAAGCATTAAAAAAAAACCAAAAGCTTTGTCTACTTAAACTTTCTCAGAAAAGGTAGAATACAATTCCACCTAGAAGTGAAAAATTACCAATTCACTTGTCAGCTTGAGGGTGCAACTCTCAGGCTTAAACTATTTGAGTTCATACAATGAGGCAGAATATTAAAATTTCACTATTACTTCTACAATTTGCATCAAAATCTAAGACATTCTTATTCTTATGAGCCTAGGATGAAAACATTTGTTTTTAATATTTTAAGTTATAATATCTTCTAAGAATAAGGAGAGAAGAGTACAAAGTGTAGGTTTGATCCCAGCTCTTACTGACAGCACAACCTTTTTTATTTTTTATTTTTATCTTTGAGACGGAGTCTTGCTCTGTTGCCCAGGCTGGAGTGCAGTGGCGCCATCTCAGCTCACTGCAAGCTCCACTTCCCGGGTTCAGGCCATTCTCCCTGCCTCAGAGAGCTCCCAAGTAGCTGGGACTACAGGCGCCTGCCACCACGCCCGGCTAATTTTTTGTATTTTTAGTAGAGATGGGGCTTCACCATGTTAGCCAGGATGGTCTCGATCTCCTGACCTTGTGATCCGCCCGCCTCAGCCTCCCAAAGTGCTGGGATTATAGACATGAGCCACCGCGCCCAGCCCCCTGACAGCACAATCTTATGTTATTTAACCTCTTTGAATTTCAGCTTGGAAACAGCAACTACATTGCAGGTGGCTGTGAGGATAAGAAATAATACATGTAAAACATTGAATGTAGTGAATGGCTCATAATAATTTATTAAATAGAAGTTATAAGTATAAAGGATTATATCTTAACTTCTTTTTATTTTATATTTTTGGAGACAAGAGTCACTCTGTCGCCCAGGCTGGAGTGCAGTGGCGCGATCTCGGCTCACTGTAGCCTCCATCTCCCGGGTTCAAGCGATTCTCCTGACTCAGCCGTCTCAGTAGTTGGGATTACAGGCATCCACCACAATGCCTGGCTCATTTTTGTATTTTTTTTTTTTTAGTAGAGATGGGGTTTCACCATGTTGGCCAAGCTGGTCTCGAACTTCTGGCCTCAAGTGATCCACTCACCTCAACCTCCCAAAGTGCTGGGATTACAGGCGTGAGCCACTGTGCCTGGCCAGGTTTATATCTTAACTTCTAAAGTACACTGAAAAGTATCTTGAAAATTCAAATTTCGGCCAGGCACGATGGCTCACGCCTGTAATCCCAGCACTTTGGGAGGCCGAGGTGGGCAGATCACCTGAGGTCAGGAGTTTGAGACCAGCCTGGCCAACATGGTAAAACCCTCTCTACAAAAAATACAAAAATTAGCAGGGCGTGGTGGCACTTGCCTGTAATCCCAGTTACTTGGGAGGCTGAGGCAGGAGAATCACCTGAACTCAGGAGGCAGAGGTTGCAGTGAGCTGAGATAGCGTCACTGCACTCCAGCCTGGGTGACAGAGTGAGACTTTGTCTAAAAAAAAAAGAAAGAAAATTCAAATTCCATAAATTTACATATAGAAATTCAATACAGAAAAAAAATGACAATTTCCCACAGTAGAAAAGAATGAGACAAAACGTTTGGAATCAATTATCTACATTTGGTCAAAAATATTCTGCAATAAAGTATACTCACACCCAAGATACCCTCTAAACTCTTGGTGTGCTATGAAATGTTTACCAAGTACACTAAAAACTGGGTTCCTCCCAAAAGAATAGAGATGATAGAAACTTATGAGTCACATACGGAGTCCAATTAACAAAACAGCTGGTTAAGATGTTCAGGATGAAACTGAGTTAGAGACAACAGCAGTCAGAAATGTAATAAATGTACTTACCTGAGGGGTCTCATGGCCTTTTCTACTATAATTTTGTATGAAGTCCACAAGGCCATGAACTACTGTTTTAACAGCTACCATTGCATTTTCCAGCTGCTCCCAAGTTGGTGAAACAGCGTCTAAAATAAGCCACCAAGGGCATGGGGGTTGGGGGGGAAGAATGTTAGCAGTAATTCTCTTGTGTTATTCACCTCAAAAGTAGAAAAAAATATAAGCAACTGAGCATATTCCCACATACCTGGATTAGGGTCTATGTTTGCAAGAAGCTCTAAATGAGGCCTCAGTCTATTTAAGTTAGCTGGGTCACCTGTTCGTTGCAAAACAATTGTCAATTCCTGGACACTCTTTGCAAATGACTCTGGAGACTGTAGCTAACAAACAGAAATGAGAATGCTTTTTACTTTGGTTCTTATGACACATTTATACTCAAATACTTTCAATTTATCAACATATTTAATACGTTTTCAAGTGTCTTCAGATTCCACAGTAGGAGTATCAGTGATGAATTAAATTTTCACCTCAGAATCTGCCCTATGAAATTCATCATTAGACACTTAGAAAACTTATAAGCTGTATTAACTCTCTGAGGTCAGAATATAGATAAATTTGAGACTTTGTAAGCCTCACTGCTTTTATGCTAGTATCATGTATTTGTTTCCCTGTTGCATCCCTTTATTTTGCAAGTAGAAAAATAAAAAGAAAATAAGGATAATTTATAAGAGTCTGACATTTAAAAACATAGGAATCTCCAACTGTTTGTGTATAGACTCTTTAGAATATTCTAATACTCTTCAATGTAACAGCAATGATAGAACATCAGCATCTCTAATTTCACAAACCTTATCAATGATAGACTGCATGTGTGATTTATGAGCCAAATCACCATACAAAAGAGAGGACCACTGTTCAGGTGAAATACGGAGTCCTGCTTCCATGGCAATATGAACAATTTGGGCATCATGTTCTCTGCGTAATGCTTCATAACTCCGAAATTCCTCCTTCAGCTGCATTAGGGAAGAGTCTTCATCTCTTTTGGTAACCTAAAAAATAGAAAAGAGAAAAATCAGAATTGGTCTGTGCTTTCTCCCTTCAACTGATTCGTTTATTCCTTTTTCAGGGAGGGTGGGGGATACTTACATATCAGACACCACAGAAATAAGGTACAAAGATAAGATAATGTCCTGACCACAAATTCTTTCTGGAACAAAACAGAACTTACATAACTAAATACATAATCCTTGCCTTCAATGATTTCAGCCACTAGTAAGAAAGAGAAACTTGTAAGTAGAAAATTATAGTAAAAGTTATAAGGCTTGATGGCAACAAAGAGGAAAGGGAATTAAATTAGGGAGAAGAAAGGGATTTCAGAAAAGGCTTCTCCCAGCTGAAAGCTACATGAATTGATTTGTGCACAATAAACAGGAGTTTCCTGAGCAAAGAAAGGTGAGGAGGCCAGGGATGGTGGCTCATGCCTGTAATCCCAGCACTTTGAGAGGCCGAGGTGGGCAGATCACTTGAAGTCAGGAGTTTGAGACCAGCCTGGCCAACATGACGAAACCCCATCTCAAGAAAAAATACAAAAACTAGTCAGGCATGGTGGTGGCAGGCGCCTGTACTCCCACCTACTCGGGAGGCAGAGGTTGCAGTGAGCTGAGATAGCACCACAGCACTCCAGCCTGAGGGACAGAGTGAGACTCCGTCTCAAAAAAAAAAAAAAAAAAAGGAAAAAAGAGAAGGGGGAGAAATAGAATTTTTAAAAGAGAAACAAGTGGTGAAACAGAAACATGAAAAAGCAGAGCACATAGGGTTAAGATATGATACAGGCTAGAGAAGAATACAGGCCATTATATACTACGGCAGGGAATTTGGATATTATTATGAAGGGAATGTGAAACCACTGACTTTTTTTGCAGGGGTGGGGATGGAGAGGACAGGGTCTTTGTCACCCAGGCTGGAGTGCAGTGGCACAATCTAGGCTCGCTGTAGCCTTGACTTTCTGGGCTCAAGCAATCCTCTCGCTTTGGCCTCCCAAAGTGCTGGGATTACAGGTATAAACCACTGCACAGAGCTGATTGAGGATTTTTAAGCATAGAAGTGACATGATCAGATTTATGCTTTAAAAAACATCACTTTGGTAACAGTAGAGGATAAAGATAGACAAGCAAGGAATCCAGCTAATAGGTAGGCATATATTACCACTACCACATGATAATTAAGAAATTTTCTAGGGAGGCTGAGGCAGGAGGATGGCCTACGCCCAGGAGTTCAAGGCTGCAGTGAACTATGATGGCACCACTGCACTCCAGCCTAAGCAACAGAGCAAAAGTCTGTTGCTTTAAAAAAAAAATGAAAAGAAGAAATGTTCTGCTACCAGAGAAATTATCATCAGGGTATTTACATAGCTTTAATTTCTACTTAAGTAGTAAAAAAAACTACACATTCAAAAGATACAGAGTTTTACAGGGCCTAGTGAGGTTGTGTGTGGAACCAGAGATTAATTTCAATTGTTGCCCTAAGAGCATGAAACTAAACACTATGACTATGAGGCAGCTAGTGTCCAAGCCTCATTAGTGGAGTTAAATGAATTCACTTCAACACATTTCTATTATCAACTACCTGTTATCTCAAACTAAGTGTTCTGCCAAAGAAACATTTTTCTGTCTGTACTATTTTCACTCTTGGGGGCTATAAAACCAACAAAATAACCTAAATAAGCTTTGGTTTCAAATTTAAATGTTTTACTTTCATAGAAGCCAATAGGCCTTTCTATTTCCAAGTACATGAGCCTTTCTCAAGACCCAGCCAGCAACCTACACTCTTGGATCATAAAAACACTTTAAGGATTCAGCTTGCTTTCAGTATCTGTCACTACCCGCTAGACTATTAGACAATGAAACTACATTTTAAAATATCTTGGGGTTCTTCTCTACCCTTTCCACTAAACAAAAAACAACATCTAAAAGCAGAGTGGGCCAATCTCCTCAACTTTCCATTTCCTGGTTGTATCTGAGATAACATGTAGGCCATTTTCAGATTAAAGGTGTTAATCTAATCACTACAGAGAATGAGATAACAAACATAATAATGGGTTACAAAGTTTACATACTCCTTATGAAGTTTCCAATATAGTCTGATTTCAAGACACTAAATGTAAAGAAATGAGGCTTCTGCAGTCCACTTTTACTTGATAAGAGTCAAGTTTACCAAATGATTTCCTTATGTTCTTTCCGTTACTGACATCTTCACATATATGCTCTTATTTTGCCAATAGATAGTAATGGGTACTACCAAAAGGTGGTATCACAGATGCAATCAATGCAGAAGGAAAGTTTCCTCTCAACTCTTGTAAGCATTCTGCATTGCTAGGGCCTCTAGACTGGGTAACATGAATTTCAGGAAGTCTCTGTCTCACAAACAGGCATGTCTTTACATAGATACTTACTGCTTACCTTAAAACAAGAAGCTCGATACAGTAGTTGCACAACATGACCAATACTTGTTTTTGATGCCTGAGGAAATCTTGGTTCTAGTCTCTGCACAACAAAAAGTACCAGAACTTTCCTTGAGAGGGCAGAACCATCTTCTAATGCCAGTAACACCAGCTTCAAGGCCTCTTCTTGCATAGCTAAAAATATTAAAGGAACATGAGTTCATGACAAATGAGGAACCCATCAGATCATGTGTGTCATAGGCATCTTTGGGTATTAGAGTTTATAGTGGCCCATTACCCATAATTTATATTTAATTAGCACAAAGAGGACATCACACGTACATAATTTAAAAAGTAATCAAGCAAAATAAAACATACTTTCCATAAATAAAACATATTTTCCACTAAATACCAATCAGAACACAAGTTAACAGAACTTAAAATATATTCTGTATTTAACAGTCAATTAGATGATGATAATGTTAAGGTAAAAAAAGTCATTTATAAAACACATAGCTGGGTGTGGTGGTTCATGCCTGTAAATCCCAGCACGTTGAGAGGCCGAGGCAGGACGACTGTTTGAGCCCAGGAGTTTGAGACCAGTTTGGGTAATATAGGGATACCCTGTCTCTACAAAAAAAATGTTAAATATTAAAAAAATTAGCCAGGCATGGTGGCACGTGCCTGTGGTTCCAGCTACTTTGGAGGCGGAAGTGGAGGATCACTTGAGCCCAGGAGGTTGAAGCTGTAGTGAGCTGTGATCACATCACTGCACTCCAGCCTGGGTAACAGAGACCAACTCCATCTCAAACAAATACATAAAAATTAGGCCGGGCGCGGTGGCTCACGTCTGTAATTCCAGCACTTTGGGAGGCCAAGGCGGGCGGATCACCAGGTCAGGAGATCGATACCATCCTGGCTAACATGGTGAAACCCCGCCTCTACTAAAAATACAAAAATTAGCTGGACGTGGTGGCAGGCACCTGTAGTCCCAGTTACTTGGGAGGCTGAGGCAGGAGAATGGCATGAACCTGGGAGGTGGAGCTTGCAGTGAGCCGAGATCGTGCCACCACACTCCAGCCTCAGCAACAATGCGAGACTCCGTCTCTAAAAAAAAAATTAAACACACAGAACTACTCTGACAATGATATGCAAAGGACCCACAGTAGGCTTATAATAAATGGTATTGTTTTCATGCATGAGACTGTTACTTTGCCTGTCAGAACTATTTTGTATATAATTTAAAAAATGATATTAGCCTCTGAATGCAAAACCCAAAGAAGGTATTAATTTCATTTATG
This sequence comes from Homo sapiens, assembly GCF_000001405.40. Classification (NCBI taxonomy): domain Eukaryota; kingdom Metazoa; phylum Chordata; class Mammalia; order Primates; family Hominidae; genus Homo; species Homo sapiens. The sequence continues at coordinate 122,884,486 of NC_000009.12, forward strand.
TTGCTTTACAGCCAAGGATATATGGTATAATCTGAAGTTAATCATTGGAGAACATCAGACAAACCTAAATTAAGAAATATTCTGAGACTGGGCACGCTGGCTCATGCTTGTAATCCCAGCACTTTGGGAGGCCAAGGTGGGCACATCACCTGAGGTCATGAGTTCGAGACCATCCTGGCCAACATGGTGAAACCCCATCTCTATTAAAAATATAAAAATTAGCTGGGCATGGTGGCGTGCATCTGTAGTCACAGCTACTCAGAAGGCTGAGGCAGGAGAATCCCTTGAACCCGGGAGGTGGAGGTTGCAGTGAGCCGAGATTACGCCACTGCACTCCAGCCTGGCGACATAGCGAAAGTCCGTCTCCAAAAAAAAAAAAAAAGAAATATTCTGTAAAACAAATGGTCTGTATTCTTCAGGAATATCAGTGTCATGAAAGGCAAAGAAAAGCTGAGGAACAGTTCCAGAATAAAGACGACTAAAAAGAGACATGACTAAAACGTATAGAAAGTGATCTTGAACTGGATCTCACACTTGAATAAATACTATAAAAGATATTTTTGGAATAGTTGACAAAACTGGAATATGAACTACAAATTGTATATAGTACTGTATTGTATCATTAATTTTTAAAAATTTAATGAATGTAATATTGTTACATAAGACAGTATCCTTGTTTTTAGGAAAACTAAATACTTTAGTTTTAAAGTATTAAAAGGAAAGGAGCATAAAACAAGCAACCTACTCTCAAATGGTTCAGAAGAGAGGGAAAGAATAACAAATATGGCAAAATATTAGAAAGTGCTGAATGTCGGTAAAGAATATATAAAAAATTCTCTGCATTATTCTTACAACTTTTCAGTAAATACGAAATTATTTCAGAATTATAAATTACAAATACATGGTTATTAATCAAAACAATAGAGCTTAAGAGCTGAAAGATTATCTAGATTCAAAATACAAACCTTTTTTCTAAGTGAGGCTACTGAGGTCCAGAGAAGTTAAGTGATTAAACCAAGGTAACGTATCTAGTTACCAACAAAATTGGAACTATAATGGCAAAAACCACAATTACTTTTGCACCAATCTAATAGAACCAAGGACTTTTAAAATTCTTTAAATTTTTTCTTTTTTTGCCTCCCAGGGTTTCTCTGCTGGCAAGGACTTTTTTAAAAATTGAGATAAAATTAACCATTTTAACCACATAATTCAGTGGTATTTACTACATTCACAATGTGTACAACCATCAACTTTGTCTAATTTAAGACATTTTCATCACCCCAAAGGAAACTCATCACCATTAAGCAGTCACTGTTCATACACTCTATACACAGCCCCTGGCAACACTAGCTGGCTGTCTGGTTTCTTTCATTTAACGTGTTTTTTGTTTTGTTTTGTTTTGTTTGTTTTGTTTTGTTTTGAGACAAAGTCTTGCTCTGTCACCCAGGCTGGAGTGCAGTGGCACGATCTTCGCTCACTGCAACCTCCGCCTCCTAGGTTCAAACGATTCTTGTGCCTCAGCCTCCCGAATAGCTGGGATTACAGGTGTGCACCACCATGCCCAGCTAATTTTTTTCTATTTTCAGTAGAGACAGAGTTTTCCCATGTTGGTCAGGCTGGTCTCAAACTCCTGACCTCAAGTTATCCACCCGCCTCGGCCTCCCAAAGTGCTGGGATTACAGGTGTGAGCCACCGTGCCCAACCTAACGTAGTTTTTTTGAAGCTCATCCACATGCAGCATGTATCAGTATTTATTCCTTTTATGGCTGAGGAATAGCCTATTTATGGATACATTACATTTTGTTTATCCATTTATCACTTGATGGACATTCGGATTGTTTCCACCTTTTGACTATTGTGAATAACGCTGCAATAAACATTTGTATACAAGTATTAGTTTGAATACCTGTTTTCTATTCTTTTGGGTATATACCTAGGAATAAAACTGCTGGGTCATATGGTAATTGTTTAACTTTTTAAGGAACTGACAAATTGTTTTCCAAAGCAGCACACCATTTTACGTGCCCACATTCTCCACGTTCTCATCAACATTGGTTATGTTCCATTTTAAAAATTATGGCCACTCCCAGCATTTTGGGAGGCCGAGATGGGAGGATCACTTGAAGCCAGAAGTTCCGAAGTTACAGTGGGCTATAAGCGTGCCACTGCACTCCAACCTGAGCAATGGAGCAAGACCCTGTCTCTAAAACAATGAAATAAAATAATGGCCAAGTGGGTATAAACAAGTATGTCCCTGTGATTTTGATTTGCATCTCCCTAATAACTAAATACACTCAGGGTTTTTTCATGTGCTTGTTAGTCATCGTGTCTCTTCTTTGGAGAAATGTCTATTCAAGTTATTTACCCACTTTTAAGTTAGGTTGTATTTTTGTTTCTGAGCTGTAGAACAAAAGAGATGTGACACCTAGTCTAGTGCTTCTTAAAGTAAACATCAGGAAATATCTAAAGGTAACATTCTTAAATTCTATATAAAAGTAGATTTTTAAAATATCTTAAAACTTTGTATAATGGAAAATTTGCCTCACTTTTAGTAATGCTAAGATTTATCAGTGGGTTCAGACTTTATCCATCTGCTATAAATTTCCCCAGTAACCTCTCGTCTAATGGGTTTAACAGCCACAAATAATTCTTGCTGAAGCCCATTAATACATTTGGGGATGTAAAATTGTGATTTTTCTAATTGTATCATTTTCTAAATGTATTATTAGTTTGAATTCAGCTAAAAGAGGAAACTTTCCTCAATATATAAGAACTCTCCCTGAAATTGTTTGTACATATTGTGTTTCAATCCTTTGGAGTCATTCATTATGATGTTTAAATTGCCCCACTTACATCTAGTAGGAGCTCCTTCATGTTCAACTTTTGTCCTTTCAACAAAATTGTCTCTCCCTCCTCTCTTTCTCTGGGGGTCAACTGATCCTCCCACCTCAGCCTCCCAAAGTACTGGGATTATAAGCTTTTTTGCTTCCCTGCTCCCCGCCCAGCACAAGACTTCCTACCCTAGACTGGAGTAAGGCATTTACCCAAAGAGCCCTGCCTCCTTTTAGTGGGAAATGGTATATATGAAAGCCCATAATCTGGGTGTTATGGTTATTCATCACTTCTAAGCATTTTCAGTGGACAGACCTTGGACACTGGCATTTTTTAGAAAAACAATTGAGTCCGTACTAATATTGCCAATTCAAATTTAAGACTGCAGGAGTTTTACTTAAATCTTTGATTTTATACTTGTATCTTTTTTTTTTTTTTTTTTTTTGAGATGGAGTTTTGCTCTTTCACCCAGGCTAAAGTGAAGTGGCATGATCTCGGCTCACTGCAACCTCTGCCCCGAGGTTAGGGCAATTCTCGTGCCTCAGCTTCGCGAGTAGCTGAGATTATAGGTGCCTGACACCACACCTGGCTAATTTTTTCTATTTTTAGTAGAGACAGGGTTTCGCCATGTTGGCCAGGTTAGTCTTGAACTCCTGACCTCAGGTGATCCACCCGCCTCGGCCTCCCAAAGTGCTGGGATTACAGGCGTGAGCCACTGCGCCTGGCCTTGTATCTTTTTTTTTAAATGCTGAAAGTCTTGGTTCTGGTGGCATTAACATAATTATTTGCTTGCTTGTTTTATCCAACTGTGTGTCTGTTTAAGTTTCTAAATAACAAGACCAGAATTATGAACAATATGACAAACAAATATAATTTAGGATTTATTATATATTCCACTAGGGATATAAAAGTCAAAACACTGTGTTCTAAAGTAACCTGAAATAATTCATTCTCAAATGAATATGCTACCAACTTGTTTTAGCTTTATTTTTAGGTATTATTTTGATCATTTTTAATTAAATTTAAAAAATATTTAAAGTTGTTTTATAATTACATAAAATATTTATGTGGTTCCAAAGTACAAAACAAGATAGAGTTGGCAAAGTCTAGCTTCTGTCCCTGTCTGCTTTCCCTTGATTCCTCGTTCTTCTACATACTGGTATTAGTCTTCTATTTTTTTGCCATTGTTTCTTTTGGAAAATTTAAATGAATAAGTGGATTTTCTCCCTCCTTCTCTTACTTAGAAAGTACTATACTGAGCAAATTATTCTGGACCTTGCTTTTATTTTTTAACTTACCAACGTATCTGGAGGTCACACCCTAGCAGAATATATACTTCTTCCTCATTTCTTTCGACAGCTGCATAGTACTACACTGGAAGGATATACCACAGTTTATTATACTAGTACCTTATTACGCATAGGCATTCAGGTTGTTTCCAGATGTTTGCTATTACAAATAGTGCTTTTATAACTGTATGCATTCTGTACCTTCTGTTGTCTCTTTGGGATAGATTCCTAGAAGTGGGATTGCTAGACCAAAGGGTAAACACAGAGGTAATATTTTCAGATGTTGCCAAATTCCTTTCTTTAAAAGTCTGTACCACTTTGCATGCCCATGACTACTGGATGAGAGTACCTCACACCCTTGCCAACAGAATATATTTTCAGACTTTAAGATTCTGCCAATCTGATAGGTGAGAAATGGTATTTCTTGCATCTTTTGTCAATTTTTCAGTTGGTTGTTGGTCTTTTTCTTCTGAATTTTTAGACATACCTTATATATTAGTTATATTAGTCCTCTGTGTATGTTTGTTACGTAATTTATAAATATTTTCCCCAGTTGGTCTTCTTTTTCATTTGCTTATAATTTTTTTGTGATGTAAATTAAACACAAAATTATATAGTCAAATATCAGTTTCTTCCCTTATTGTTTCTAGATTTTGAGTTAAAGTTAGAAAAATGTTCCCTACTCACAGGTTATAAAGAAATATATTCTTTTATTGGTTTTTATTACCAGTATATTTTTATTTTTAATAAGGATTTCTGACGTTTGTAATTTATATAGTTTATAGAGAATAAGAAATGCATCTAATTTTGCTTTTTCCGCATTTTGATCTAGTTGTCCCAACATCACTTATTAAAAGTTTCCTTTCCAAAAATAAATTCTACCCGAACTGTAGTTCTAAATCACAAAGTTCAAACAATAAACCTTCAAGAAGAAAACACAGGAGGGAACTTCATTACCTTGGTATAGGTGAAGATTTTTTAAGACAGAACATAGATAACACTAATCATAAATAATTATCCCCTAAAAACGATCAAGAGTTTAAACATTTTTTTTCAGACCAAAAAAAAAGCTTACCTTTCTTTGGCTTATTACGTGTTCAATCTTAGGCCTCTAACTTGGTTTTCTAATTTGTAAAACTGTAGCTATATTGCCTATCTTGATGGCAATTGAAGCTTAAATGAGAAATTTTGTTTTAAAACACAAAAGCACTGTCTATCATATAAATTAAGATTAATAAAAACGGATTTATATTGGCTGGGTGCAGTGGCTCACGCCTGTAATCCTAGAACTTTGGGAGGCTGGGGCAGGCAGATCACCTGAGGTCAGGAGTTCCAGACCAGTCTGGCCAACATGGTGGAACCCTGTCTGTACAAAAAATAGAAAAATTAGCCGGGTATGATGGCGTGTGCCTGTAGTCCCAGCTACTTAGGGGGCTGAGTCAGGAGAATTGCTTGAGCATGGATGTCGAGGCTGCAGTGAGCCAAGACTGCGCCACTGCACTCCAGCCTGGGTGACAGAGTGAGACCCTGTCTCAAACAAAACAAAACAGCAATAACAACAACAACAAAAACAAATTTATCTTTAATTATATCAAGATTTGTACATATAAAGACGGGTTGAGTCTCAGGATTCACCGAGCTCCAGAAATTGGCATCCTCAAGCCCCAATAGCTAATAAAAAAGGTAAGATAGTAACCTATCTTACCTGGCCCTAAAAACTGGCATCCTCGAGCCCTGACAGCGGCCCATAGATTGGCAGACAACTGCTGAGGGTTCTGGTGCTGTAATATCAGTTCTGTTACAGTTCTTTCTCCAAGGGAACGAGCTGCTCGCATGGCTCTTACACGACCTTCTTCCTCCACCAGTTGACAGTTTACAAGTGTCACCAGTTTCCTTTGCATTGGACGGCTCAGTGCACTCTGGTTCAAGCTAGCTACACCTTTAGGAAAAGGGAAACAAAGGGAGCTAAAGTTTTTTCAATAAAAAATAAAAGTCAATTTTCATTATCTGCATTTAACGATTAAGCCACAATTCCTAATGAGTCCCTTGTAATGTGCTTTCATTTTTCTAACAGTATTCTGTCTCTGTTTGTTATTATTCTATAGTAATAAGAAGCCTAATTTTTAGCTACTTTAGCAGTTTAACCTAAAAGTAAAAATGACTCTATTTTTTAATTGTATATAAGACATTTAGAATACTGCTTAATGGTAAGCTCTTAGATTCTACTCCTATGTACCTATGTAAGAATATTGCTCCAGCAATTCTCCCCTCTCCCACATTATCAAATTTTCCCTCTTTACTTGAACATTTCCATCATTACAGAATAAGAACAAGTATGCTGTTATTTCATCCATCTAAAATACAAATATTTTCATTGATCCTGCTTCCCCTACCAAATCTGCCCCATTTTTTTTTTTTTTTTTTTTTTTTGGAGACAGAGTCTCACTCTGTCGCCCAGGCTGGAGTGCAGTGGCACAATCTCAGCTCACTGCAACCTCTGCCTCCCAGATTCAAGCAATTCTCCTGCCTCAGCCTCCCGAGTAGCTGGGATTACAGGTGAGTGTCACCACACCTGGCTAATTTTTTTTGTATTTTTAGTAGAGATGGGGTTTTACCATGTTGGCCAGGGTGGTCTCAAATTCCTGACCCCAAATGATCTGCCCGCCTCGGCCTCTCAAAGTGCTGGAATTACAGGCGTGAGCCTCTGTGCCCAGCCTCTGTTCCATTTCTTTCTTCTCTTATGCAGCAAATTTTCTAGAGTTGTCTATACTCGCTATTTCCTAGTCTAGTGCCTTAACTACTTAGCCAATTGTAGATCACTACAATTGATCTGTTCACTACTTCCAATTCCTTGTTTCACAATCTCTGAAACCCACCCCAATCAAATTTTTCCCACATCACTTGACCAAACTTGCTAAATTGGTTAAATTAGTTAATTCTTAGTTCCTTATTTTATCTGACCTTCCAACAGCATTCAACACACATGATTACTCATTACTCCTTTAAAACACATTATTTGGCTTACTAATGTATCCCAGCACTAGAAGAATGCCTGACACTCTCAGTCCACGCTCTTTAGATAGCTGTTCAATAAATGAATGAATGAATACAGGGGATAAGTTTCTCAGTAAAATCACTATGGCCACATACACAACAGTGCAAAGCATTCAACAGGTACAAAATACTCAATATATTCAATCATTCAACAATTGTTTATTATACCTATGATGTGCTAAGTATGCAGTGATAAAATTTCAGTTTTGTCATAGACTTAAAATAATTTATTACACTTGTACATCTATCTCCCCCAGTAAACTGTGGGCTCCATGATGGCAGTGACCTTAATCACTGTTAAGTGCTCAATAAAATTTAATGAATGACTGAATGAATACATGCATACATGAAGCTGTCTTAATAGGACTTATCAAAACTAATATTCTGTTACAGCACTATTACACAGTGAATTCAAATAATGTACAAATTTCAAGATGCAGTGACTCTGGTAAATTTTTTTTTTTTTTTTGAGACAAGGTCTCACTCCCATTGCCCAGGTTGAGTGCAGTGGCACGATCACAGCTCACTGCAGCCTCAACTTCCTGGGCTCATGTGATTCTCCTACACCGGTCTCCTCAGTAGCTGGGACTACAGGCGTGTGTCACCATGCCCAGCTAATTTTTTGTATTTTTAGTAGAGATGGGCTTTCGCCTTGTTGCCCAGGCTGGTCTCAAACTCCTGGGCTCAAGAAATCTACCCACCTTAGCCTTATAAAGTGCTCAGATTACAGGCATGAAGCCACCACACCCAGCTTGAATTCTTTTTTTTTTGAGACAGTCTTGCTCTGTCGCCCCAGGCTGGAGTGCAGTGGCACCATCTCGGCTCACTGCAAGCTCTGCCTCCCGGGTTCACGCCATTCTCCTGCCTCAGCCTCCGGAATAGCTGGAACTACAGGTGCCTGCCAAGACGCCCGGCTAATTTTTTGTATTTTTAGTAGAGACGGGGTTTCACCGTGTTAGCCAGGATAGTCTCGATCTTCTGATCTTGTGATCCGCCCGCGCTGGCCTCCCAAAGTGCTGGGATTACAGGGGTGAGCCACCGCGCCCGGCTCTAGCTTGAATTCTTAATAACAATATTGGTTATTTTCAGAAAATAGGACAACATAATTTTCTCAGTCTATACATTTTTCAAGGCATTTCTCAAGCAAACTCCTTTTCCATAACTTAATAGGGTATCCACATCAAGTCATTCAAAGTAAATGTACTACCAAGTCCTACTTATCAGTAAAAATGCATTTTATGAACTTACCTTTACCTCCACTTAGTGGTTTTAAGTAGAGTGCCAAATCCTCAACGCATTTCTTTGCAACCTCATAGTGTTTATTCTCACCTAGATTACTTAACTTAATTGACTGATGATCTGGTACCTTAAAAAAAAAAAAAAAGGAATATTGCAGAAATACATTCATCCAGCTCATGCAACTATTATTTATGTACTTGATAATAATCTTGGTGAGTATAAAATTATCATGCATAGATAATACATGAAAGCCATTTAAGTAAAATTAAAGTCAAACACCTAGCCAAACTGCTTTCCACAAACCAAAAATAAGGCCGGGCATGGTGGCTCATGCCCGTAATCCCAGCACTTTGGGAGGCCAAGCCAGCAGATTAACTTAAGTTAGGAGTTTGAGACCAGCCTGGCCAACATGGTGAAACTCCATCTCTACTAAAAACTACAAAAATTAGCCAGGTGTGGTGGTGGATGCCTGTGATTCTAGCTACTCAGGAGGCTGAGGCAGGAGAATCTCTTGAACCCGGGAGGCTGAGGTTGCAGTGAGCTGAGATCGCACCAGTGCACTCCAGTCTGGGTGACAGAGTGAGACTCCATCTCAAAATAACAACAATAACAGCAACAGCAAAAAATAACATACTTAACAGCAGGAGCTGTGTGGATTAATGAAGGAAGAAAAGAAGCAGAAAGTTAACAGTATTGTATCGATGCTAATTTCTTGGTGTTGGATGTTAACATTAGGTTAAGCTGTGGAAAGTTATACAAGTTCTCTGAATAGTATTTTTTGCAACTTTTTTGTAAGTCTGAAAGAATTTCAAAATTAAAGAGTGGAGAAAAAAAGACACAGTTGTTTTTTTTTCCCCAAAGCACTTATCACCTTTTTACTATATTATTTACTTAAGATAAGCATTATTAAGACAGAGTGTTCTCATTCAAAGGTCAAAACTTGGGTAAAAATTGCAGCTCTGCTACTTCTATGAATGACCTTGAGTAAATTACTTAACTGCTCCAAGTCATAATTTCCATATCTGCAAAATGAAGATGAAAATCTGTATTTTGTAGTGCCGCTATAAAAGTTCAATACAGGCCAGGTGCGGTGGCTCACACTTGGAATCCCGCACTTTGGGAGGCCGAGGCAGGCGGATCACGAGGTCAGGAGATCGAGACCATCCTGGCTAACACGGTGAAACCCTGTATCTACTAAAAATACAAAAAATTAGCCGGGCGTGGTGGCGGGCACCTGTAGTCCCAGTTACTCCAGAGGCTGAGGCAGGAGAATGCCGTGAACCTGGGAGGCAGAGCTTGCAGTGAGCCGAGATCGCGCCACTGCACTCCAGCCTGGGCGACAGAGCAAGACTCCGTCTCAAAAAAAAAAAAAGTTCAATGCAATTCAACAAATAATTATATTTATGGAGTGCTTACCATGCACTGGACACAGTTATAGGTACCAGGGATATATCAATGAGCAAAACAGACAAAATGTTTTGCCTTTGTGGAGCTCACATTCTAGTGGAGAGGAGAAGAGGTAGCCAATCAATAAATTAAAAACATAATAAATTTGTAGTGTTCCAAGAGGTGAAATTATAGAGCAAAGATAAGGGGGACTGGAAATACTAGCGAGGGGTTACAAATTTAATTAGGGTGGTCAGGATTGGCTCCCTTGAGAACTGTGAGATATGAATGAATAAAGAACATGAAGAGAGAGGCTGGGCACGGTTGCTCACGCCTATAATCCCAGCACTTTGGGAGGCCAAGGTGGGCAGATCACTTGAGGTCAGGAGTTCGAGACCAGCCTGGCCAATATGGCGAGACCCCATCTCTACTAAAAATACAAAAATTATCTGGGCATGGTGGCACGCACCTGCAACCCCAGCTACTTGGGAGGCTGAGGCAGGAGAATCACTTGAACCTGGGAGGTGGAGGTTGCAGTGAGCCGAGATTGCGCCACTGCACTCCAGTCTGGGTGACAGTGAGAGATTCCATCTCAACAACAACAACAAAAAAGAAAATGGAGACAGACTGAACGTTCTAGGCAAAGGTAACAGTAACTACAAAAGCCATCACTTGGCAATATACTTGGTATATCTGAGAACTGGCTAAGAAGCCAGTGTAGCTTAAGCAGAATAAGAACAGTAGTAAAAGAGATAACAGAATTCACACTGTAAAGACCTGTAGGCAATTTAAGAACCAACTGAGATAACATTTACAAATGATATTAACACAATACCTGTTGACCTATAGCAGATGCTAAATAAATGGTAGCTAGGTTTTTTTTTTTTTTTTGAGACAGGGTCTCACTCCCATCACCCAGGCTGGAGTGCAGTGGCACGATCTTGGCTCTCTGCAGCCTCGACCTCCTGGGCTCAAGTGAACCTCCCATCTCACCATCTCAGCCTCCCAAGTAGGTGGGACTACAGTCACACACCACCATGCCTGACTAATTTTTTTATTTTTTGTAGAGATGGGGTTTCGCCATGTTGTCCAGGCTAGTCTCGAACTCCTGGCCTCAAGCAGCCTGCCCACTTCAGCCTCCCAAAGTGCTGAGATTACAGGTGTAAGCCACTGTGTCTGGTGGTAGCTAGTATTCTTACAAAAAGTCTATGATATTTTATCAAATCTAAAATGTTGTTTGCAAGAGGCAACATTTTATACTCCATTAACAAAAATATACTGGCAATTAAATTAAGATACACTATCAATTGTAGATGCACCTTGATTTCATAGTGTGTAACTTGATTATAAACACTGAAAAGAGATTTTGTGCTTTACAAGGAGGACTTCAAATATCAAGATACTAAAGGAATGAATGAAGTATTTTGGTTTATTGGATTTTCTATTAAATCAGAAAAATAATTCCTTTCTGGCTTTAATATGTAGCACATGATGTACAGAATTTCATCTCTTCCTAACTTGTAAAATGGGGATAATAACTACCTGAAAACCTATGGTAAGAATTAGTAATAATAAATGCTGAATACTTTCTGTCAAACCTAATGCAAAGTAGACCCTCATTAAATATGTTATTTCAAATCTAGAGTCTTGCTTTGATTCAATAAAATAATTACAAACATGAATTCTATAGCACATGTTCTTTTTTTTTTCCCCCCTAATGTTCAACTAAAGCATCACATAGCTCAGAGGTGTCTTTTGGCTTCCGTGGGCCATACTGGAAGAATTGTCTTGGGCCACACATAAGATACACTAACACTAACAATAGCTGATGAGTTAAAAAAAAAAAAAAAAAACTTTACGAATTTGTGTTGGGCTGCATTCAAAGCTGTCCTGGGCTGCATGTGGCCTGAAAGCCAGACAAGCTTGATACAACACATGTTCAGAAGAAATCATGGAGAATTTATTACTGACACATTGGTTTTTGGTTTTCCATATATACATCCCTACATAGACCTTATTGTTTCATTTACACTATTATATAAAAAGTCAAGTGAAGTAAAAAAAAGTAACAACAACAACAAAAAAACCTGTTTCTGGTCAAAGCTTTGATTACATTTCTTTTCATATCACCTGGTGAATAAATATATATGCTTATATAAAAATATTTCTTATCCACCAATATCACTTATATACATAAATTTTAGCCACAGAATTGAATATGTAACTATAATGTAATCTAAGGTTTTGTATAAGGATATGACATTATCTAAAGAAAATCTTTCGCAGAATACAATCATGAAAATCAGGTACATTGAAATTTATTTTTTACACCTTAATGATCACTAAACATACTATATACCTATTACTGAATAAAGTTCAATAACTATTTCATGTAACAAATTATTAGGTTGCTGCAAAAGTAATTGCAGTTTTTGCCATTAAAGCCACATAAGATGGCTGGGTGCAGTGGCTCACACCTGTAGTCCTAGCACCCTGGGAGGCTGAGGTGGGCGGATCACCTGACGTCAGGAGCTCCAGACCAGCCTGGCCAACATAGTGAAACCCCGTCTCTACTAAAAATACAAAAAAAATTAGCTGGGTATGGTGATGTGGGCCTATAGTCCCAGCTACTTGGGAGGCTGAAGCAGGAGAATCGCTTGAACCCAGGAGGTGGAGGTTGCAGTGAGCCCAGATCACGCCACTGCACACCAGCCTGGGTGACAGAGTGAGACTCTGTCTAAAAAAAAAAAAAAAAAAAAAAAAAAGGCCACATAAGATACACTAACACTAACGATAGCTGATGAGCTAAAAACATAAACATAAATCACAAAAAAAATCTCACAATGTTTTAAGGAAGTTTATGAATTTGTGTTGGGCCGCATTCAAAGATGTCCTGGGCCACATGTAGCCTGCAGGCTGGACAAGCCGTTAAAATAATGGCAAAAATAGTGATTATTTTTGCACCAACCTATAGTAAAATCTTGAATGCTTACCTGGGCTCCAACTAACTGGAGAAGTGCGAAGTTGACAGGAAGTACATCAATATCTGTGTTGATGGCAGTCTGGTCAAAAGGACAAGCTTTTCGATGAAGTTTATTCAAGCAGGTCTTGCAAACAGTGTGTGAACAACCTAAACTGATGGGTTTGTGCACATTCTCATCAAATTCATTATAGCAGATTGGACAGGACAGAAATTCTGTCCATTGAGCTGCCTGCACAGGCATTGTGGAAGCTGGATGCTCGGGTTAGCAGTCTAGCAGATCATTATTTTGCTGTGTAGTGTTTTGTAAGCTAGAAATGGACAAAAGTATGAATTAACCACATATTCATCATTCACCTTTGAAGAGTTAATTGCTTAAGTCAACTATTACAGCTTCAGACCTAAAATACTTCTAAATAATTTTATAACCTTTGGATGTCTTTTTTAAAAAACCTATTTGCTGAATTAATTACATTTCTGAAATTCTGCCTGGAAACAATACCTTAATAGTGTTCCTTTCAACTAAACTGTATTTATATTGGTTGCTCACATAATAAACATCAAAGCTTTTATGTATTTTTCTCAACGACCACATCAAACAAGCAAATTAACTTTCCATATTCCATTTTTAGGAACACAAATTACTTTGGACTGCTGGGCGGTTTTTTTGTTTTGTTGTTTAAAAAAGTGTTTCCCTTGGATAACCAGTACCCCAAAACATAATAAAGTATGGCCAGGAGTTAATGAACTTTGGAAACTACTGATCCAAACAATATTGTAGAGACTCAAGTGTGAAGAAAACAGCTTTGCCACCTGAAAGAGGAAATCTCTGACAAGACTTGGCTAGGAAGCAAAATGAGGCACTGAAAATCAACATATAAGAGAAGACTGTGATGACTGAGAGATGATTAAGAGAGCTGTTTGTTCATAAATGAAAGACTAATGCTGACCACAACATACAGTGCCAAAGTAAAACAAAAAAATTGTCTTAAATATCTTGTATTGTTCAATACAATACTTCTGATAAAACTACATTATTTAGCGATTGATATATATAACCAAAAACTGTAAAGTCCAATGAGGAAGACACAGAAGAATAAAACATTATTCTAAAAAGTTATATATGCATGATTAAAAACTGAAAAGGCACATAGAAAAAAACAGTGAGAGAATTTTTCTTATTTCTGAGATCAAAATGTTCCTGCTGGGCGTGGTGGCTCACACCTATAATCCCAGCACTTTGAGAGGCCGAGGTGGGAGGATCACCTGAGGTCAGGAGCTTGAGAACAGCCTGACCAACATGGATAAACCCTGTCTCTACTAAAAATACAAAATTAGCCAGACGTGGTGGCACATGCCTGTAATTCCAGCTACTAGGGAGGCTGAGGCAGGAGAATCACTTGAATGTGGAAGGCGGAGATTGCAGTGAGCCGAGATCACGTCATCGCACTCCAGCCTGGACAAAAAGAGCGAAACTTAATCTCAAAAAAAAAAAAAAAAGTTCCATAAGTTTAGTAAAGTAAAAGATTTAGTAGCAAAACGATACTAATTTGAACACACTAAACTTCCCAGAATTTCTTTATCTTCCAATTCAAGACTTAACATAAGTCTGACAAAAGCTCTCTGGTGAACAAGAAATCTAGGTATTTAGGGCAATCAAACAACTAATACTTTATTTCACAGGAATGTTTACCAACCCAAATATATTAGTTCCACAGAAATTAGATGTTTAAAAATGTAGTCACATTCAAAGAGAAAAAATATATAACAGAAAGTATTCTCAATTATGCCAACATACAAAAAAATTCTATTAGCCTTTATTGTGTTTTTTTTTTTTTTTTTTTTTTTTTTTTCAGAGACAGAGTCTCCCTCTGTCGCCCAGACTGGAGTGCAATGGTGTGATCTTGGCTCACTGCAACCTCTGCCTCCCAGGTTCAAGTGATTCTCCCGCCTTGGCCTCCCAAGTAACTGGGACGGCACCCACCATCATGCCTGGCTAATTTTTGTAGAGACAGGGTTTCTCCATGTTGGCCAGGCTGGTCTTGAACTCCTGACCTCAGGTGATCTGCCCACCTCAGCCTCCCAAAGTGCTGGGATTGCAGGCGTGAGCCACCGCGCCCGGCCCTGCGCTTTTATATTCACAAAAACAGAGATTAAAAAAAATCTTGGTAAAAATGAATTACAGGGCTTGCTATGTAAAAAGCACCCCTATACAAACTTTCTCAAACAGCTCTAATGCAAATTATCTAATATCGTTATCTTTAAAGTAACCAAATCTTCCAAGTTATAATTTTACAACTTTCATCCTCAAATTACCACATCTATTAATGCCATCAATCTAAAAACCAATTAGTTTCCTTCCAACTTTAGAGATAAGCACTGAGCAGATGAATATATCACTCCCTAAAACTACTGAACATTTTTAACATCCAGTTTTCTGGTTTGCAGAGTTATACAAGAAAAGGCCTTTGAGGAAGAATGAATTTCATCTTAAATCTACTGAAAGCCCTAATATAGTTAATAACTTGAACTGATTAAATATTTATGAAAACAGGACACTGCGTGTAGTTTTTCATAATGGCCACCTGTTTGGAAATGTTAATTCTGTGGGTTAGGGTATCACAGGCCACCTGGTAGTACAAAATAAGAGCAAATACCTTTTCCTTAGTTTTCCAAAGCCTTTCTGAAATGCTTTATATTAAAGCACATAAGTGTGGGGCTTGGGGTGGGGGAGTTTCAACCATACAGAAAAATGCTATCTTTCATATTGTCACCTACTACACAGTTTTAAACTGTTTCAAACTATACCAGAGCACACTTAATAGTTTTATGTTACAATAGTCCTTAGTATAGTTTTATGTTACAATAGTCCTTAGTGTGTTTCAGCATAGAAACATCAGAGGTTTTAACATAATTAATACTGAGAAGTTTAATTTCTACCACAAATTGAATTAATACCTTTAAGATATAAAGGTAAAACACTGCCAAAATTTTGGCAATAACTCTACCAAATTTTCTTCTCTGTGTCAGAGTCTAGCTTTCTGACAGTAAATTATCAACTAAACTTCCCTTATACGATCAGATGTAAGAAACGCTTTGATTTTCCAAATATGTTTTTCTTCAGTAATATTATCAGTAAATCCTAGATTCCTTAATTAAGATAAATCAATATAAAATTTTACCTAAAACATAGAAGAAACTTCATTCCTTCAAAACAGGCACTTTGTAAACATTTACCTAGAAAATATTTTTGTAACTACCAAAAATGGTAAATATCCTATAGTTTTTATAATTTAAAGAGCATATAAATGAACCATGGAGCACTAAGACTACATATTAATTTGCAAAACTTCTAGACCTATACTAATACATTTTATGCAACTTATTTGAGTCTATGTAAGTCTAAATTGCTATGAATATTTATAGTTACTACTGAAGTATTCTTCTCAAATAATCAAAACATTTCAAACTGAGATAAAATGGACTAAAAGGCCTACAACTCAAGATACCTAAAGTGATTCCTTAAGAAAAACATTCTAATTATTTGTATTAACTAATTTTAGTTACCAGTTACAAAAATTGAAAAAGGATAATAAGATAAAGCATAGGAGTGAGAAATGCTAAATTAAAGGTGGGACCATAAACAATTTTTCGCTCAAATAATTTTCCAGACTGTAAGTTCCTTGCTATGAGTGCTGACACATAAAACAGGAAGCACAATAGGCATCTCTTATATGATTCAAATTACAAACTGCTTTATTAAGAGCCAGCTAAATACTTTCATTTTCTCTTATTAGTCCACCATATTATGCAGCCAGTTCAGGTCTACGGCATCTGATTTTAAAATGCCAGAATAAAGTTTATGCTTCTTTAACTGTCATATATGTATACATCATTTTACAATTCTCTTAATAAAAATGTAAACCTTAGGGCTTAGTTCTTCTAATTAAAACCATTGTTTTCATTCTTGTTAACCTATGTGAGGAATATAAGCTACTGAAATGGACTGTCACAGTACTTCCCCGTTTAGAAAACTTAAAAATAATTAGTTTTGTTCTTAAAAAATGATATTTAAAGCATAAGCACAATTTGGATCTCTAGCTAAAAGACAAGTAAAAACCAAAACAGCAATGGAAACAACCTGTAAGCTAGAAACTCAGTACTGGAGAAAAAGGAATTGAATTGCAATTTAAAAGACTGCTATAATATGTGATTTTGCCGTTAACGTGTGAAGTATATATGACTCAAATTTTACTTCTTAAATACACTATGTGGTTGAACTGTTTTAAAATAAATATTAGATATAACTTCCAATGCATTCTTTTTTTTTTTTTTTTTTTTGAGATGGAGGAGTCTCACTCTGTTGCCTAGGCTGGAGTGCGGTGGTGCGATTTCGGCTCACTGCAACCTCCGCCTCCCGGTTTCATACGATTCTCCTGCCTCAGCCTCCTGAGTAGCTGGGATTACAAGTGCGCACCACCATGCCCGGTTAATTTTTGTATTTTTAGTAGAGACAGGGTTTCACCTGTGGGTCAGGCTGATCTCAAACTCCTGACCTCGTGATCTGCCCACCTTGGCCTCCCAAAGTCCTGGGATTACAGGCATGAGCCTCGGCGCCCAGTCTCAATGCATTCTAATAGGGCAATAATGAGATAACTACTTC
This sequence comes from Homo sapiens, assembly GCF_000001405.40. Taxonomy (NCBI): domain Eukaryota; kingdom Metazoa; phylum Chordata; class Mammalia; order Primates; family Hominidae; genus Homo; species Homo sapiens. The sequence continues at coordinate 122,901,929 of NC_000009.12, forward strand.
TTTTTTTTTTTTTTTTTTGAGACGGAGTTTCGCTCTTGTTGCCCAGGCTGTAGTGCAATGGCGCGATCTCGGCTCACTGCAACCTCCGTCTCCCGGGTTCAAGCGATTCTCCTGCCTCAGCCTCCGGAGTAGCTGGGATTACAGGCATGCGCCACCAGGCCCAGCTAATTTTTTGTAATTTTAGTAGAGATGGGGTTTATCCATGTTGGTCAGGCTGGTCTCGAACTCCTGACCTCAGGTGATCCACCCGCCTCAGCCTTCCAAAGTGCTGGGATTACAGGCGTGAGCCACCGCGCCCAGCCAACTTTCTATTTTAACAAGTATAACTAATATTAGTGATGACGAGAAAAATACTTTCTTTGAGATAGAACTTACTTCTGCCTATCAAATCATAGCCAATGGATAACTTCATCCTTCATATTACCAAAGTCCTTAGCTCTTTAATTATTCTGATTGTAACAGGATAATCTATCTGGAAGTTTTGGGTTTTTATACATCTACTTTTATTCCACTAACATATTTCTTGGAAGAGTAATGCTGATCTACAACAGTAATATCCGATAGAAATATGTGAGCCATTATAATCCGAGTAATTTTTAATTTTCTGGTAGTCACATTAAAAAAGGTTAAAAGAGGCTAGGCGTGGTGGCTCACGCCTGTAATCCCAGCACTTTGGGAGGCGGAGGCGGGAGGTGGGTGGATCACTTGAGGTCATGAGTTCCAGACCAGCCTGGTCAACATGGCAAAACCCCATCTCTACTAAAAATACAAAAATTAGCCTGGTGTAGTGGTGCCTTCCTGTAATCCCAACTACTCAGGAGTCTGAGGCATGAGAATTGCTTGAACCTGGAAGCAGAGGTTGCAGTGAACCCGAATGGTGCCACTGCACTCCAGCATGGGTGATAGAGAGAGACTGTCTCAAAAAAAAAAAAAAAAAAGTTAAAATAGCTAAAATTATTTTTAGTAATATATTTTATTTATCCCAGTTTATACAAAATATCATTTCAACATGTTGTCAATATTAAAATTACTGAGATATTAAAAAAAATCTTGGTACTAAGTCTTTGAAATCTGGTATTTTACACCTAAAGCACATCTCAATTCACAGAAGCCACATTTCAAATCTTCAACTGTCACATGTGGCCACTGGCTAGTACTGGACAGTGCAACTCTAGAATATTTAAATTATAAAGTAATACTTAGAACTTTTATCAGGAAATTGAGGTAAAACTCACACTTACACTTAAAGCTTTAGTAAAATTAGAGACGCTGATCATAACATTCATGAGACTGGATGCAAAACATGAACTTATTTTTAATTTTCAGCTAGCTTTATTTTACCCATGCTTCCTTTTTCCATCACTAAAAAGTGAAACTTCAACACGGTACAAACTAAACAGTAAGTAGTTACTAAAACCTTGTTATGAAGTTTTTTTTAGCGTTCTTAGCTATTGCAAACAATGTAGAAGTTCAACTTTTGAATATAAAATCCTGAGTGTAAAGAAGAATGCTTTGCCAAAATGCAAATTTTTGGTTTTTTCAAAGTGGAAGACAGCAAATTACAAAAGCAGAGTATGATTTAACAAAAATATATGAACAAAGGACGTAAGTCTTCTTACATGTCAGGTTACCACAACAGAAATAACAGATCAGGGGTAACTCAAAGGATCCACTAATGAACACGAGTGTAATTAAATCCTCATAGAACAAGTGCCTGTTTGAATTATAACATCTGCTTTTTCTAAACGTAACTAGAATATGTTTCACATTCTGTCCTCCTAGCAATTTTCCAAACTCTAAAATTTTGAAAACATTAATCTCCAAATCAACGAAAATGTCAATATTGAAAAGCAGTCTTTAACAGGATGTAACGACCTCTATTTCTTCAAAAATTGAACGTGGAAGTAAACAACGTAAGAAAGGCATGTGAAGCTACAACAGTGGTATAGCTTTTTAGACAGCTAAAAGGTTTTTTAAAAAGGAGAATCTATTAATATTCTTAATATCGTAAAAAGCTTTTAACTAAGTTTGTATGTTTAACCATTAAAAGGCTGCACTGGCTAACATTTGTTTCTTTGCTTTTGAGTGACTTTATACCACTGTGGTATAGCAACGTTAGCTTTCTCAGGTTAACCAAAAGTTCCTACTGGAACTTAAAAGTTTGGCCAATACAAAATTGGAAAAAAGATTACTTAAAGCACTTTATTTGGGATACAAACTCACCCACCCACAATGGGTAGGGGGAGAGTAGAAATGAAAAAAAGGAAGGCCGTGGGTAAGGGGAGAGGAGGAATTAAAAAGGGAACCCAAGGGTTATGAAAATATAAATAAATCACTGGATTAGATTTACTTTATGCCAGTGATTACTTGAGTCAATTTTGGTGTGAAGGATTTATCTGCCGGTATCTTAAACGGCTGCCTTGGGATTTGAAGGATGGAAATGACAGCTACCCTCATCTTCTCCCATCCTGAAAGCTAAGGATAGAAAAAAGTACAGCTGCTTCTCTGGGAAACAAAGATGCTTTCTACCATTCTTCTAAGATGGTGGAAGAGTCTCCTCAAGAGGCTACACCAAAAAGGAAAAATGAGAGAGGGAAAGAAGAAAGCCATAGCAGAATTTCCTGGCTGTGTTTCATGCCATTGCTCCTAGCCACAACCCCTGTGCAACCACTCAGGTCCGGCCGTCCCCATCCTGGGAGGTTAAGCCCTCCCAGGGCATTGTTTGGCCGGGGTTCCTATTTACCACTCAGATCGCCTCCACCACCCTCTACGCTAGGGTCTCGGGAAGCCCCAGGGCAGAAAGCTGAAAAGCTAGGAGAAGACTTGGTTTCGAGGACCTCTTCCAAACCCCCTTACTAACTGGTGTAGAAAAGGGAGAGTGAAGCCGGGCCTTTGCTTGGGTGGGTTCGTTAGGGGTCAGAGGCGTCCGCTCGGCCAGTGTCGAAGGAAGGTGGCCATTTGAGCCGGTCGCTCCGCATCGAAAAAGCCCTACCAGAGAGAGGGGCCTCCGCAGGGCCCGGGTTCCATCCGAGTGTCAGGTGCGGCCCTCAGTTCCCAACCCTCGAGGCACCAGGGGCGACAGCGCACAGGCCCCAGGGCTGAGACTGGTCTCCCGCCCGACCGCCGGGGACCAGGCACCCGGGCTGGGGCCCGAGCCGCATCGTGCCCGCCCCCGCCCTACCTGAGGGGGCCCGGGCGGGGTCGCTAAGGGCCGCTCCCGGGAGCCCCGCGACGGCGCGGCTTGGCGACGGAGGCGCCTCGTCTCGCCGGGGCAGAGCTCGGCGGAGGTTTCACGACCTCAAACTCCATCGGGAGCTACAGGGACAGCCCCGTTGGCGGCGGCGAAGGCCGCGACGGGGCCTCCTCCTCCTCCCTCCACCTCCGCCTCCTCCTCCTCCTCCTCCTCACCACGGAGGCGGACCTGGAGGGATCCCGATCTAGCTCTCGCGAGAAGTTACTCCCCACTTAACGCGAGATTACGCAAGCCCGGGAGTCGGGAGTTGGAAGGAAAGCGTAGTAGCCCCAGCCACCCAAACTGCGAATCAACTTCCCTCTGCCTCAGCGGATCCACCCCGATCACGTGACAAGGGAGCCCCGGAGCACTGTGGGAGGTACTGTGAGAAGGACTAGGCAAGCCGAAGGGATTGATGGGAAATTCCCTGCACATTCATCTGCGCCTTGAGCCGGCTTCCTAGACGCTGGTTTGAGCGAGTGTCTTAACTCCCTTCGTGAAAAGCGTGGAATCCATTGAGCAGAATCTGATACATCTGTGTCACATTCTTCTTCACACTCCTGTGATGACATGCCGACAGGATCCCTCAATCCCTTTACAAAGATGTCAAGTAATCTCCCCATTACAAAAACAAGAAGAAAACATGTATTTGGCAGGCACTTCCACATCTCACTTCTTTATTAAAGAGAAAACTCTGTTTCTAGACAAAGAGTCCAAAGTGGGGGGGGGAGGGGGGGAAGAAAGCTCTGAGCTCCTCAAAAGCTGGCAAAAATAAAAAATTTAAGCACAAATTCTGGCATCATATCTCAAATATTTGTTGAAGCTTTTTACACAGCGAACTAAGGTAAGAATTATTCTTACAGTTTATAATTTATAGATGAAACAGACTTGGAATAGGGATATCAGAATTAACATTTATAAACTACTTAGTATGTGTCAGGCAGGTCCTGTGTTAGGTGATATTTAATTTTAAATATTTTAGTTTTATTTACATTTCATTTAATTAGCAAAGTGATCCTAGAAGACAGATACAATGTACCCCTTGTTACTGATGAGAAACTAAAGAATGTAGGCTAGAAAATGACCATGACGCCGGGCGCGGTGGCTGATGCCTGTAATACCAGCACTTTGGGAGGCCGAAGCGGGTGGACCGCCAGGTCAGAAGTTAGAGACCAGTCTGGCCAACATAGTGAAACCCTGGCTCTACTAAAAATACAAAAATTAGCCGGGTGTGGTGGCGGGCACCTGTAATCCCAGCTACTCGGGGGGCTGAGGCAGGAGAATCACTTGAACCCGGGAGACGGAGGTTGCAGTGAGCCGAGACCGCGCCATTGCACTACAGCCAGGCGGGGGGGCAGTGCCAGACTCCGTCTCAACAAAAAAAAGAAGAAAAAAAATGACCATGACTTGTAATTAAACTCAAGGCACTTTCCAATGTGAAATCAGATGCCCAACAACAAAAATATCGAAGTAAACCTACGATAAATTAGAATATGGAAAGGTTGCTTCTACAGTTTTAACAAAATATATAGTTATTACCTATTATATTTGTCTGAATGACAGGCAAAAATCAGTGTTTTTGAAAAAAGATTCATTGGCCACATCGAAGACGTTTCTTCCACACATTATCTTTTTCGTTCTCTTCTCTTTATGAAACATATGCCAGGCCTAGAGAACTGTTAACAACCAATAATTGTTTCAGTAATTTCAACTGGACAGTGATAGGTAATTTACATGTACATATTTGTTTTCCACCCTACTGTGTATATATATATATACACACATATATACATATATGCACATATATACATATATACATACATATAAATATATATACACATATATAGATACATATAAGTATATATACACATATAAACATACACATTATATATACATATATGTACATATTTTTTTTTTTGAGACGGAGTCTCACTCTGTCACACAGGCTGGAGTGCAATGGTGTGATCTCAGCTCACTGCAACCTCCACCTCCTGGGTTCAAGGAATTCTCCTGCCTTAGCCTCCCCAGTAGCTGGAATTACAGGCACCCGTCATCATGCCCGGCTAAATTTCTTTTTTGTATTTTTGTAGAGACGGGTTTTCACCATGTTGGCCAGGCTGGTCTTGAACTCCTGACCTCAGAAGACCCGCCTGCCTCGGCCTCCAAAAGTGCTGGGATTGCAGGCGTGAGCCACCAGTCCAGGCCAAATTTTTCTATTCTACTGGATATATTTACATTTCACTAGACAGAAGAATATATATTTCTGATAATCCGAGATTTTTCAAAGGTGTCCTGGTCACCATATTTATTTTTGAGATGGGGTCTTGCTCCCTCAGTTAGGCTGACTGCAGCGGTGCGATATTGGCTTACTGCAACCTCTGCCTCCCAGGTTCAACGGATTCTCCTGTCTCAGACTCCCGAGTAGCTGGGATTACAGGCAAGCGCTACCATGCCCGGCTAATTTTTGTATTTTTAGTGAAGGGTTTTCATCAGGTTGGCCAGGCTTGTCTCAAACTCCTGACCTCAAGTGATCTGCCAGCCTCGGCCTCCCTAAGTGTTAGGATTACAGGCCTGAGCCTCGGCGCCCGGCGCTGACCACCATATTTAAAATTGCAATTCCATCCCCCTTCTCTGGTACTCCCTATTCCTGATTTTTCTCCAAATTCCTTCTCAAAATTTGACATACATGGATTTTACTTACTTGTTTACTGTTTGTCTCCCTTCACTAAGATGTTTCACAAGAGCAGGAATTTTTGTCTGTATACCTAACTTATATTTCATTGTAAGGACTCAGGAAGTATTTGCTAGATGAATGATTAATGTATAGTCAGGAGAAATTGTATCCTTTAAATTGTATCCTTTAAAATTCAAAGATGAAGACAAAACACATTGTTCTCCATTCCCACCTCCAGTTTATTATTTCTTATGTAAACATGTAAGATAGTTACATCCCAGGAAAAAGGGCAAGTGTTTTTCTCTGACAACGAAGTAACAACTACCTTTTCAAGATCTTTTATATGTAAATGGAGTAAATGAAGAGGCTGAACTCAAACACTTTTCATTTTTCTGTCATATCAGAAACATAAACTAAATGTGAATATGTTAAATGAATAAATTCTATACTTTGTCATACCTGAACTTTAAAAAAAGATTCCATTTTCCTGAAAATTTTTAGACATATCATGCAAACAGACACTCTCCTAGGAATGTTTGGAGATCATTCCGTGCTACTGAACAGGAATAAATAATATAAATAATAACCATCACTTTCACAAAACACCCCTCCCCCAGCAAAAATCTCAAAGTGCTCACAAAAAATTTTACAACAATCTTACAAGGCACACATAAAACTTAAACATAGTTTCAACCAATTTTTTTTCAAATATCCAAGATAGTAGATACTAATTCTTAAAAAATCAGAGTACTATTCTTTTACCCTCTCCTCCCATCTCCATCCTTCCCCCTTCCCCCCACGCCATTTTATAATAGGAAGCAAAAATAAGAAAAGTACTTCAATCACTAGTAAACTATTTCTGAAAAGAAAATATTTTCACACCAACAAATGGCCAATCTTAGGTCAAATGGAAGCAATGAACTATGAATGAAAAATTAGCAATGAGCTATCACACTTTCCAGTGGAAAAAGATCCACTAATTAGAAAAATTATGTCTCCAATGGAGTACTTAAGTAACAAAGTTCATAAAGACACAAAACCGTCCTCTCTTGCTTTCCCCTCTTCTGTTCTCAGGAAGAATTAAATACAAAATCATGGAATTTTAGACCTGGAAATGATCTTTCAAATGACCAAGATCAAAGTTATTTTACATATAAAGTTAAAAAGTTCAAGGAGAAATTCAGCACAATGTCGCTAACTAGTAACATTGGGTTATGAAGTCGGTTTTTTCATCAAACGAGACCTGCATTCTTGAAAGTCTCAAGGAAAGTTAAAATTCAGTGGAGAATGTCTTTCCCACAAAATTGTCAAAAAAAGGTTAACACTTATAACAACGAACATGTGATTCATTCATCACACAATTTTTATAAATGGTACAAAGTATATTACATTTTAAAATACAGAAGGGCTTCAATAGAAATTAAATACAGTAGAAATTCTACATAAAGCTAAGTTAACTAGAGGAGGACTAGAACAGCTTCAAAGAAAGATGCATCTAGTCAGTCTTCTTTACGAAAAGCAGTTCCTGTGTTTTAGAGAATATTATTTGCCCTGCAGTATATTTTAATCTTTGTTAAAATAATTTATAAAAGTTTTGTGTTATATGTAGACGGAGATGTTAGAGAACTATGGCTCAGAACACCATCTCAAATATGACTCTCGCTAAAATAATCATACAGTCATAGTTTTCCTTTTGGCATATTTTTGGAAATATAAAACTCTAGGGATGGTTAAGATTTTTATCAACACATAGTGAATGGAAATTACATTAATGTAAATGAAAAAATACAACACTAATAGCTACACCTTTTTAAATTGCTCATCTAGTAACAGCTAGAATATATATTGCCAATTCAAAATTTAAAATGACATGGATGAACCTCAAAGTCATTATGCTGGGTGAAAAAGCATTTCAAGAGGGAACGTACTATAAGATTCTGTTTATATGACAGTCCAGAAAAGGCAAAATAATAGTGACGGAGAACTGTTGCCAGGATTAGAGCTAGAAGGAGCTGACTACAAAGGGACAGCATAAGAGAGCTATTGGGAGTGAAGGAACTGTTCTGTACCGACTGCAGTAGTGGTGCACAAATCTTTCTGTTAAAATTCACAGAACTATACACCAAGAAGAAATTTCAATTTTACTTCATGTTAAATAAAAAATAAAATAGAGAGGAACTTTTAAAACAGTAGAACAGATATCCCTGGTAAAGGTAGAATTTCTCATTTTTCACAGCTTCATGCCAATGGTATAATTTTACTGGCCACAAAATTATTAAATCCGATTGTATTAAATAAAATCAAGAAACTCGGGCCCAATGAACCATTTCTTAAGTATGTATACTAATAAGGCATGGAAATAAAAGTATTTTAAGGATTATTAACCCTGTATAAAAAAATTCTGCTATTCCCAAGTGAATCTGAATTGTTACTTTATACATTTTAAAATGAAAAGTATCTTGGTGTTTAGTTTGGAATCCAAGAACAGCTGGTAAAAAGTTAAAAAAAAATTTTTTTAGTGCCATCTGTTCTAAAGTGACTAGAAACAGGTAATAGTGTTTTTACCTTTATTTTCTCTTCTTGTTATCCTAATTCATTAAAGTTTTTATATGATTGGATTTTATACTTAAATCAATTACCTAGAGACTCCAAATCGGAATCTGCAAATACTGCTGGATCCTTTGTCACTAGAATCAAGAATATATAAGAGAGGAACACTATTTCTCTAGGGATACTACTGAGACTTATATGTAAGGTATGAGATGAGACAGAATCCCATCAGCTTTACTGTGCCTCCCATAACTTTGGAACTGTTAGAAGTTCAGAAAGAATGATTATGTGTAAGCCGACAAAATATAAGAAACAAAGATTGGGGGGATGAAATATTACAAATGCTGCATCTCTACAGAAAGACTTGCGTAATAGAATAATACAAACTTTATATAACAAGTCTGTGATTATAATTATAGTAGACTTTGCCTTTTGAGATCAGGCCTAGATAGTTTTTCACCACTGCTTCTGCCATGGACAGAGGTTAAGTGCTTTTTGAGAGCAGACTTGTGCTTGAAATCCATATCACAACAGTGGCATTTGTATGGCCGATCCCCACTGTGTATGTTCAAGTGGTCCTGAAGTGTGCTTTTGGCAGTAAATGTCTTCAAGCACACAGTACACTGAAAGGGCCGTATGCCCATGTGTCCTCGGATGTGTCGGTTGAGATTTTTCTTCTGTGTAAATGTTTTTCCGCACTGTAAGCATAAGAATAGTTTATGCATTTTAAGGTGGCGCAGATAGTTTTCAACATGAAGAAAGCCTCGAGGACACCTGGGGCACTGGTGCCTCAGTGAATAACCTTCCTCCAGATTCTGAATCTCACTCACTGTACCATAACTTCCTTCAGTATTCTCACAAAATAAGCCCTGATCTTGATTCCCAGGAACTTCAGCCACTCTGCTCTCAACTGTAGAATTGATCAATGAATGCTGTGTTTCAGAGAAATACATGCTTGCTTTTGAAGAGGTACAAGGCTGTGAAAACTGCCCATTTTCGACACCAGCTGTACTGATGGATTCTACATGAAGGATACAAATTTCATTGTCTTTAAAACCTATGTCTACTGTAGACAGCTCTGGTGACTTCATTTCCTTTCTCTCTGATGTCAGACTCTCTACTGTAGACTGCAAAGCATTGCTTTCCTCTTCTTTAACATGGAAATCTATGTTTACAGGACTATCTTCTGAAATTTCAATTATCTCACAGTCTTTATCAGAATTTTCATCTTCATTCTTAACATCAGGATCAGAAGACTGACACAGGTCAGTGTGTTGGTTGTTGTTTTTCATAGAAAGATCAATTTCCAGATACTTTGACAAAGCTTCTGTGCACTTTTCCACAATGTGAACCATCTGAAGGTAACTGGCAGCAGTCAAGTATTTCAAAAGCTCTTTCCTTTTAACTTCAAGTGCTCCAGTATAGCAAGACAGTAACAATTTTCTGCCAACTTCTGCACTCTGTAAGATGGTGATTCTGACATGTTTTGACTGTGTGAGTAAAAACTGATCTCTCATAAAAGTGGAGCAAGCAGCCAAAATCACCTTGTGCCCCTGGAACTCAGTGTCATTAATGTAAATTGATACATCACAAAATAAATTCTGCTGTCTCAAAAGATTCATTTTCTGCAAGACCACATCTCCTTGCTGTTCAAACTGGAAATGCAGAACATCAGACTCAGCAGCCATGATCACAATCTAAGCAAAATAAAACACAAACATTGATGTAATAAGGATAGGGAATGCTTTCCCATGCTGTAATGGTGAAAACAAACGAAAAACCCCAAACCTGAATTAGGAAGAAGAAGACTCAAAGTCTAATGTAGGTGTTATGAACCTTTATGCCACCATCTCAAAACGAGAACTTTATAATGCACTTCTCTATGATCTCATAGCACATTTTTCATAACTTTGTTACAACATTCATTACAATGAATTGTAGTGAACAGTTTCTAGCTTGTTTCTTTTGCTAAATGTTGTGTGCCTTGTGGTCAAGAACAATCTATCAATTTTGAATATCCAATATAAGCACTGTGACCACCAAAAAGTTGATTTAACATAATATATCCAATTAGCAACTTTAACGTAATCTCCAAACTTCCTACTCCCCACCACTACAACAGGTCCTCCTTCCGGTTCACCTGGACAACTGCAATGTCTTCCAACAGGTCTTCTTTATACCACACTCTTCTGTATGCCAGATTACCCGCCTGAGTGCCACCAGGATTAACAACCCTTATTTTATTTTATTTTTAATTTCCCTTTTCTGCTTTAAATCTTCTATCGTTCTTCTCTACCTCCGGGACAGTCCAGATTTCTTAGGAAAGAATACGAGACCCATCACGATTTGGCTCTAACCCATCTTTATGGCTTTATCACCTTCTATTCTCTTTTTCATACTCGAACCTCGTTCAATACTAAATTTTTCCATCATTACCCAGACAAAAAGACACGAATACACATTTCTTACATTCGCGTTTCCAGTTCCTTTTTTCAGCTAGTGATTAGGCTCCTTTAAGCCCAAATCAAGTAAAACTAATATGACTCCACCTCCCGTTTCAACCAGAGAGAGTCAGCTGCTCTCTGAGCACCGCGAGATGGTGCCTGATGCATCTGTGTTCCTGCACCGAGCTCAGGGGCCCACACAGAGCAGGAGGAGCTCAGGGAACATCTGCTGAACTGAAACCGGATGCCAGGTTCAGCACACAGGTATTCTGGAGGCAACCCTGCGAAGGGCCAAGGCCCTGTCGGCCCAGTGGTTGCAGCACAAGATTAGCCACTCCGGGGCCGAGCCCAGCTGTCCTCCTCCTCCTCCTCCTCTTCCTCAGGCACCCTCCACCTGAGGAATCTACTTTGCACTCACTCACCGACTCAGAAAACTAGAGTCAAGGATTCCGCGGCAGCGTCTGCCCAAGCCGGAAGATGGACTTAGCCTGGAAGAAAACACATCCGGTGCCAACCAGCTTTATTCTTTACTGGGGCCCTCTAGGCGCCCCGGAAGGACATTCTGAGACGGTCTTCCTTCCTCACTTCCCCCCTCTTGGAATGACAGAAAGGCTCCTGAATGCCGGCAAGCCCCATCTCTCTTGTCCCAGTTTCGGCACTCGAGCCGTTTTCCCCCACCATCCCTTTTTTTTTTTAAGACGGAGTTTCGCTCTTGTTGCCCAGGCTGGAGTGCAATGGCGCGATTTCGGCTCACTGCAACCTTCGCCTCCCGGGTTCAAGCGACTCTCGCTCCGCAGCCTCCCAAGTAGCTGAGATTACAGGCGCCCGCCACCACGCCCGGCTCATTTTTGTATTTTTAGTAGAGACGGGGTTTCACCATGTTGGCTAGGCTGGTATCGAACTCCTGACCTCAGGAGATCCGCCCGCCTCGGCCTCCCTAAATGCTGGGATTACCGGGTTGAGCCACCGCGCCCAGCCGAGCCATTTCCTTTTGTGAGTCCTCCTGAACATCCGAATTGGAGACGGGGTTTGAGGTTCGGTTACGGCACGTCTGTCAGAGTAACCAGACCTTTTATGGATTATTCTGGGACGATTCCTCTCCTTATTGGGGCCACCTACAACTTGAAAGGTGGCAGAGCAGAAACTATCATAAAGATCCGTATTCGAGATTGCCTAGATAATGCCCCATCAGGAGATGGCCCCAACCTCTGGATCTAGCTTCACACTTAAATGCGTTCCTCCATCCCAAAACTTTTGGCCCAGCTGTTTCCTCTGACGTGCCCTAGCCTTTTCCCCAGGCTTTTTTTTTTTTTTTTTGAGACGGAGTCTCTCTCTGTCGCCCAGGCTGGAGTGCAGCGGCAGGATCTCGGCTCACTGCAAGCTCCGCCTCCTGGGTTCACGCCATTCTCCTGCCTCAGCCTCCCGAGTAAGCTGGGACTTCAGGTGCCCGCCACTTCGCCTGGCTAATTTTTTTTTTTTTGTATTTTTAGTAGAGACGGGGTTTCACCGTGTTAGCCAGGATGGTCTCGATCTCCTGACCTCGTGATCCGCCCGCCTTGGCCTCCCAAAGTGCTGGGATTACAGGCGTGAGCCACCGAGCCCGGCCTTCCCCAACGTATCTTTAAAGAACCCGTTTATAAATCTCATCATCCTGAAGCCATCCTGAACTGCCCTAAGATAATTGGTTCCCAGTTTGAAACCTGTAATCCCTTTTCCTGCCTTCATTATTGCACTTAACACGCCTGTATTAATTTGTGCCTCATCTAGGCAGAGTTATTTAGGACAGTGGCTTACTGATCTTTGTATTCTCGAAGTCTAGCACTTGGTAGGCATCAAGTATTTGTGCTGAATGAAGATATGACTGAAGAAATTCTTTTTCTTTTTTTTTTGAGACAGAGTCTCACTCTGTGGTCCAGGCTGGAGTGCAGTGGCACGATCTCGGCCTACCGCAACCTCCGCCTAGCAGGTTCAAGCAATTCTCCTGCCTCAGCCTCCCGAGTAGCTGGGATTACAGGTGCCTGCCACCACACCCAGCTACTTTTTGTATTTTTGGTAGAGACGGGGTTTCACCATGTTGGCCAGGCCGGTCTCGAACTCCTGACCTCAGGTGATCCACCCGCCTTGGCCTCCCAAAGTGCTGGGATTACAGGCATGAGCCGCCGCGCCCGGCCTCTGCACCAATTCTATTCCTTTTTTTTTTTTTTTTTTTTTTTTTTTGAGACAAAGTCTCGCTCTGTCGCCCAGACTGGAGTGCAGTGGTGCGATCTTGGCTCACTGCAAGCTCCGCCTCTCGGGTTCACGCCATTCTCCTGCCTCAGCCTCCCGAGTAGCTGGGACTAATGCCCTGCCACCAGGCCCGGCTAATTTTTTGTATTTTTAGTAGAGACGGGGTTTCACCGTGTTAGCCAGGATGGTCTCGATCTCCTGACCTTGTGATCCACCCGCCTCGGCCTCCCAAAGTGCTGGGATTACAGGCGTGAGCCACCGCGCCCGGCCGCCTCTGAACCAATTCTTAAAGGCAGTTGCTCTGCTCCTCCAGCAACAGGTTCTCGTGGAAGTAAATGAATCTAGTAACAACTTTCTGATTAATTCGTATTTTTTTCTGAAGGCAAGCTCAGCATGCTTAATATGTATTTTTAAGACTATACATAAAGAAGACCTTCCTGTATTCAAAGTAAAGCAATTAAAAAAGAATAGAAGGAGGGGAGAGTGAGAAAATAACCAATGACACCAGAGCTTTAATCGTCACACTTTTATTAAGGAAACTTCCCCATAATAAGTGAAGAGGTAGTTCATAGTATGTCTAACATACAACAGATTTAGAACAGCTATTCATGAGCTGAAATAAAATCTTCTGGGTTGTTTAGGACAGTATTTTAGAAGCAGTGACATTGGTCACCTTCCATTTATAGATCTGCTAATAAAGAAACTTAAATTAAAATCATATCTGATTTACCTCAGAGCCACTTCAGTTTGGAGTTTAGTATTAAATAATAAATAAATAACTGACAGAGTAATTTTTTTTTAAACCAAACTATGGTAGAGAGTCATCTCCTTTTTAGTTCTCCTGGGGATCCATAAAATACAAATGCTGAATGATAAAGGTTTTAAAAATCTTCCTCCTCTACAGAAATATGACTAGTTTTGAAAGTCATCTTCCTCTGTAAAATACTGGATATCAGTAACTTGACTTCTTTGCAATATAATCTAACAAACACGTATAAGCAAAGAAGGAGGAAAGTGAAGTTCCACAAAAATTAGAAAAATGTCTCACAGAAACAGAACACCTCTCCAGCCAAAAATGGAGGAGACTGTAAATCACTTCAGTGGTTTGCATTTTCAAAAGGTGAGAACTAAATGTTTTACTGATACAAAAGCACAAAGTTGCTGATTTTAACTGATCGAATACAGCAAGGCAGCTTTCTTTATTATTTCTAGTATAAAAGCAAATTGAGACTTTGTTTCACTAAGACCACATGAGACTATAAGCTCCATGAGGGCAGGGACTATATCAATCTTACCTTCATTATCCTCAGTATCTAGCATAGTGTCTAGCAACAGTAGGTGCTTAACTAATGTTTCTTGAACAACTGAATGAACCCAGAAATAGTCTCCAACCAAAGAGACCAATCTTATTTGAACCCGTGCCTTTTAGTCTTCAAACCAGTAACAAAAACAAGACATGAATGTGAGCAAACGAAGCACTCCAACTTGAAATTTCCCTGTGAAGAAATGATGTTGACAGAAAATACCAAAAAATGCTGTTTGGTTGACAGGGTAGAGTCTCACTATTGCATAGAATTGGTACTCTTTGGCTGGATCATGTAAAAATCACAATGCTAGGAAGCATCATTAGACCATATAATGAGTGATGTTAGGCATAAGGTACCTATTAGTCTTACCACTCAACTGTATTATCATTTTAAATATTTGAACAAAAGACAAAAATCATACTTCACATCTGACTCACATGATGATAATTTACATATGATAACAATGATACATGTAAACGTATCAAATATAACAATTGAAGATCCCCTCTGACTATGCAAGCCTAATTTTTCAAATCTGCATGCACTCTCATAGCTCAAAAATAAAAACAGAAAATCCTGATGGAAACTAATAAACAGTTTTCCACACAAAATCAACTTCGCATTTAGATTCTTCTCACATTATTCTTGCTTTTTCCCTCCCTAAACAAACCTAGCAAATCACTCACTTGGATGGGAAGAATATAATATTCATCTAACTAAAAAATAATTAATATAAATCCCTCTGCGATATTTTGTTGGCAAAATTCAGGTTGTCTCAGAAAGCCAACAGGGAGACACAAAGGGGAAACACAAACTAGGAGCTTTTTGCTAATGCATTATTCTTCATGTACTAAATCTTTTAAAGCCAAGGGATAGCGAGAAGAAGGAAGAAGATGCTAGCTCATATTTAGTTATACCTTGGTCAATATTGGCCAGGCCACCTCTTCAGGCTTTGGATACCCCAATTTAAAATGAAAGAGGTGGAGTAAATGACCTCTTAAGATTCTCTAAGGACTCTACTAATACTATTACCTAAATCTAACTCATGGGTGAGAAACAAATAAGACTTAGAATTTTAGGTCTGAAGTACAACATGTGTTTTAGGAAAAAGAGCTGTTTTGTTTTTCCTTTTTGAAAATTAACTTTGTATTTGCAATCAAAGGCAGCAAGGTGGCACAGTGTACCTTTAAGAGGTATCTGAATACAGAAATTTGATTGCCCCTTCTGTGTCCAACCTAACTTTTATCATCCGTTTTAGAAATTAAGGTACATGAGGAAACGAAAATTCAGAGACTTTTATGGTGCACAGGACAAAACTCTGATGGCCAAACTCACCTTTCTGATGGCTAAACTCTGAAACAAAATTCAGAGACTCCCAAATAGCCTCTTTTTAGAGAGCCCACTATACTTTAGCACATTTTTAGCGTGCCTGGAGCAGTCCTGATCTCAAAAGCATCAACAAGTTACACATTAATTATAAGCATATGGCCTCTTATGGGACATGCTACCAGAGAAACCGCCCATGTAAGTGCTGTTGTATAAGTGTACTTCTATCCCTGTTGATTATGCTCCTCATGGTCATCCCTAACTATCTGCCTGCAGGTGTTCCTCAAGAGAGAGTACTCTGGTATATGTGAACAATTCAATGAGATGAAGTTGGGCTATGATACTGTTGAAAAGAGTACATAACAAACCAGCATACTTCTTTATAGCCAGCTCCAAGACAAGTACAAATGGTAGGAAGCAGATTCATTTATCAGACATGGAGGAATAATCAATAGGCAACCAGAAGTTCTATCACATTTTCAGGTCAATAGCAATATCACCTTATATCTCAGCCTATTTTCTACCAAAGAAAGATTATTCACTTCTCTTAGCATAGCATCTATTAGTGGAGAGTAGGTGACGTTATTAACTTGTTGGTACCTTCGGAATGTGCCTAGTGAAAAGCCTAAAACAGTGTCAGTCTAAGACATAAGTCAATGTTAGGTAGACAAAAGGAATTATTCCTTGGGAAAGGAAAACAGACTTTACAAGATAAATAACTCAAAACAGAAAATGGGAGAGGGCAAAAGTAAGGCAAATCCACTCCAAGTGGTAAGTTGCCTGGTCTATTAGTGCTTTGACTCACTCCCTACCACCTACACAGAGGCTTTGGAGAAGTCAAACTAGCAAAATCACTCCTAAAAAGACTAAGACTATTGCCACATTGTCAGTCAGTTCGAGTTGTGAGCATGAAGCCCCTACTCAATTCACACAAGTACTATCATTTCTTAAGTTCAGGACAGCTTGGGCCAGTTTACCTGCATCCAGGACCTGTGTTGCATCGGGTTGTGGCTGACACCCTTTAGAGTCTGTGACTGTTGTACATGCAAAAGAATCAAAATCCACTGTGAGGTCTTGTACATTTCTCTCATTGGCATTATCAAAGCTGTTTTTGCCATGCAGCTGTTTAAGGTGTTTCCTCAAAACTGGTTTATGTGCAAAAACCATATCACAATAGTTACATTTATGGGGCTTATCTCCACTGTGAAGGTTAAGATGATCCTGTAAGGAACACTTCTGAGAAAAGGTTTTCCCACAGATTTTACACTGGAAAGGTTTAATTCCGGCATGCACACGCATGTGTCGATGAAGGTTGCCTTTCTGAGTGAAAGTCTTGCCGCAGAGTAGACACATAAAGAGTTTGTGCATTTTTAAATGGTTGGCGTAGTTCTCCAGGTGACGAAACACCCTGGTACACTTTGGGCACTGGTGATGCCACTGTAGGCCTTTGTCTACACCTCGAATATTAGGGCCAAAGACATCTTTTGAGGCCATGATGATGTTATCACTGCCTGTATAAGAAAGGGCATAATTGTGGAGATGGTTTTGTTCTATTTCACTTACTCTGTTTTCCACAGTTGAATTTATCAGGGAGTGCTGGGGCTCTGATGAATGTAAAGCAGTGGGTTCAGAAGAAATAAACTGGTTCTGATCTTTTTTACTTCTAACCTCTGATACATCCCCAATAGATTCTACCTTAACAATCTGAATATCACTGTCCTCCATATCCATACTGTCTTCAGATGGATGAATACAAGGTGAGTCCTGCTTTGGGGAGCCTCTGGCATCTCCCTGCTGTTCTTTTGACTGGGGAGAAGCACTCTGTGGTTCACATCCCTCTTTACTATCCATTGGTTGTTTTGGCTTTATAAACTTCCACAGGGCCTGTGTGCACCGTTCTACAATGTGGCTCATCTGAAGAAAACTTGCAGCAGTCAAGTAATTTACCAGTTCCATCTCAGGGAATTCCAGCACACCACTATAACAGGATAAGAGCAATTGTCTCCCCACTTCGGAACTCTGTAATATGGAGATTTTCACCTCTCTGGAATCATTCAGTAAAAATTGGTCTCTTAAGAAGGGGGAACCTGCAGCAAACACAATTTTATGTCCCTGTACCTCAATATCATCTATGAGAACTGTAACATCACAAAATTTATTCTCTTCTCTTAATTTGTTCATTTTTTGTAACATTGAATCTCCATAATTTTCAAACTTGAAGTGAAGGAGATCTGATCTTTCAGACATTTTGGCAGACCTAAAGAACAGAAATGTAAAAAGGTTGAATTTAAGGAAACTCAGACAATTAAGAAAGCTGGATCTACCTTCCAAAAACAAATCTGTGTTGTCATATCTGTTTTGTATGTATCCAAATGAAATCTTCCTTGAAAGGGGAAGCCACTATAACAGGTTTCAAAGGCTGTTAAAAATTACACCTTACCAATATCAAGTGCCAATTGCACCTAAAGAGCAGACTTGTATTTGTGTAAATAGCTTGGCATTCGTTCAACTTTTAAAGATACTTATACGAGAATAGTGCTTGGGATAGTCCAAGAGTATCTTTTAACTTCTCAAATGAGAATTCTATCAGGTTTCTAAAGCAAACTAAAACATAACCCACACAAGTAAAGATGAAATAATTATCTTATTTTATATAAAACTGTGAACCTGCTTCTTCTAAGGCAAAAGCAATTGTCTCCCCACTTCAGAACTCTAATATGGAGATTTTCACCTCTCTGGAATCATTCAGTAAAAACTGGTCTCTGAAGAAGAGAGAACCTACAGCAAACATGGGTTCCTTTGCTCTTTTTCTTTGCTCTATATTTTAAACAACTGCACTGACACTGCTTGTCCAATTCCTGGCCAAGCCCTTTTCTGTTTAAATTGATATGAACTTATTCATACAAGTATTTCTGCAATAAAATGAAAGTCACAGAACTAACGGGACAATGTTTAGGCAAAGACAAAGTTCTTTGTCCTGTCCATTCTGGAAAAATCTAAACTCCGTTTTAAGGAACACTTCTTTATAAAGAAAATAAGATACTTGATGTAGAAAAACGACATGAGCTATATGGTGGGAATCTGAGTAGCGGTAACATAGATCGAATCAATCCCTATTAGATTTTGTTCTTTAAACTTTATCCCTATTTATCAATCATTAGTCATTATGTGGACTACTAGAACTGATTCATAAATGTTGCCTTGGCTTCCTGCTTATGTTCCCTCTAATACAGTTTTCATACCACCACATCTTTCAAAAACAGAGATCTGATTATACCCCACCCCTGCCTAAACTCCTTCAGTGACTTCCCGTTGTCTCCTGGATGAAGACTAACCTCTTGAATATAAACTGATTAATGAAACCCAATCATAATTAAGGTAAACACTGGAAAAACCCATTCAACAATGGAGAAGGTATCTTTCCCCAAACTGTCTGCATACTGATTCCTTTATATAGCAATTCCTTTGGTGAAAGTCTCCATGTTCTGATTCCATACTCTCATAAATGATTTTCTCATAACCTGGCTTCCCATTTGTCTCTCTCAAGGGAAAAGATAAATTTGCCATGCCAACACGATAATTCCAGTCCACTAGTCACTGTAAACTAATGACATAATGAATTGACATTCTCTTTATATACCAGTCTTCTATGAGATTGGTAGGTATGCTAGGTCTGTCTTTGAGATATAGCTCTATAATCTCAGTGCATCAAGAAATTCACTGAATTTTATGTATTAATCAACCCCTTAGTTCAGAGTCAGATGAGACAACCAGCTTCTCCTGGCCACATCTGGACCCCAAAGTCCAATCTTTATCATCTTAACTTCTGTAACAATGGATATCAGCTCCTGATGGCAGAGTCCAGGTTTTATTCTTATTCCTTAATGCCTGATACATAACAGCTCTCTCTTGGCTCCAGACCTAATGATACTTGTTTCCTTAGTTTAAAACACTACTTTCTAGGCTGGGCATGGTGGCTCACGCCTGTAATCCCAGCACTTCTGGAGGCCAAGGCAGGCGGATCACCTGAGGTCGGGAGTTCAAGACCAGCCTGACCAACTTGGAGAAACCCCATCTCTACTAAAAATACAAAATTAGCTGGGCGTAGTGGCACATGCCTGTAGTCCCAGCTACTCAGGAGGCTAAGGCTGGAGAATCACTTGAACCCGGGAGGCAGAGGTTGTGGTGAGTCAAGATTGCACCACTGCACTCCAGCCTGGGCAACAAGAGCAAAACTCCATCACAAAAACAAAAACCAAAACAAAAAACAAGCCAGGCATGGTGGCTCATGCCTGTTATCCCAGCACTTTGGGAGGCTGAGGTGGGTGGATCACGAGGTCAGGAGTTCGAGACTAGCCTGGCCAACATAGTGAAACCCTGTCCCTATGAAAAATACAAAAATTACCCAGGTGTGGTGGCACGTGCCTGTAGTCCCAGCTACTCAGGAGGCCAAGGCTGGAGAATCACTTGAACCTGGGAGGTGAAGGTTTCAGCGAGCCGAGATTGTGCCATTGCACTCCAGCCTGGGTGACAGAATGAGGCTCTGTCTAAAAAAACAAAGTAAAATAAAACAAACAAAAACACCACTTTCTAAACAATTGTGACTCCTTTATTTTCTCTGAGAGGCCCTTCCCTGACCGCTTAATAGAGTAGAATTGTCTCTTCTGGGCCCATTGCATACTTCTACTGTAACACTCAACACACTTTATTAAATACTTATTCCTTCCCATCCAAACTCCAAGTTTCATGGTATTAGGGGGAAGTATCTCCATCTAATGCTGGGAACTTGCATCTTCTAAGACAAAATATTCTTTACTTTTGCTTTGAATTATATTATACTTATTGCAGCTACATTGCTTGTCCCATTACTGGCCAAACCCTCTTCTGTTCAAATCAGTGTGTATTCCCATCGCCTAAGACTGCACTAAATACACAGCAAGTGCTCAGTTTGCATTAGTTGAACCTATCAGATTAGTTTGACAGTGGTAAGGAAGAACTGTTGTTAGGAAGACCAGCTTAGTGTCTGCAGAAGCATTGCAGGTCTGAGGCCATGATGGCCTAGAAAGAAATAAAAATGGGAATAAGACGAAAGGAAAAATAACAAAAGATATTTCAAAGAACTTGGTAACTGACTGGATATAGAGAATGAATAAAAGGAATGTGTAAAGATTCTACATTTAGGAGTTCATTTGAATGAGAATGGCATTGAAAGAAGGTGACCGGCCAGGCACAGTGGCTCACACCTGTGAGCACTTTGGGAGGCCAAGGCTGGTGGATCACGAGGTCAGGAGATCCAGACCATCCTGGCTAACACAGTGAAACCCCATCTCTACTAAAAACACAAAAAATTACCCGGCATGGTGGCGGGCGCCTATAGTTTCAGCTACTCGGGAGGCTGAGGCAGGATAATTGTTTGAACCCGGGAGGTGGAGGTTGCAGTGAGCCGAGATTGCGCCTCTGCACTCCAGCCTAGGCAACAGAGCAAGACTCCATCTCAAAAAAAAAAAAGAAAAAAAAAAAAGAAAGAGAGGTGAAATTTAGGAGGGGGAACTGGTGTGGCACCAATATAAGAAGAAGTAATAAGTATATTAATAAAAACACAAACAAAGCATAATCTTTCCCCTTGTATGACATTTTGAATGTACCGATAATCACAATAAATACAAAAACTGCATTGAGAGAGGAGCGATGTAGACAAGCAAATGAAACATCAGAGAAAAGACAGTGAGTATCAAACATGAAGGGAAAATGTAGAAGATATACAGGGAAAATGTCAGTAATTTAAAGCAGCAAAACTATTATCATTGGTCACTTTTAGCAACTGCAGTAGCTTAAAATACTCATTTTGGATTTGGAGTGATGAATGTTCCAATTTGTAACCAGAGTTGTAAAAATGACTGTTTCAAGTGGCCAAACAAAAGTGGCATTCTTTTTTAGCATTTAGCTGGTTTTGAAGGTGCCTATGAAACCCTCAGATCAGTATTTCCCTCCTCACACCCCAAAATAAGCATTCATTGGTTCTACCTATATTATGACAGTACTCACAATGCTTTAGACAACTATCCTCAGAGACAATTGTTCCTTGCTCTAAAGATGAAGAGCTGGAGTGTAGTTTCATTTAGTCATGTGTCATATGACAGTGTTTTGTTCAACAATGAACTGCATATACAATGATGGTCCCATAGAATATAATACCATATTTTTACTGTACCTCTTCTATATTTAGATACACAAACACCATTGTGTTACAATTGCCTACAGTATTCAGTATAGTAACATGTGGTACAGGTTTATAACCAAGGAGCAACAGGCTGTGTCATACAACCCAGGTGTGTAGTAGGCTATACCATCTAGGTTTGCATTAAGTATACTCCGTGATATTCACAAAATGATGAAATCACCTAACGACGCATTTCTCAAAACACATCACAGTTGTTAAGTGATGCATGACTGTGCTTCCTATCCATCAGTTCTCAAGAAAATTATCAACAACAGCAGCCAACCAGATAGTTCAGGGAAGTGTTTGCTTTGATCTGTCTGCTGTAGTCTAAGAATGTGAGCAAAATTTATTGGTTTCTTAAAGGATGTTTTCCCTAGGATGTGTCAGCCCACTCTATTGTCTCTCTCTGATAAATTCTTATTTCCAGGCCACACATCTTATCCCTTAATTGTTTCCTTTCACTAGTTTCTCTTTCCAATAGACTGTTAGTTATTTGAGGGCAATGACCAATGGTTTGTTATACTTTATACAGCTCATTTGACAAAAAACAGAAGAATAATGAGTTCTTAATGTTCCCCCATGAAATTATTACTAGGCTATGGTACAGATGCTCTTCATTATGATATCTTCTTTTGAGTGCCTAGGGAAAGCTTTCTTTCTAGGGTTTGTTACCAAAATAGTTTTGGCAATATAAAACCAAATTTCAACTTTCTTTTTTTTTTTTTTTTTTGAGACAAGGTCTCACTCTGTCATCTGTCACCCAGGCTAGAATGCAGTGGCGTAATCATAGCTCACTGCTGCCTTGGCACCAAGGCTCAAACAATCGTCCTGCCTCAGCCTCCTGAGTAGCCAGGACTACAGGTGCACACCACCACACCTAGCTAATGTTTTTATTTTTTGTAGAGGCAGGGTCTCGCTGTGTTGCCTAGGCTGGAGTGTAGTGGCGCAATCAAATCTCGCTGTAACCTAAAACTCCTGGGTTCAAGCAGTCTTCCCACAAGGCCTCCCAAAGTGCTAGGATTACAGGCATGAACCTGTTTTAAACACTTAAAAAAAATTTTTTTTGATAGTTAAAAAAAGTTTCTTATGAACCATCTTAATTTTATTTAAAAATAAGAGAAATGATACCTAATCTTCCTTGCTACATTTCAGGTATAGATGTTATACCTAAATTGACCCATTTAGGCCGAGCACAGTGGCTCATGCCTGTATTCCAGCACTTTGGGAGGCTGAAGTGGGCACACTGCTTGAGCTCAGGACTTTGAGATCAGCCTGGCCAACACGGTGAAACCCCGTCTCTACAAAAAATACAAAAATTAGCTGGGCGTGGTGTCATGCGCCTGTAGTCCCAGCTTCTTGGGAGGCTGAATGGGAGGATGGCTTGAGCCCACGAGGCAGACGTTGCAGTGAGCCATGATCATGCCACTGCACTCGTCTGGGTGAAAGAGCCAGATCCTATCACAATAAATAAATAAATAAATAAATAAATTGACCCATTTAATCGTGAAAATTTCTACAGGTAAGTATTACCATTATCCCACATTTTGTATATGACGAAACTAAGCTTAGAAAACATAAATAACTTGTAAACCCCAACGGAGGTTGAAAGTGTTAAGTGTTAGATCTGGAACTGGTGGTTTACACTGCATGATGCCAAAATCCAGGTATGAAACAACTAATCTAGGTACAATTTTTTTTTTCTTGTTTTGAGATGTAGTTTCACTCTTGTTGCCCAGGCTGGAGTGCAATGGCGTGATCTCGGCTTGCTGCAACCTCTGCCTCCTGGGTTCAAGTGATTCTCCTGCCTCAGCCTCCTGAGTAGCTGGGATTACAGGTGCCTGCCACCATGCCCAGCTAATTTTTTTTTTTTTTTTTTTTTGGAGACAGAGTTTCACTCTTGTCACCCAGGCTGAAGTGCAATGGGCTTGCCGCAACCTCCACCTCCCGGATTCAAGTGATTCTCCTGCCTCAGCCTCCCCAGTAGCTGGGATTACAGGCAGGCGCCACCACGCCTGGCTAATTTTGTATTTTTAGTAGAGACGGGGTTTCTTCATGTTGGTCAGGCTGGTCTCGAACTCCCGACCCGGGTGATTCACCTGCTTCGGCCTCCCAAAGTGGTGGGATTACAGGCATGAGCCACTGCGCCAGGCCTAATTTTTGGATTTTTAGTAGAGATGGAGTTTCACCATGTTGGCCAGGCTGGTCTTGAACTCCTGACCTCAGGTAATCTGTCTGCCTCAGCCTCCCAAAGTGTTGGGATTACAGGTGTGAGCCACTGCACCTGGCTGGTACAGTTTTATCTCAAGGATAATAATTGTGTAACTCGGCTAGGTGCGGTGGCTCACACCTGTAATCCCAGCACTTTGGGAGGCCGAGGTGGGCAGATCATGAGGTCAGGAGATCGAGACCACGGTGAAACCCCGTGTCTACTAAAACTACAAAAAAAAAAATTAGCCAGGAGTGGTGGCGGGCACCTGTAGTCCTAGCTACTCGGGAGGCTGAGGCAGGAGAATGGCGTGAACCCGGGAGGTGGAGCTTGCAGTGAGCTGAGATTGTGCCACTGCACTCCAGCCTGGGCGACAGAGCGAGACTCCGTCTCAAAAAAAAAAAAAAAAAAAATTGTGTAACTCTTCAGATTTCCTTCCTTACATTCAGTATCACAAACACAGGCCAAGAAAATTCATTGAGCTGCACACTTATGACTTGTATATTTTTGTTTTTGTTATGCTTCAAAAAAAGGTTTATGTTTAAAAACAAGTTATAACTTCAAGCCAAATTTGCATGAAATTAGAAGACTTAAATGGCAAGCATATATGTATTAGTCATATTCCTGATTGCATATTATGCCTTTATCCTTATTATACCTTTCTCATCTATTTTACTTTATATTATTTTCCATCTTTTGTGTATTTATCTTTGTGGACTGAAACTTAATGCCATTTGCAAATAAAGCAGACAATAAAAATTATGAATATATTTGATTTCACAATCCCCAACTGTAGGTAACTTCTAAGTATAGCAGTAATTACTCAAAATAATCATAAAAATCACTCAGATAATTCTAGGTTATAGTCAAGCTTCTTGTAACTGAAGGAAAGTAAAGAACTGATCAGGTAGATCAGAGACACAGTCATCATATTTTGTTGATTCTTTCCTCAGAATGATCACCAACTCCTCACTCCTCCATTCTTACATCATTGCCATAGTTCAGGTCTTTATTATCTATTGCCTCAGTTACTGAGATTAAATCTGAATACTGTTGAGTTTCTATTAGCAAGTTTTGAATGATATTTCTCAAACATCAATGTAATGGGAATATTCTCACTTCCTCTTCATTTATATTTATACAATCCTTCCACAATTATAACTAATTTGAAATTTTCCCTTTGTTCAAATGAGGATAGTAAAAAATGACTAATTACTGAATATTCCAGGTGGGACAATGTAAATTGCTATACTACAGGCAGTGAGAAAATAGTTTCTTTTCTCAAATGCTTCTAATAACTACTGGCAAGTAAAATTTTTCTATCTGTATAATAAATTCTTAAGCTAGGTATCAGTTTGCTTCCTCACCTGTCTCATAAAAGTGCCCTTATCTTTCAACTTACCACTCAAAACTACTTGGAAATCTTTGTCCCTCATTGACATGGTATGTTCTTTTTCTAAAGAGGCTGTATTATACTACAGCCTTTCTCTCTATAAACCTTAATCTTGTTCTTCTTTTAGGTAACTTTCATGACACGATACTCTCCAAGTTATCAAGCTTTTGTTTCAACTTTTAAGTAATATATACAGAATGTATTCTTCTTGAAAAATTTTTGAAGATTTTAGATGTAATTCCCCTTCTCAACTGCCTACCACTCAGTATTCAGTTTAAGTTTGATCCTTCCTGACTCTCCCTCCTTGCATTTTGTTTATTTATTTATATATTTATTTATTATTTTTTGAAACGGAGTCTTGCTCTGTTGCCCAGGCTTGAGTGCAGTGGTGCAATCTTGGCTCACTGCAACCTCCACCTCCGAGTTCAAGCAATTCTCCTGCCTCAGCCTCCTGAGTAGCTAGGATTACAGGCATGCACCACCAAGCCCGGATAATTTTTGCATTTTTAGTAGAGATGGGGTTTCACCATGTTGGCCAGGCTGTTCTTGAACTCCTGACCTCAAGTGATCCATCCGCCTCGGCCTCCCAATGTGCTGGGATTATAGGCATGAACCGCTGTGCCCGGCCCCTCCTGGCATTTTAAAAACAATACTTCTATATGTCTAGCCACAAAAGTATAACGTAATTAAGTTTCTTATACATAAACTATACATATTGTTTTGCAACTTACTTTTTTCACTCATTGTTTTTGAAAGCAATTTATGTTGATGAATATAGATTTAATTCTTCTTTTGATTTTTTTTCATTTTTTGAGACCAAGTCTCGCTCTGTTGCCCAGGCTGGAGTGCAGTGGTGTGATCTCGGCTCACCGCAACCTCAGCCTCCCAGGTTCAAGTGATTCTCATGCCTCAGCCTCCCACCTCCCAAAGTGCTGGGATTACAGGCGTGAGACACCACGCCCGGCCTAGTTCTTTTTTTTGAACTGTTATGTGGAAGTGGGCAAATTACTTAACTATTGAACTGTTTTCCACCATTGTTTTGCTGGTCTGTTCTTTGAGGCTTCACTAAATTGTATAAGGGTAAGTATCTCTTTCAAAGCTAAGTCTCCAATTTTTTGCTATTTTTTTCAAAAAGCCTGTCTTCTGTTTCTCAATGTTTTATTACCTCCCTATGTTAACAATCCCTAAATCCCAATCCCCATGGCCAAACTTAACCAAACTAAATCTCAATTCAAGGTACTCAAAAATACCTGTTCTAGGCTATTTCCCTATCACTTGAAATGCATGATGCCTGCACTCATGCACTGTCTAAACTTCAATAAGCCAAAAAAATTTCTTATGGAGAATGGCTTGGAGAAAAGTACAAGGAAGCATTTTAGTATGTGATTACTCTAAACAGATCAAGACAGAATGGCATGGGCCTGAAGAGAGACAACAATAATATGGATGGAGAGGGGAAACAGATTTGAGAGACATTTCCAACAAAGAACTGATGGGCTTGGTGACCAATGTGGGGAAAGGGTCAAGATGACTCCAAGATATTTGGTTTCTGTAACTGGATATCTTTGATGAATGTCATTCAGCAAAGCAGGGAATATTGGAGGGCATGATCATGAGTCTGGTCTTGAGCCAGAGAAGCCTGCATGACATCAAGGTGAGGATTCATGAGCTGGATGGATATGAAGAAAAGATCTGATTACAGATGGTAAGTGATAAATGAAAGCATGAAAGTGGAAGAAATTAACCTAAATGGGCAGAGAGTGGAAACGGACTTAGGAAGAAAGAAATAAAAAACATATCAAACATAAATCCTTTACTTACCTTCTTCTCAACCTGGGTCTCTTTCCAAGCCTCTCCATTCTTATCAATGAGCCTCTCTTTGCTTAAATGTTTCCCACTCCTTTGGCTCCTATATTCAGTCACTGCATAGAGCAGTGGGTAAAACCATGGACTCTGGAGCCGTATTTCCTAGGATCAAAACCCTGCTCAACTACTTTCTGTGTAAACTCAAACCACTCTGCTTCAATATTCCCATCTATCAATAGTAATTTATTTCATAGGGTTGTTATGGAAAATAAATGATTTAATTTTTTAAAGAGCTTAGAACAGTGTCTGGTATGTACCCTATAAGCATGTGTTAGGTATACAAATAAAGCCTGTCAATTTTCTTTGTGAAATGCTTTAAATGTGTCCTATCCTTATTCCCATTTAACACCAAACCAGCTGAGGTACCTAATATTTCATAGAGTATCACCTCATCACTGTACTAAATTGCTTTTTAAAAGGTCACTAATGACCTCTTCATAAAGAAATGCAATACTCTCCCCTCCCCCAAGTCTCCAGATGCTCTGCATGAATTGATCCAGTGGTCTCTCCTCGAAATTCCCTTCTCTTGATTTCTGGGTCTTCTTGCTTGCTGTAACCCTGCACTCCTACACTTTATTGCCTACTGCTGACTACTACTAGCTCCAATTCCTCTTTCTGCTTCATAAATGCAAGCATTACCCTCCCCCCCCAAATTTCCTTATTTTTCAAAATTCTCTTCCTGATGCCAGCTATTGCCATGGTTTCCACTTCTATGCTGATAACTCAAACTTTTACCTCTAGCTACAATGTTTAGGCTGAGCTAAAGATTTGCATTTCCAACTCCATGCTGGACAGCTCTATGTGTCTGTCTCATTAGACCTTTAATTCAACATGTCCAAAAAATGAATTCATAATCTACACTAAGCTTATGGCTTTATTTCTGATAATGGCATTACCATCCTTCAGCTCAGAGGTCTAAAACCTAAGAATTAGATTTGGTCCCTCACACTTCTTCAGCATTCAGTTAATTATGGAGTCTTGACATAATCATCTCCAGTATATTTGTCTCCTTACCAATGACACCATTATAACTTATTTCAGGAATTTTTTGCCTCTCACTAGGCTGATCCCATTACCCCTTCAAAAGAATCTCCGATAAGCGTTCCTAACTTTTAGCTAAATGTCTAAATGCAGTTAATAGAAAGTCCCTTCTCTATGGGCTTTCTACAGAACAAAATGATTTCCTGCAGTGCAAATCTGACCATATCAATATTCTGTTCCGAACTCTTCAAAAAACTACCCATCTCCTTTAGGATTACACCATTCACCATCTGGACCTCGGTCGACTTTCCCAGTCTCATATCCATTCTGTGCATAGGAGTCCCCCCATTTCCTCCTCTTCCCACACAAGTTATGCTCAGTCATTTCTCCACAGTATTGCAACTGTCTTCCCTGAAAAACTCTTCAACACTTTACTCTCTCCAAGTACAATTCAGACATCACTTTCTTTCTAAAGCCTTCTCAGCAACGGCCCCTTGAGCAATTAACACATATGTGACTGATACATACATACATATATATACACATAGGAGTACTTATTTGTTCAGATCTGGCTCCCAAACTTAATCCCGAAAACTGGAACAATATCTTGCCAATCTCCAGTGTCTGGTATAGCGCCAGTAATATAAAAGGTGCTGCGACCAGTGGCCAAATAGGGGAAAACCCCAGCAAAAGGGTAACCTAGCACTCACAGTGGTTCTCAAAGACTGGCACTGAATGCCTGGTCTTGGGCTGGCTCCCGAGGCTCGTTTTCTTAGGGCCTCACCTCTGGCACTTCTTATAAGATGCCAGAGTCAGGCCCCCAAGCCAACTGCTGGGCCCTCAGCTGGGGTCCTATGAGGCGGTCCCAGGGGCATCCTCAGGCTCCCCACTCCAGTCACAGGGAAGGGAAAGGGGCGGGGCGCAGCGTGGGCCGGGCCAAGGGCTCCTCAAGTCCCCAGGGGCCTAGGCCAGCCTCTCGGCTCCCATCCCAGTGCAGGTCCCGGTTGATCCAGGGCCCCAGGGGGGTTCCATTTTGAGACACCCCGCACCCCAGCCCGCCGCTCCGGCCGTCTCCGCACTTACAGACCCGGGGGAAGGCCGCCGTCAGGATCCGGCACCGCCAGGAGCTCCGGCCCCTCGGGGCTCCGGGAAGGGGGAGGGGCAAGGAACCCGAGCCAAAGGGGGACCCAACGGAACCGGAAGGGCAGCCCTGGCCGGACAAAGACAACTTCCAGGTCCCATGGTCCTCTCCGCCAATCGGAAGGCTCGGAGGACAACAGGGGCCCCGAGAGGGAATTTCTGCGTTGTGGGCGGGGCGCAGACGGAGGGCACCGTACTCTGGGCACTAGCTTCACTGCCTACTACCCCGAGGTGCCTTAGCTCGTAAGCGTCTGTGGCTCAGGCCCTGTGCGCCTCGCAGGGACCCGCTGCTCGGGACCCCCGTCTCAGCGGCTCTTCTGTAGCTGGGCCTAGACGGTCCGCTGCCTCCTTGGGCCTGAAGGGCTCCTCTGCACTTAAACTTTGGTAAGTCTTTTTAGCCTAGGGGTGTAGACTCGTCGCGCGGGAGCCCGAAGAGCAGAAAGCTCTCCCCTCACTTTTGGATGTGTTTTTCAGGGTTCTTGCCTTGGAGTTCTTCCTAGGGCAAACTCTTGCACTCCCATGGCTTCCGTTACCTACTTCATGCTGACCATTCACAACCCAGGCAGCTACATGGACGAGATCTCCAGCTGTCCTGATGTGAAAGTACCTTTTAATGATCTCAAGTTCATCTCATCTCCTATCCAGACCGGAAAACTTGAGGATCCTTCTAGAGTTCTTTTCCTTGCCAATCCAGTTTACTGGTTTTTGACCATTCTTTTCGTTTTTGGTGGTGGTGAGGGGCTTTTTATTGAGGTAAAACATGCGTAATGTTTATTACTTTAATCATTTGTAAGTGTAAAACTTGATGGTCTTGAACTCTGGAGTTAAAGTGATCCACCCTCCTCAGCCTCCCAAAGTGCTGGGATTACATGTGTGAGCCACTGCTCCCAGCCTTTCCCTCTTTTTAATGTAGTTATTTACAACTATACATTTCACTTTGATCACTGTTTTCACTACAGCTCATAAGTTTTTGTATGTTGTGTTATTTTCATTCATTTCTAAGTATTTTCTAATTTCCCTTTTGATTTCTTCTTCTTTTTTTTTCTTTTTTTTGAGATGGAGTTTCGCTCTTGTTGCCCAGGCTGGAGTGCAATGGTGTGATCTCGGCTCACCGCAACCTCCGCCTCCTGGGTTCAAGCGGTTCTCCTGCCTCCGTCTCTAAAGTAGCTGGGATTACAGGCATGCGCCACCACACCGGGCTAATTTGATATTTAGAGATATGGAGACGTGGTTTCTCCGTGTTGGTCAGGCTGGTGTCGAACTCCCGACCTCAGGTGATCCACCCGCCTTGGCCTCCCAAAGTGCTGGGATTACAGGTGTGAGCCACCGTGCCTGACCTTGATTTCTTCTTTGACCCAGTTGTTAAGAGTGTTGTTTAACTTTCAGATATTTGTGACTTTTCCAGTTTTCCTTCTGTTATTAATTTATAACTTCATCTGTGTGGTCCGAGAAGATACTTTGTATGATATCTATCTTGTAAAATATTATGAAACTTGAATTGTGGCATACAGTCTGGTGAATACCTCATGTGCTTTAGAGAAGAATGTGTATTCTGCTCTTGCTGGGTGGAATGTTCTGTATATGTCTTTTAAGTATAGCTGGTTTATTATGATGCTTAGTTCCTCTATTTCCTCACTTATCTTCTATCTGATTCTTCTCCCCGTTACTGAAAATGGGGTATTGTAGTCTCCCACTATTATTGTAGAACTGTTTATTTCTCCTTTTAATTCTGTCCATTTTTGCTTCATGTATTTTGAGAGTCTGTTCCTAGCGAGGTAAATGCCTATAATTTTTATATAATCTTGTTGTAATGAGCCTTTTATTAATATATAATGTCTTTGTCTCTTATAACCTTTTCAAATTTTAAAATCTATTTTGTCTAATGGTAGTATAACTACATCAGCTCTTTTTCAGTAACTATTTGCATGTTATATCTTTTTTCATTAAATTATTATTATTATTATTATTATTATTATTTGCGAGGGAGTCTCACTGTGTCACCCAGGCTGGAGTGCAGTGGTGCCATCTCAGCTCACTGCCACCTTCGCCTCCCGGGTTCAAGTGATTCTCCTGCCTCAGCTCTGGAGTAGCTGGGATTATGGGCGCCTGCCACCATGCCCAGCTACTTTTTGTAAATTATTATTATTTTCTGTGACAGAGTCTTGCTCTGTCGCCCAGGCTGAAGTGCAGTGGCAATCTCGGCTCACTGCAACCTCCACCTCCTGGGTTCAAGCCATTCTCCTGCCTCAGCCTCCCAAGTAGCTGGGATTACAGGTGCACGCCACCATGCCCAGTTAATTTTTGTATTTTTAGTAGAGATGGGGTTTTACCATGTTGGCCAGGCTGGTCTCAAACTCCTGACCTCCCACCTCGGCCTCCCAAAGTGCTGGGACTACAGGCGTGAGCCACTGTGTCCAGCCCTTTTTCCTTGAATTATTGAAAAAAAAATTTTTTTGTAGAGACCGCGCCTTGCTATGTTCCTCAGGCTGCTCTTGGACTCCTGGCCTCAAGCTATCTTTGGTCTCCCAAAGTACTGCGGTTGTAAGCCACTGTACCTGGCCCTTTTCCTAACCTTTTCTTTTCTTTTCTTTTTTTTTTTTTTGAGACAGAGTCTCGCTCTGTCACCCAGGCTGGAGTGCAGTGGCGTGATCTCGGCTCACTGCAAGCTCCGCCTCCCGGGTTCACGCCATTCTCCTGCCTCAGCCTCCCGAGTAGCTGGGACTACAGGTGCGTGCCACCACACCCGGCTAATTTTTTTGTATTTTTAGTAGAGACAGGGTTTCACCATGTTAGCTAGGATGGTCTCGATCTCCTGACCTCATGATCCGCCCACCTCAGCCTCCCAAAGTGCTGGGATTACAGGCGTGAGCCACCACGCCCGGCCTCTAACCTTTTATTTTCAATCTATTTGTGTCTTTGGATGTCAAGTGATTCTCTTGTAGACAGCATTTAGTTGGAGCATGTGGATTGTGTGTGTGTGTTTAAAATTAATTTTCCCTTTCTTTTTAAAAATTAAATATATTTTTAGAGACAGGGTCTCACTCTGTTGCCCAGGCTGGATTGTAGTGGCATGATCACAGCTCACTGAAGCTGGAACTCCTGAGCTCAAGTGGTCTTCTCGCCTCAGCCTCTCAAAGTAGCTGGGACTACAGGTGTGCAACACCACACTTGACGCCTTTATTTTATTTTATTTTATTTTATTTTTTGAGACAGAGTCTCACTCTGTTGCCCAGGCTGGAGTGCAGTGGCGCAGTCTTGGCTCACCGCAGTCTCTGTCTCATGGGTTGAAGCGATTCTCTTTCTCAGCCTCCAGAGTAGCTGGGACCACAGGCATGCGGTCCCATCAAGCAATCCGCCTGCGTTGACCTTCCAGAGTGCTGGGATTATAGGCATGAGCCACTGTGCCCGGACTTGACTCCTTTCTGTCTTTAGATTGGAGAGTTTAACCTTGACTCCTTTCTGTCTTTAGATTGGAGAGTTTAAACCATTTAGATTTAAAGTAATTATTGATAAGGTGGGATTTATATCTGTCACTTCTCTATTTGTGTTTTATATGCTTTTTAAATCTTCATTTCTGCCATTACTGCTTTTTTGTGTTAGTGTTAGTTGATTTTTTTATCATGAAACGTTTGATTCCCCTCTCATTTCCTTTTGTGTATATTCTATAGATATTTTATTGGTGGTTACCATAGGTATTACACTCAACATCCAAAAGTTATAACAATCTAATTTGAATTGATACCAATTAACTTCAATATCATACAAAAACTCTGCTCATGTAAAGCTCTGCCCTTTCCTTTCTGTTACTGATGTCACAGATAACATTTTATACATTGTATATCCAATAACATAATTTTTTTTTTTGAGACAGTCTCGCTCTGTCACCCAGGCTGGAGTGCAATGGTGCAATCTCAGCTCACTGCAACCTCTGCCTCCCGGGTTCAATTGATTCTCCTGCCTCAGCCTCCCGAGTAGCTGGGATTATAGGCACCCACCACCACGCCCAGCTAATTTGTTTCTATTCTTAGTAGAGATGGAGTTTCACCAATATTGGTCAGGCTGGTCTCAAACTTCTGACCTCAGGTGATCCACCCACCTCGGCCTCCCAAAATGCTGGGATTACAGACATGAGCCACCACGCCCAGACAACATAAATATTTTTTATGCATTTCACTTTTAAATCAGAGAAAATAAAAAGTGGAGTTACAAATCATAATTATAATAATTGCTTTTATAGTTGCCAGTGTATTTGACTTACTAGAGATCTTTGTTTCTCTGTATGGCTTTGAGTTACTATTGAGTGTACTTGCACTTCAAAATGTCGGTTTCTCTTTAGCATTTCTTGAAGGGCAGGAATGCTGGTGGTAACGAACTCCCTTGGCTTGTCTTTATCAGGGAATGTCTTAACTTCACCCTCATTTTTGAAGAACAATTTTGCCAGATATAGATTTTTCCATGACAGTTTTTTTTTTCTTTCTTTCGAGCCTCTGAGGATTCTTTATTGGGTGATAATCTTATTGCAATCCTTTGTATGGGACAAGTTGCTCATCTCTGGCTGCTTTCAGGATTCTCTTTTTTTTTGGCTTTTCACAGCTTAATTATAATATATTTGGTGGTTTCTTAGTATTTCCTATCAGGAGTCTGATAAGCTTCTTGGATTTGTATATCATGTTGTTAATAGAGTTTGGAGAGTTTTGACCATGATTTCTTGCAATATTATTTCTGCCCTTTCTTCTCCTTTGGAACTCCCACAATTCATTATGTTTGTCCTACTGATGGTATCCCACAGGGTCCCTTAGGCTTTATTTACTGTTCACTTTTCTTCATTCTTTTTTCTTCCTATTCTTCAGATGGAGTAGGAGTCAAAAGGAATCCACCTCTCCACCTAGACAACAGTTCTACCAGCAGCAACTCTCTGAAGTAACTATGTTGGAACTCTGGAGTCTATTCGAATGCTTACATCTTCCAAGGGAAAGCTGGGCTGGTAAATAGAGGTTAATTTCAGTCTCTGTCAGCTTTAGTGTGATACCAGCTACTCATGCAGTGTTACTTAACCCTGTAGCACGCAGCTGTATCCACATTCCTGGTGCGGCTTGCTGGAGGCTGGGTGGGCGATACGAACTTTGTCCTCCAAATACTGGCTGTCGACACTCTGGTTGTTGATGACTGAAGTGCAGGTGCAGAGGCAGGTTGCCACTGTTTTGACCCCCCACCAGCTGAACCTCTTTCCAAGGGTTTTAAAAGAATAGCACCTGTTTTGTTTGTTTGCTTCCCTTTTACTCCATTTATGAGTCAGATATTGAAGGATTAGGATATTCAAAAGCAATCACTTAGGCAGGGGAAAGTAGAAAGCTACTGCATATAACCAGGGAAAGACACAGGCTAAGAAAAGACCTGAGAAAACCTTAAGCTTTCACCCGAGGCTGATCCTGATCCCCAGCACAGAGACAATTACAAAAGCCCAGCAAACATGGGGGCAGGAGAATCTTATTTTCAGATTCACCACATTATGAGATTCAAATGTTCAATTTTCAACAACAACAAATCATAAGGATTTAAAGTGAAGCCAAATGTGGTGGCATGTGGTTGTAGTCCCACTTAATTGGTTGTTACTGGGCAACATAGTGAGACCCCATCTCTAGTTGAAAAATAAAATTTTTAAAAAAATCACAAGACATACAAATAAACAGGAAAGTATGGTCAATTCAGAAGAACAAAATAAATCAACTCAAACTATTCCCACAGAAGCCAAGATAGATGTCTGAGTTAATAGACAAAGGCTTTAAAACAACTATTTTGAAGTCGTTCGAAGAACTAACAGGGCTGGGCGTGGGGTGGCTCACGCCTGTAATCCCAGCGCTTTGGGAAGCCAAGGTGGGCAGATCACCTGAGGTCAGGAGTTCGAGACCAGCCTGGCCAACATGGTGAAACCCTGTCTCTACTAAATACAAAAATTAGCTGGGCATGGTGGCGTACGCCTGTAATCTCAGCTTTTCAGGAGGCTGAGGGAGGAGAATTGCTTGAACCTGGGAGGCGGAGTTTGCAGTGAGTTGAGTTCCTGCCACTGCTCTCCAGCCTGGGTGACAGAGTGAGACTCTATCTCCAAAAAAAAACAAACAAACAGAAAAAGGACTAAAGGAAGACATGAACAAAGTCAGGAAAACAATGTATGAATAAAATTAGACTATCATTAAAGAGAAATTATAAAAAGGAGCTGAGGCCAGGTGTGATGGCTCATGCCGGTAATCCCAGCACTTTGGGAGGCCAAGGCTCGTGGATCATGAGGTCAGGAGTTCGAGACCAGCCTGGCCAACATGGTGAAACCTCATCTCTACTAAAAATACAAGAACTAGCTGGGTGTGGTGGCATGCCTGTGTTCCCAGCTACTCAGGAGGGTAAGGCAGGAGAATCACTTGAACCCAGGAGGTGGAGGTTGCAGTGCACCCAGATTGCACCACTGCACTCCAGCCTGGGTGACAGAGCGAGACTCTTAGAAAAAAAAGGAGCTGAAATGAAATTCTAGACCTGAAAGATACAGTAACTGAAATGAAAAATTTACATAGAGGGGTTCAAAAACAGATTTGAATGAGCAGAAGAAAGAACCAGCAAATTTGAATATATTTCTTTGTAAAATACCCGCGGAACCCTGTTCCTTCGTTTTACCTCCTGCTTCCTTAGCTCAAGCCTTCCTCATCTTAGGCAGCCTCCAAACTATTCTATCAACCTCCCCTTTTCCCTGCTCTAGTTTTACTAGAGTGATCTTTAAAAAAACCCCAAATCTAATATTGTCACTGTCCTTTAAAATATCCAAGGGCACCCGTGTGTCTATAGAGTGAACTTCAGTTTCCTTATTTTAGCATTCAAGGACCTTCCTATTTTGGCTCCAGCCTACTACATTGCTTTATTTCACACCAGCCCCACATTCCATTCATATACTGTAACCACATTTTCTTGGGTACAAAGTCACTTACTGAAAAAAAGTTGAGCATATTTGGAAACCAAAATTCATTTTCTGTGAATGGGATATCAATATATAGCATTGGTAGGCATTGAAACAGACTATAGTCTATTTTTAAAATGGATTAGATGATAAAAACAACATGTATGTCATCACTAATCCAGTGGTCAATATTAGCATAACTCTGTAAGATACAATAAATGTTATATCTATTGTAGATACAATGTTATGTATCTAACATAATATCTAACATGTTAGATTCATAACGTTGTATGTAATATAATGAAACATGAAGTATAACCTGTCACTTGTGAGGTATACTAGTCTGATATGTTTGACTTGAATCCACTGAGTCTTCAAATATAACTTTCTTGTTCAAGAAATACAAGGCTTGCAGGAACAAGCTCAATGACTTCATGAGGAAGCAACCACTCAGATAAAAACATTTTGCACTTCAAGTGGCCTGATTTCTACAGTGAACAAGAATCTTTTAATTTTTTTTTAAGTGCCATAATTAAAAAGTCAAGGGATGTAACCAGATGGAATGTATGGTCCTGAATTGGATAATTTGGGTATACTGGTTGTAGAAAAATATAATTTGGTCAACAGAATATTTGATTGTAGTTAGGTATTATGTGAGAGGAAATTTTCCTGTAACATTACTGAGTTAAGAAAGCCAACTGTAAAAATAACTTTAGATGGATAGAAAATGTGAATGTGATCTAGGAATTAGGTGAGAAGAAAATGTACTGAAATAAGGTAGATATTTTTAATTGAAAAAGGAGATGACTAAAGTGATCTCATTTTGAAAAAAAAAATACACACACACAGAAGGATATACTCTAAAGTATTAACATTGGCCCTGGGAATGCCATGGTTTTTTTTTGTTTTTCATTAAAACATAGAGACACGGTCTCACTATGTTGCCCAGGCTGGTCTCGAACTCCTAGGCTCAAGCCATCCTCCCACCTCAGCCTCCCAAAGTGTTAAAATTACAGGCATGAGCCACCACACCTGGCCTTTTTTATTAAAAAAAATTTTTTTTAAATGCAATGTTTTCTTTTTTTGTTGTTGTTTTAGCTTGTGTCTATTCTCCAAAGCATGTTGTACTGATTGTGTAGTACAATTTTATTTAAAAATGTATGTTAAGATTTACATAAATATTTGGGGTGTCCATGAATCAAGAAATACATGAAAGTATGGGCACCAAAACGTTAAAAGTGGTTTTGTTGGGAGTTCAGGGGATTTTACTTTCTCCCTAATACTTTATTCTTTGAATATCTTGAAATGGATATTTTGTAACTGTATAAGGAGAAAGGAAGCGAAACTATTTTTCTGCAGGGGTACACCCACATCTATTGTATTAGACAAATCACAGAGGGATTGCAACAGAACACAGATTTTTCTCACTGTTTTTTCTCTGGTTGATCGGGATGCATTATCCACCAGAAAACACTGTAGACGACTCACTCACCAGGAAAAGAGCATATGCCAGTTGGAATAAATAAAGGGGAAGAGTAAGGAAGAGGCTGTAGAATTATTTTATAAATTATCAAGTCTTATGAGCCAGGTGCAGTGGTGCATGCCTATGTACAGTCCCAGCTACTCAGGAGGCTGAGGTGGTAGGATAGCTTGAGCCCAGGAGTTCGAGGGTGGAGTGTGATATGATCGTCTGTGAATAGCCACAGCACTGCATCCTGGACAAGATAGGGTCTCTTTAAAAATAAGACTTAACTAGCACTTTAATAATCATTGTTTTTGTTCCCAACTGCATTGTACATTCATTGAGGACAGGGACTTTAAACTTCATTATATTGCTGTTGCTGTGTTTCACCTTTGAATGATTTTTAAATAAAAATCTCATCTTTGAGTCACAATCTGATGTAACCTTGTCCATTTCTGTCCTCTTGTGTGCCTTAAATGCCTTTAGGCAGCTGTGTTGTACCAGTGGTTTTAGGACTTGGCAGTCGGAAGTTTTGACTTCTAGACTGGATTCTGTAACTAAAGCTAAATTACTTTATAAAAGGAGAAAAATGGTACCATTCTGACGGGTTTGTGGTGAAGCTGAAATGAGATAGCCACATAAAGAACCATCACAATCCCTGACACACCGTGCGCCCTCAGTAAATGCCAGGTGAATTTTATTACACTGTGAAGTACTGATTTTCAAACAGGACTTGCACATGAAAGGTGAGCAGGGGGATTCCTTGCTCAAGCACCAGTACTCTGGGGTTGTACCCTTTGTTAGGCTCAACAGGTACTACCCAGTCCGCTTCCATCGTCCCCAGTCCCGGCTGCAGTCACGTAGTTGGCTGTCCAACTCCAAATACACAAGACAGCCCAGGTCCAGCTCACAGCCAGTGCACTTCGCGCAGGCGCACAGTCCTGAGGCGGGCTGAAAGCCCAGGTGGGGCTCGGAGAAGAGGAAGCTCCGCCTCGCTTCCCGGTATTGGGCCAATAGGGTCGCTCGTCATGGTCGCAGACCTATGAGACGGGGCAGGGGGCGGGGCGGAGGGCGGAAGAAGTCGCTCTCACGTGAGTAAAGGGGTGGGGGGGCGGGGACAGGGCGGTTTGGGAGGCCCAGGCGGCGGAGCCTCCGGGACGGCGAGCGGCGGGCGGCGGAGGAGGAGACGGCAGGTCGGGTAGGGCCGTGTTTCCCCTCCTCCTCCTCCCACCCTCCTACCTACCAACCCCAGGGGTATTTTCCGACGGCCCCTGCGGGGAGCCAAGCTGTCTTCTCATCCCGCGGGGTCGGGCCAGTGGAGCTGCTCTCAGCTCCCTCGACGGGCCGAGTTCTGAGGGGAGCCGTGATTGGGGGGAGGGGGAACTGCGACGGAGGGGAGAGGGCGCATGCGCAGGCTGGGCCGCTCTGGGAGCCCCTGCCCAAACCGGTTCCCCCTGTCTGTGTGGGTGCCGGTCTTCTGAGTCTTGCGTTTTTGGCCCTCCCTCTGGTCCCCCAGCAAAGCCGGTTTGTGTCTTGACTTTAATGTTTTATGCTTGGTCCTATTTGGGAATCCAGCCGCTCCCCCCCGCCTCAGTTTCTCCCCATTGCTCACTAGGCCTGTATCTGTGACTTAAGCTAGCCTGGGCCTCAGGCTGTCCTGGGCTGCGCCTAAATTTCAAAGACTTGCTAGTTTTCACTGTCGCTTTGCCATCTCAGGTTGGTCTTTCAGTCTCATTTCCCCGTCTGCAATTAAAGCGTTCTTGGCATCCCAGTCTTCTCATCTCCTTGAAGCAGCTACCCCAGTACCTCATCGCTGTGTCTTTTGATTATCCGCACCCTTAGGGTTTTACGTGTTGAGCCAAAGGATAACCTCAAGACTTCCAGGAGTTCGCTGTCCATTGCCTGGTAGTACTTTGGTCTCTGCTCTTCTGCATCCAGACTGTTTATCATCTGCTCCTGCGTTTCACGCATCTGCATACCTTTGGTTACTCGAGAATTCTTTTTTGGAAACAAATGTCCTAGGAGACCGTGTTAAGTGATCATGCTGCTAGTGTTCCCGCTACTAGTGCTCCGTTAGTTTTAAATCATGTTCCAACTTGAATTTGAGGTCTTTTGACTTTCGTTGGCTTTTTGTCAGGGAAAAAAACCTGTTAGGGACAGGGTTTCACAATTCCTTTTATATTTCCATTCACATGTATTTACAAACGTGTGCCTGGAGTAGTAAGTACACAATAAGTGAGTTTCCAGCTGTTTTTGTTTCGGAAACAAAAAACAAAACAAAACAAAACAAAAAAACAACGGAAGGTGAATGGAATTGTGTTTGTAACATTAAACTGATGTTTGAAAAGTAGTTGGGAAAAAAAGCTTAGGTACTAAGGAGGGTTCATCCAACTTTTTTTTAAACGAAGGACGTGTTGCCTTAGTTCAAGTTTGTATAAGGTGCTATTTAATATGTATTGAAGACTTAACTAGAGCTTACTTATGAAAACTGAAAATAGGGGCCGGGTGCGTTCACGCCTGTGATCCAGCATTTTAGGAGGTTGAGGCGGGTGGATCACAAGGTCAGGAGTTCGAGACCAGCCTGTCCAATATGGTGAAACCAGGTCTCTACTGAAAATACAAAAATTAGACGGGCGTAGTGGCAGGCGCCTGTAGTCCCAGCTAATCGGGAGGCTGAGGCAACAGAATCGCTTGAACCCGGGAGGCAGAGGTTGCAGTGGGCCGATATTGTGCCATTGCACTCCAGTCTGAGCAACAGAGCGAGACTCCGTCTCAAAAAAAAAAAAAAAAAAACACAAAAAAACAAAATAGGGAAGAGAAGTCTTTATAAATCTTCCTGTGTAGAGTTCACTTTGTATTAATAAAATTTCAATCCATGATTGATTTTTATGTATTGGTAACATTTAAAATTCATATGTAATTTTAATTCAAGATATTAACTCAGATTCATAATTAAAGTTGAAATATTTGTGGCGTGAGGTGATTCATGCTTGTAATCCCAACACTTTGGGAGTCTGAGGTGGGAGGACTACTTGAGTTGAGAAGTTCAAGACTGCAGTAAGCTATGATGGGTGCCACTGCACTCTAGCCTGGGTAACACAGCCAGTTCCCATCAAAAAATAAAAAATAAAAAAACAACAAAAAATCTGAGATATAGTCATGTTGTGGTGCACTTTCTTTTTTTTTTTTTTTTTTTTTTTTTTTTTGAGACTGAGTTGTGCTCTTGTTGCCCAGGCTGGAGTGATCTTGGCTCACTGCAACCTCCGCCTCCTGGGTTCAAGGAACTGATTCTCCTGACTCAGCTTGGGATTACAGGCGTGTGCCACCACGCCTAGCTAATTTTTTGTATTTTTACTAGAGACGGGGTTTCATCATGTTGGCCAGGCTGGTCTTGAACTCCTGACCTCAGGTGATCCACCTGCCTCAGCCTCCCAAAGTGCAGGGATTACAGGCGTGAGCCACTGCGCCCGGCCACACTTTCTTTTAATTGAGTGTTATGATTCAGTTTACAGTTAACGCATTGACATTAATAGGTATATATTTGTTTGGAAAGTTAACCTATCAGCTATGTGCATTTTGGCATTTTTGGCATAGTATTTTGTTTGCAGTTTATAAGAGTTGTAGTAATGTAGTGGGAACAGAGACACCTGTTTCCTACCTTTTCTGCTGCATATTGAGAGAACTGTATTATGCACTTTATCTACATGAGGGGCATGGTTTTCCACACAATTTATTAACTGAACTTTGTAGCCCAGCTTCTTTTAAAGAAGTCTGTTGGCTGGGCGCGGTGGCTCACGCCTGTAATCCCAGCACTTTGGGAGGCCAAGGCAGGCGGATAACAAGGTCAGGAGATCGAGACCATCCTGGCTAACACTGTGAAACCCCGTCTCTACTAAAAATACAAAAAATTAGCCAGGCGTGGTGGCAGGTGCCTGTAGTCCCAGCTACTCGGGAGGCTGAGGCAGGAGAATGGCGTGAACCCGGGAGGCGGAGCTTGCAGTGAGCCAAGATCGCACCACTGCACTCCAGCCTGGGCGACAGAGTGAGACTCCGTCTCAAAAAAAAAAGAAGTTTTTGTTTTTTATTCAGTATATTTCCAGCTAAAGGAAAGCCTCCTTTGGAGGTCTCATTATTTCCCAGTAGTTTTAACAAGGAATTTTTGAATACAGTTTTCAGAAAATAGTTTAAATTGGTGCTACAGGTGAGTATCTTTGTAAAAACACTGGTTTGCTAAGGTTCTGACATAGGCTGCCCATAATGTTATCTTTGTAATTTCAATATAATCAGGTATCAGTAGACTTCTCAAGCATGTGGAATAAATGAATACAACACACTTTTTTTTTTTTTTAAAAGAGATAGGGTTTTGTTCTCTTTCCCAGGCTGGAGTGCAGTAGTGCTGTCGTAGCTCACCTCAACCTTGAACTTCTGGGCACCAGTGATCCTCCTGCTTCAGCCTCCCAAGTAGCTAGGACTGCAGGCACATGCGACCACACCCAGTGAATTTTGCTATTGTTTGTAGAGACTGGGTTTCACTGTGTGGCCCAAGCTGTTATCAAACACCTGGCCTCAAGCAATCCTCCCACTCTGGCCTCCCAACGTGACAACACTCTTAAATAATCTTTGTTTGTTTCTTTTTTTTTTCTTCTTTTGAAACGGAGTCTCACTCTGTCGCCCAGGCTGGAGTGTGGCGGCACGATATCAGCTCACTGCATCCTCCCAGGCTGGAGTGCAGTGGCGTGATCTCGGCTCACTGCAACCTCCGCCTTCCGGGTTTAAGAGGTTCTCCTGCCTCAGCTTCCCGAGTAGCTGGGACTACAGGCGCGCACCACCACACCCAGATAATTTTTTTTTTTTTATTTTTAGTAGAGACGGGTTTTCACTATGTTGGCCAGGCTGGTCTCGAACTCCTGACCTCAGGTAATCCACCTGCCTCGGCCTCCCAAAATGATAGGATTACAAGAGAAAGCCACCGCGCCCGGCCTAAATAATCTTTCTTAGCAAGACTATACTTCAGGGATCGTTCCTATAGTTTGTTAAATAATGTTTCTTGGAGATAGAACTCAAATATTTAAGAAGTGCTCATTTAAGGTACGTAAAGCAGAATTTGGCATGACATTTTGGTGCTTTGTATGTAGTTACCTTGTTTTACTGAGTTTACATAGTTAGATCCCACTGAAAAAAAATTCAAGGCTCAGGACTTAATGCCCGTGAGTATGCCTGGAAAAACACCATGTATACATCATAGCTGTTGCTTTTTTTTTTTTTTTTAGCATAAACTGGTTACCTAGTCATCCCAACCACCCTCACCCCTCTGTTTTGTGTTGATCCTGAGATCATTATTCTTTAGAAACTTTGTAACAATATTGGATAGACGTTTAAGCTTACATTGTAACCATTCACGTTGACCCTAACAGCCTTGTTTCTCTTCATGTGCAGACTGACCAAATATGGAAGTGTGCAAGTCTTGAACACATTAGTTTATACAATGTGGCCTGAAAGTTTCCCTCCTCTTTCCAAATCAACCATAATATTCTGAGGTACTCAGTGAGAATTTTTTGAAGATTGTTTTCTATCAGACTTTTCCCCCTAAATCCC
This sequence comes from Homo sapiens, assembly GCF_000001405.40. Taxonomy (NCBI): domain Eukaryota; kingdom Metazoa; phylum Chordata; class Mammalia; order Primates; family Hominidae; genus Homo; species Homo sapiens. The sequence continues at coordinate 122,945,491 of NC_000009.12, forward strand.
TTTTTCTGATCACTATACAGTGAAATAAAGCCCTAAACCTACTTTTAAGCTCCTGCCTGACATTAAATAGTATGTATGTATTATCTTGGTTGTAAAGTATGAGAAATATATCTTCTTAATTGTGTACCTCTCCAAGAATTAATGCATAGTTGTTATGTATTTCCTGTTAAGGTTGCATCAGCATTTGTGTTATAAACTACTACTCCTTGGGTTCTGTAAGTCTTTGTGGAAATAAATTTTTCTCTGTACCTAAATCTGGCATTTCTGAAGGTACATTAGCAAGTGAGTTTCTGTGGTAACTTTAACATAATGTTACTAAGTCAAACTTTAACAACAATTTGACTGTTTTAAAACTTTCTCCCTTTTTCCCTTATTTATGCATTTTGGTAACTAACCAACAACCTATGGTTTATAATTTTGTTTTCCATTTTCTGAGGATGATCTTTTATCAGTTAAGGAAATGATATGCAGAATCCTTTGGGAATATATTTTATTTTTTAAGACTACTAAAGTGCAGTAGTGAGAACGGGGAAAAGAGTAGAACAAGGAGTTTGTTCTGTAACTGACTGAACAATCGAGATAACTCACTGTCTTTGGACCAGCTTTGGGAGTATATTTTAACTATCATGAAGGATAATACGAGATAGCATACTGGAAGGCACAGAAAACACGTATCTTCTGCCAAACATTCATGGTTTGCCTACATGCATTCCCCTGAAAATCAAACAGGTCATAGAAAAGACAAATTATATTTCTGCATTTATCTTAGACTTTGATCATCTGTTGAATGATTTGCCTGCTGAGTTTTAAATTCATGTAGATTAAAGAGAAGTGAATAATACATTTTAGATCTGAATGTAAACAGATGCATATTCTAAGTGGAATAGATTCATTTTCTTTATTGTAGATGAGAAGGAACTATATTGACTAATTTCCTAAAAAGAGGAAAAGTCTTTGACTAACCCTGCGTTGCTTAAAAATACTCATATTTTTACATTTATTAAATGCTAATGTAAATTATACTGTAGAAATCTGAACAGTTTTTAAAATCTGTACTAGCAAGTCAGGAATATAATCTGACCTTGTGAATGAGTAGTACATTAACATTAAGCTGACTTTCCCTGTGTTCCCAGGGATAGCTTCTATTGTGGACGTGGAATCCAAATAACAATTTAAATATTTAGTTTCACAGATATTGTGTTGAAATGGCATTAAGCCAGCATATGTAGAGTTCTGGAAAAAATTAAAGTGTGTTTCCTGAAATATCCATGGGAACATGAGAAAACCATTGGCAAGATTTTTTTCAGGTGTCAGCATTATCACACTCATAATTAACAGAGTTAAATGAACTCTGTTTTATGCACATTTCATCCCTACTTGTTACCTCTTGTACCTTTCATTAGAAGTATGAAGTATCAAGATATAGTGGGGAGAGTATGAACTTTGGGGTGAGAAAGACATGGATATCCCAAGTCTCTGAGAAGGAGTGATTAAGTAGCTTATCCTCAGAAACTCCATTTTTAAACATGGAGCTACTTACATCTACCTCATGGAACTGTAATGGAAAACACCTGATATCCCCCCTAAAGACCCTATAAAGTTATAATTATTTTGAAACTTACTTTTATTGAAGGATAAATGTGGCATACATACATTGAAATATTATTCAGCCTTAGGGAAATTGTGACACATGCTACAATATGAATAAACCTTGAAGACTTATACTAAATGAAATAAACCAGTTATGAAATGATAAATATTGTGTAATTCCACTGCTTATATGATACACCTAGAGTAGTCAATTTCTTAGAGATGGAAAGTAGAATAGTGGTTTTTGGAGGAGGAAGAGAATAGGGAATTAGTGTTAATGGGCACAGAGTTAAGAAAGGAAATGTTCCAAGGATAGATGATGGTGATGGTTGCATGACAATGTAAATGTATTTAATGACACAAAATTGTACACTTCCGTGGCTAAGATGGTAATGTTTGTGTTATTACTTAATCACAATGCAAAAAGATTACAACTTATAAAAAAGATGTTTTAAAGTTTTATTTTGTTTTACAATTTCCTGTATTTGTTTAATTCCGATATCTTTTTTAGTTAATGTAGAATTGAACTAAAAGTGATTTAATAGTTTAAAGAAGTAAATTGTCACAGTTACGGTAGGCTCAAATTTGCCTAAGCGTGAGTTTTAGATAAGCTAGTTTTTCTTGCCTTTAAGTGCAGGTAGGCCCAAGATGATTGTTTTGATTCTTTTGGTTTTGGTTTTGGTTTTTTAACGTAACCTGAAATTAATCAGAAAGCTTAAATTATTATGATTCTCTTAGCTCACTAAAATAATTCAAAGAAATAGTCTCAAAATTCAGAGTCAGAATGAAAACAAAGACATCTATTGTTTAGCAGTTAGTAGTGGTGGAAAGGAATTTATTTTTATAAAGAAGGGATGGTGTTCCATTGAGTTTTGTTTGATTTGTCCCACCCTTTCCAGGGATAGGCTGTGTGAAATTCATGTGAAAACCAGTGCAGTGAAACAAAGTTCAGAGCCAGGAAAACACACACACACACACACACACACACACACACACACACACAAACTGAAACTAATGCAATGTGATTTTTTATAGCTTCTTTGTACCCTGCTTGTTTAATTTTAAAGAGCTACAAACCCACAGGAATTATCCTGCTACAGCATCTTTCAGACTTGATTCTTTTGTTGCATCCTGTCTTGTTCTTTTTCTAAACAGAGAGTAAACTCACCAGATTTGTGTTTTAGAAGGGTACAACTGGGAGCAGCATAGAGGATGGATTGGAATTGGGAGAGGATGGAGATAGGGACATCGAGAGGGAGAGAGATGCAATCCAGAAAAGAACAGAGACACCTAGATACTTGGGTTTGGATCAAGTTCCACAATTTTCTCTCTGAACTTAAGCGAGTTACTCAGCCTGCCCAAGCCTTAGTTTGTCTGTCATATGAACTTAATACCCATCTGGCAAGGTGTGAAGATTAGTAATAATGCAAGTAAAACTTGTTCGTACCATGTTGGGCATATAATTGACACTCAAGAAGTAATAAGTATTGTTTTCTCTTTTGATTTAGCAAGATGATTTAGTCATCTTGCTTAAGATTCCCTAAAGCTGTACCCATTTTTTCACTGGTTGAGCAACAAAAATGATGGGGATTGGGAGGGAAGTGGTTAGTGTTTGGTCCAAAGGGAACCCAAGGTATATTTTTTGTGACTGTGTTAACTGTTTTTTGATCATGACAGTTGGGGATTTGATGAAGAGTTTAGTCTTCATCCATGTCCACATCCCCAGTACATGCATGTAGAGTAGCATGTTTGTCATTTGTTTTCCTCATATTACTTAGACCCTACTAGTTAAACAGCCATGAAGTATATTCAACCAACCAAATTTATTGAACACTGCCCGTAAGTAAGGAAATGAAATTACTACGAGTAAAACATAAGACCCCTGTCCACAAGTAGTTTGGGGGACTCTTTGTGCCCGTTATACTCCCAGCATTTGACATGGTGGTTTATACTCAGTAATTGCTTCTGGAATGAATGGATTGATCAATATAGCGGAGTAGAAAAGAAGCGTTGGGCTAGGTGCGGTGGCTCACGCTTGTAATCCCAGCACTTGGGGAGGCTGAGGCAGGTGGATCATTTGAGGTCAGGAGTTTGAGACCAGCTTGGTCAACATGGTGAAACTTCATCTCTACTAAAAATACAAAAATTACGGCTGGCTGCGGTGGCTCACACCTGTAATCCCAGCACTTTGGGAGGCCTAGGTGGGTGGATTACCCGAGGTCAGGAGTTTGAGACCAGCCTGGCCAACATGGCGAAACCCCGTCTGTGCTAAAAATATAAAAATTAGCCAGGCGTGGTGGCGGGCACCTGTAATTCCCAGCTACTTGGGAGCCTGAGGCAGGAAAATCGCTTGAACCTGGGAGGCGGAGGTTACAGTGAGCTGAGATCATGCCATTGCACTCCAACCTGGGCAACAAGAGTGAAACTCCATCTCAAAAACAACAATAACAAAACAAAAACAAAAATTAGCTGGGCGTGGTGGTGCATGCCTGTAATCCCAGCTATTCAGGAGGCTGAGGCAGGAGAATCGCTTGAACTCTGGAGGCAGAGGTTGCAGTGAGCCAAGATCATACCACTGCATCCAGCCTGGGTGACAAAGCAAGACTCTGTCTCAAAAAAAAAAAAAAAAAAGGAAAAAAAAAAAGTGTTGATATTATTTTACTGTGTGGTAAATGCTATAATTCTGTGATGAACTAAAAAACAAAAAGCCTGAGGAGCCCTAGAAGACAATAACACTGCAGAAGGGAAAGGGGGAGGTTGAATACTTGATTGTATCCACTAGGTTGCTGTTGGTGGAGAAAGGCTGATTGCGGAAACAAAAACACATTCCCAGCTGAGCAAGCAGCATATGAAAAGGCTTGAAAGCATTAAAATGCATGACATATTTGTGTATATAGTATGGTGTGACAGAAGAAGATAAGACTAGAATGGAAATTGGCTCCAGATTTTGAAGAACTAAATAATACAAGGATTTTGGATTTTATTGTATTTTCAGTCAGGAGCAATAAATAGTTTTGAGGAAAGGGGAGGTATGGGATATATGATCAGATCTAAGTTTTAGAAATTAACTTTGGGGGCTAAATAATCAATGACTAGGAAGAGTCTAGAATGAAACACTTGTTATAGCCAGGTTGAAAGAGAATAAAATACAAGTCAATGACATGAGGGATAGTGAAGAAGGAATATATTTGGGATATGTTTTAGAACTAAAATCCATTATTCCAAGGGAGGGTGAGAAAAGGAGGAGTCAAGATTTGTTTTGGTTTGGTGTCTTTTTTTTCTTTTTCTTTTTCTTTCTTTTTTTTTTTTTTTTTTTTTTGATGTTGTTTTGAATCTGTGGCTGTTAACCAGGATAGAGAATCTAGAAAGAAGAATCTGCTGACGCGTGGGGATTAAATGGTTTAGTTTTGCAAGGAATTGGTTTTGAGATGACCATAGGACGCATATAGTAGAGCCCTGCTGTGTATTCTCATAACACCCTTTACACACCTCTGTTATAACAAGCACTATATTATAATTACCTGTTTACTGGTCTGTTTTCTCTACCACTGTAAGCCTGTCAAAGGTAAGGAGTGTCTTTTATTCCTCACCATAATTCTATACCTGGTGTCTGGCACATATCAGACTCTTTGATACTGAATAGAAGAAAAAGAAAATATAACACAAATACCCATGTGGAATTCAAGAGAAAAGACAGTGCTAGTGTTATCAGCATACAATAGAAAGCTGTAACCATGTTAGCTAATGAGATAGCCAGTGAAAAGAAGGACGATGATGTGATTTTAAAAATAGAAGAAAAGGAACCTAAATCAGAACTAAGAAAAGATAGTGGTAGGAAATGGATGCAAAAGGATAAGAGTTTCAGAATAAGAAAATGGCCAGCATTTTCATTTACTTCAGCAGGTGGAAGTAAGAAATAATTCTTTGGGTTGTGAAATTTTGTAGTATTGATGGTTTTTAAGGGGTTCAGTGAAAGTGAGAAGTAACGGGGTGGTATTTTTGAGAGGGACTGTTTAGAACAGTGGGGAGTTCCATTGAAGTGGTAGAGGTGGAGGCATTAATACTACTCTTTCAAGAAGAAAATCTCAAGAAAACCAAAGAAATAAAGGTTAACCAAGCTTTGGATGAGGCACTAGCACATTTTGTCTCAAGCATGTCAGGTTCAATTATTAGTATCACCCACACCTCTTATTAAGCTAGGTAGGTCACTTACTGGGAGGTGGTTTTGCCTCTGCTAATTGCACATTAGCAAATCCATGCCACTGCATGTCACTGTTACTTCTCAGATGTTAGTTAACTAGAAACAATACAAATATCTGATAGTACTCTGTCTCAAAAAAAAAAAAAGTTGAAGTTTTTAAAAAAGTAAACACTGATTGTTCAAGAACCGACTGCCTTTGAAGGACTCTTAAAAGAGGTTTTATCATGGCCAGTTCTTTCCATTTCACTCTGTTAACTACAGTGCTTAAGAGGAGATTGAGAATGAATGTGAATTTTTTTTTTTTTTTGAGATGGGGTCTCACTCTGTCACTTAGGCTGGAGCGCAGTGTCTCCATCATAGTTCACTGCAGCCTAGAACCCCTGGACTCAAGCAGTCCTCTGGCTCAGCCTCCCAAGTAGCTGGCACTACAGGCACACACCACCACACTTGACTAATTTTTAAATATCTTATTTTAGAGATGGGATGTAACTATATTGCCCAGGCTGGTCTTGAAATCTTGGCCTCAAGCGACCCTCCCACCTCAGCCTCTCAAGTTTTTGGGATAATAGGCATGAGCCACTGCTCCTGGCTAATTGTGAATCTTTATTTAGCAATATGGAGATGCATTTTATGCTGGGGTACATAATTGAGCATAGAATTGGCACTTACGGCACAGAGCAGTGACTGTAGGCAAAAAGTTCATGGAGTTTTGGTATACGGGACTAATTTGCAATAAAAATCTGTAGTGATCTTTAATGTCTCTGTAAGAATAAAAGTAGTGAAAGAGTAGCTATAATGAAAATAAAGCATAATTGAACTTTTAGGTGTGATGGAAGAGGCTGTATAAGTGAACATAATTGTCTGTCACCTCAAGTGACTTGACTTTTTTAAAAGAGAGGTAAGGCTGGGTACGGCAGTTTATGCCTGTAATCCCAGCACTTTGGGTGGCTGAGAATTTTTTTTTAAATTTTTTATTTTTTTTATTTTTATTTTTTGAGACAGAGTCTCGCTCTGTCGCCCAGGCTGGAGTGCAGTGGTGCGATATTGGCTCACTGCAAGCTCCGCCTCCTGGGTTCATGCCATTCTTCTGCCTCAGCCTCCCGAGTAGCTGGGACTACAGGCGCCTGCCCCCATGCCTGGCTAATTTTTTTTTCTTTTTTGTATTTTGAGTAGAGACGGGGTTTCACCGTGTTAGCCAGGATGGTCTTGATCTCCTGATCTCGTGATCTGCCCGCCTCGGCCTCCCAAAGTGCTGGGATTACAGATGTGAGTCACTGTGCCTGGCTGATAAATTTTTTTAAAAAATTACCTGGGCATGGTGGCACACACTTGTGGTCCTAGCTACTCAGGAGGTGGAGGTAGGAGGATCACCTGAGCCCGGGAGTTTGAGGCTGCAGTGAGCTAGGATCACACTACCACATTCCAGCCTGGGCGACAGAGCAAGACCCTGTCTCAAAAGTAAAAGCATCCTTGAACTTGCATCCACCAACCTGCCCTGTTGGTAATTGGACTTGTTATAAGGATCTAGGCTCATCACTTCTATAAAAGGAGGAGACAAACTGTGAGTGCTTACCTACCAAATACCAGGCTATTCATATGTATCTTATTTCAAATGGATAATAATCCTTATTCTATCTGTTTTACAGAATTGTTAGGATGATAAAATGAGATACAAATGTGTACATTTTATTCCTTTCTGTGATACATAAAGGATATTTATTCAAAGTACTATTTTGCTTTTATTTAGATATTAACAACTTAGAATGTGAAATTAGGAAATTAATTTATTTATTTTTTCCTCAGTAATGTGTTTCCCGACTAACAATCAAATTAACTCATACAGGCACTGTAGACATAAGCCAAGAAGTAGAGATAGTATAAGTATTTTAATTTGGATTACTTAAATCAGTTAATAACTGTTAAATTTTTTTGAATTTGAAGTTAGTTTTTGAAAAGCTGTAACTATTGGGCGCTTATAATGTTCTTTGTGTATTGTTAAATGTTTTATGTATAGTCCTTAGTAATTTATACAGTAGCTCTATGAGATCGATAGTATAACATTACCTCTATGGAAACTGAGGCTCAGTGTGACAAGCTCATACTATTAGTAGTAGAACCAGTATCTTTTTTTTTTTTTTTGAGACAGAGTCTTGCTCTGTTGCCAGGCTGGAGTGCAATGGCACAATCTCAGCTCACTGCAAGCTCTGCCTCCCGGGTTCAAGCAATTCTCTTGCCTCAGCCTCCCGAGTAGCTGGGACTACAGGCGTGCGCCACCATGCCCAGCTAATTTTTATATTTTAGTAGAGATGAGGTTTCACTGTGTTGGCCAGGATGGTCTCGATCTCTTGACCTCGTGATCCACCCGCCTTGACCTCCCAAAGTGCTGGGATTATAGGCGTGAGCCACTGCGCCCGCCCGGAACCAGTATTTTAACTTAGGTATTTCTTAACTCCTAATTGTGTGCTTCAGCATCACAAATATGACCTCTGTTCTTTTTGTCAATTTATAAAAGGTGGCCTTACTTTTTCCTTGGGTGGCTCTTGCTCTTTTCCATCTTTATTTGCTATTTATCCTACTTCTTTAACAAATAGTTGAGCACCTGCTATGTGCCAGGCATTATTACAGGTGCTAGGGGTCCAACACTTAATCAGACATAAAAAAGCCTGCCCTCATGAACCTTAGGTTCTAGTTTACATTATACTTAAATTACCAAAATATATGTCAAGCGGTTATAGGTTCTATGGAGTGCAGGGCGTTGGAGGGAGGAATTTTGGTACTTTATTGTCAATGGGAATTAGAATTAAAGTCTGAAGGATGAAGAATTAGAGTAAGGGACTTTTTATGGTAACTGATGTAAGTAGGGATTAAAAAGAAATCCCTTATGGTCTTGAGACAGAGGTTGTGAATCTCTAGATTTTGCCAGAAGTGCAGCAAGTTCTGGGGTACCTCTTCATTGTGGAGGCCAGGGAATGGGTGGTTTTATCTATGTTTGTGGAGCTGATGGACTACTCCCTCTTCACTTCTGTCTATGGAGGCCAGAGAAAAGGAATCTTATTGTATAATTTTTCCTTTACTACTTAGTGTTTTGATAAACCTCATTCCTGCTGAGTGATTCAGTTACTTTCAGTTGCCAAAACAAATAATAAAGTATTTTATAAAGTGTATTTTCCTATCACCTTCTCAAAGAAAGTAGGTGGAACTTTGAGCTTGCCAAATCTTCTCAGTTCCTTAGTGTAATTACCAAAGTACATTGTTTTTGAGTCCAGAGTAGTAGTATACAAAGTTGTTAGTGTCTGAGACCAGAGCTTTAGACCACTTTCCCAGGCCCTCTGGCATCCAACTGGTAATCACATTATAAAAGATGGATAAAAGACTTAATTGATTGAGCATGAAAACTTCTCTTGAAGTACAAATTCTAAAAAAAAGATAAAGACTCCTTTACCCAATACTGAGTGTTTTGGGACAAGGCCCAAATTTGTGGCATTAGAAAAGCTTCATAATCGAGTGGAAAGAGTATAGCCTTTTGGAGTCAGATAACTGGGTTTAATTTTTGACTTTGACTCTAACCACATTACATTGAACAAGTTACACCATCTCTCTAAGACTTAATTTCCTCATTTTTGAAATAGAGATGTGACAAATTAAAAGGCACTCACCATTAAATTATAAAACAACATAATAGATGCTGTAGAAAAATCAAATGTAAAATGCTGTAGGAACAGATATAAGGGCAACAGTTCTTTGGATTCTGGGGTGAGAACGGGCAAGTGGACTGAGAAGACTACTAAGAGAGGGAGATTTTTACATCATGAGTGATGAGTTGGAGTTGATCAAGTACAAAAGTGAGGGAACCACTTCAGGAAGAGAATCCTGTGAGGGCAAATATCTAAAGGAATAAAGTGTATTTCCTTAGCAAAGGTCTAAGTTAGTCCTTCTCCCAACATGTTCCCATAATTTTCTTTACCCTAAATCAGTACTTATTAGGTACGATTTGCTTCTGTTCTCTACTAAACTATAAACTTTGGGGCAAGGTTCTATTTTCTTTTGTTTATCATAGCTTACTCTTTGTACATTATCTACTCAATAAGTATTCAATGAATGGATTAAGTGAATCATTTTTCTTTGAATTTTTCAAAAGTACAATTTGAAATGTTTTTGAATGCCATACTATGTATTTAGATTTGGTCTTATGAAATGCAGATGTGTAATAGCTGTTAAGCAGGGGAATTAGTTTAAATAAAAGGCAGCAGAGAGTCCAGGCTTCTAGCCTTAGCTGTGCCATTAACTGGTTAAATGACCTTACTTCTCTTGGGGTTGCCATTTCTTTATCTAACAGTATTGATTTGTAAGTTTTTTTTTTCCTACTTTTTACTCTGCCATCAACTTGATTTTAGATTTCTAAGTTTTCTTCCAACTATAATACTCAGGGATTGTGTAGTTTCTCCTGCCAGATGTTTATATGTGGGCCTTTTAGGGGAAAATTGTGTTTGACACATGGTGTATGCTCCATAAATATATAGTCAATGATTAAAAATCCAAAGCATAAATCAGGACTTCTCAGTCAGAGAAATTAAACAGATTTTTAGAACCTTACATCTTTGAGGTACTAGATGAACATGGAGCCATAGCTACTTTTGTTAATGAGTATAACGTTATATCGTTTTGTTGATGTTGTGACAACCAAATGAAACATTGCCACAAAGTTTGCAGAACTAGGTTTTAAAATGATGGTGAGTTTAAGTTTCATTCCAAGACTCAATAAATAATTGAATGAATTTTCATAAGTGACACATATTTATACTTTTTGCTGGGAATTTTTGGTATGAAACCCTTATTTGGGTAATGTTCATATTGAGCTGAGTTCTAAGAAACTGTGGTGTGGGAAGATGCAGTTTTTAATGAACTTCTCCTTTCTTGCTTTGTAAGGTATTTCCCAGCTCTAGAGTTTATGCTAAAGTTTAACTGCCTTGAATTTTTCCTGTTGGGTGTTAATGTGAAATTTGGCCTGTTAAAACCATGTTAATATTTTAAATTTAAGTATCAATAATGCTAGGAAAACCTTATTGTGCCCTCACAATAACTAAGTGCTTTCCATTTCATTTACATGTACAACTTTAAAAATTAGACGGTAGGCCGAGACCGGCGGATCACGAGGTCAGGAGATCAAGACCATCCTGGCTAACACGGTGAAACCCCGTCTCTACGAAAAATACAAAAAATTAGCCGGGCGTGGTGGCAGGCACCTGTAGTCCTAGCTACTCAGGAGGCTGAGGCAGGAGAATGGCGTGAACCCAGGAGGTGGGGCTTGCAGTGAGCCGAGATCCCGCCACTGCACTCCAGCCTGGGCGACAGAGTGAGACTCCGTCTCAAAAAAAAAAAAAAAAAATTAGAGGGTAGAAAACAGAAGGCTAATACTTATATATTTTTGGAGGCTAAGACTTGAATTGCAACTTAGCCCAAAGAAATCACTGTAAGTAGTTAGGGTTATCCTGAAGGGAATATGTTTTATTTATTTTTTTGAAGTCTGAAATATCTTGGCCTTGAATAGCATGAAATTCCCTTATTATCTGGAATAAAAAAAAACCCTAAGCTATAAGTAGTGAAAGTCTTAGGAAAATATTTTTGAAGCATTTAAAAAAAAATTCTGAATATGTTGTGTAAGAAGTACAGTGTAATTGAATATCTGGCAGACATTCTATATGAGTATCTTTATGGTTTTTGTTTTTCAGGCATTAAAAAATATTTAATCATTCATGTGTTGAGACTCATTCTTGAGTTATGGATGACAAGGCTTCTGTTGGAAAAATCAGTGTCTCTTCAGACTCAGTATCTACTCTTAATAGTGAAGATTTTGTCTTGGTTTCCAGGCAAGGAGATGAGACACCATCTACAAATAATGGAAGTGATGATGAGAAAACAGGACTCAAGGTAAAACTCCCTAACCTAAGATTGTTTTGCTTAGCTTTTCTAAGCCCATTGCAAAACTTGGCCTTAACAGAAAACAGATATGGGAGGAAAGTGAGAACATGGAAGTAATATACTTCTTTTTCTTTAAAGAATTTTATTTGCACTTAGTGAGAAGTTTGTATTTGATTAAAGATTTTCACTCTGATTAGCTTTTCCTAAATTTTTCAATACCCCTAAGTGTCAAAACTAGTGGTTATAGTATAAACATTTGTCATTTTAGTATTGTTTTCACTTTTCCATTGAATTACAAGTACTTGTTTTGTTTGGTCCTGGTTTACATAATGTAAGGGCACTGGCAGGTCAAAGATGCTATTTATGAAAATGTGTTTTAGGATTATTGAAACAACTTTAAATACCTGGCCATTTTTTTTTTTATAATTTCTCAGCCACTATTACTTATTTTCCAATGCCCTATTATTGTTCTACTCTTTATTGATATAAATAAAAACAGATTATCTGTTAAAGTTGTCATTTAAAATATAAGTAGCTTTAAAAATGTTTTAATTCCTGTTAACATCTTTTCTTGCAACAAATGTTTACTAAGTAATGACTATATGCCAATTATTGTTCTAAGTACTGGGGATATAGTGGTGAACAACACAGGCAAAACTCCCTGCCCTTCTAGAGCTTTAATTCTTTTTTTTTTTTTTTAAGAATGAATCATCCATTTTATTTTATTTTGTCATGTGCTCAACAGCATCTCTCTCTCTCTCCCCTCTCCCTGGCAGGTCACAGAGATAAATTAAAAATAAAATCTACAAGGAAAATAATTTATGAAAGCACTCCCAGGTTCACACCTTCTATCCCTACTGCTCAGTTAGGCACCCCCTAACTGGGAATCAGTGCTTCCCCCCACCCCCATTTCACTCCCACTTGTCTGGGGCAGACGGTACTCCAGAGCCGGGCAGGGGTGAGGGCAGCAGTGGCAAACAGTTAAAAATAAAGACATTGTAGTCCTGGAACCATCTGGCCACCTTGGCATTCCCATGTCTGCCTCCCCCAGGCAGCCCTCCAGGAGCCTGTGCGAAGCTGGGGCTGTGGAGAAGCTGCCTATGGCTGAGAGCTTGTGTGTTTGGGGAGGTGTAGAGCTTTAATTCTAATGGGGGAAATAGACTCTAAGCAAATAAGAAAATAAATATATCAAGTAAATTTAGGTGCTGTGAAGAATAACAAAACAGGATATGTGGATAAACAGTGAACAACGTTATGATTGTTCCTTGACTTTTAAAAATTTTTGTCAAAATGAGAATACTTGGACACAGGATGGGGAACATCACACACAGGGGCCTGTCGTGGGGTGGGGGGAGCAGGGAGGGATAGCATTAGGAGAAATACCTAATGTAAACGACAAGTTAATGGGTGCAGCATACCAGTGTGGCACATGTATACATATGTAACAAACCTGCACATTGTGAACATGTACCCTAGAACCTAAAGTATAATTTTAAAAAAAAATTTTTGTCAAAATTTTGAAAACTTGCCAGGTGTTGTGGCTCACACCTATAATCCCAACGCTTTGGGAGGCCTTGGCAAATGAATCACTTGAGCCTAGGAGTTGGAGACCAGCCTGGGGAACATGGCAAAACCCCATTTCTACAAAAGTCTAAAAAATTAGCCAGGTGTGGTGGCACACACCTTCAGTCCCCACTACTTGGGAGGCTTAAGTGGGAGGATTGATTGAGGCCAGGAGGTGGAGGCTGCAGTGAACCATGATCACACCACTGTACTTCAGCCCGGGTGACAGAGTGAGATCCTGTCTCAAAAAAGAAAAAACCCTTACTCTTACTCATAAATATATAGAGGAATAAATAAAAAACAGTAAAACTTAAAAAAATTAATTAATAAGAGTGAATGACAGGTGCTTTTTTAGAGAAGGTCTTGAGATGACATTTGAGGTGAGGCCCAAATGAAGTGAGGAGGAAGGCCATGGAAAAATCTGGGAAAAGAGCTTTCCAGTTAGAGCAGCAAATAGACCATGAGGAGAACCACCCTTGCTAGGACAGGGGTTAGAGCAGAGTGAACAAAGTAAAAAGCAGTAAAGGATGAGATCCAGTAGTGGGCATGGGCTGGATTGTGTAGAACCCTGTGGAGCTTAATAGAAAGTGTGGGGCTTTACAAAAAAAAAAAAAAAAAAAAGAGTGGAAATTTTGGAGAGTTTTGAATGGGATCATGATCTAATTTATATTTTTAAAAGCTCACTGGTTAAGAGGGACTTGTAGGATGACAGCATGTTCTACTCCTCAGCAGAACTGGTGACAATTACAAAAATAAAACATTTAAGGTCTCTGAAAGTGTTTTAAAGGAAATACAGCAAATGAAAAAACATTTATTCAAGAAAATTCATAAAATTTGGTCAGAGGGGCAAGAACCTGTTATTGGTAACAAGACCTGCCCTTTCCTTACCCTATCCCAGCTGAGAGAGATGGTAACTCTTCTCCATATTGGTGCAGTGAAGAAGACAAGAATCCCTGTCCCCCATCAGCTCCCATTCTGGGCTATCTTCCAAAGCAGGAGCAAGATATCATTATTTCTCATCCTGCTTCCCCATGCCTGTTTCTGGCCAAGTGTGACTAAGAGTTGGGGGCCTTGTTTTTCTGCCCAGCCCCTGCTCCTGGGACAGAGGCTTTACTTTGGGCAGAGCAACTAACCCTGGGGTGTCACTCAGTGACACACAGTGTGTCATTGTCTCTACTTCCAGCTCCAAAGCCATGTCTCAGAGATTTTACCTTCAGAGAAAAGTTGGCCTTAAAGCAGCCTTCTTAAAGGAATGGGCTTCATGCACGACAGAGTATAGAAAAGTTTAAGCCTAAGGTTACTCTAAAAAATAGTGGAGGTTGTGGTGAAAGGTAATTGGGGAAGATTGGTAGATTGATGGGACATTTAGGCTTGACTATAGATGTGCTCATTTGCCTGAGGAAACTAGGGAAAGACACAGCTGGGAGGAGATCACCAAGGGTCAAAACAAATCTCAACCCTTGACCTCTGGAACTTTCACTTCAAAGATACCCAAGTTTGATTGACTTAGACTATGGAACAGTTTATACTGTAGTGCATTGTTGAAATCATTACAGGAATCAGACAGCAATTAGTGTAATTTAACAAGCTAGTTGTGGTCAGAGAAACCAAGAATCAGCGAGAGCCCTGCCCAAACCACTCTCATCCCAAGGTGACAGTGAGCAATCTCAAGTCTGAGCTCCCTGAGGAGCAACTCCAGAGGCTTAACACTAGACAATGGAATCTACAAAAATCAACTAGCCAGTCACCCAATAAACAAGCATCAACAATAACAAATCTTGCAGTGGGGAGGCCAGTACTTAGTGTTGGTACTGTATATTATCTCAAGTATCTAGTTTCTAACCAAAAATTATAAGACATTCAGAGAAACAAGAAAATATGACCCAGACATCCCGTTAAAAAAGCAAGCTACAGATACTGCCTGTGAGAGTGACTGGTTGAGTTTAACACAGAGCTTTCAAGGTAGCTATTATTAATATATTCAGCAAACTAAAGGAAATCATGTAGAAATGAAGGCGTGATGATAGTTTCACATGAAACAGAGAATATTAATAACGAGATAGAAATCATTTTAAAAAGAAGCAAATGGAAATTCTGGAATGGAACATCACAGTAACTGAAATGAAAAACTCACTTGAGGGCACAACAGTACATTTCAACTGGCAAAAGAAAGAGTTAATGAACTTGACGATAGATCAGTAGAAATTACTCAAAGAACATGAAGAAAAACAATGTAGAAAAAAACAGGCTCAGAAAAATATGGGAAACTATTAAGTGTACCAACATGCTTGTAATAGGAGTATCAAAAGGAGAGGAGAAAGAGAAATGACTAGAAAAAAAATTTTAAGTAATAATGTCCAAAAACATCCCAAATTTATTTAAAAACAATAATTTATATATCCAGGAAGTTCAATGAACTCCATGTAGGATAGATGCAAAGATATCCACAAAGAGGAGTATCTTGATAAAGATGCTAAAAGACAAGGAAAAAATCTTGAGAGAGCAGCAAGAGATAACTGACTCATCAACTTACAAGGGAACCTGCCCATAAGATTTATAGCTAACTTCTCAGCAAAAAAATGGAGGCAAGAAGCCAGTGGGACAACATATTCAAAGCACTTAAACCAAAAAAACTGTTAACCAACAATTCTATGTCCAGCAAAGCTATTATTCAAAACGGAAGGTTCCTTGAAGTAAAGGCATTCTGAGGTAAAAACTCAGAGAATTTGCTGTTGGCAGACCCACTTTACAAGAAACACTAAAGGAAGTTCTTCAGGCTGAAAGCAAGTTACTCCACATGATGATTTTAATCCACATGAAAAATCTTAAGAGCACCAGTAAAAATAATTATGTAGTAATAACACTATAAATGCATATTTTCTCCTTTTCTCTTTTGTGTTGTGTATATATCATGTGTATCTATATAGGCACTTAATAGCTGTAAAGTTCCCTAAGAACTGTTTAAGCTGTATCCCATAAATCTTAGTATATTTACTGCATTTTACTGCAGTACTGTATAGTATGTATATAGTATATTGTTGGGCCTATGAGATGTGGAAATGTAATATGTTTGCCAATAATAGGAAAAAGGAGATAAGATAGGGACAGATCTGTGTTTGGGCTAGGAAATAACTCCATATAGTAACTCAAATTCATAAGAATAAATGAAGAAAACCAGAAACGATAAATAAGAAGGTTAATATAAGAAAAGCTGTAAATGTACATTGGTTCTTCTCTCAACTTCTTTAAAGGTATATATAAAATTATATAAAGTAATAATTGTGACAATGTATTGTTGGACTTCTAACATTTATAGATATAATGTGTATAGCAATACCACAAAAGGCAGGGGGAAGGGAATAGAGCTATGTTTGAATAATGTTTCTATTTCTCAGTGGAATTGAGTGAGTATAAATCAGATGCTCATTCTGATAAGATGTGCATTGTTTCAAGTCCAACAGAGCTTAAAGATTAAAAAAAAAAATGGGTAATCCCAGCACTTTGGGAGAGTGAGGTGGGTGGTTTGCTTGAGGCCAGGAGTTTAAGACCAGCTTGGGCCACATGGTAAAACCCCATCTCTACAAAAAACAAACAAACCCCCACAAATCAGCCAGGCATTGTGGTGTGTGTCTGTAGTCAGAAGGTGACTTGGGAGGCTGAGGTGGGAGAATTACTTGAGCCCAGGAGGTTGATGGTCTGGTGAGCCATGGTCACACCACTGCATTCTAGCCCAAGTGACAGAGTGAGACTCTCTCTTAAAAAAAAAAATAATAAAAATAGTACATTGTAAGTTCCTAGAGGAACTAACAAGGATACAAGTAAAAATATATGTGGAAAAAAATCATCAAAGAAATGTAAATGCTATATTAGAAAATATTTACTAAGTCCAAGAGAAAGCAATAATAGAGGCACAAAAAAGATAAGAGACACACTAAAAATGATAAAGTTGGCACTCCTGAATCCAGCTATATCAATAATAATACTAAATGTAAGTAGATTAAGCAGTGTAATCAAAAGGGGAGATACTGTTAGATTGGATAAAAATATATGATCCAACTGTATGCTCTCTACAAGATATACTTTAGGTTTAGAGATACAAATAGATTTAAAATAAAAGGATGGAAAAATATAATGCAAACAGCATTATAAGAAAGCTGGATTGGCTATTCTGATTTTAGACAAAATAGACTTTAAAACAAAAAACTTTACTAGAGGTAATATATGAATAATGACATTTTGTAATGAGAAGGATTAGTCCATCACAGACATCTAACAATTACATATCTAATAACCAAGCACCAAAATGCATGAAGCAAAAACTGACAGAAATGAAGAGAAAATGGACAATTCAAGAATAATTGTTAGCCGGGCGTGGTGGCTGACTCCTGTAATCCCAGCAATTCAGGAGGCTGAGGCGGGTGGATTGCTTGAGCTCAGAAGTTCGAGACCAGACTGGGCAACATAGCAAGTCCCCGTCTCATTTAAAAAAAAATTATTGAAGATTATAATATACTGCTTTCAATAATGAAGGGGACAACTAGGCCAATCAATAAGGAGATAGAAGCCTTAAATGACACTGTTGACCAACTAGAGCTAACAGATCTCTGTAGAACACTCACCCCAACAATAGCAGAGTATTCATTCTTTTCAAGTGCACCCAAAGTATTAATCCAACCATAAGGGCAGGAAACTAGAAATCAGTAACAGAAGTAAAACTGAAAATTCACTACTACAGGGAAATTAAACAACATACTCCTAAATAAAAAGTCGAAGAAAAAAAAAGGAAGTTAGAAAATACTTGAAATGAATGAAAATGCAGATACAATATACTAAGACTTATGGGATACAGCTTAAACAGTTCTAAGGGAAATTTATAGCTGTTAAGTGCCTATATTAAGAAAGAAGAAAGACCTAAACTTAATATCCTAACGTTCCACCTTAAGACCCTGGTAGAAAGGTACATTAAACCTAAAACAGTCAGAAGGAAGGAAAATAAAAGAACAGAAATTAATGGAACAGAATAGAAAAGCAGTAGAGAAAAATCAGTGGAACCAAAAATTGATTCTTTGAAAATACCAACAAAATTGACAAAACTTTAATTAGATTAACCACAGAAAAAGAAGACAATTTACTGGAATCATAAATGAAAGGGAATAATACTGCTGATAATACGTAGAATTATGAAGGAATACTAGAGTTGTGTGCCCATAAATAGGTAATTTAGATGAAATGGACAAATTTCTAGAGCGACACTAACAAAACTGATAAAATAGTCTGAACAGATCTATAACAAAGAGATTGAATTAGTAATCAAAAAAGTACCCCAAAGAAACCCTGGACTCAGGTGGCTATACTGTTGAATTCTACCAGATACTTAAATAAGAATTAATATCTATTCTGCACAAACTCTTCTCTGGAATAGAAAAGTAGGGAATACTTCCCAACTTACTCTATGAGAACACCATTACCCTGATACCAAAATCAGACAAAGACATCAAAGGGAAACTGCACACCAGTGTCTTTAATGCATATGGACACAAAAATCCTTGAAATACTAGCAAAGTGAATTCAGCTGGTATATAAATATAAAAAAGATTACATACCATGATCAAGTGGGAGTTATTCCAGGAATGTAAGGTTAGTTTAACATCTGAAAATTATTAATGTAATACACCGTATCTATAGAATAAAAAGCAAAACCCACATGATCATCTCAGTAGATGCAGAAAAAGCATTTGACGAAAATCTAACACCATTTCATGAAAAAAAGAAATGAGAAAACTCAAACTAGAAATACAATGGAACATTTCAACCTGATAAAGGACATTTACAGAAAGCTCACAGGTAAAATCATACTTGATGGTGAGTGATTCTTCCCCCGCCTAAGTTTAAGAATAAGACAAGGAGGTCTACACTCACCACCGATCTTCAACATTGTGCTAGGGCCAGGTGCAGTGGCTCATGCTTGTAATCCCAGCACTTTGAGAGGCTGAAATGGGAGAGGATCACTTGAGCCCATGAGTTTGAGAACAGCCTGGGCAACATACGGAGACTCCATCTCTACAAGAAAAAAATTTTTTTTAATTAGCTGAATGTGGTGGCATGCTCTTGTAGTCCCAGTTATTTGGGGGCTGAGGTGGGAGGATCTTTTGAGCCAGAGAGGTCAAGGCTGCAGTGCGTTGTGATCATAACCACTGCACCCCTACCTGGGCAACAGAGGGAGACCCTGTCTCTACTTAGAAAAAAAGATTTCAAGAAAAGTGAAAAACAACAACAACAAAAATGCAATGAAAGAATTTGTAAATGATAGTAGTTCTAGGAAGTATAAAGAACTAAACCATCAACTGCTGAATGGGTAAACAAAATGTAGTATACAATGGAATATTATTAAGCCATAAAATACTGATACATGCTACTACATAGATGAACCTTAAGAACATTATGCTGAATGACAGTCACAAAAGACTACAGATTACATAATTTCATGAATATGAAATATTCAGAATAGGCAAATCTTTAGAGACAGAAAATTAGTGGTTGCCTAGGGCTGGTTGGAGGAGTCTGGTGGGAATAGAAAGGTGATAACTTAAGGGTATATTGTGCTGCTTTTTACAATGTTTGTACTAAAAAAAATTTTTTTTGAGACGGAGTCTCTTGTCGCCCAGGCTGGAGTGCAGTGGCGTGATCTCAACCCACTTCAACCTCCGCCTCCTGGGTTCAAGAGTTTCTCCTGCCTCAGCCTCCTGAGTAGCTGGGATTACAGGCATGCACCACCATGCTTGGCTACTTTTTGTATTTTTAGTAAAGGTGGGGTTTCACCATGTTGGCCATGCTGGTCTCGAACTCCTGACCTCAGGTGATCCGCCTGCCTCGGCCTCCCAAAGTGCTAGGATTACAGGCGTGAGCCACCACGCCCAGCCTGTGCCACTTTTTGAGGTAATGAATTTGTTTTAAAATTGACTTTGGTAGTTGCATGTATCTGTGAATATACTTAAACCATTGAACATACATTTTAAATGAATGAATTGTGTGGTTTATGAGTTATATCTCAATAAGTCTTTTCTAAAAAGCTCCCTGGACAATTAGCGGGAAAGGGGCAAGAGTGGTAGCAAGGAGGGCAGGGGTAAATGTGCTCTGATTCAGAATATGTTTTGGTATTAATGTGAGTAAATTAGATATAGGGTATGAGGTAAAGAGAAGTAGATGATTCCTAGATTTTGGCCTGAGCTGTTTAGTCTAAATCTGAACTAAAAAGTAATGGCATTACCTCAGTAATGCCATTTACTGAGATGGGAAAGAGAAAGGTAAGTCCAGAATTGGGTCAGGAGAACATATTACATTTGAGTTGACTGTTAGCTGTCTCTTTGGAGATGTCAGGTAGGTAGTTTGATAGTTGGATATATGAGACAAATACTAAGGAGAGGTTGATTGTAGCTGCCATCAATAGTATTTACATGCTATTTAAAGCTATGAAATTATGGCTGGGTGCAGTGGCTCAGGCCTGTAATCCCAGCACTATGGGAGGCTGAGACAGGCAGATCACTTGAGGTCAGGAGTTTCAGACCAGCCTGGCCAACATGGTGACGCCCTATTTCTACCAAAAATA
Source organism: Homo sapiens (assembly GCF_000001405.40). Lineage (NCBI taxonomy): Eukaryota > Metazoa > Chordata > Mammalia > Primates > Hominidae > Homo > Homo sapiens. The sequence continues at coordinate 122,966,370 of NC_000009.12, forward strand.
CAAAATTAGCCGGTCATGGTGGTACAGCCTGTAATCCTAGGTACTTGGGAGGCTGAGGCAGGAGAATTGCTTGAACCCGGGAGGCGGAGGTTGCAGTGAGCCTACATTGTGCCATTGCCCCCCAGCCTGGGTGACAAGAGTGAAACTCCATCTCGAAAAAATAAAAAAATAAATAAAGCTATAGAATTAGATGAGACCACTCACAATGTGAGTGTAGATATTGAAGAGACAAGTGATAACAGTTGGTTCTTAGGGTACTTCAGTATTCAGAGATTGAGATGAAGAGAAATCAGCAGAAAAAACTGAGAAGAAAGAACTCTTGAGATATAAGAAAACCCGGGTGTATTACTTCGTTTTCACACTGCTGATAAAGACGCACCTGAGACTGGGAAGAAAAAGAGGTTTAATGGACTTACAGTTCCACACATCTGGGGAGGCCTCACAATCATGGCAGAAGGCAAGGAGGAGGAAGTCATGTCTTACATGGATGGAAGCAGGCAAGAGAAGAGAGAGATTGTGCAGGAAAACTCTGTTTTAAAAACCATCAGATCTCGTGAGACTCACTATCATGAGAACAGCATGGGAAAGACCTGCCTCCATGATTTAATTACCTCCCTCCAGGTTCCTCCCACAACACATGGGAATTGGGGGAGTTACAATTCAAAATGAGATTTGGGTGGGGACACAGCCAAACCGTATCACTAGGAGAGCAGAATTCCTTGTAAGACAAGTGAGGAAGGTGTTTCAGGAAAGCAGTAGTGATCAGGTATGTCTGATTTGGCTAATAGATTGATTTAGATAATAAGTGAAAAGTAACAAGATGCAGGCCTTGGGGATCCTCAAGAATAATGGGTTTTTTTGGAGAGATTGGACTGTAGTAAGGTTAGTGTGGGTTCATTAGTAAATAGGAGATCAGAAAGAAGTGGAAATAAATATAGACAACTTTTTCAAGGACTTTTGCTATAAAATGAGGGCAGAAAAATTGAGTGATAGCTGCCAGGGTTATGGATTTTATTGAATGATTGTAGGATATTTATATATTGGCAGGAATTATTTAGTAAAAAGGGTATGTTACTAGTATGAAGAGAGAGCAGAATCTTTGATTAGGGAAAAGAGTCTCCTGTGCGTAAGTAGAACAGTTAGCCTAGGAACAGTTTCTAGAAATTAAGACAGCAGTAAATATGCAAGTAAATCCATCTTGTCTCCTTTTGGATTTCCTCCATTTGAAAATTTTCTTGTAAACTTTCAAAGTAGTTTGACTTACTCTTCCTGTTTCTACTTTGATTAGTCATTTATAGTACATGGGGGGAACCCTCAGGTATCTTCCGAAGAACAACTTTTTTTGCTGTCTCATATGTCTTTTTTTCCTGAAAAAAATTTTTTTTTTTTTAGACAAGAGTTTCACTCTTGTTGCCCAGGCTGGAGTGCAGTGGCATGATCTCCATCTTCCGGGTTCAAGTGATTCTCCTGCCTCAGCCTCCTGAGTAGCTGGGATCACAAGCACACACCACCACACTTGGCCAATTTTTTGTATTTTTAGTAGAGATGGGGTTTTACCATGTTGGCTAGGCTGATCTCGAACTCCTGACCTCAGGTGATCTACCCGCCTCGGCTTCCCAAAGTGCTGGCATTACAGGTGTGAGCCACCATGCCCTGCCTTTTTTCTTAATGTTTAATTTTTGTGGGTACATAGTAGGTGTATATATTTATGCGTTAATGTGTATATATGCATTACATGAGACATGAGACATTTTCGTACAGGTGTGCAATGAGTAAAATTACATCAGTGTAAATAGGGTATCCATTACCTTAAGCATTTATTCTTTGTGTTACAAACAATTCAATTCTACCTTTTTTTTTTTTTTTTTTTTGAGGTGGAGTCTGGCTCTGTTGCCCAGGCTGCAGTGCAGTGGTGCAATCTCAGCTCACTGCAACCTCCACTTACTGATTTCAAATGATTCTCATACCTCAGCCTCCTGAGTAGTTGGGACAGTAGGCGTGCACCACTATGCCCGGCTAATTTTCATATTTTTAGTAGAGATGGGGTTTTACCAGGTTGGTCAGGCTGGTACTGAATTCGTGGCCTCAAGTAATCTGCCTGCCTTGGCCTCTCAAACTGCTAGGATTACAGGCATGAGAAACTGTGTGTGGCACAGTTACACTCTTAGTTATTTTTAAATGTTCAATTAAATCATTTTTTACCAGCACAGTTATACTCTTTTACTTTTATTTTTTATTTTACTTTATTATTGTTACTATTTTTGAGACAGAGTCTTGCTCTGTCACCCACGCTGGAGTAAAGTGGCAGGATCTGGGCTTACCACAACCTCTGCCTCCCAGGTTCAAGTGATTCTCCTGCCTCAGCCTCCTGAGTAGCTGGGATTACAGGTGTGTGCCACCACACCTGGCTAATTTTTGTATTCTTAGTAGAGACGGGGTTTTGCCATGTAGGCCAGGCTGGTCTCGAACTCCTGACCTCAGATGATCCACCTGCCTTGGCCTCCCAGAGTGCTAGGATTACAGGTGTGAGCCACCGCCCCCAGCTAGTTATTTTTAAATGTACAATTAAACCATTTTTACTGTAGTCACCCTATTGTGCTAGCAAATACTAGGTCTTATTCTTTCTAACTATGATTTGTCATCTTTACCAGAAAGAAATACCCGTATAGTCATGCACTGCATGACAGCATTTCAGTCCACAACCAACTGCATGTATGAAGGTGGTCCCAAAAGATTATAATACCATATTTTTATTGTACCTTTTCTGTGTTTAGATATGTTTAATACATGCATACTTACCATTGTGTTAGAATTGCCTACAGTATTCAGTATAGTAACATGCTATACAGGTTTGTAGCCTAGGAGTAACAGGCTATACCATACAGCCTAGTTGTATAGTGGGCTATGCTTCCTGGGTTTATGTAAGTACACTCTATGATGTTCATACAACAGAACTGCCCAACAGGCATTTCTCAGAATGTATCCCTGTTGTTAAGTGATGCATGATTGTGTTTTGTAGACAAGGAAATTGAGGAACATGTTCTCCAAATTTAAAATATTTCCTCTGTGTGTTTTAATTTCAGTACATTTGTATATTATGTAAGGTTATTATGTATAGAACTGGAATTGAGGAATTATTCAAATTGTTAAATCTTTAAGGTCTGTCATCAGAGGAAGGTATAATAGTGTTACTGGAGATATCTTGCGCAGTGGTCCTCTCCTTTTTGAAACCTTGTATCGTTTCTCAGCCCCTAGTAGAATGACTAACAAAATGACTTAAAAAAAAAAAGATTTGTAGAGCATCTTATCTATCTTCCTAACACATTTTTTTTGCCATTTCAATGTGGTATAATATGGAATTTAAAACATTTTATTTTGTAGAGACAAGGTCTTCATATGTTGCCCAGATTAGTCTCAAACTCCTGGCCTCAAATGATCCTCCCACACTGACCTCCTAAAGTGTTGGGATTACAGTTGTGAGCCACCACGCCTGGCCAACATGACATTTAATAAATTCCAAGGCTCTCGAGTTTTGTTTGTTTGTTGAGACAGAGTTTTGCTCTGTTGCCCAGGCTGGAGTGGAGTGGCATGGCACAATCTCTGTTCATTACAACCTCAACCTCCTGGGTTCAGATGACTTGTGCCTTAGTCTCCTGAATAGCTGAAATTACAGTCATGTGCCAGTGTGCCACCATATCCGGCTAATTTTTTTTTTTTTTTTCTTAGTAGAGATGGGGTTTTGCCATGTTGGCCAGGCTGGTCTTGAACTCTTGGCCTCAAGTGGTCCACCTGCCTCAGCCTCCCATTGTGCTAGGATTACAGGTATGAGCCACTATACCAGGTCCTGGAATTTTTCTTTGTTTCTGTTTTAATGCTAACATTTATGCTTGGGACATAAACATAAAAGTGGAACCATGAGTTGGGTGTGATAGTGTGTACCTGTAGTTCCAGCTGCTTAGGAGGCTGATGCAGGAGGATTGCTCAAAGCCAGGACTTCAAGGCTGCAGTGCTCTATAAGCATGCCTGTGAATAGCCACTGCAGTTCAGCCTGGGCAACATAGTGATACCCTGTCTTAAAAAAGAAATGTTTTTTTAAACTTTTATTTTAGATTCAGGGGGTACATGTACAGGTTTGTTACAAATGTATATTACATGATTCTGAGGTTTGGGGTACAATTACACCCAGGTAGTAAGCACAGTACCCAATAGATAGTTTTTTCAACCCTTATCCCTCTGTCTCCTTCCCTTCCTACCCTCTGTTGCAGTCCTCAGTGTCCATTGTTCCCATCTTTATGTCCATGTGTACCCAATGGAAAACATATTTTAAAAGTCTGTCACTATTCCACCCCAAAACTCCAAAAGTCCCAGTTGAGTGTCTTGTTGAAAGGTCATTTGACAGCTAGTAACTATCACAGGATAGGAATTCCCATTTTTGAAAATATGATAACCTACACAGCCTAAGAAGTTTCCATTATAAAATAATTAGGAAAGCTGGCTGAAATGTAACAAACAGCTTTTTAATTGCCTAGCTGTATTTACAAGAAAGTAATGACAGTCTTCAAGGAACAAAAACAAAGAGGGTACTGAAAGCTGGAACTATACATATGGGCTGACATTTGGTCTGCACTGAGGAATTTTCTATTCTTTATAACCAAAGTGCTTGGATTTTGATAACTACGTTGGGCAAGAGGTAAGGCCTTGGGTTTAGAGAGAGAGGTGTTGGAGCTGAGATCTCCTCAGAAAGTGTACTCAGGGGCTACTTCCTAACTTGAAAGGATAGGGTAAAAATTCTACCTGTACTTCACAGGAAAGAACATAAGGAAACTTACATTTCTTAGCTTGGACACTAATTTGGAGGAGGGTCTTGCTGGGAATTTATTCCCACAGGCTTGCCTTCATGTATGTTTAGAGTTTGAATTTACACTGCTTGTATGTTCCTTGATTGATAATACTCCAGGCACCTTACAGAAGCAATTGCAGAACTACTCTGGAAGAACATACTTGCCACTCAGGCTACATGGTATTTCCCCAGATAACCCTCTTAAAGCAGAGCACACAATCCAAAATTTACAAATATATACAAAGAATTATTTATTATGAGCAAGTTAGCAAACCCCAGCAGAACTGAATCCCACTGGAACTTGGGCATTAGAATTATTAGGTATAACCTTAAGGGAAATATGATTAAAATCATTAAAGACTTAAAGCAAAATTAGAAAACATTTAAAAAGAACAAAATATCAAAAAATGTAAAAATTAAGCCAACTAAAACTGGAATTCTGCAATTAAATTTAGAGCCAGTGAAATTAAAAGTGCAGCAGATATGTTAAACAGCAAATTACACATGGCTGAAGAGAGAATCAAATACCTGGAAAATGGATCTGAAGAAATTATCCAGAAGATAGCATTGAAAGATATGAAAGACCACTTAAGAGACATGAAAATTAAGATGAGAAGGACCAACCATCTTAAGTGTTCTATAATAAGAGAATGGTGAAGATGGAAGAAAATACTTGAAGAGATAATAGTTGAATATTTTCCAGAAGTGATAAACGATATAAATCATTGGCTTCAAAGAACACAGTAAGTCCCAAGTGGAATGATAGTAGAACTGGAGAACATCATAGCCAGAGAGAAAATAATACAAGGCTGAATGAGAATAGAGATGAAGTGGACTTGGTGCCTGTATTTAAGATGCTTATAGCTTAGGGCAGATGACAATTAAAAATCTTGTTACATTTTTTTCTGTTAGTCTTTCCTTTGTAACAGATTACCTCTGCCCATTGTAGTGGCACATGTCTGTAATCCCAGCACTTTGGGAGGCTGAGGCAGGAGGATCACTGGAGCCCAGGAGTTCAAGACCAGCCTGGGCAACAACAGTGCGACCCTGTCTCTTTAAAAAATAAAAATAAAAATGGTAAGAAAAAAACTCCAAATTACCTCGATACTCAGTGGATTAAAACTATTTCTCTTGATTTTGTGGATTGACTGGTTGGTTTTTGCCAATCTTGCGCTCATACAGCTTCATCTGGTGGGTCGGGTGGGGACTGGACTTGAGTAGGATGGCTGGGTCTCCTTCCATGTAGTCGCTCGTCTTAGGCTTCTTCACAGCATGGTAGTCTTAGGACAGGAGTAGCAGCTGTAAGGCCCTTGGGGCTGTGGGTTAGAAATTATACCACGTGGATTCTCGTGTTCAAAGCAAGTCACAAGTCCAGTTCTTATTCAAAGTTTTGGGTAAATAGGCTATATCTCTTGATTGGAGGTGCTGTAGAGATTCTCTGGCCGTATTTAATTTTCAACATCAGTATAGTTAGATGAATGCTGTGGTGTAGATGAGCAAAGGGTGCTATAGAACAGAGGATGGAAACCTAATTCAGCTTGAGGGAAGGGTCAAGGAAGGCTTCTTGGAGTTGGTAATGCTTTACGTAAGCCCTTTAAATAAAAGTATTATGTGATGGTGTGGTTATAGAAAACATAAAGGTATGGCCGGGCGTGATGGCTCACACCTGTAATCCCAGCACTTGGGGAGGCCAAAGTGGGAGGATTGGTTGAGCTCAGGAGTTGAGACCAGCCTAGGCAATATAGTGAGAGCCTATCTCTTTATATATTAAAAAAAAAAAATACATAGAGGTATATTTCTTTTTTTTTTAACCTAGTCATCCATAAGCAGGTATTTTTCGTAATAAAATGTTTTGACAACTCATATCAAAATGTGAGAACTTTCCATAAAAGCAGAACATGTATTTTCTCCATCTGACTGACTATATGTTCCTCTCAGTTGGGAATCTTAGCTCTTACCCAAAGATACTCTATAAATACTGGTTGGGGATGCATTGATGAACTAGTGTTTCTTATGCAGAAAGATCAGTTACTTTTTTTTGCTTTTGAGACGGAGTCTCGCTCTGCTGCCCAGGCTGGAGTGCAGTGGCATGATCCCTGCTCACTGCAAGCTCCACCTCTCGGGTTCACACCATTCCCCTGCCTCAGCCTCCCAGTAGCTGGGACTACAGGCGCCCACCACCATGCCCGGCTAATTTTTTGTATTTTTAGTAGAGATGGGGTTTCACCGTGTTAGCCAGGATGGTCTCGATCTGACCTCGTGATCCACCCGCCTCGGCCTCCCAAAGTGCTGGGATTATAGGCATGAGCCACCGAGCCTGGCCAGATCAGTTAATTTTTTAAACTCTTTAATCCTCATAGAGTTTTCTTCTTGAAAAATCTAATTGACATTATTTAGATGAAAGAAAATTGCCAAACTTTATTAAAATAGCAGATAACAAAAGTCACTCTGTCTCAGTAATGCCGAAACTAATCTTCTGATTTGGTTTCTGATACTGCTTTTTTAGAACCTGATAATCTGCTGGACGTGGTGGCTCACGCCTGTAATCCCAGCACTTTGGGAGGCCGAGGCGGGCAGATCACCTGAGGTCAGGAGTTTGAGACAAGCCCGGCCAACATGGCAAAACCCCATCTCTACTAAAAATACAAAAATTAGCTGGGCGTGGTGGCATGCACCTGTAATCCCAGCTACTCCGGAGGCTGAGGCAGGAGAATTGCTTGAACCCGGGAGGCGGAGGTTGCAGTGAGCTATCACGCCACTGCACTCCAGCCTGGGCGACGAGCGAAACTTCGTCTCAAACCAAAAAAAAAAAAGAAAAAAAGAACCTGGTAATCTTGTCCTCTGTAATGCAGATCTTTTATTCAGCAAAGTTACTGAACATGAGCTCAGTTTAATTAAGAGGGTTATAGTGGTGGTGGCAGTGGAGACACATCAGTAAATACGTCATCATGATACAATTCATCATGTACTAGAATCTAGGTATGAGCGAACTGTGTGAGAATGTAATTGTTGCCTAAAGAAGAAAAGAAAGGTTATGTGTAGTAGGTGATAGTTGAGAAAATATTAAGAGTGCCCTGTACAAACAAGTGAGCCTGTAACGTGGTAAGATCCAGAAGCTTGAAAGAACATGGAGTCAGGACTACTGTAGGTAGAAGAATTGATTGTATTTGCTTTTCTTTTCCTCCCAAGATGGAAATGGCTTTGTCTTTTTTTTTTTTTTTTTTTTTTTTTTAGTTATAATAATGTTTGCTTGATATAGAAAACCAGGCAGTAAGAGAAGTAACTAAAACCCAGCCATGGCCATGTGCAGTGGCTCATGCCTGTAATCCCAACACACTTTGGGAGGTGGAGGCAGGAGGATTGCCTGAGCCCAGGAGTTCTAGACCAGCCTAGGTAACATGATGGGACCCTGTCTCTATTTTTAAAATAAAAAAATTAAAATAAAACCCATCCATAATCCCATTACTTAGTGAAACAGTTGTAAATGTTTTGGGCCTGTCTTCAGTTGACTTTTCAGGATAAATTCACAAGCTGCTGTTCTTTCCCGTCCTCTTTTTATTTTAAAGTAATACTAGAAATTCTAATGATAACTTTATGTTGTTTGGTTCTTCCTTCATAGAGTAAGATAAAAAGACTGATAATCAGAACAGCCATGGTTTATAAAGTAAATCATAAAGAAATTTACTGATTTAACAAAGATCACAGAATGAGTGTGTAAGCAGGTTTGAGATTAGTAACTAAATCTTCAAATATCCAAATTGGACTTTTGGTTATTTCGTGTCATGTATTCTGACACAGCTAAGGTTATTTAGTGTTATAAGTAACATACATACTTCTTAATTGCTCAGCTTTTACACTGAAGCTCAGCAATATTACTCAGTTTGAACCATTTTCATTTGTGTTTTTACTGCAGTAGGATTAAAATAGTGGAAACTGTAGATCATCAGGAATTCGTCTTTAATTTTCTGATCATCTAGGGACTTCTCAAGCACAAAGTGTCCCTTCCTAAGCATGTTTTCTTGAGGGCCTAAATATCCTTCAGAAAAGGATCCCAAACTGCCTGAAGTAGCTTTGTATAACTGGCAAATCAAGTGGGGCCAAGTTGGTATTGTTGCAGTGAAAGGAAACAAGGACTATAAAATTAGAAGTAGAAAATTGAGACCAGGAAATGACTCTGGATTTTGCCTTTGGAACATTTTGTCCTTTGGTTCCATAAATGCAATTTTGCTCTCAAGGAAACAGACTTGTAGCCAATTCTACCGTATAAGATATTGCCCTTATTTGATATATTTAGAAAGGACAAATGTTATTCCAGTATGCTGCTTTTGTACATGAATAGTAGGTGTGTTCTTAGAGTTTCTTTGGGCCACGAAAAGTAGAACTACTTGCTTTCTAAGTTTATTGTTTTCAAACCTCAACTCTAATAGGTGGATCAGAGTTTCTTTAGAAAGAGCTGAGAGTGGGGTGGAGGAATACCAACACTTATTGGATGCTATTTGGCAGGTACTGTGGTGTGAGAGTTAAATGAGATAGTTCTGTAAAAACCACACGATACAGTGCCTGAAATATACGTAAGTGCCCAATAATGTTATCAAACCCTAATAACAATCCTGTGAGATAGATATTAACATCCTCATTTTAGAGATGAGACAGTTGGGGCTCCCAGACATTAATTTGCCCTCAGTTACAGAGTTAATGTCAGAGCAATGTCCCAAAGCCAGATATGTCTTACTTGGGAGTCCAAGTATGGCTACTAAGTTCAGTTGCATAGGCTTTGCACACTACAGTTCTAGTGAGAGCCATTCAGATAATCTGTGCTGTGAATGGGGTGCCTCTTGGAGTTGTGCCACAAAACAACTCTGGGCCCAGTTTTTTTTAGTACCACCCTGCTATGTAAGCAGAATTATGAATAAACAATTCATCATGCAGTCTCCATCCCTGCAAACGTTTATGTCATATGTTTACAGTAGCTGCTAAATGCTAAATTGGCCTTTTTATGTTTATTGTTTTCCTTAACAATTCAGGACTTTCCTAAAGAACTGTTCCTTTTAATGTAGAGTACATGGAAATAAACACAAATCTAAATGTAATTCTTAGTTGTACTATTCATAAATATTTGTTTTGCTTTTTTTGTCTTCATATTTGTGCTAAATTACATTAGAAGTCTTTGTTGGACTTCAAAATATATTGTTTGTGTTTTGCACTGGGCTCTTTGCAGTGTTCTTATTGTAAATGTTAGCCCTTAATGACACTTGCTCAGAATAATGAAAACAGATGGTATTTGTTTTTGTTTTTGTATTTTAGTAGATAAAGCTAAAGTCATTCAGATTTCCTTTCTATAATTAAACCAAAATTTGTAGAATATTCAGTATCCAAGTAGGATAAAATCATACTGCTTTGGCTTCCATTCTTTGCATTTGTAACATTCAGTTCAGTAAATATGTATTTCAGGTGTATTTTGTCCCAGTCACTATCTGAAGCTTTGGGGATATAAAGATAATTTAACAAACAGTCTCTGCCCAGTCTGGTTCAAGGGACTCTCTAAACAAATATTTTCTAAAACAAGTAGCAATGCTAGAATAAACATATATGCTAATATTATGGTAGCCCTGAGGAGGGAGTGATTAAATCCTATCTAGAACGGTTAAGATCTCCCAGAGGAGATAACAGAATTTAAGGTTGGTCTTAAAGAATACACAGGAGGAGAGGATGACTTTCCAGGAAAGGAAACACTCTATACAAAGTATGGGTGCTTGAAAGTTTATGGTGGGTCCTGGGAAAGTTGAGTAGTTTGCTGTGACTAAGTGACTGGAAAGGCAGATTGAGCAGAGTTGTGAAAAGACTAATAGGATATACTTATGAATTTGGGCTTTATCTTGTGGGCATTGAGGAACCATGGAAGGATTTAAAAACAAGGCAGTGCTTGATCACAACTAAGACTGGCAATTATAAGTTGAATGGTGGCCATATGTGAAAGAGAAGAGAGAGAAAGAAGGCAGGCAAACTACTAACTGCAGTAGGCTTACGTAAAATGAAAGAGGTTGTCCTAAGGTATTAGCTATGCAGAGAAGATAGAAGGGAAAAATGGACAGACAAGGGTCAATAGGATTTGTGAGTTATATGGGAATGAGAGAAATCAAGGATGATTGTAATTCTTAATTTGGCCATGGAGTGAATGGTAGTGCAACTCATTGATTAAAAAAGGATGCAGGAGGGCTGGGTTCGGTGGCTCATGCCTGCTAATCCCAACAGGGAGGCCAAGGCGGGCAGATACTTGAGGCCAGGAGTTTGAGACCAGCCTGGCCAACATGGTGAAACCCACCCCATCTCTACCAAAAATACAAAAATCAGCTGGGCGTGATGGCGCATGCCTGTAATCTCAGCTACTCGGGAGGCTGAGACATGAGAATCGCTTGAACCCAGGAGGCAGAGGTTGCAGTGAGCAGAGATTGCGCCACTGTACTGCTCAACCTGGGCGGCAGAATGAGACTGTGTCTCAAAAAGAAAAAAAAAAGCAGGAAGAGGATCAGTGGCTTAAGTTTTGGACAGAATAAGTTTGATGTATCCAACTGAAGGTCTCTATCCAGTAGACAGTTGAGGAAGGGATTGTAGATAGAGATTTGAGATTGTTTGTTGTTGGGAGTAGATACCATACAGTGGCACAGGAGAGTCTAATAACGTGAAGTTAATGCCAAAGACAGAATCCTGGATGAGCACCTTTAGTAGGGTACATAGAAAAAAAGGAACAGTTGTGTTCTCAAATTGCATCTTTTGTGGAAATCATACTTTTTCTGTTTTATTTTAGGTCAGATTTTTTGAGGTAAAATTTACACCAATAAAATGCAACCCTCTTAGTTGTACAGTCCTGAGTTTTAACAAATGTAAAGTCTCATGTAACGACCAGCACAGTCAAGATGGGGAATACTTTTATTACTCCCAAAAGTCCCCTCGTGCATCTATTTAGTCATACCTTTATTCCCCTTCCCTGATAACCAGTGATCTGATTTCTGTCCCTATAGTTTTGTCTTTTCCAGAATGCCAGGTAAATGGAGTCATACAGTATGTAGTCTTTTTGTGTATGGCTTCTTTTACATAGAATAATGCTTTTGAGATTTGTCCATGTTATTGTGTGTATTAGTAGTTTATTCCTTTTTATTGCTTAGTAGTATTCCATTTTATAGATCTATAAGAATCTTTTTATTAATCTACTCACCAGTGAATAAACATTTGGGTTGTATTCAGTTTTTGGCTATTATGAATAATGCATTAACATTTGCAGCCGGGCATTGGTGGCTCATTCCTGTAATCTCAGCAACTTGGGAGGCTGAGATGGGAAGATCGCTTGAGCCCAGAAGTTTGAGGCTGCAGTGAGCTATGATCGTGCCACTCTCCTGCAGCTTGGTCAGCAGAGAAAAACCCTGTCTCTCAAAAAATAATTTGCAAACAGATTTTTGTGTAGACATATGTTTTTATTTTTCTTGGGTAACTAATACCTAAGAGTGAGTCATATGGTAAGTGTAATGTTTAACCTTATAAAACTTTATAAAAAATGGATAATATGACTAGACCATTTTGCATTCCTACCAGCAATGTACGAGGGTTTTCTAGTCGCTCCTTATTCTTGCCAGCCCTTCCTATTGTCAGAGTTGTTTTGAATTTTAGTCATTCATTTTATTTTATTTTATTTTATTTTACTTTATTTTATTTTATTTTAAACAGGGTCTTGCTGTGTTGCCCAGGCTAGAGTTCAGTGGCATAATCTCACTGCAGCCTCAACCTCCTGGGTTCAAGTGATCCTCCCACCTCAGCCTCTTGAGTAGCTGAGACCAAGGTGTGTGCCAGTACTTCTGGCTAATTTTTTAAATTTTTGTAGAGTCGGGGTCTCACCATGTTGCCCAGGCTAGTTTCAAACTCCTAGAGACACACAGTCCACCTGCCTCAGCCTCCTAAATTGCTGGGATTATAGGCATGAACCACTGCGCCCAGACTATAGTCATTCTTATAAGGGTATAGAGGCATCCTATTATAATTTCTATTTCCCTGATGGCTAGTAATGTTGAGTTTCTTTTTATGTGCTTATTTGCCATCTGTGTATCTTTGGTGAAATGCCCTTTTTAGTTGGGTAGTTTGTTTTCTTCTTAAGAGTTCTCTATATATTCTGGATATACGTCCTTCATCAGATATATGACTTGCAAATGTTTTCTCCAGGTCTGGCTTATCTTTTCATTCTCTTAAGAGTTTCTTTTGAGCAGAACTTTTTAATTTTAATTAAGTTCTCAAGTTTTTCTTTTATGATTCATACTTTTTATGTCCTAAGAAATCTCTATGTCACAAGATCAAAAAGATTTCTCCTGTGTTTTATTCTGTATGTTTTATAATTTTAGAGCACACTTAGGTTTGTAATCCTTTTTGAGTTAATTTTTTGTATATGATGTGAACTATTGAGATTCATGTACTTGCATATAGATGTCAGATTAATTGTTCCAGCTTCATTTGTTTTATTTGTCACTTTCTCCATTTAATAACCTTGACAGTTTTGTTGAAAATCAGTTGGCCATATATGTGTGCATCTGTTTCTGGACTCTGTTCTGTGCCATTGATCTTTATATTTGCCTCTTCACCAATACCACAATGTCTTCATTACTTTACCTGAAACTACATTTATTTTAGAGATAATTGTGGTATCTGTTAGGAATGCTATTGGCAGCAAGGAAGAGAGCCCTACTAAGAGTGGGTTTATTTTTCTGCTATAAGAAGTCTGGAGATAAGTAGTTGCTAGTTGGTTTAACTTGTTCATCCATACCAGGTTCAACAGACTATAGCCTGCTGGCCTAATCTGGTCTGCCACCTGTTTTTGTAAATAAAGTGTAATTGGAACATAGCCACATTAGTTTGTTTATACATTGTTTATGGCTGCTTTCATGCTACAAAGTCAGAGTTGAGTAGCTGCAAGAGAGACTACATATAAGGCCTGCAAAGCCTAAAATATTTATTATCTGGCCGTTTACAGAAAATGTTTCTTAACTTCTGATCTATACCATTAAGGACCCAATTTCTTTTATCCACTCATTCATTTTTGGCTCACTGACTCTTTTTTAAGACAAGGGGTCTCCTTATGTTGCCCAGGCTGGCCTCAAGTGATCCTTCCCCACAGCCTCCTGAGTAGCTGGGACTACAGGCACAGGCCACTGTGCTTGGCTTGGCTTACTGACATTTTGTTCTGTGTCACTTCATTGTAATAGTACATCCACCATGGTTCTATATTCATGTTCCAAGTCAAGAAGAAGAGAGAAAGGGGGTGACACCAGTCATGCTTGTTTCTTTTATTGGGAAAATCAACAGTCTTCCAGAAGCTTCCCAGCCAGTTTCTTTACATCTGAAAGGCTAAAATTATGTTATATGGTAAACCATAGCTGTAAGGGAGGCTGGAAACTAAGCAGTCAACTTTCCTAGCCTCTCTAGTGGAGATAGGCATGTGCCAAAAGTAAAAATCATTTGCAATTAGTCGTTTTATCATGATGAACCATTCATATTAGAAAATAAATGAACTGTATAAGTTCCTAGCCCAGTGATTTTCAAACTTTGTTACATGTGAACATCTCATGGGGTGCAAAATGTAGATTCTTGGGGCCCATGTACAGAGGTTTTTCTTGGGTGGAGTCAAGGGATTTGCATTTTCAGAAAGTACCAGAGATCATTTTGATGCCTATGTGGACCCTCTGGTAAATACTATTTTGGCATCGTAGTTTGCGATTTAGATTTGAGGCAGTGTTTCTCAGTCCTGGTTGTATATCAGAATCATCTGTGGAGGTTTTTTGTTGTTGTTGTTGTTGTTGTTGTTCTTGTTTGATAGAGTCTCATTCTGTCACCCAGGCTGGAGTGCAGTGGCGCGATCTTGGCTCACTGCAACCTCTGCTCCCCGGGTTCAAGCAATTCTCCTGTGTAGTTGGGACTACAGGTGCATGCCACAATGCCTGGTTGATTTTTGTATTTTTTAGTAGAGACAGGGTTGCACCATGTTGGCCAGGCTGGTCTCGAACTCCTGGCTTCAAGTAATCTGTCTGCCTTGGCCTCTCCAAGTGCTGGGATTATAGGTTTGAGCCACTGCACCCAGCAAAAAACCAACTTTTTAAAGCAGAACTTCTGAAAAAAGATAAATATGTATTAATGTTGACTATATGACAGATGCCATGCTGTGTATTACATGCTTCTGTTCATTTCATACTCCCTAGTAATACTGATAATTTTTTTGGATAGTCATGGTCAAAAATCATTAATCTAAGATTGTTTCTCAGAGTGCAGTTCCCAGACTAGCAACATCACTATGATCTGGGAGGTTTTCAGAAATTCAAATTATTGAATACCACCCCAGACTTAGTTAATTGGAAACTCAGGTAGGGCCCAACAGTCTGTCTTAGCAAGCTCTCCTGGTGATTCTGATGCATGTCAAAGTTTCAGAACCTTGAAAGGCACTGCTGAATGTTTCCCAGCTTGGTTTAGACAAAATTAGTTGACTGTCTTAAAAATAAAAAAGAACTTAATTGATTAAAGTATGCAGGCCGGGTGTAGTGGCTCATGACTATAATCCTAGCACTTTGGGAGGCCAAGGTGGGTGGATCACTTGAGGTCAGGAGTTCAAGACCAGCCTGGCCAACATGGCAAAACGCCGTCTCTACTAAAAATACAAAAACTAGCTGGGTGTGTTGGCACGCGCCTGTGATCCCAGCTACTTGGGAGGTTGAGGCAGAAGAATTGCCTGAACCTGGGAGGCAGAGGTTGCAGTAAGCCGAGATTGTGTTGCTGCACTCCAGCCTGGGCAACAGAGCAAGACTCTGTCTCAAAAAAAAAAAAAAAAAGTATGTGTACTATACTGTCACAGGTAGTAATTTGGAATTGGATTGAAGGTTCACAAATGATCTAACATGATAATTGTTGAGTATTGTATTTGATAAGATTATTCAAGGCATTTGTTAGGTTACTATTTTTAAACCACTCTTACCACTGTTTTGTGTATGTACATTACTTTTTCCTAGTTTTTAAGGAAGAGTTAAGGACATTGAAGACAGTTCTTATGTTTATAAAATTTATAAAGTAGGGAAGAATGCAAGATAAACGTGTAAACACAAGGCAAAGGTATAAACATGTTTTCTTTTAGGGTTAGCTACATTTCTGTGATTGGTAAGTATATTTCAACGTAGGCAGCCTATCCCAACAGAAAACTTAGGTTTACTTATGTGCCAAAGATCAAAACAGTACTTCACAGCATGTAATATGTCTTCCTTCAATTCCAGTTGCATTCCCAGTTGTAATTACTAATTGCTTCAACAGGGAATCTAATATCTTCTCTCATCTGTTTTTGGGAAGCTGTATAACTCTATTCCTATATGTTATTTCTCCCTACCCTTGGAAAAATTAGTTTAGGTTCACTTGGGCTGTCTTTTGCTTACTGCAGGTGATACAGTATTTCTTCTCCAGTTTTGAAAAGATAAGAGGCTAATTGAATCTAAGCTTTAGTTGGATTTTTAGGTGCTTTAAAAATTTTTTAAGCTGGGCGTGGTGGCACTGCCTGTAGTCACAGTTCCTGGGGAGGCTGATGAGGGAGGATCACTTGAGCCCAGGAGTTCAAGTCCACGCTGGGCAACATAGTGATATGATGTCACTTTTAAAAAAAAGTTTTTGAGACAGGGTTTTGCTCTATCACCCAGGCTGGAGTGCAGTGGCGTGATCTCGGGTCACTGCAGCCTCAACTTCTGGGCTCCAGCGATCCTCCCACCTCAGCCTCCCAGTAGCTGGGACCACAGGCACATGCTACCATGCACGGCTAATTTTTGTGTTTTTGGTAGAGATGGGGTTTCACTGTGTTGCCCAGGCTGGTCTCGAACTCCTGAGGTCAAGCAGTCTGTCCACCTCAGCCTCCCAAAGTGCTGGGATTATAGGCGTGAGCCACTGCGCCCAGCAAAAAAAAAAAAAACAAAAACTTTTTAAAGCAGAACTTCTAAAAAAAGAAATTCAGTTGCACTTGTGTATGTGTAGAATCTGATTTAACAAAGGGTTAAAATTACTCGGCCCACTTGTAATTCCATTAGCAGTAACTCCAAACATAAAATGAAATTCACAGAAACAGAAATTGTCATTGAAGCCAAGAAAGAGGTCTTTATTTCTAAGGCAAAAGTAGTTGAAGTGTTGGAATTTCCTTGGGAAAATGTCCGCAAAAAAGACTTGTCTTTTTCTCAATTATAATTTGCAGCACAAGAGACTTGAAGTTTATAGAATTATAAAAGCCTGAATCAATAAAAGTACTTGAATTGGATTTCTTGGTACCCCAGAGGTACCTACCTCTGTTATTGGAATATTGCTTCCTAGCATCTGTGTTAATTTTGCTAGGGTAGGCCTCATTCTCTTAGCCCTGCCCAATTTAACTTTTTGTTAGGTTTTAGTCTTCAGAAAGCCTCCTAAATCAGGGCTCCCTCTTTTTTCCCATGACTTCGTTTTTCTAACTCAATTCTTTTGTTAATTTTTTTAGTATTTCTTAAGCATTTAGTGACAATACTGCATTATGTCACTTGTGGTTTTCCTTGGCATTGGGCAGTCTCCACTGGATTTTGCACTTACTTGCTTCCTTGTTGAGGAACTAGTAATAACCCATCATGACTCCATAGAATTACTTGATATTATTGAAATAGAGTGCTTTTATTTCTCAGGACTATTTTGTACATTCATGTCAGCTTTACTCAAGTGTTTCAGAACTTTCAGAACCTGTTCATATCATGTAACTCTTCCTCAGAAATACAAGAGACTTGCATATGACTGGAGTGGTAAAATACCTGTGGAAATGTATTGCCTAATATGTATGTTTCTGTTGATACCTTTTGGAAGCAAGCACATTTTTCCCTTTTTCTTAAGGGCTAGAGGAGACACTAAGATGTTCTTCTTAAAAGCGTTATTTCTTATCAGACAAAATTATAGATCCTTTAATTATTGTTAGTTTAGGACACAGTAAAAGACTTTAATAACATTGGCAGGCTATCGCATATATTTCTGGGTATTAGTCTCAAGTTCACTATGTACTTTTTCATGAAAAACTATGTAATTGAGAGAGCAGCTGCACCCTTATTTGTTGCAGATCTTGATTTATTCTATTTTTAAAAAAAACATTCAGAAGATATCTTTGTATCAAAAGAAATGCTAATGATTTTCTTTAGAATGTGAACCCATTTTAATCAATACTGGCCAATCTTTGTCACTTTGCTGATTGCATGTATTTGTGACCCTTAGATTGTAGGGAATGGAAGTGAACAGCAGCTGCAAAAAGAGCTAGCAGATGTACTGATGGATCCTCCAATGGACGACCAGCCAGGGGAAAAGGAGCTTGTGAAAAGGTCACAACTGGATGGTGAAGGAGATGGGCCTCTTTCTAATCAGCTCTCCGCTTCATCCACCATTAACCCTGTGCCATTAGTAGGGCTCCAAAAACCAGAGATGAGCCTACCAGTGAAACCTGGACAAGGAGGTTAGGATTGCTGCATTGCTTGCGTAACTGAAGGTTATTGTTTTTAATATGTGAGTGTCCACCCTGTACTAGGTTTTATTTAGAACAGGCAAAACCATTGTCTACAAAAACAGGCAAAAACATTCTCTAGAATCTCTGAATTCTAAATCTAAGGGGATGTGAGAGGAGTAAAAATATATATACCATTCTGATTTCCTTTTAAATGTATTTCACTTGTACCAAGGAAAGAGAAAACATGGCTAAAGGACACAGAGGGAGTCTTTTTTTTTTTCCCCCCAGGAATGCTTAAAGATTTTTCAAATAAAGAAGGAATATGAGTACAATATTAGAGAAATGGAGGGATAATTCTGGGTGAACAGATGTTTGCTCCAGACCTATATAGCTCTATGGGAGCAGTTGCCAAGTTGAAAAAGGAAGACTAGAACATGGGACAGAAAGACATAGCATGGGAGGAGAAGGACAACTTAAAAGACTCATTTGGAAAAGCAGGTGCTAAAACTATAGATGTTATTGGGAAAGGAAAGCCAAAGGGATTAAGAGAACATAATGAAGTGGCTAAGATGATGAATTAGAGAAATAATTGTAACAGTGCAGCTCAGAAAGATGACAGTTAGGCCGGGCGCAGTGGCTCACGCCTGTGATCCCAGCACATTGGGAGGCCGAGGCAGGTGGATCACAAGGTCAGGAGATCGAGACCATCTGGCCAACATGGTGAAACCCTGTCTCTATTAAAATACAAAAAATTAGCCAGGCGTGGTGGCACGCACCTGTAGTCACAGCTACTTGGGAGGCTGAGGCAGCGGGAATTGCTTGAAACCAGGAGGTGGAGGTTGCAGTGAGCCGAGATTGTTCCACTGCACTTCAGCCTGGCGACAGAGCGAGACTCCGTCTCAAAAAAAAAAAAAAAAAAAAAGATGACAGTCAGAGATAGGAGTTTCAGAGTGAAGAAATACTAAATGTATATTCGACCTAAATGTAAATTACAAAGTCAAAACAAATTAGAAGAGGCAGAAAGGTGAATCAAATCTGAGTCTGATTGAGACCGACTCTAATAGCACTATATTTTGAGTATCCTTTGTCTGAAATGCTTGGGACCAGAAGTGTTTCAGATTTCAGATGTTTTTGGATTTTGGAATATGCATATAATTACCTGCTGAGCACCCCAAATCCAATAATTCAAAAACTGAAATGCCCCAAATAGTACTTCTTTTAAGTGTCATGTAGGTACTCAAAAGGTTTTGAAATTTGAAGCATTTCATGTTTCAGATTTTTGAATTTAGGATGCTCAACCTGTACCTAAAAATCTTGGTGTTTCTGACAGAGTTCTAGTGTGGGATTTCTGGTTTTCATGGGCATTTCTTTTAGGGTATGGCATATTGTCTCATTAATACTTAATTTTAGACCTTAAATGTTACTTGCAGATTTTTACTTGCTAATCGTATCAACAAAATATCAAAGTGAAAGTAATCACTTCCTTATTCATTGTTTCTTTCAGATTCTGAAGCTTCAAGTCCTTTCACACCAGTGGCCGATGAGGACAGCGTAGTTTTCAGTAAACTGACTTACTTAGGCTGTGCCTCGGTAAATGCTCCCAGGAGTGAAGTGGAAGCCTTAAGGATGATGTCCATCTTAAGAAGCCAGTGTCAGATTTCACTAGATGTTACCCTTTCAGTGCCGAATGTGTCTGAAGGAATTGTGAGGTGAGACTGGTTTGTTGAAATCTTTCGATATTTACATCAGATCTCTGACCTGTTGCTTCAGAAAGAAGCAATAGTGAATAAAATACATATTAATAGTTATTTTACTTGTGTAACGTTTCATTTACCTGGCACTCATGTCTCCCAAGGACTGTGACCTTTGTGAAAAATGGTTACTTATTTGTAATAGTTTTTCGTACTCTTCCCGATCATGTGTAGTACATTAGGCATTTAATGTTTTGGGGATAAATGAAATATATTGACATGAGTCAGCCTAAAAGATTATATTTTCCATGTTCCTTTGATGAAAATACAAGCTTGACACATTATTTCAAAATGGAGTTTCATGTTGAGTTTGAAAGTTACAAAAATTTATTATTAAATATTAACTATACCAGCACACCCCTTAATTTTTATGATGAGAAAACTGGCTAGGTGCAGTGGTTCATGCCTGTAATCCCAGCATTTTGGGAGGCTGAGACGGGTTGATCACTTAAGTTCAGGGGTTCGAGACCAGCCTGGGCAGCCTGGGCAACATGGTGAAACCCTGTCTGTACAAAACATACAAAAATTAGCCACGCATGGTCATACACACCTATAGTCCCAGCTACTCAGGAGGCTGAAATGGGAGGATCACCTGAGCCTGGGAGTTCAAGGCTTCAGTGAGCTGTGATCATGCCACTTCACTCCAGACTGAGTGACAAAGTGAGACCCTGTCTCAACAAAGCAAAATGAAAAAAAAAGATGAGAAAACTGAGGCACAGAGAAGCCTCTAGCTGTTTATACTAATAGAACAAATAACAATTGCAGATAGCTAATCAGATGTCTGTATCAACCAGCTAAATATACTGTTGCTCAATAAGTCAGATGAATGCAGGTAAAATAAATTTTTTTTCCCTATTACCAAAGATACATGCTTATTTAAAAAAATTGCCACATAAAAATAGCCTTAATTCTACTCTACCACTAATAAATACAGTTAACATCTTGGCTTATTAAGATCTTCTTTGCATATTGGTATATGTATATGTCTAGGTATATGTAAATATACCTGCATATATATACATACATAATTTACAACTGTTAGAATCAACTTTTTTTTTTAACAGCAATGGACCTGTACATACCATCTTGTACTTAGTTTTATATCGTAAACCTCTTTTCATGCCAGTAAATATTATTAAAAATTTTAATTTATGATGGCATATGAATGGGTTATAAATAAATAACCCATCTCTTATATTAGACATTTTAAGGCTTTTATCTTTCAGAGAAAAAAGCATGAATGATGATAGCTAGTTTTAATTATATGGGAATATCAGTGTTTTATAAATAGGTATCTTTGAGCTCAATCTTTTTAGACTTCTGTTGATTTCCTTAGGATAAATTCCTAGAAGTAAACTTATTGAGTTTGTCTATTTTTATTGCTTCTAATAACATTGCCAACTAGCCATCTAGAAATATTGATCTAGTTTATACTTTTATCAGCAGTATATAGAATATCCATTTCTCAGTATCCTCAGAAGTATTTTGGACTTTCATGGTGACAGAGTAATAGCTGTGTGTTGATTGTAGTAAAATAATCTGTATATGTAATTTTTCCCCTTAAGTATTTAAATAACTATTTTGCAAAGACTCACAAATTCTATTTATTAATGATAAACTATTAATAAAATGTGTTTAGCACTCATTTCTATATGTTTCTTAGTCAATACTCATTCCTCTAACTGAAGTTAGACTTTAATATATTTTTAATTCTATAAAAGAAGTTAGAAAGCTAGTCGGTTTTACCCCACATTTTTAGAGTTTTCATAAAAGTGCTTTCAAACCTGTGTTAGATCCTCTTCCTAGGTATTTCCGTGATGAGCAAGGCCTTCTAGGCTTTCCCATTAATGGCTCTACCCACATAGTGTTGAAATTGCATAGTTTCTTTTTAGACCTTCCATAGTTGTGCCTTACTGCCCTGATCAGAGTCTGGAATGTTGTAGGTATCACATAAATATTTGTTGAATAAGTAGATTTTTGAATGAATGCTATCCCTTTGATTTTTTACTGAATGGCATCCTTTTGCTTTTATTCATGATTTTTTTTTTTTTGAGGAGTTAACATTTTGTATAATTTCTGTCCTTATTTTCCATGAATCAAAAAAAAACTTGTTTCAGTCTGAGAAAAAGCATCAGTTTTTTGTTTTTTATTTTTTCATAACAGATTAGGTCATTTTTAAAGGAGATAATTAGAAGCACAGCTTTGCCCAGGTGTGGTGGCTTATGCCTGTAATCCCAGCACTTTGGGAGGCCTAGGTGGGCGGATCACCTGAGGTCGGAAGATTGAGACCATTCTGGCTAACCTGCCCTGTCTCTACTAAAAATACAAAAAATTAGCCGGGCATGGTGGCACATCCCTGTAATCCCAGCTACTTGGGAGGCTGAGGCAGGAGAATCACTTGAACCCAGGAGGCGGAGGTTGCGGTGAGCTGAGATTGCGCCATTGCACTCCAGCCTGGGCAACAAGAGCGAAACTTGTCTCAAAAAAAAAAAAAAAAAAGCACAGCTTCAATGATGTATTTTGGTAGTCTAATTTACGTATTAATCGTCTTTATTTTGTAGCAGACTGTATAAGAAATGTGCTTATTGATATTGTTTATACCTTTCTGTTTGCCTCCCTAAAACATGATACTATATGGTTTTTAGTACTATGGAATTACGTAATCAATAGCTTCCGGAATTCACATATGAGTTACTTATTAAAATTTAAGGTTAATATCAGCATACCAAATATATGATCTTCTTACTAGAAAGAATGAGTCTCACATCTTAATCTAAACGTAGTGCAGATTGTTCATAATTCCTGTAATCTCTCTGTATCTTTTTCTCTGAACAGACTCTTAGATCCTCAGACAAACACTGAAATAGCAAACTACCCTATCTACAAAATCCTCTTCTGTGTCAGAGGGCATGATGGAACTCCTGAGAGTGACTGTTTTGCTTTCACTGAAAGTCATTACAATGCAGAGCTCTTCAGAATACACGTCTTCCGGTGTGAAATACAAGAAGCTGTAAGTCCTCAAGAGAAAACTCTCTGCAAATGAAACTTCACCAGTGCCCTCACTAGGTTGAAATGATTATGGTATTTATTATGATCACTCATAAGCCAGATGAAATTCTCTGCTATTGTTTTAGTGATTCTAGCCTCATGGGCCAAAATATAAATTAACTAAAAATTTGATTAACTAGAACTTTGTTACTACTACTAAGAATGTCAGAGGAGATCTGTTGGCTACTTTTGATTGGGTTAAGTAGGCATTCTGGTTCTAACATTGACAGATTTGCAAACCATTCTTTTAAATCAAAACTTGTTAGGACTGTTTTCATTGTAATATCTTCAGATAGTTTCTAACAATTTAGGAAGTGATTTTTAAATTGGATTTATAGTGCTTACAACCATTTCTTTTTTAAAACCCCTTGTCTGGACATTTTTAGTGTTGCTTGCTTTATAGGCCTAACAAATTAGGTAATTTACCAAAAGAAATAAGTGGGATAAAGATAATTATTGCCCTCCAAAGTAGGTAATCTTCCAGCCTTAATAAAGGTATTTTATATCTTTTGATAACAGCCCATTTCCTAACATGTCTGGTTGTAGGTAAGCCGGATACTTTACAGTTTTGCCACTGCCTTCCGCCGTTCTGCCAAGCAGACCCCACTTTCAGCCACTGCTGCACCCCAGACTCCTGACAGTGACATCTTTACCTTCTCTGTGTCTTTAGAAATAAAAGAAGATGATGGTAAAGGTTATTTTAGGTAGGGAATCTTATTTTATTCATGTATTAACATGCTGTGGTTCAGGGGAAATTCTAGGTCAGATTATAACTTTCATACCATAAAATGATGGCTTTTAAAGGGAGGGCTTTTAAAAAAAATCTGGATGATAAAGGCATATAAATACATAAATTTAACAGAGGCAAAGTTTGAAGAATTTTAAAGCAATTAAAAAAATTGTCATATTGGGAACATGTTGCTACCTTCTTTTAGTCAGATACCAAGTGGCTAACTGCTCACAAAAATATGGCCAAACCGCCAGGCGCTGTGGCTCACACCTGTAATCCCAGCTCTTTGGGTGGCTGAGGCGGACGGATCACCTGAGGTCGGGAGTTCGAGATGAGCCTGACCAACATGGAGAAACCTTGTCTCTACTAAAAATACAAAATTAGCCGGGCGTGGTGGTGGGTGCCTGTAATCCCAGCTACTTGGGAGGCTGAGGCAGGAGAATCGCTTGAACCCGGCAGGCAGAGGTTGCAGTGAGCCGAGATCCTGCCACTGCACTCCAGCCTGGGCAACGAGAACGAAACTCCGTCTCAAAAAAAAAAAAAAAAAAAAAAAAAAAATATATATATATATATATATATATATATATATATATATATGGCCAAAGCTTAGTCAGCTGGATTTGTAGCTATATTTGTTTTGCTGATTGTATTTGCTTGTTTTAGTTGGTTGATTTACTTATATTAATAATCTAAAAATCTTAAGCCTTTTCAAGTCAAGTTTTCCCAGTAAAGTTATCTGCATACATTGGAAGGGGAGAAATAAGGTCTGTGTCTGAAGTCTAATCTTTTGTAGGGTTAGAAGTGACTGATTTTAATTTTTAAATATAATGATAATCCTTTGAGTGGTGGAAAGAACCATGGAATAGAAGTCAAAACTTAGCTTTAGTTTAATTATTGTTACTATTAACAGTGTCCCCATTTCCAAGTTTCTTTACATCTGTCAGTAGTTTCCTCATTTATTAAATGAGGTGGCTAGACTCTAAAACCCTTTCTCACTTTAAAATTTTATGGTTGCAAGATGACTTGATGTTTTTAAAATTACAGCCCATGTCCCAAAATGATTGTATTATAATCAGTAATTGCATGTAGAAGTCTGTTTCCTCCATGACTACCTCATTAAATTGGTAAAATGAAGTTATATAAAAATATGAATATTTCTAATATTTTGCTTTTAAATTAAGCACAGTGATTGGTTTATTAGATTATTAGAAAAACTGATAATTTTTAGTCTTTCTTCAGACTTTGGAATTGTCATGCCATCTGGTGGCCAATTTAGTGTACAGTGCAGCTTAAACTTTGAGGAGTAAAGTATGACTCATTGTGCTCTATGCTTTCTAATTAGATAGATTTCTATTCTCTCTCTCTCTTTTTTTTTTTTTTTTGAGATACGCCTCACGCTGTTGCTCAGGCTTGAATGCAATGGTACAAACATGACTCACTGCAGCCTCAGCCTTCTGGTCTCAAGCAGTCCTCCCACCTCGCCCTCCTGAGTAGCTGGGACCACGGATGCATGCCACTATGTCTGGCTAATTTTTTTTTAAGTTTTTCTAGAGATGGGGTCTTGCCACATTGCCCAGGTTGGTCTTGAACTCGTGGTCTCAAGTGATAGTCTCAGCTTGTCAAAGTGTTGGGATTACAGGCATGAGCCAACCATTCCTGACTATTTCTATTCTCAAAGCAATGCTGTGAGGTAGTCCTTCCTGCAATGTACCTTCCTGCCCTGCAAAGTGAAAATTATAATCTGTATAATTTTAAGTAGTTTTTTACCTTGTTAAGCAACCTTTAAACTAAATATATTTTCTTTCTTTTTTTTTTGAGACAGAGCCTTGCTCTGTCACCAAGGCTGGAATGTAGTGGCACGATCACGGTTCACCGCAACCTCTGTCTCCCAGGTTCAAGCAATTCTCATGCCTCAGCCTCCTGAGTAGCTGGGATTACAAGCATCTGCCACCATACCGGGCTAATTTTTTCTATTTTTCAGTAGAGACAGGGTTTCGCCGTGTTGGCCAGGCTGGTCTCAAACTCCCGGCCTCAAGTGATCCATTTACCTGGGCCTCCCAGAGTGCTGGGATTATAGGCATGATTCACCATGCCTGGCCTTTTTTTCTTTATTGAAAATATTTATGTAGTTTTGGTCTGTAAATTCTAATTATTAAATAGGAAAGATTAAGATCCCTCAGAAGTATCAGTATAACTTCCCTTCCTTCTGAAATCAGGCATATTCAAGGTAGAATGATCATAAACATCTCTGTTCTATTTGTTAATACTGACAAAGTGCTATTACAGAAAATCCCTGGATGGTCAGATTTGCTTTTCACATTTGTTAGGACTTTGTTCTCCTTTTGCTACATGGCTTTGCTGAATTTCTGGTTTATAATAAATACTGTTATGTTAACTTAAATATATTATTTAAGTATAATGATCAATATACCTAAATATATTAGGTTAATATATATTATTTAGGTATAATAATAATTATATATTATACATATAAATTATGTAATAGTTATATACCTATTATTATATAAAACCTATTATATACTTACTATTATACCTAAATATTTATTTTATCTAAATATTATACCTAAATAATTATTATACCAAAATAATTATTATACCTAAATATATTAGGTTAACACAACAGTACTTTAGATGTATGAAATCCTAGCAAAATATACCTTGGTTTGTCAGATTTAAACTTGTCAAAGGTAGTTCCTCTTATCCAGTAATTCTGTAATATGTATGGAAATTTATCTGCAGAAATAATCATTGAGGTTTTCAAAGAATTATTATTATGAATGTTCTCCAACATACTGTGTATAATATTAATAGCAAATTTTAAAAGTAGAAATTAAGTGTTGAATAGAGTACTAAAACATGTTGGTTTATGGATATTACTTATCCCCTGTCCAACTCATATTTGTGTATAACACAAGATTTACTGTGGTTTTACTTTAACATAAATATAGACAAAGTATGATGAGAATAATTAATGCTCTTCTCATTTCTGAAAAAGTATAATTTTTAAATTATTATTATTATTATTTTGAGACGGAGTTTTTCCTCTTGTCACTCAGGCTGGAGTGCAATGGCGTGATCTTGGCTCATTGCAACCTCCTTCTCCCGGGTTCAAGTGATTCTACTGCTTCAACCTCCCGAGTAGCTGGAATTATAGGTGCCCACCGCCACGCCTGGCTACTTTTTGTACTTTTAGTAGAGACGGGGTTTCACCATGTTGGCCAGGCTGGTCTCGAACTCCTGACCTCAGGTGATCCACCTGCCTCAGCCTCCCAAATTGCTGGGATTACAGGCGTGAGCCACCATGCCTGGCCAATTTTTAAATTATTATGATTAGAAACCTGCTTCTCCATTTTGCCCATGGGAAAACTGAGCATTTGTTTGTTTGTTGTTGAGACAGGGTCTCACACTTTTTTTTCTTTTTGAGACGGAGTCTCGCTCTGTCACCCACGCTGGCGTACAGTGGCGCAGTCTCGGCTCACTGCAACCTCTGCCTCCCAGGTTCAAGTGATTCTCCTGCCTCAGCCTCCTAAGTAGCTGGGATTACAGACATGTGCTGCCACGCCCGGCTAATTTTTGTATTTTCAATAGAGACAGGGTTTTACCATGTTGGCCAGGCTGGTCTCAAACTCCTGACCTCAAATGATCCACCTGCCTCGGCCTCCCATAGTGCTGGGATTCCAAGCATGAGCCACCGTGCCCGACCTAAATTGAGCATTTTCATTCAAAGTACCATTCAAGACACTTCTTTTTTGTTTTACTTAATCCACTAACCGTCCTCATGAGATAAATTGGGTAGTTTATACTGTGCTTATTTATAGGTAAAGCCAGGGAAATTAAGCCTGTACTTCAGTTTCTTATTTTATACAATAGAAATTAAATACTAAATTCCCTACTTGGATACATTCACATGATGTAGTTATTAGACCAGAAATATGATCTAGGACCCTGACATTCAGTGAGGTGAACACCCACTGATTACACTCTCCATTCTGCTTCCTGTTACTGCATCCCTGTAGATTCAGAACACCAGAGACAACTTTCTGTCTATTGTTGTTGTTTTAAACTGCTAAACAATGGGATTATATTTACTTGAGCATCCAAAGAACATAGAGACCAGTGTATCTATTACAAGTTGAAAATTGAGACCCTTCCATTTCCTTATAGGTGAAAACTCTGTCACAAATATTTAACAGTTTGATATGCAAAAATTTTCTTTGAACATTTTTGACATTTTTAGAGTTCTTTGCTAAGATTCTTTGATTTTCTAATGGAAGTATTCAAAAATGTTCTTGAATTAGTATAAATAGTAATAAAGTGCAGAAGGGCTTCAAATTAGTATTTCTTTAGGGCTACCTTTAAGTTTGAGTAGGTGTTCAGAGCTTTTATCTAGCCATTTACGGTAGCTACTAATGGTTCTATTGCCATTATCTTAAAGTTGTACAGAAATAAGATACAATTTAGATTTTTTGCATATTGGCTGATGGCCATGGACAGATGTTTACCTTTGAGAACAGTGAGCTAGAGAAAGTGGTGTGTGGGAGAACAGGGGATTATTTTGTTAAACTGTCATTTTAAGAACTTTGCTGTGGCTCACATCTGTAATCCCAGCACTTGGGGAGGCTGAGGTGGGAGGATTGCTTGAGCCCATGAGTTCGAGACCAGCCTGGGCAACATAGCAAGATCCATCTCTACCAAAAATTTAAAAAATTAGCTAGGCATGGTGGCATGTACCTGTAATCCTAGGTATCCTGGAGGTTGAGGCAGGAAGATAGCTTGAGCCCAGGAGTTTGAGGCTGTAGTGAACTATGAGATTGTGCCACTGTGCTGCAACCTGGGTGACAGATCAAGATCCTGCCTCAAAAAAAGAAAAAGAATATTTTTACCTTTTTAATTAAGCTGATGTTTATTAACCTTATCACTAGTTAGTATTTTATAATTATTACACTGGTTTATAATAAAGTTAACAGTGCTTAAGGGAAGTGTTGGACAACAGCTTATTGGCCATATCTTCCTCATTTCTATTACTTTTTAAAGATACCTTGCTTTGAAACTCAAAAGATCTATGATTAAGTATCTTTTTCTTCATTATATGTTTAAGCAAAGAAGGTGATAATAATCTATCTGTAAAGCCCAGTGATAAATATAAAGGAAAGAATACTTACTTTTTTTGAGTTCTGTATGTCAGATGCCATGAAACATGCTTTACAGCAACAAAAGAGAAAATTAAGGTTATGTTTTAGGGGGCATAGGAGTGATTTTTTTAGCTTTATAAATGCTTTAGTGGTTTACCTGCAAATATCAAATGATTTTTTTTTTTTTTTTTTTTGAGATGTAGTCTCGCTCTGTCACCCATGCTGGAGTGTAGTGGCGCAAACTTGGCTCAGTGCAACCTCTGCCTCCCTGGTTCAAGCGATTCTCCTGCCTCAGCCTCCCGAATAGCTGGGACTGTAGGCATGTGCCATCACACCCAGCTAATTTTTGTATTTTTAACAGAGATGGGGTTTTACCATATTGCTCAGGCTGGTCTCGAACTCCTGACCTCAAGTGATCTACTCACCTCAGTCTCCCAAAGTTCTGGGATTACAGGTGTAAGCCATAGTGCCTAGACTCAAATGATGTTTTCACATCAAGAGGCATAGAATGATTTTTTTCTTTTTTGTTATTATTTGCAAACTAGGCACAGAAAAGAATCAGAGATTTGAGGTCTTTGTTTAAAAAAATGGTTCTAGTATGTGACAAGAAAATGCTTTGCAAAATTAATGAAACATGTTGGTCTACAGTGCAGTTCCCAAAGATAAGGACAGACAGTGCTTTAAACTACGCCAAGGAATTGATAAGAAGATTGTCATCTATGTGCAGCAAACAACTAATAAAGAACTTGCCATTGAAAGGTAAGCATTTTTAGTAAGTTTAGCTTAAATATAAATTTTGGCTTTTATCAATCTAATGGCATAGTTTTACACTGTATTAAAAAATGTATTTCCAAAGAATTTTGTTCCCTAGGAAATTATTTTGTTTACTGAAGTCAGTGCTTCATTACTTTGAAATAGCTACTATAAATAATCAGCTAATACGCTCTCTTCAACTATGTGGTAATAAAAGGCAAACGGAATTAGCTGACCTTGAAGGAAGGATTATTATTTTAGCAACACAAATTTATTGATAACTCTAATGTGTTCTCTTTTCTATCAGCAAGAATTTGTTTTTAAAGTGGCCTAATTTAAACGTTCTTTTGTGTTATCTTTTTTCTTAAATTTATGTCAGTTCTTTTTTTGTAGGTGTTTTGGTCTTCTCCTTAGTCCAGGAAAAGATGTACGAAATAGTGACATGCACTTATTAGATTTGGTAAGAATTTATTTTTATTAGAAAGTTACATACTATTTCCTCAGTAAAGGTTGTTTCACTTTTTCTCATCTGAATCTAGTGTTAAAACATGTTTAAGAAGGTGATCTTGTAAGCTATAAAGACAACATGCAAAGGTAAGATAATTTCCTTTTTCCTGACTAGCTATTTACAAGTCTGACTTTGGATAAGCCTTGGTCTGTTAACTGTGTGGTGGTGATAAAATTCTTGTTTAAATATTTGAGTACAGTTGATGTGATAATCAAAAGAGAAAATTTATTAAAGAATGATTTATAGACTGTCGTGTATCTTACCAATAGTAGGAGTTATTAGTATTATTCCCATTATCTGAAAATCTTTATTTTCAAAACTAAAAATTATAATTCACATGAAAGAAGAATTCAACATTGGATTTAGGTTGTGGATTTTCTTAATGTGTATACAATTTGATATTCGTAAGCATATACATATAACTTCAGGACAGTTGCATAAATAATTGTCACATTTTTTACCATAAATGTAATCATTCACATACACTTATCCTCTTCCATATTCTTATATTTTTGCAGCTTCTGGTTTTTAAAGGCAGCAAGATGGGGGTTAACTGTTGTTCACTCACTGTGGCATTCGGGTTTATTTTTACTCTTTTTTTCTAGGAATCTATGGGCAAAAGTTCAGATGGAAAGTCGTATGTTATTACGGGGAGCTGGAATCCAAAATCCCCACATTTTCAAGTTGTAAATGAAGAAACTCCTAAAGGTGATACAGATTGTTGACATCATGAACAGAAATTTTAGTCTCAAGAAGAGATGCAAAACTAAGGACCCCTTCTTTGACCAATATCCAGTGTTTACCTAATTTTGATGAAACCGAAGAATTTGAATAGTTCTTCACTTTATTATTAAATTTGACCTATAAGCAAAGTATCACTTTTTCCCACTTTTCCATCCTTTTTTTCATTTTTTCCTTCCCCTCTTTCTTTTCTTTCTTTCTATTTATATGCTTATTTACTTACAGACTTATAAGTTTTATTTTTGTACAGAGGTAATCCATGCACATAAATGGTTAAAAATTTCAAAGGATTTATAGGGGGAAGTGAGTCTACCACAGTCCCCAGGGCTCTGTCCCAAAGGAATCACTGTTAGCAGTTTCTTGTGTAGCTCTTCAAATACTCTATGCATAAAGTATCTGGAAGATATTTCATATGCTCTTTGAATGGCATTTAATAGCTGCATATTATCCCATTCTGAAAATGTAATTTGCTTAATAAATGCCTCTTATTGAGCATTTTTCCCCCCTTCAGTTTTTTGTTATTAATAGCACTATAGATAAATAGTTAAAGGATGTAAACAGACCATTCAAATACCATTGTTAACCAAATTTAAAAATTGAGAAGTTTCAGTGTTGATGAGGGTGACATAAAGAAGTCATATGCCACTTGTGCAGAACAATCTGACAGTACAGTGGTGTTTTTGTTTTATTTTTTTTATTTTATTTATTTATTTATTTATTTTTGAGACAGAGTCTTACTCTGTCATCCAGGCTGGAATGCAGTGGCACAATCTTGGCTCACTGCGGCCTGCACCTCCCGGGTTTAAGTGATTCTCCTACCTCAGCCTCCCAAATATCTGGGACTACAGGCATGTGCCAACATACCTGGCTAATTTTTGTATTTTTAGTAGAGACAAGGTTTCACCATGTTGGCCAGGCTGGTCTCATGGGCTCAAGTGATCTGCCTGCCTTGGTCTCCTGATGACAGTACAGTTTTGAAAGCTTTACAGTGTATACTACTGTCAGTTACTTTAAAATAATTCTCAATATGGAATTTGCTTTTGAAACCAGTTATTTGTCTAGTTATTTTACATGTTTAATTGATGGTTCACTTAAGGTATTTTGAAAGTTTATAATAAAAGTAATAGCTTTTATGGAATCTTATGAGCAAATATATTTGTGTTTCTGATTTACCTCTTCAGCCTCTCTCTTTCTTTGTTTAGATAAAGTCCTGTTTATGACCACAGCTGTAGATTTGGTAATAACAGAAGTACAGGAGCCTGTTCGATTTCTCCTGGAGACAAAAGTCCGCGTTTGCTCACCTAATGAAAGATTATTCTGGCCCTTCAGCAAACGTAGTACTACTGAAAATTTCTTTTTGAAACTAAAACAGGTACTGTATTTTTCTATTAATATAGAAGGGGGAATAAGAAAGGAGAAATCACGTCTGAGGCTGATTTCTAAGCCCTCAGATCTTTAAACAGTCATGTGTATTTTAAATATATTAAGAGGAAAAATTATATTTTTCATATTTACCCACCTACTTGTCATTTTTATTGCTCTTCGTTTCTTCCCAAAGATCCACATTTCCATTTGGTCTCATTTACTTTCAACCCGAAGAACAGCATTTCTTTAAGTATAGATCTGCTAAAGATGTATTCTCTTAAACTTCTCTAGATGAAAATGTCTGTTTTTGGCTTTCATCCCAGTAGGGTATTTTCACTGGATAGGATTCTGGTTGCCTTTTTTTTTCTTTCAAGATGTCCTTCCTATTCTTCTGGCTTTCATTTTTATTGTTGTTGTTGTTGTTTGTTTGTTTGTTTTTGAGATGAAGTCTCGCTCTGTCACCACCCAGGCTGGAGTGCAGTGGCGCAATCTTGGCTCACTGCAACCTCCGCCTCCCGGGTTCAAGTGATTTTCCTGCCTCAGCCTCCCGAGTAGCTGGGACTAAAGTGTATGCCAGCATGCCCGGCTAATTTTTTTTTTTTTGTAATTTTAGTAAAGACAGCGTTTCACTCTGTTGGCCAGGCTGGTCTCGGACTCCTCACCTCAGGTCATCCGCCCACCTCAGCCTCCCAAAGTCCTGGGATTACAGACGTGAGCCACCTTGCCCAGCCAGCCCTTCCATTGTTTTTGATGAGAAGTCAGCATTCATTTATGTTATTGTTCCTCTGGGTATAATGTGTCATTTTCTTCTTGCTGCTTTTAAGATTATTCATCTTTGGTTTTCAGATGTTTAACTGTGACATGATTAGGTACGGTTTTCTTTCCGTTTATCCTGCTTGGGATTTGTTGGGGTTCTTGCGTTTTTAAATTTATGCTTTTACTTTTAATTTTTAAATTTTTTTTTTTTTAACCAGATTTGGGGGAAATCTGGCCCATTATTTCTTAAACTTTTTTTCCTGCCCATCTCTCTTCTCTTTGATTCTGGGATTGTAATTATGTATATTTTAGAGCTTTTGATATCTCTGAGGCTCTATTTTTTCCCAGGCTTTTTTCTGTTTTCTTCAGATGGGATACTTTCTATTAATATGTCTTTAAGTTCACTGATTTTTATCAACTTTTAATCTGTTAGAGTCATTCAATGAATTTTAAAAACATTTTCTATATTTTTTGTTTTTAAAATGTCTGTGTGGGTTTTTTTTAATCTCTGTTGTCTCTTGATTTCCTGTTTGTTCTTTTACATTGAGCAGGTTTTCTTTTAAATCCTTAAGCATAATTACAGTACAGCCACTTTAGAATTTTGCCTGCTAATTTTCATGTATGATGATGCACATTTTTGTTTCTTTGTAATTTTGGATTACAAGTTAAACATCTTAAGTGATGCATTGTAGAGACTGTATTCTGTTACTTTCTTCTGAAGAGTCTTGATTTTTTTTTTTCTTAAATCGGGCAGTTAACTTGATCAAAGTTAAACTTCATACTCTGTCTTTTTTGTGGGTGGGTAGCAGCTAAAATCTCTGTTCCAATCTTTTACTCTTTTTTGGCCCCCAGTTGTTCTACCACCTACTGCTTCCATTTTTACTTTCCTTTGTAGCAAAACTCCTTGGAAGATATCAAGGTCACCACTGATTTAAATTGCTAATCTGAGTCCTCATCTTGACCTGTCTGTAGCATTTGCTTTAGATGATTACTTTCTTTTCCTTACTTTCTTTTCCTTAAAGCTCCTCTTTATCTTGGTTCTCAGGACATCTCAAACTTAACATGTCCAAAAAGGTTTATTATCTCATCTCCATCTAATCACTTCTCACCAGCTAGAGTACAATAGTCCTCATCTGAGTCATCATTTATAGCAATAGCCTTTTTTTTTTCTTTTTTAAAATATAGATGGGGATTTGCCATGTTGTCCAGGCTGGTCTTGACCTCCTGGGCTCCAGAAGTCTGCTTACCTCAGCCTCCCAAAGTGCTGGGATTATAAGGCATGAGCCAGCACACCTGGCCTAGCAGTAGCCTCTTTACCCATCATACTGTTTCTGTCTTTGTCCCCTCTTGATTTCTTTTCAACATAATAGTAGCCTAAGGTCAGATCTTATCACTTTTCTGCATAAAACCCTCCAGCCTTGTTTTACTCAATAAAAGCCAAAGTTTTACTCAGT
The DNA here is from genome assembly GCF_000001405.40 of Homo sapiens. Lineage (NCBI taxonomy): Eukaryota > Metazoa > Chordata > Mammalia > Primates > Hominidae > Homo > Homo sapiens. The sequence goes on from NC_000009.12 coordinate 123,000,970, forward strand.
AAAAGCCAAAGTGCTGGGATAACAGGCTTGAGCCACTGTGCCTCACCTTATTTTTTATTTAGTAGAGATCGGGTTTCACTATGTTGGCCAGGCTGGTCTCGAACTCCTGACCTCGTGATCCATCTGCCTCGGCCTCCCAAAGTGCTGGGATTACAGGTGGGAGCCACCGCGCCTGGCCCTATTTTTTTATTTTTTTAACCAGACTTTTACATACTGATAATGCCATGTAACATACTTTTATATTGTTTATTATCTATTTTGTATGTTAGAGTCCTCTACTAAGGAGAGATTCTTAATCTGTCTTATTTGGTGACTTATCCCAAGTACCTGGAACATAGTAGTTCTCAATAAATATACGTTGAATTGATTTTATTTACATGCAACTTCTGTTTTCTGTTACATAAAATGAAAGTGTATGTGGGGCTTACTTGAATATACTTTTCCATATTACATTTTTTTATTTCGATAGCAAGAATTTTGATTCTAGTATACCCAAGTTAGCCCTATTGGGTATATTTAGAAAAAGGAAATAAGCAGAGCAGGCATGGACACTTATTTTCAGTGTTGTCCTAAGAGACAAAGTAAAGCTGAGTCCCAGCACTATTCTCCCAGCTCTTCATTGTAGCAGGAGCAGAGATTAGGGGTCGTCATCTAGAACTTGAATTTGGAGTCAGAGCACATGGATTTTACCGCTAGCTTGTTAACTTTGAGCAAGTTCCCTCAACTCTCTGAGTCTCAGTTTACTAAATTGTAAATTGGCAGCATAATAGAATCTTCCTCATAGTGCTGTTGTGGCATTAAATTAAAAACTATACAACATGCTTAGAATAGTTCCCAGTACATAGTAAGTTCTCCCTACGTATTTGCTGTTATTATTGAGAAGGATTATACAACCTCTCTGGGACACCAAATTAATAAAAAAGCACTAAGTCATGAAATCAGAACAGCATTGATTATTTAGATGGAGGGTGAGCCCCGGGAGAAGAACGCATCAGAAATTAAACTAGTTTACAAACATCACTTTGAAAGTTTAGAGATTAAGAGAGAATGATCTTTAAATGTTTCTAGATGGTCTGTAATCCCAGCCTTTGGGAGGCCGAGGCTGGCGGATCACCTGAGGTTGGGAGTTTGAAACCAGCCTGACCAACATGGAGAAACCCTGTCTCTACTAAAAATACAAAATTAGCCAGGCGTAGTGGCGCATGCCTGTAATCCCAGCTACTTGGGAGGCTGAAACAGGAGAATTGCTTGAACCCGGGAGGTGGAGGTTGCATTGAGCTAAGATCACACCATCGCACTCCAGCCTGGGCAACAAGAGCAAAACTCCGTCAAAAAAAAAAAAAGTTTCTAGATGGTAAATAGAAATTAGTTGTATATATATTTTTATTATATATATATATTTTTTTTTTACTTACTGGCCTGAGAATAGTTATATAATAATTTTCAGTAAAAGTTGTATGTAAAAATAGTTCTGTTTAATTAGCATTCTAACCCTTTAATCTCATTTTAGTGAACATAAATAAGATTCCCCTGATCTTGCATTTCCTTTTGACATCTAATGTTATACAACCTTGGATTCAAAGACTGCATGGGTTTACAAGGTTTTGTGGTTGGGTATAGAAGAATATATCTTTCTATGGAAACAAATTTATTTAATTTTATTTTTAAAAATTTATTTTTTATTTTTAGCAACCATAATCAGAGCTACATGTTAATTCAATGTAAAACTTTTAAAATATTATCATACAGTATGTTATTCAAATAATAACATAACTTCTATTAATAACTTAATTTTTTTTTAGTTAGGCTAAAAAATGACTTGACAGGGTAAACCAGCCAAAAACATACCTGAAATGCAGCCTAAGAGACTGCTCTGGACTCTTTATTAAGGCTACAAACTAAACTTAAGCCGAGTTTTCACTGTTTTCTTTGCAAAAAGCAGAAGTGTGTATGTGGAAGCTCGGGGGAGAGCAGGAAATTCCCGATGATAATCTTTTATTTTTCTCCTTATTTGGATAAGTCTTTGTGTTTGTGCGGGGATTTAGGGGGAGTGCTAGGGAGTGGGAAAGGAGAGGTAGAATGGGAAGAATTTGAACAACTTTTCGCTGTCTTAAAGCATTTAGAACACTGTTAATCTCACCCCTTGTAACTTAATAAACTAAATGTATTCCCTCTTTTACATTCATGGCATTAAAAAGTATTTGAGGTTCAACTGTGACCATCATTGTCTTGGCTACTTCACTTTTTAAAATCTTAGGTAGTTTTCACAGTGATTCAATGAGGATAAATAGTATTTTCACTTTATAGATGAGGAAACTGAGATCCAAAGATATTTAGCAGTAGATTTTATGGGATGTTATATGAACAAAACATATATCTAAGCCTTTTAAAAGTCTCTGCCAGGACACTCTCCAGAGAAACATGCTACTTTTGTCTTTTCATCTATAAGAGTATTTTTAGGATTTACTGAAATTAAGCATAATTTAAAATTTTAACCATTTTCCGTTCTCCTTAGACTGAAAAGGAAACAATGCTACAAAGCAAATTTAAGAATATACAACATACAGCATTTCTGTTTTTTGCTGCCAGTATAGGAAAACAATATGTAAATGCTTTTTAAGACCTGTTTAAAAATTGATTCTTTTTCCTTTCACTAAAATTATCTGGTGACTCAGCAATTCCTTTTATCCTGGAAGCCTTCCCATCTGTGAGACTGTTATATTAAGATAGCATCATAGTAGAGAAGAAACTAAACATTAGTAGGGACAGGAGGATTGCTTTCTTGGACTTAAATTTTCTTATACTACTTACTGAAAGAGCAAGAAAATGAGCTAATGAATAGATTTTCCAATAGTGACATAAGGCGAACAAAAGACCAATTAAACATTCTTATAACTATAGAATAATGTCATTTTTATTGCCAATTAAACTATAGGGGTCTTAAAATCTTTCATAAAATTACTGTTTTATAAATGAAGAAGCTGATATCTGAAAGACTAAGTGGTATGGCCAATGTTGTACAGATAATTAGTATAACTATAACTGGATACCCGGGCCTCTTATTTTAATTTGCTGAGAGTGTATGTGTGTGGTACACACATTCCTCTCAAGATAAAAATATACAAATGCTTTCCATTCCACTGCTGAATTGAGAGGTGTGTGATATTAGGTTGTTCCAGTATTTCTGATGGGAAGTGTGATCACTTAATTAAGGTGGTGACCACTGGATCTCTCCTTTGTAAAATAGGGTTTTTCTTGACACTTAGCAAGTAATCTTTGGGGGTGACGCTTTGGCAACTTCCAAATATCCTGTATCTCAACAACGTCTTTTTTGTTTTTTTTTTCCTTCACTCTGCAGCCCAGCCTGGAGTGCAGTGTCAAAAGCACGGCTCGCTACAGCCTTGACCTCCTGGGCTCAAGTGATCCTCCTACATCAGCCTCCCAAGTAGCTGGGATCAAGGTGCACTACCATGCCTGGCTAATTTTTTAATTTTTTGGAGAGACGGAGTTTCACCATGTTGCCCAGGCTGGTCTCAAACTGGAGTTCAAATGATACTCCCACCTCAGCCTCCCAAAGTGCTGAGATTATAGGCATGAGCCACTATGCCCAGCCAATAACTAATTAACTAATATTTTTAGTATCTGTTGGTGATATTTACCTGATTCAGTTGAGTTCATTCACGTATTTTCAGTAATAATTTGACATTACAGGATTTTCTTTTTAAAATATTTATATGCATATATTTTATTTACAGTAACAGTAAATAATTTATTTGCCTTATCTTCATCAAAATCTAAAAAAGTCAGCCAGGCACGGTGGCTTATGCCTGTAATCCCAGCACTTTGGGAGGCCGAGGCAGATGGATCACCTGAGGTCAGGAGTTCAAGACCAGCCTGACCAACATGGCGAAACCCTGTCTCTATTAAAAATACAAAATTAGCTGGGTGTGGTGGTGCACATCCGTAATCCCAGCTACTCGGGAGGCCGAGGCAGGAGAATCACTTGAACCTGGGAGGTAGAAGTTGCAGTGAGCCGAGATCGCGCCATTGCACTCCAGCCTGGGCAACAAGAGTGAAACTCCATCTCAAAAAAAAAAAAAAAAAAAAACTAAAAAAGTCTTGCAGTTAATAATAGAATTATTGGGTGAAATTTAAGATTTTATGGAACTTCTTTTTGTCCTTTGAATATGTTTCAGTAAGATTATAAAATGGTTGCTGTTTAAAAATCACTGGGAATAATTTTTTATTGTGGTTCTGTTACCGTTTGACATATAGTTAGGTTCATTTGTTTCCATTTATTTTAGCTTAGGGGCTTGGGATTTTTTTTTTTCCTTTTTTTTTTGAATATATAAAATACTTATAAATGTCATAATTATGTAGAAATGTATACTCGGAAGTCCGCTTCCATTTGTATCTCCTTACCCCCATACCCATAGATAACAATTATTATTGGTTTATGGTTTATTATCCTGATTTCATTTTTGTGAAGATAAAATTCTGTATATTTTTAACTTCCTTCTGAAATAAAAATTAGCATACTCCATATGTCTTATCCTATACATTGCTTTTTAAACTTAATATATCCTGGGGATCATTCCACATCAGTGCATAGAGATTTCCTCATTTCCGTTTTAATGGCTATTTAGTACTGTCCTATTTGGATGAACTATGGGCTTTTCAACCAGTCTGCTATTGATGGACACTTGGACTGGTTTCCAGTCGTTTGCTGTTCCAAATAATGTTGCAGTGTGGAATCTTATGTATGTGTTATTTTGATTTTATGAAAGTGCATCTTAGAATAGACTCCTATTAGTATAATCACTGACACATAAGGTGAACGTACATATGCTATTGTTATATTTGCCAAATTCCCTTCTGTAGAAGGTGTAACCATGGACAGGGTATGAGAATACCTGTTTCTCTGCAGGGTTGTCGAGTGTGTTGTCAGACTTAAGGATCTGTGAGGCAGTGGTGTCTAAGAATAGTTTTAGTTTATCCTCTGCCTTTTTAATGTATAAGGGTGACTTTTCTGTGAATTTTCTATTCATATCTTTTGCTTATTTTTCTCTTTGACTTTGGTCTTTTTCGTCTTTATTTTCAGAACCTCTTTGTATATTCAAGAGAGATTAACCCTTGGAGATATGATAGTCCTCCCAGTTTGTCACTTATCTTTTAGCTTACATCATGGTGATTCTTTTTGGGTTTGTCATGCAGTTTCTTCTTATGTACTTGAATATATCAGTATTTTCTTTTAAACCTCTCTGGATTTGAGATCATAGTTAGAAAGGCTTTCCTAACTCCCAAGTTACAAAAAGAATACACTCTTCTGTTACTCTCCTGTTACTTATATGGTTTCATTTTACTCTTTTAGATTTCTGATTCATTAGTATTTTATTCCTGTGTACTCTGGTATATAGCGTAAAGTGTGGATTTGATTTAATCTTTTTCCAAATGGCTATTCTCTTGTCCCAACACCATTCATTAAAAACTATTAACTTTTCTACCCAGTGATTTGAAATGCTACACTTATCATATATGAAATTTCCCTGTGTGTTTGAACCTCTTTCTGGTATTTATATTCTGTTCCTCTGGTCTTGCATTAGAATCACACGGTTGTAATTATGTAGACTTTATTTTTATTTATTTATTTATTTTGAGATGGGGTCTCACTCTGTCAACCCAGGCTAGAGTGCAATGGTGCGATCTTGGCTCACTGCAGCCTCCACCTCCCTGGTTCAAGCAATTCTCCCACCTCAGCTTCCCGAGTAGCTGGGATTACAGGGTTGCACCACCACGCCTGGCTAATTTTTTGCATTTTAAATAGAGACGAGGTTTTACCATGTTGGTTAGGGTAGTCTCGAACTCCTGACCTCAGGTGATCCACCCGCCTCAGCCTCCTAAACTACTGGGATTACAGGCGTGAGCCACTGCACCTGACAATGTGTAGACTTTATAATATGTTTTTATATCTGGTAGGTCTACCTTCCCTCCTCAAATACTCCTTTTTGTGGGTTTTCCTGGATTTTTTTACTTGTTTATTTTTCATATAAACTTTATGTTCAACTTGTGTAGCTCTGGAAAAAAAAAACTACTGGTGTTTTTCATTTGTTTGTGGGTTTATTTTTTATTTTTTTTAGACAGAGTCTCACTATGGAGTGCAGTGGCATGATCCTGGCTCACTGCAACCTCCACCTCCCAGGTTCAAGTGATTCTCCTGCCTCAGCCTCCAGAGTAGCTGGGATTACAGGCATGTGCTGCCAGGCCCAGCTAATTTTTTGTATTTTTAGTACAGATGGGCTTTCATCATGTTGGCCAGGCTAGTCTTGAACTCCTGGCCTCAAGTAATCTACTTGCCTAGGCCTCCCAAATTGCTGGGATTATAGGCGTGAGCTACTGAGCCTGGCTTTTTTTTTTTTTTTTTTTTCCAAGACAGAGTCTTGCTCTATTACATAGGCTGGAGTACAGTGGAACGATCTCAGCTCACTGCAGCCTCTGCCTCCCGGGCCCAAGTGATCCTCCTGTCTCAGCCTCCTGAGTAGCTGGGACCACAGATGCGCACCACCACACCTGGCTAAGTTTTTGTATTTTTTTTTTTTTTTTTTTTTTAAGAAAGAGATGGGCTTTTGCCTTTGTTGCTCAGGCTGATCTCAAACACCTGGGCTCAGGTGATCTGCCCACCTTAGTCTCCCAAAATGCGCAACCTCCCAAAGTATTGGGATTACAGGCATGAGCCATCATGCCTGGCCACTGCTGATGTTTTTATTGGGGAAAATTGACATCTTTATGATGTTGAGTCATCTTATCCAGGAACATGGGATGTCTTTCCATTTATTCAAGTCTACCCTTTTTTGTCTCATCTGACTGCTTTTAATTATTTTATATGTTTATAACATATATTTCATAAATATAATATATCTAATTTAAAAACCTGTTTAAATTTTATATATAATTTAAAACCTATGTTTAAATTTTATATATAATTTAAAACCTATGTTTAAATTATATGTATAATTTAATATATAAAAGTTTTATATTTAACATATATAATTCAAAAAGCTTTTTACTATGGAAAATTCAAACATATGCAGAAATTGTAAAATAGTATAACGAATCCCCATGTACTATTACCCAGCTTCAACAATTAACATTTTTCATAGTTAGAGTCCTTGGCTTACAAGTTTGGTCCAGTAATTGACTGTATTTATCTGACTTCAAAAGGCAGCGTGTCCTTTGGTCATTATGACATACAGAAGAGTTTCTAAGTGGACCACGTTGGTTTGTTTATTTTTAAGATAAAGAGCTATTGCTGGCCGGGCACGGTGGCTCATGTCTGTAATCCCAACACTTTGGGAGGCCAAGGCAGGTAAATCGTGAGACCAGCCTGGCCAACATGGTGAAACCCCGTCTCCACTAAAAATACAAAAAATTAGCTGGGCATAGTGGCGGGCTCCTGTAATCCCAGCTATTCGGGAGGCTGAGACAGGAGAATCGCTTGAACCCAGGAAGCAGAGGTTGCAGTGAGCCGAGATCATGCCATTGCACTCCAGCCCTGGCGACAGAGGGAGACTCCATCTCAAAAAAAAAAAAAAAAAAGAGCTATTGCTGATCTTTGAACTGTTTAGGATACCAATTGTCTGATGTTTCAAAGAGCAATTTATAACAAAACAAAAATTTTAAATTCTCTTTCTTATTAAAGTATAATTTTCAAGAGTTAAAAATCATAATTATCAATTTAGAATGAACATGTATCAAATATTCTAATTCAGTGTATTAATTAATGAGAGAACCAGAAAGGTAGCAAAACTCTGAGTACTTGTGGAACTTGGATTTACATGGTCCTTCCTTTCAAAAAAAAGAATGTTACAAAAAGATTACTAGATTAGAAATAAAACTGGTTAATGTCCTTTAGGTAACTTTTGGGTTATATTTTCTCTTGGACAGAAATCATTTGCATATCTCCTGGACACAAATCTATAGGTTAACATGTAACTTCAGAGTCTGAGTCCTTAATTAATAGTAAGTAGCTAAGTCAAAATGGCATATTCATCTAGAAAATTAAGTAATCCTTGGGTGGACATGTTAAACCAAAGTTGACAGACAGGCCTGTAGGTCAAACCTGGCCTGTCACTTGTTTTTGTAAATAAAGTTCTATTGGAACACAGCCAAACTCACTCATTTATTGCCTGGCTGCTTTTGCACTATAACAGCAGAGTTGTGTAGTTGTAATAGAGACAACTGGCCCATATAGCCTAAAATGTTTACTATTTGGCTCTTTACAGAAAAGTTTACTGACTTCTGTATTAAACAGTGCTTCAAGATGATATTGAAAGAGCATGTTGCCACTATCGTGGCCTTACTTCCATGATAGGGTTAATTTATTTTAAGAACCCAAATGAACATTGCAATGATAAAAATCTGCTCTGGCTGATATTTCTATAGCTCATGAACATCTTATTCCCCCATCTCCCTTTCTGTGTTTTTACTTTGGTATGTGTGTATATATATATTTTTGTATAGCCACCTTTCTAGTTTTCTCTGTACCTTTTCCTATAGCTCTCCCTTTTTATTCTTCCCTATATTTCATGCTACCTTCCTTATATGGAAGGAAGAATGTTAGTATACTTACTTACATGTAATATGGAATGTTAATGTACTTATAATGTGTATTGTAGTGTAAAGTTTTATATTCCTGGTTTAAATTTTTAATTTAGGTCAGTTTAAATTATATGTTTGCCTCAAAATAAAACTAAAATACAATCAGTTGGAGTAATCAACATTTTTGTGGTTACTGTTGATGTGTTCTCTGCCATTCACCTCCCCCTGACCCCACCCCAACTCCAAGTTGTAGCTTTCAGTTGAAGAAAAAGTTCTCTACACTGTTTTAAGCAAAAGGAGTGGGGATAAAACACTGGAACATTATTAGAAGTAAGAATTTTCTTAGTCTTGAAGTTTATGTTTTAGAGTAATTTAAAACACTTTTTCTGTGTAGTTTTATATAGGAAACCTTGAAGGATGCCTTCACTAATTTGGGAGATACAGAACTGTTAGCTCTTTAGTTGACACTGGTTAAACATTGGTAGTTGGATACTTGACAATATGGTTTGAAGACAAACCAATATGGTTTGAAGCAGAACTAGAGTACTGCTTAGTAAATGCCCAATTTTCCTAAGAATTTTAAGATCTAAACATATGCTTTTCTGTTTTAAAAAGTTACTTCTAATGTAGATACTCAAAAAAACATCATTTATTTTCACATCCTGTATGAAATCAGAAGTGATTGCAGTGAGCCGAGATCACTGCAATTAAAAACATTAAAAACACTGCAATTAATTAAAAACATAAAGAACTTTACTGCTTAATAAATAATATTTTTTCATCTTCAAGATAAAGCAAAGGGAGAGAAAGAATAATACTGACACTTTATATGAAGTTGTATGCTTGGAAAGTGAATCAGAAAGAGAGAGGAGGAAAACTACAGCCAGTCCTTCAGTTCGCCTGCCACAGTCTGGATCGCAAAGTTCAGTGATACCTTCTCCTCCAGAAGATGATGAAGAGGAAGGTAAACTGTAGGGATAGCTTAATTTATTTTTGGGGGTGGAAGACCATGCAAACTATTAAAATCGTATCAGGGGATTGATAATGTGATACGGCATTTATAATTCATTTAATGAATTCCTTATGAGAGTTTACTATATGTAAGTAGCTGTGGGAGATTTAAAAATGATTAACATTGAGTTTTCTTTAAGATACTTGTAACCCAGTTGGAAAAATGAGATTTATAATTAGCTCCTTTTAAACAATCAGTGTAGTGCTAGCTTGGTATATTAGCACATTTTTTTTTAGAACAAGTTTGACACAGCTTACACCTAAAGAAATGTTCCTATCTCAACACATTCATTTTGCAGGAACAAATTCACTGTGCCAAAATGTGGCTTGCACACATGACCCTTTTTACCAAATATATTTATAAATATATACGTTTATATATTACTATGTTTTACACTGATAAACGTTAAGAATCCACTGGTTCTTTGTTTCTTTTTTTTTTTTCTGGCTAAATCTATTGAATTAATCTGTCATTCTCTATTAAAAGATATAATTACCTTTTAATGAGGCATGAAGGAAGGGAGCCACAGGAAACATGAATGAGAGTCGTTTTCTAATTTCTAACTTACTACCAGGGCTTCGAATTTAATGGAAGAAAACCTGATTACAATATAAGATCATGTGAGCCATGCATCTATATGTGAAGCTCACAGGAAATGTTCTGGAAATTCATAGAGGAGAATTCGGTTTTCATTGTGGGGAATGTTGTGGGGCATCATAAAGAGTAGTTTTTCAGTTGGGACTTTTAAGTGCAAGGAGAATCTAGTAGTCATCAGTGGAGTTCCTTGGAATTTCTAGTTAAGAAGTTGCATTAACAAAAGCATGGGGATGGCAAGAATGATTGATTTGGTTAAATGAAACGTATCCATGTACTTTCTTCAAGTTTAGAGTGAGCACTGACTTTCTTCATGTTTAGAGTGAGCACTGAGTTTCCAATACCTACTGTTTGCTATAACTCCCATTGCCCTTATGATTAATCAATTTAGCATCATTTATTAGTAATACTAATGGCCACTAATTACTGTGCTTAATATAATCCTCATAATAATCCTGAAAAATAGGATTTATTGTTAACCTAACTTTGCACATAAATGGAATCTGGCCAGGCACGGTGGCTCATGGCTGTAATCCCAGCATGGGAGGCTGAGGTGGGAGGATCACTTGAAGTCAGGAGTTCGAGACTAGTCTGGCCAACATGGTGAAACCCTGTCTCTACTAAATACAAAAAAATTAGCTGGGTGTGATGGCGCATGCCTGTAATCCTAGCTACTTGGGAGGCTGAGGCAGGAGAGTTGATTGTACCCAGGAGGTGGAGGTTGCAGTGAGCCAAGGCTGCGCCATTTGCACTCCAGCCTGGGCAACAAGAGCAAAACTCTGTCTCAACAACAACAACAACAACAACAAAAAGAAATGGAATCTCAGAAAAGTGAATTTGCCCAAGGTTACACAGCTAGAAATTGGCAGAGTCAGGATTTGGATCTAGGTCTGTGAATCCACAGTCATAGCTGTAGTCTATCATCATCTCTTGCATTTAGTTCACATAAAGCATTTTGAAGTATGGAAAAAGCATATGTATTGTTTTTGATGTCAGAGATGCAATTCAGAGTCCCCCTGGAGAGCCAATTTAAGTCATATGTTATATCTGGGAAAGGTGGATTGTTCCCACTGTTTGAAATTGTCTGTTGTGTAACAGTCTTGATTGAGGTTTGCAGTTTCTCTTCTAGGTCAACACTGGTTAAGATGACAGAGTGGGTAAAAGTTTACATAACTTTCCTCTCTTAACACTCAGCGATAAAAATAAAACAAAACAAACACAAAAATTGAGAAAGACACTATTATGAAACCAGAGAATGCTCAAATCTTCATACCATAGATTTTGAGGAATATCTGCTGGTTACAAAGAAATCTGGGCCCGACTAAAGGTTCCTCAGGACTGGCATCAAGTTTTAATTTATAGCAGACATACCTTTTTTAAAAATAAAATTTTAGGGGGTTCAGAAGGCCTCTACTGATAGTTCTTAACTAGGGAGAGATAAGGACTAATGGCAGTGTGTACCCCTTGGGGGAAATCATGGAACACTAGAACATAAGCTCTGTGAAGGAAAAGAGTGTCTGCTTTTGCCTCATGTTGTTCCCTAGCGTATACCACAACATCTGATATGTAGTTGGTGCTCAGTAAATATTGGCAGTATGGGTAACCCCCTAGAATTCATTTTTATAGTGAAGAGTTAATAACAGGAGAACTGGGACTAAAGAAAACTGTGTAGCCATGCTATCTTTTAATTCTCCCTAACGCAGTGTACAAACCAGAGAAACCATTCCTGCTGTGATTGTTTGCTTCCAGGGAAGAAATGATTACATTTCTCTCGAGAGGCTTCTTACCCATAAGACATTTGGCAGAAACCCAGAAATTATAAAGGGGACATGTTTAGAAGCATCATTCTGAAACTGAGATGCTTGTCCTACCCCACCTTAGGCAGATGGGTTCTTAACACAGATTTTAAACTACTACTACCCAGATTTATTGAAAGTATCCAAAATGTGAAAGAGAATTTTGTAAGAAAAGTTTTTCTAATATTTTTGAAGAAATTACCATCCCTTCTAAATTTTAGTACATTTTTCATAGCCACCTTTCCCCAAAGAGTTGTATTTGGTATATTGGTGTTTTAATAAATAGAAAATTACTTGAGAGATTAGAAAGTAGGGCCAGTCTTGCAAGGTAGTGAAGCTGGGGACATTTACCTTAGTGCCCTTGAGCCTTTCTTTTTTTTTTTGAGATGGAGTCTCGCTGTGTCACCCAGACAGGAGTACAATGGCACAATTTCGGCTCACTGCACCCTCCGCCTCCTGGGTTCAAGTGATTCTCCTGCCTCAGCCTCCTGAGTAGCTGGGATTACAGGTGCCCACACCACACCTAGCTAATTTTTGTATGTTTTAGTAGAGATGGGGTTTCACCAGGTTGGCCAAGGCTTGTCTCGAACTCCTGACCTCAGATGATCCACCCACTTTGGCCTCCCAAAGTGCTGGGATTACAGGTGTGAGCCACCGTGCCGGGCCTAGCCTTTTCTCTTCTTTACCTTATTCATCCATATATAGAAGATCTCTCACATTCTATCATCTTCTGTGTCTCACCAGCAAAACTGATGATAATGTCCAAAGCATTATAATATAAAAACGTTCAATAAGAAGTATCACAGATTTCTGAGTCTTTAAAATTAGTGCTTTCAGATGATTGCTGTCTCTGTTGGAGATGCAGATTCAACATGTAGTCATTAGAGGTGTAAAGATCCAAACTTTGTTTAGGCAAGTTAAGCTAAAAAATAAAAACAAACAAAATCTAGAAAGAGCATTGGTAAAGATCCATGGAAACAAGTACTGTTGTAACCCAGTTAGTGGAACTGTAAATTGGTAGAACATTTTGGAAGTCAGTTTGTCGGAAATTTTCAGTATTCTTAAAAATATGCATTCTTTTTAAAACTGAGAAAGTCAGTTTCTGGACATAAACCCGATGAAAGCAATGAGATATATTCATCCTGATTCCGTTTGTAGCAAAAAGTTAAAAACTCTCTGAGTGTCAAGCAAGAGGATTAAGTAGATATCTTAGTCCATGTTTATTCTCTGCTTTTATTATGCTTTTTAGTTCCTCTCATGCCTTGATCAGTGCCACTTATTTCACTGTCTTCATATCTTATAATCTCTAACTTCTGACTTGAATTTACTTTCCTTAATTGAATTAAATTAGAAACGATTTAATTTGGCCTTTTAAAGTATGTTTGTGTTTTCTTTTATAAATTAATATTTCCCATTTTAGAAAATTTAGAAAGTCATAAAAACATAAAAGAGCAGAGAAAAATACCAATCATAACTTCATCACTCAGAGGGAGCAATTGTTAGTGTTTGGTATAGTTTATACCTATCTGTTTTCTATTTTATAACATAGATTAGATCATAATGAATATTAAGCTCTTTGTATTTTCATTTTATACCGTATTTTGCCGTATCATTTGTATTAGTCTGTTCTCATACTGCTAATAAAGACATACCCGACCGAGACTGAGTAATTTATAAAGAAAAGAGGTTTAATTTTTTTTTTTTTTTTTTTTTGAGACGGAGTCTTGGTCTGTTGCCCATGCTGGAGTTCTGTGGTGCGATCTTGGCTCACTGCAAAATTTATAAAGAAAAGAGGCTTAATTAATTCACAGTTCTGCAGGGCTGGGGAGACCTCAGGAAACTTAGAATCATGGCAGAAGGGGAAGCAAACATGTCCTTCTTCACATGGCAGCAGGAAAGAGAAGAATGAGTGCCAGCAGGGGAAATGCCAGATGCTTATAAAACCATCAGATCTCATGAGAACTCACTGTCATGAGAACAGCATGGGGGAAACCGCCCCCATGATTCAGTTACCTCCCTTCGGGTCCTTCCCATGACACGTGGGATTATGGGAACTACAATTCAAGATGAGATTTGGGTGGGGACACAGAGCCAAACCATATCATTATTATATAAACATAAATGTCAACATGCAATTGCATTATATACATATATTATAATTTCTTCAACCATTCTCTACTCCTATTGTTGGACAGTTAGGTAGTTTGAAATTTTTTAAGTGTTTTAAATAAGACATATATTTTCATGCATAAAGCTGTTTGCTTTGGAAAATGAGAGAAAATACCATATTTTGAATCCTATAGTTTTATAATTAAATAGCTCCTTTTTTTTTTTTTTTTTTTGCAATTGACATAATTATGGACCTATGTGGAAAACAAAAGAGAATTAAAGAGGTTACAGCATTTTACCTAGAACTATTTTTATTTTCTTTGTACCTATCCATAAATACTAAAAGAGAGAAATTATGACTTTATGCTCCCAGTAAAGTCTTTCAAATTTGACTCTTAACATTCCAGTGTTCTTCTGGCTAGCATAGCCATCTCTGTTACCGTTTTTGTGTGTTTTGTTTATTATAGATAATGATGAACCTCTCCTGAGTGGATCTGGTGATGTATCCAAAGAATGTGCAGAAAAAATTCTTGAAACATGGGGAGAACTGTTGTCAAAATGGTAAGTTATGATAGAATAGTTTTTTTTATCTGCAATTTTCATTTTATGGGTAGAGAATCTTACCTAACTATAATCAATTTTGGAACCAGTAGTAGAAACCTAAGCGCAATGTTTGCATTCTGTGATCTATTTTAGGGATTTATATGAGTAAAAGTAGAGAATTGAAATCAATTTTCAGAATATCAGGAACCTAATAAATTCTCATTGCTGGAGAAAATATTTATCCAAATGTGGAATTCATGTACAGAATAAATAAGAAAAGTATCTTTTATGTTGAAGAGGTTAGGAACCACTGAGTGGTTCAGATAATACACAACAGTCAGTTTAGAGGGTGTTCACACAATGCATAGAGCCATGGTAGAGACCCCAGGTAGGATTTTTCCCTTATCTGTGATAAGTATCTAGAATGACAGAGCAAAGTGTCATAAGCATGGTATATATTACCTGCTCTATCGATTACTATCTCTTATAAAATTCCTACTAACACTTACAAATTTTAGGAATTTCTCATCAGCTCAAGAGATGGTTTGACAGCAGTGTTAAGAAGCACTATCCTATAGGCTATCTAAAAAGAATACATTGCCTTCAGGATGGGTGTAGTGGTTCATGCCTGTAATCTCAGCATTTTGGGAGGTCAAGGCAGGAGGATTGCTTGAGCCCAGGAATTCAAGACCAGCCTGGACAACTTGGTGAAACCCCATCTCTACAAAAATTGAAAAAGTTAACTGGGCGTGGTGACGCACACCTGTGGTTCCAGCTACTCTGGAGGCTGAGGCAGGAGGATCGCTTGAGCATAGGAGTTTGAGGCTGCAGTGAGCCTTGATTGCACCACTGCACTCCAGCCTGGGTGACAGAGTTGAGACCCTTTCTCCAAAAAACAAAAAAGAAAAAATACCAAACAAAAAGAATACATTGCCTTTAGGTATTTAACATGACCACAGATATTCTGGTAAGTCAGGTTGGTGAGACATTTATGCAGTTTCCTTTTCTCCTTGAATAGGATGCCAGTATATGCTGAAAAAAGCTGAGCTTGGAAGTGATCTGAACACTTCTCTATTTCTGACATTCTGGTTACTAGGGTTGTCAAATAAACTCCCTATTGGCCTGTTACTTTGGGGTTTGATTTTTCTCAGACATTTTAACTGTTGAAGTATTTCACTGCATTGTTAGAATAAAGCTGTGTCTCAGAATTTTAAAGCATTGTGTCATGCCCTTAAGGGATAGGACTACAAATGGGCATTATCTGCTTTTATATTACTCTCACAATGCTTTACACTTTTGACAAAACACTCTCCACACTGGAAAATGTCAAATGTGTACAGGAGAAAAAAGCAAACCAAAGCACGATTTGTCTTTACACAAGTTGTTTTAATAAATGAACTCTGCAAAAAAACCAGAGTAATAGTTTTCTTATATTTTTGGTATTTCTTTACATCAGGAGACAAAACTTCTGGTGCTCTTGTCACAATAATATTTTCAGTTCATTGAGTTTGGAGTGTTTGGGATGCTGCTGGCAGGAATTTTATCTGTATAAAAAGGTTTCTGCTCTAAAACAGAAACATAATTGAGTTTTGACATGGTTACATAATATATTTAAAATCATGTAGATATAGCATTAAGACTCTAGTTAGATTTTATTACACGAACCCATCAGCATCTTATACAACTTGGAATTCGTTTTGTTATCAAGCTTTGTTATTCATTTAATTAACATGTCTTCCTATTCCCTCAAATGTATTTATTGAGTTTCCATCTGTGTCTGCCATCTTTCAGGGTATTTAAACTATTTTTGCTTGCTTTAGTCATGTCTTCAGATATAATAGTGTCTCTTCTTTAGTTCATTACATCATTATTTTTTCTCATTATTATTTGTGTTCTATGGATATGTGTTCTATGGGTAAGAAGCATTGTAATAATGGAATTTTAAAGCCTGGTAGACCTGGTTTCAAATTCTACCTCTCCTACTTTTAAGCTGTGTGGTCTTAGACAAGTCACTTAACTCTTTTGAGTCTGTTTCTTCATTTAGAAAATAGAAGTCTATAAAATTACCATTTGTAATTATTATAGATTAAAAATAATGGATGCCATGGTTGTAGTTATAGTAACATAGAACTAATGAATTTACCATATTTTAGGCACTGTGCTGTTATGTGCTCTGTGTCAACTCTAACAACCTTATAAAGTATTTGTTTTTTACAGATGAGACTGGTGCATAGGTTAAGGCATTCTAGTTAGTAAATGTCACAACCAGAATTTTTAACACAGTCACGGCTGATCCCAAGGCTGGTTTATTTAACTCTATATTAGATTTTAGTGGTAGTATTAATAGTATCTTTGAGCTCTAATTCTCCAAGTTCATTTTTTTTGTTTGTTTTTTGAGACGGAGTCTCGCTGTCGCCCAGGCTGGAGTGCAGTGGCGCGATCTCGGCTCACTGCAGGCTCTGCCCCCCGGGGTTCATGCCATTCTCCTGCCTCAGCCTCCTGAGTAGCTGGGACTACAGGTGCCCGCCACCTCGTCCGGCTAATTTTTTGTATTTTTAGTAGAGACAGGGTTTCACCGTGTTAGCCAGGATGGTCCTGATCTCCTGACCTCGTGACAAGTTCATTTTAATATGACTGTTAATGGATAAGAGAACTAATGTCAGTATAAAATAGGTTGCTAAGTTGGATAAAGTTAATATTATCAATGAGATGAAATTATTCTGAAAGTAATTTTATCAATGTAAATTAAGCTAGTAAGGTTAGCAGGCTTTGTCTGTAAAGAGCCAAATAATAAATATTTTAGGTTTTGCAGGCTAATAGTCTGTCACAGCTACTCAGTTCTACTATTGTAATGCAGAAGCTATCATACACAATACTTAGACAAATAAGCATGACTGTGTTTCAGTAAAAGTTTATTTATGAGAACAGGTGATAGTTAGGCCCAGTGTGGCCCACAGGCTATAGCATACCAGGGATTGGGTTAGCAGCAGAACTATGTCTGTTCTTTCTGCTCATAACTTTTCAACTTTTACATAATGTTTTTATCTAAACAAGGAGAAAACTATTGAACTGTCCATAGCACTTGCATTAGGGCACCAGTGTCACAGAATAAATCACTTTTAAATGTGCTGTGCAGAATTCTTATAGGATTCTGTGAACATTTTGAGAAAAATCACAGGCCTTTTTATAATTTGATAGTGGTTATTTTGTATCAGTAACTTCTGCTTACGTCTGATAGCCACAGCATCTTCTTAATGTCAGGATCCTGTTTTATTGACTCAGTAATGGTGGCTCTCAAGTCACAAACCAGCTGCTCTATAACAGAGCATTCATTAGTCTTAAGAATTTGAGGACTACCTCAGTCATTTAATTGACTTCCCTGAAATTTTTTCTGCATCTGTAAAACTAGAGGTACTACCATCTACCTCAGATGGTTGTTCTGAAGGTCAAATAAGATACTGTATGCAGAAGCACATTGTACATTTATACCAACATTTCAAGGCTAGTTTAATTTTCCCCATTTTATAGGTGACATAAATGAAGTCCAAAGATTTCGATAACTTGTAGTGATATAGTAGTTCAGTGGAAATGTTATTAGCCACCATAAACATTCAGAAAAGTTATTTGAAGGAAAGCATCATAAAAACTGTTGGAAACATACTTGAGATATTTTATTTTAACTTAGAACATATAAATATACAATATTCTTGTCAATTTTTTTTTTCTAGACAAAGTCTGTCTCTGTCACCCAGGCTGGAGTGCAGTGGTGCGGTCTCTCACTGCAGCCTTGAACTCCTAGGCTCAAGCGATCTTCTTGCCTCAGCCTCCCAAGTAGCTAGGAATATAACCATCATGCCAGCTTATTTTTATTTTTCTGTAGACACGGGGTTCTTGCTATATTACCTAGGCTGGTCCAGAACTCCTGGGTTCAAGAAATCTTCCCACCTTGGCCTCTCAAAGCAGTGGAACTACATGAGTCACCATGCCCTGCTGACCACTTGTCAGTTTGATGTAGAGCTAGGTTCTTGTCATTTATTATATGTCCACTGATTGGAATTTTGCTCTTTTTTTGTTTGTTTGTTTGTTTGTTTTGAGACAGTCTCGCTCTGTCACCCAGGCTGGAGTGCGGTGGTGCAATCTTGGCTTACTGCAACCTCCACCTCCTGGTTCAAGCAGTTCTTCTGCCTCAGTCTCTTGAATAGCTGGAATTACAGGCATGCGCCACCATGATGGGCTAATTTTTTGTATTTAGATGGGGTTTCACCATGGCGCCCAGGCTGCTCTTGAACTCCTGACCTCAGGTGATATACCCACCTCGGCCTCCCAAAGTGCTGGGATTACAGGCGTGAGCCACCGCGCCCGGCCATCTTTTTTATATAAACCATAGCCATAGAGCTTCATCTGTGATTTCCAGTTTTGCTTTTTTTTTTTTTTTTTTTTAAAGTAGAGAAATAATTTAAAAATACTTAAGAAGCCTTTTGCAGAATCTATGTGGATTTTTATTTTCTTCCACCCAATCTCTCTTAGTTATCTTGGCCTCATCTAATTCAGAAGCACTTTTTTTTCCCTTTATTACTTTGTTACCTTGTCACGTATTTGTAAGCCATTTAAATTGACTTTGATAAAAGTAACATTCTTTAGAGAATCTTATCTTCCTTTTATGATTTATGGTTTATGGCCTTATTTTTAGGCATCTCAACTTGAATGTGAGACCGAAGCAGTTGTCATCCTTAGTAAGAAACGGTGTCCCTGAAGCTCTTCGAGGAGAAGTCTGGCAGCTGCTAGCAGGCTGTCATAACAATGACCACCTGGTAGAGAAATACCGCATTCTTATCACAAAGGTAAGGGGGTGATAATTCAGCTTCAGCATTAATCCTTTTAGAGATTTGTGATGAAAAGATCATTATAGTTATTTGACTTATAAGAAGTGTTTATTATTAATTTATTTAAGAATAGAACTGTTAATACTTCCAGCTCTAACATGTTTTTTCTGTTGCACGAAGAAGTCATAGTTTTTTCTCCTTGATTCATATCACCTCAGAGACCAAAGGTGTCTTCTAGCCCATTGTATATCCAGATTCTTTTTTGAGTGTAAATAACATTTTTAGTCAAACAACTTGTGCTATGCAATGTGTAAAAATTTTCTTTTGATTATTTTAATACTTCTCACATTTTACAGAAATGTGCTCTTGGTAGGAAAGGCTTAGTTCTTCTTAATTCTTCTGCAACTGTAAGAAAATAATTCTTTAATCTAAACCATATTCTCTTTTAGCTCATTCCTCTAAAGTGAAAAAAATCTCATTTGTATGGTGTTCCCCTTCTGAAGTTCATGCATTCCTCAAAGTTTTGCAAGCAAAACAAGAAAAACTATTTCTTCTACAAGCATATCAGGATTTAAAGTAATTTTCTGCAATGTTAGGCAATGTTTTGTGCCTTTGTGTTCATGTTTTCGGTTTTAGTTTTAATTTTCTCAAATTCTTGAAGTGTTTATCTTCAGGAAGCAGTTTCTCCAATAGTATGCAAATCCCAAACCTGGGTCGTGAATGTATTGCTCAGAATCTTCAAGAATATAGGAGATTTTTCAATGTGACAGAAGGTAAAACTTTGTCTTAAAAAAGAAAAAAAGTTAAAACCTTATAAATTATGAATGATATCTCTCTGTAAAGCTGTTATTTAAAAAAAAAAAAAAAACCTTATAAGGGAAGAGCAGGCTTTTTTTTTTTTTTTTTTTGAAATAGAGTCTTGCCCAGGCTGGAGTGCAGTGGCATGATCTAGGCTCACCGCAACCTCTGCCTCCCGGCTTTAAGCAATTGTTGTGCCTCCATCTCCCAAGAAGCTGGGATTACAGGTGCGCACCACCATGCCTAATTTTTGTAATTTTAGTAGAGAGTAGGGTTTCTCCATTTTGGCCAGACTGGTCTTGAATTCCTGGCCTCAAGCAATCCAACTGTCTTGGCCTCCCAAAGTGCTGGAATTACAGGTGTGAGCTGCCTCACCTGGCCTGGAAAAACAGCATTCAAACATGAGATAGGACCTTCACCAGAAAATGACTTTTATGTCTTCAGAATATTAATGTTCTTTCCCATCATCCTATATCCAGACAGATTTTTTTTGTTTCAATAAGTATTCTGATTCCTTCCATTAAGTTGATATAATTGTTTAGCTAGTATTTATCGTTGAGTAACTGTTACAACCACAGTGTTGGAGCTGGGAGGTTAAACACAAAAGCAAGTAGCTGTCTTATGATAGAATGTGTCTGAAAAAGCACAGTGGGAGCCATCAAAAGAAGTTAACAGTTCTATCTGGGAGAACAGAGGAGTCTTTATCAGGAATATAACATTTGAGATGAATTCCAGGTATAGAAAGATGGGTACAGCATTGTACTCATAGTATGAACAGAGCCACTGAAGAATAAGGTTATATAACATGTATATCTAGCAGAGATACACCTAGTTTTTATTTTCTTTTGTTGGCAAATCATATTTTGGATTTGTAACACTACTTATTTTTTTTGAAGTCCTTTGAAATGTTTGGTCAAAAATGATTCTTAAGAGCTTATTGCTTTAAACGAAATATTTTGGTAAGACTATTCATAAGACATGAAGTGTCTGTAACTGAATGGATTCTGTTTTTCTGGTTCCTTGAAAGTGGTGACGTCTGTTGATAGAAAAGGAACCTGGTAGTTATATGATATGTAAAAGAAAGACTATTAACAAAATATGAAACATTTGATTGATTTGTATATACTGGTGATGTGTACTTTATATTTCACATTAAACTTACAATTTTGTTTTTCTTTTTGAGACGGAGTCTAGCTCTGTCACCCTGGCTAGAGTGCAGTGCAGTGGTACGATCTCGGCTCACTGCAACCTCTGCCTCCTGGGTTTAAGCGATTCTCCTGCCGCAGCCCCCTGAGTAGGTGGGATTACAGGCACCTGCCACCACTCCCAGCTAATTTTTTAATTTTTAGTAGAGATGGGGTTTCACCATATTGGCCAGGCTGGTCTCGAACTCCTGACCTCATGATCCGCCCGCCTCGACCTCCCAAAGTGCTGGGATTACAAGTGTGAGCCACCGCGCCCGGCCCCCCAAATTTTTTAATGAATATATATTAATTTAAATTGCTAGTAGATGATCAGAAAATAGAAATTATTTAACCACCATAATATTTGTGAATTTAAAAAAATGTCAGTGATAGCTAACGTAAGTTGGTATTGCTTTTCTTTTCTGTCTTCCTGGAATTAAGAGTTATCATTGTGTGGGAATGGTAATTGACATCTTTTAACTTACTCTGAAATGTTTTTGGGGGGAGTAAGGTACTTTTTACAGTCTACTCTACCAGCTGAGCTGTCAAAGTTTGCATATAAGTTACTTTTTTAAAAGTGCATAGCTCCATGACATTTTACATATAAATACACTGCGGTGACCACTATCAAGAGCAAGAACATATCCATAACCCCCAAAAGTTACTCATGTACCTTTCTAGTCATAAATACCCTTACTACACCCCTGAGTAATCATTATTCTGGCTTTTCTCTCCTTAGGTTAGTTTTGATTGTTCTTGAATTTTTTCTGTTTTGGAGATGGAGTCTTGCCCTGTCACCGAGGCTGGAGTGCAGTGGCATGATCTCAGCTCACTGCAACCTCTGCCTCCTGGATTAAAGCGATTCTCCTGCATCAGCCTCCCAAGTAGCTGGGATTACAGGCACACGCCACCAAGCCTGCCTAATTTTTGTATTTTTAGTAGAGACAGGGTATCCCCATGTTGGCTAGGCTCGTCTCGAACTCCTGACCTCAGGTGATCCCTCCCCTCCCTGGCCTCCCAAAGTGCTAGGATTACAGACGTGAGCCACCACACCCATCCTTGAATTTAATTTAAATGCATTTATACAGTCACACAGCACGTGCTCATTTGTATCTCACTTCTTTCGTTCATCTATTTTGAGAGTGTATCAGTAGCTTGTTTTTTGTTGTCTTTTTAAAAAATTGTTTAGAGTATTCCATTATATGAATAAATTACACTTTAAAAATATATTCGGCTATTACAAATGTTTGTTTTTTTCCAGTTTTAGCTATTATGAATAAAACTGCTATAAACATTCTTGCACACAGCAGGATTTGTACATATTATACTTATTTAGACAATATTTGTGTATATATATATACACACCACTAATTTCTATAAAGTATTTATTCTGAACATGGCTTCTTTGCCAGATATATGCGTTGTGTTCTGAAATTTTACATATAATATTACTTTGAGATTTTTTTTTTGCTTAGCTTCTTCAAAGACTAGAGCAGGAAAGAGTGACTTGATTTATAGAGTGAAGATCAAAAAAATTAACCTGGCAAACAAAACTGATTAATGTCTTTGTCATCATCTTGCATTAGTTGTCAAGCCTGTCTTGTATGGGGTACATGTGGGAAATTTTCAATATACCATTTTAACCCAAGGACAAATGACCTTTCAGTAACATAAAATACATAGTATGCTTTTAAAGGTGTTTCTTATTTCAATAAGCAATGGAGTTAGTTTCTTCTTCCCGTTTTGCTTTTTAAAGTGAAAATTTTTTAGGTTTTTAAATTTCAGTAGGGATCCAGAAGGGAAATAATAGAACAATAGTAATAGCTACCTTTTTTAGCACTAAGTATGTGTCAGATACTGTGCAGCGCACTTGGATGTGACAATTCACAGTTCCACCAGCAATGTAGTTGCATATAGTTGTACCAGCAAAGTACCTGCTGCCCCATATCCCAACCAGTATTAGTTGTTATATTTAATTTTTACTATCAGTGGATGTAAGTGATGCCAGCATATCTTTTTTTTTTTTTTTTGAGACAGAGTCTTGCTCTGTCTGTCGCCCAGGCTGGAGTACAGTGGCACGATCTCAGCTCACTGCAACCTCCGCCTCCCGGGTTCAAACGATTCTCCTGCCTTAGCCTCCTGAGTAGCTGGGATTACAGGCGCATGCCACCGTGCCTGGCTAATTTTTGTATTTTTAGTAGATACTAAGTTTCACCATGTTGGTTAGGCTGGTCTCGAACTCCCGACCTCGTGATCCTCCCACCTCGGCCTCCCAAAGTTCTGGGATTACAGGCATGAGCCACTGCATGTGGCCTAGCATATCTTTAGTTTGCAATTCTCTGGCTACCAGTAAATTTGAATGATTTGCTCTTCTATTTATGTTCTTTGTACATTTATCTATGAAGTCTTTTTAAGATAACAGTTTCTAAACACTCTCCATATATTATGTTTACTGATCCTTTTCATATGCATTATAAATATATTTTTTAATGATTTTATTTATGGTTTTATGCCATACAAGACATTTGCAGTTTTTATGTAGAAAATTGTGTCTTGGTTAAGACCTCTTCTGTCTCTATATTTTGTAAATGTGGTTTCCAACATTTTCTTGCAAGATTTTTATTCTGTGTGTTAATTTTTATGTCTTTAATCCATCTGGAATTTATTTTTGTATGTGGCATGAGAAAGCAGTTCGATTTTACTTTCTTCCAGATGGATAACCAGTTGTGCTACTCCTATTTTCCTACTCAGTAGAACTACCATCTTTGTCATATTTTAAATTCTCATATATGCTGGGATTGATTTCTAGATTGTTCTTTGTATTATTTGTTTGCATATTCCTGTCCCCACACTGTTTTGATTAAAAAGGCTTTGTATTATTTCTGATAGCTGTGAAAGCAAATCTTTGTTTTCTATCTCATACCTTACTTGACTATTCTGCAAATTTAATCTGCCATAAAAACCTTAAAATCTTTTATCCAATCTCACTACCACCATCACCCTATAAGGTTATGTGGAGATTGTTATTTGAATTGCATTTAATTTACATACCAGTTGAAGGTATAAGTTTAACATGTGAGAATGCAGTATGTCTTTTTATTTGTTCAGATCTTTCTTTTCTTTTTTTTTTTTTTTTTGCCTTCAAGAATTCTGAATTGCCTTCATAGGGATCTTGTAGCTTTATTGTTAAATTGGTTCCTAAGAATTAACTTAGCATGTTCACACTACAGCAAATGGAATAGTTTTGTCAGTTTCCATTTGTAGGTGCTAACTGCTACAATAGGGAAAAAGAGAGTGATTTTTACATTTTTTCTATTTGCCTCTTAATATTTTGATTAATTGTCCTAACTTTATATCGTCATCTTTTGAGATTTTCAGGTGTGTAATAATATCAGCAGTAAAAACGGTTTTACCTCTTTTACAATGTTTATGCAGCCTACTACATTTTCTTGGTTTCGTCTTTATATTTTATAGAAGCATTAAGACAATGTTAAATGATGATGGTGATAACTAGCACCCCCATCTAATTCCTGAATTTAATTAAAATGGTTTTAGTTTTTCAATCTTTTGGAAAACATATTCTTTTTTTTTTTTTTTTTTGGTAAACAGTTTGTTTTTGGCCGGGCGCAGTGGCTCACGCCTGTAATCCCAGCACTTTCGAAGACCGAGGCTGGTGGATTACCTGAGGTCAGGAGTTTGAGACCAGCCTGGGGAACATGGCAAAATCCTGTCTCTACTAAAAATACAAGAATTAGCCGGCCGTGGTGGTGGGCACCTATAATCACAGCTACTCGGGAGCCTGAGGCAGGAGAATCGCTTGAACCCCGGAGGCAGAGGTTGCAGTGAGCCAAAATAGTGCCACTGCACTTCAGCCCAGGTGACAGAGTGAGACTTAAAATAATAATAAATTGTGTTTAATTTAAGTGGTTTCCTTCTATCCCTGCTTTGGATTTTTTATTAGGAATGTTACTGAATTTTATCAGCTTTTTCAGGACTATTACTGATTTTCTTTAATTTGTTAATGGAATAAGTTACATAATCTATCAACATGTGATAGACTTCTTATATTGAACTACTACCCTTGGCTTCATGGAATAAATTTTTATAGACCAAGCACCCCTGGTAGTCTTTGTCTTCTGGTGTTTGATTAAGAGCTCCTCAACCCTGGCCTCTAGGTAGAACTTGTCAGACTCAGAGGGAAGAAAGCTTAATAAGTAATCCACAGAGACTCTCATGGCTTCTCTTACCTCCAGTTGCCTGTAATTCTTACAGCTGTTTGGATCTTGTGAATCAAATAAGTTGGAGTTGAAAATGAAGGGGAAACAAAGGCACTTTCTTGTTCCCGGCTTCCAGAATCCTCTTCTGTCCCTTCTTTCTGATGGTTATTTTTTACCTTTTGTGTTGGTGGCTTAGCTTCTTATAATTCAGTGCTTAGTAGCAAAAATTTACAGCAAACTACTTCTTCAGTAGATCATTTTAATAACGAGAGAATAATGAAATAGCAACCTATTCTGATGTTTTTCTTTCCTTCCATCCACTTGGCCTTGCTTATCTTTTCTTAAACTTATCTGCATCATTTTCTCTAGTTTCAACTTCAGTGATAAGAATCTTTAGCAAGCTTTTATCCAGAAGCAAACTAGTAGCAAGCTCAAATAACCAATATTTACATTTCTTTCTTTCTTTTCTTTTTTTTTTTTTTTTTTTGAGACGGACTCTCGCTCTCTCGCTCTGTTGCCAGGCTGGAGTGCAGTGGCACGATCTTGGCTCACTGGAACTTCCGCCTCCCAGGTTCAGTGATTCTCCTGTCACAGCCTCCCGAGTAGCTGGGACTACAGGCATGTGCCACCATGCCCAGCTAATTTTTGTATTTTTAGTAGAGATGGGGTTTCACCATGTTGGCCAGGATGGCCTCGATCTCTTGACCTTGTGATCCCCCCAGCTTGGCCTTCCAAAGTGCTGGGATTACAGGCGTGAGCCACCGTGCCCTGCCAACCAATATTTACATTTCTAATTGTTGAAAGGAATCCCTGGAGGCCCAGCCACATTTTGCTAGTCTGGAAAAAATAATGTATTCAATTATTATGTTATTACTACGCAGATTGTTTTGCTTTTTAATTAACAACTTCTGTCTGGTAGGTTTGTATTATTGAATAATATTTAATCATAAGCATATGCCTGTGGATACCCAACAATAAAAGGAGATCGATTTAGCAAAAAAGAATGTTGGCCATGGAGGAGGAAGCCTGGGTACTAGTTTCAGTTCTGCCGCTTCATTTCCTCTTCTCTGAACTGAGGTAGCTGAGGTAGTCTGTTGATTTTTCCTTAAGCTTTGACATTCTGGAAAATCAGACAGTGTGTTTGAGTCCTGCCCTCCAAAATAGGCCATAATTCCATTTTTTCACAACTGAGCACTCTTGCTGCCTTGTCCTACATGAAAATAGTGGCTGGTGGATGTTAGAACTGTATTGTCTGCTGTCATACAGCAATTGCTACAGTAGGTCCCTCTAAATTATTACTTGTGAACATAATTTTAAGCCCTATATCTTATCCCTGTGAAGTTATTTTCCTTTGTGTGAGTTTATGTAAGTCATACTTGCTGGGAGTTCTAAAGGTTTCCTGAATTATAAGACTGGAAACATATTTGGTTTGTCCATGTTAAAATTGCTATTTGACAGTTTTTGACCCACAAATAGGCAATTTCATATGCCTCGACCTAATAATTATAGGTGAGTTAAACAGTTACCATGCTGGGGTTTTACTTGAAAGATCTTTCAACTTAGAAGCAGAATTGCCTTTTGTTTCATTGGACATTCATTGTTTATTCAATAAAAAATACCTTTTGAATGCCTACCCTGTGCCAACCCTGTGGTAGGCCTCATGGATATGCCCATAAATAAAATAAACTTGTTCACTGGTTTCAGGAAGTCTGCAGTCTAATGAAGGAAATAGACAGTTAACTATAAACAATCATAAAGTTGCATGGGAGTTGTAGAAGAAAAAATATATACTGCTGTACTGCATATGACATGAAGGATTTCTCACCTAAGTGTTCTAAAAGGTCTCTTGCTCAGAAATTAGCCAGGGGTTGGATAGTTGGGGTGGGATAGGGTGCTGCATAACAGATGTGGTCTTAAAAGTCAGAGAGAACAGCGTGTACTCAAGGCAGTTCCATAGAGTGTGAATGGAGGTAAGACCAGAGAGGTGGTAGATAGGGAACAGATCTTTGAAAGCTTCAGAAGGCATATTTAAGGTTTTGGGCAACAGAAGCGAATGAAGCATTTTAAGCAGGCAGGTTATATATTCCGGTTTATAAGGCAGTATGCAAAGTGGTTTCCATCTAAAGGCAAATTGTCTTAATTCAGATCCTAGTTCTGCTGTATTCTAGCCATTGAAATTGGGCAATTTAACATTCATACGCTTTGGTTTCCTTATCTGTAAAATGGAATAATAATAGTTGTAGAGTTGTTAGAATTAATGTGTGAAAATTCTTAGTATAATCCATAGTCCATACTAAGTGTAAATAACTTAATATTATATATATTTTTTGCTTATTATCTGTATTATCAGGCTTAGAAAGATCACTCTGTTACTTGGGCTAGCATGGAGTAAGAATAATTGCAGCGAGACCCGTTAATAATTCAGGCAAGAGATAATTTCAACTTGGATTGGGGTGTAGTGGCAAAGGGATGGGGAAAAAGATGCTATTTAAGAGGATTTCAGAGGTAGAGTCCTTGGCACTCACTTGATGACTGAATGAATGTGGGAGATGAGGGCGAGGGAGGAATAAAAGATGAGTCAAAGTATCTCAAATCATTTTTGGAATGACAGTTACATAAATAAACTCACATCAGCTGCACTAAAATAATATGTTAATTAATCAATGTTTAAAGCTCATTTTTTTTTTTTACTTAATAAAGTTTTATTTTTCCAAATGTAGAGTTGCTTGGACCTGTTCATGCATCTTCACCAGCAGCTGGAGCATCTCTGCCCTTGGTATTTCTGGTGTAAATTACTTGAGCTCTGTGCTTTGAAACCAGTTTGATAAGTCCTTTACTAAGGAGCTCCAGAAGGGCTGCCCTGGCCAGGGAACCTCAAATCTTCAGTCTCTTAGAGACCACAACTGGAGTTATAAGTTTATAGTTGGGAACTTCCTTACAGAGTTTGTCATATGTAGCTTTGTCAAACAAGACAAGGTATTGAGCTTGTCCCTAACTTTGCCTTTGGACCATTTCTTCTTTTTGGCCTTGCCCCCGGGTTTGTTCACTGGGTCTTTGTCTTTCTTGGCTGACTTTCCAGTGTCTGTCTTCTTCTTGTAGTCCTTGGGTGGCATCGTGAAGCTCGGAGAGCAGTGGCGAACACTGCAGCCTTGCTAAGATGTCAGACAAAAAGTGAAGCTCATTTTTACCAAATAATAAGTGGTAGTTGACACTAATGCCCAGAGGTGAAGCTTAGGAATTTGAAGAACTGAGATAATTTATCATCTACAAGTAGTTAAGTCTCTGAATAGGTTGGGAGAAAAAGAAATATAATTTGAACAGGTCTTTTCCTTTTTTTGTTACATTTCATTTCTCGTTCTGCTTTTCTTTTTAAGCCTGTCATTTTGTTATTTTAATTATTTTGGCTTTTAAAGTTGTTTTAATTTCATTAGGTTGAACCATATAGAAATTGGCGTGTTTGCAGGTCAGAAAGTATTTAGCTAGCAATGAAATGGTTAAGTATCGGTAAGTTCGTAATTATATTCTTGTTCTGTAAGAGGTTTTAACTGACATTTTGGGAGTCCATTTTGAGTTAGATTGAGTACCAAAGACTGTCTGAAGGAATGTTGCTCTGATGGCATAAGAACAAGTGGAACAGAGCCCCATGAAGTAGACAACTTCAACCCAGCATCATTCTATCTTGCTAAATCAATATGGTTCTGAGAGTATATAGAAATTGGAAAATTCAGAAAATATAGAAAGCTATAAAGAAGAAAGATTTTTTAATGAATGTTATCCCACCATCCAATAATAGTGTTGATTTTTAATGTATTTCCTTTTAGTCATATATATATAGAAAGTTACTCAGCCTTCAAAGTAAATATAGAGAGAATATATCATGAGACTGCATTATTTTATTTTTTATTGTATTTTTTAATCAGCATATAACATACATACTTATGAGGTATATAAGGATGTTTTGATACATATAGTATATACTGATCAGATCATGGTAATTGTGCACATACCCATCATCTCTAACATTTATCAACATTTATCATTTCTCTGTGTTGGGAACATTCAGTAACCTCCTTCTAGCTATTTGAAACTACATAGTATTAACTATAGTCTTCCTAGAGTGGTATGGAACACTAGAATGAGTCTATGTTATGGTTAAAGACCAAATGTACATGTGGATTTCTGTAAGGATACAAATTTATAGAGCCTCCCCAAGTTGTTAATAAATTGTGTCTTTTGAAGAAAATGTTTTTCTTTAATCCAAAGCAAAACATTTAATTCCTGATTGATTCAGTTAAATGTGGCTATTAGTCTTTTTTTTTTAAAGTTTCTTAAATGAATATTTTGATTTTAGCTCCTAGAGTGGTTTCACTAAAATAGAAACAAAGTTGAAAGAACTGTTACTGTACTAATGGCAGTAATGTAACAGCTTGTAGTTTTGTTGCAATTTTATAAATTTTGAATTCTTTCAAATTTTCAGCCATTGTATTGTCTGTTTTTATCAGCGTAACTGTCTTGTTTTATACATGGGAAACCACAGAGAGAATAAGTTTCATGCCCAAATTCACAAGTAGTAGTAGAAAAGCCTAGACTTTTGACTTTGGTGAACACTTTTTCTGTTTATTGAAATACAGCAGTAACTCTCAAAAATCACTCCTTTATTCCGTATTTATTAAGGTGCTCAGTAAATATGGTTTAAAAATAAAGTCTATGGCAAGTGTATAGAAGTAATCTGATTTGGCTGGAGGGCAGGTTATTTGGGGGAAGTAAAACAGTTGAGATCAGACTAGAAAGGCAGTAAAGGAGCCATTGACTCTTGAACAATGGGGTACAATAATAAAATGTACATTTTGGATATTTAACCAGACAGAAAAGAAAAAATTAGAAAAATGAACAAAACTGTAAGTTTAGGTGGTAATCATCTTCTATGGTAAGTGTATTAAAAATTGAAAGGAGGAAATGCATTTGAGAACTATTGTGGAAATACATTTTCAGGACTTGGTGACTCAGAACTAAGTGCTTTGAGGGAGAGAGTGGTCAAGGTGATTGATTCCTAAGTTTCATACCGGAGTGCCTGGGAAAATGTTGGAAAAATACAGAGGCTTATTTGGTGGGAAAAAGGTTTTTGATTTTAGACATGCTGTGGTTGAAATCTCTACAGGACATCTACAGGACATCTTCCATCTACTGGTGGAAAATGTGTGACTAGCAGGCAAATTGTAGATGGAAAAGGGAGCTTAGGAGTGAAGTCAGGGCTGGAGACCTAGGCAGAGAAATTATTTATGTTGAGGGAATAATTGACGCCATGTCATCATTCCTTCTTTTCAGCTACCTTCAGTGCTTTGTATATGCATAGCCTCAATGTATTTGAGTAATGTGTGACAGCACTGTATTCAGATAGCTGTTGTATGACCTAGAACTGTATAGCCTCAGTAAGAGCAGGCCCTTCAGGATTCAGAGGAGCCCAGCCTTAAGCATTTCAACATGATGGGCAGGAAAACACTGGCTCTTAAGGAAGGCTACTTTAGTTGTAGGAGCAGAAAGTGAGTAAAGTTATATACCCCCTCTGTGCTAGGTGTTGGTAAGCCTTTTTTATATACTTTATTTCTCAACAACCCTGTGAAGTAAGGAGTGTTGTTCTCATTTTACAGATGATGAAACAGAGGCTTAAGAGAGGATAAGTAATATTAGAGCAAGAATTTGAACCTGATTATTGTTCCTTCGATGCTATTGGTCTTTTTACTGTGCCACACACTTCGCTCTGTTTCCCAATAAGACCTGTCAAATATTACTATCAGGATTACGGTTAAATAGGTTTTTTATTTTGGGGCTATGGCCGCGTCTGGGACTGGCCAGACAACTGCTGCTGCTTCAGATTTAAAATGTAATTCATCGCATTCTGATTATGGGTGGCCATTTGTCTGTAATTAGAAAGCATGTGTATAAAATGAATAAAAATGAAAGTTGGATCACATGTTTTTACTCAGTTGCCTACCTCTTGGAATGCTTTCAAATGCCGGCATTTGTTTATTGTCTTTTATTCTGCTGGATACTTTCAATTAATCCTTCTAAATAAAGATACTAAAATTACACATTTTCATAGCACCCAACTCTGTTAGCTGAAAATTGTCATCATTTATGACATTACCAGGAAAACCACAATATAATATGATACAGTTTGCATTGTTTTAAATAGGCAGAAGCAAGATTGTATATTCTAAGATACAAAGGCTTATTTGTACCATGAAACTTCCTGTAATATCCATGCCTGAGTAGAAGAAGGTACATTTACTTTTCTATCTTCTGTTTGTATTCTTGTTTACTGCTCAGCAAATTAGAAGCAAGAAATGCATCTCAAAATTATAGCGTAGTGTCAAATATGGGAACAGTGTAATTTATCTGTGCTATTTGTGTAGTATTCAGAATGGGAGATACTTTATTTTTCTCTTGAAAAAGTGATCTTAAAGTTTCTTGGCCAATATTCAGTGAATCATGAGAGACAAAATTAATGGTGAATAGCCTTCTAGCTAGAACTTCTTGTGCAGCTGAATTATGATTCTCAGTTGCCATACGCCATACACTTAAAGGAAGTTAACATACTTCCTTTCTTTAATATTGCTCTTTGTTCTTTGGGAAAATGCCGTGAGAAAATAGAAATTACCCCTCTGGTAGTGTGTTTCAGTCTAATTCCTGACACCCTGTTCTGTTACTACCCCTTCTCCTTGCTAGCACCCTGAATTCTGCTTATCTACTAAAAGGGGGATTCCAGACAGACGAGGAAACAGCCTTCAAATGGTGCACTGCAGGCATAGCAAGCCATTCCCACACTGTGCAGTCTGGAAATCGGGGCACCTCTCTGACGATGAATTCCAATTAGTTGCTAAAGATGCCAGAGTGTGTGCACGTACAGGCTTTTTCTTTCCCCTCCCCCTTTCTTCCTTTTCCCAAGCCCCCTCTTCTCCCTGTTTCCCCTCCTACTCCTTTATCTCCTCCCTCCGTGTCTTAGTTCTGCAGTACGCGGGTTGAAGCACATTCCTGCTTTGCAAGGCTTTCTGCTAAGGATGTATTGTGGCTTTTGTTTGGATTGCAGCATGCAGAATTACAGGTAACATTCTGAAATTGAACTAAACAGTAAATTCTGTTGAAATGTTTTCAAAGAGGCAAAATATTATATTGGAATCAATGAAGAAAGTAAATTATCTTGGCTAATTTTATTAGTGGTAATTGTAGTGAAAGGTTTTCCTAAATATTATAAGCAAATTCCTTTTCTCCCCCGTCTCAAATGAAAGGAAATGGGGGTAAATTAATCTGACTGTGATTGGTTTTGTTTTATGCTGATCTTGAAAGCTTGATGTTGCTGCTGCTCCTCTATACAGTACAGATCAGTTGTGTGGGGTGCTATTGAGGGTAGCCGTGAATAGTGGTGCCAGTAGGGGTGGAGCGGGAGGGATGATGCCAGCCTGAGCTAGCCAGGTTCTTTGATTAGGGCATTGGATGTGAAATGTAAAATGCTCTCTCCTTTTCTTCTATCAGCTGTTCAGAGGAGACTCATTACAACTCCTGCTGAAGCTCCTAATCTTCTTCCCTTCTCTTCTACCCTTTCCCCCTACCCTCACTTGGCCTGAAGACGTTCTCCCCAGAGTTTACCTTGCTCCCCTGGTGCTATGTGTATGGTGAACCTGGCACTATGGCCGCGTCTGGGACTGGCCAGACAACTGCTGCTGGCTCTCCTTATTCCAGGAAGGATTTAAAGGGGAATTGCACTGCAGGCAATGCACCAGAGCAGCAGCATCAGGAGCTTGGGGAGTAAGGCTCCTCTGGCATTATTACACACATGCAAAGCTGACCGCAATGACAGCAGCTGCTTCTTTGAACTGTTGGCAGCAGCCAAGCGGCAGCATGAAGTGACAGATCACTCCTGAGCTCAAGATGAACTCCACCTTGGATGGTAATCAGAGCAGCCACCCTTTTTGCCTCTTGGCATTTGGCTATTTGGAAACTGTCAATTTTTGCCTTTTGGAAGTATTGATTATTGTCTTTCTAACTGTATTGATTATTTCTGGCAACATCATTGTGATTTTTGTATTTCACTGTGCACCTTTGTTGAACCATCACACTACAAGTTATTTTATCCAGACTATGGCATATGCTGACCTTTTTGTTGGGGTGAGCTGCGTGGTCCCTTCTTTATCACTCCTCCATCACCCCCTTCCAGTAGAGGAGTCCTTGACTTGCCAGATATTTGGTTTTGTAGTATCAGTTCTGAAGAGCGTCTCCATGGCTTCTCTGGCCTGTATCAGCATTGATAGATACATTGCCATTACTAAACCTTTAACCTATAATACTCTGGTTACACCCTGGAGACTACGCCTGTGTATTTTCCTGATTTGGCTATACTCGACCCTGGTCTTCCTGCCTTCCTTTTTCCACTGGGGCAAACCTGGATATCATGGAGATGTGTTTCAGTGGTGTGCGGAGTCCTGGCACACCGACTCCTACTTCACCCTGTTCATCGTGATGATGTTATATGCCCCAGCAGCCCTTATTGTCTGCTTCACCTATTTCAACATCTTCCGCATCTGCCAACAGCACACAAAGGATATCAGCGAAAGGCAAGCCCGCTTCAGCAGCCAGAGTGGGGAGACTGGGGAAGTGCAGGCCTGTCCTGATAAGCGCTATGCCATGGTCCTGTTTCGAATCACTAGTGTATTTTACATCCTCTGGTTGCCATATATCATCTACTTCTTGTTGGAAAGCTCCACTGGCCACAGCAACCGCTTCGCATCCTTCTTGACCACCTGGCTTGCTATTAGTAACAGTTTCTGCAACTGTGTAATTTATAGTCTCTCCAACAGTGTATTCCAAAGAGGACTAAAGCGCCTCTCAGGGGCTATGTGTACTTCTTGTGCAAGTCAGACTACAGCCAACGACCCTTACACAGTTAGAAGCAAAGGCCCTCTTAATGGATGTCATATCTGAAGTGGCTCAGTTACGGGGTTCCCGTGTGTGTGTGTGTGTGTGTGTGTGTGTGTGTGTGTGTGTGTGTATTTTATCTCTAAGTATTCCTAATTCACTAGGAAATCTGGGACAGAATACTTTGACTCTAAACAATAGCATACAAATTATTCGTATGGATACCTTCTAAGTTTGTAGAAATGGTTTTCAAAAGTGCTTGTGAATTAGAAGACTCAAGATCATGAAGACAAATTGCTCTTGCTCTCAATTTTTGAAATGTCTTGGAAATGACTACAGTTCTCAGATTTAAAATGAATAAAGCCATATCTAACACCTCTTTCCAGCTGGCATGACTGAACCTGAGTGTGAAAAGCGTCAGCATTTTAAAAAGTCATCACTTTCTTGTCACTTTCTGGGCTCTTTCCAGCTATTTGGGCTTCATATGCAATTGATTTCTTCTAACGGAATAGTAAAATATAAATGAAAAGGTTTTAGAAATTACTTTTTATGTATGCCAAAGCATAACTACACTGCAAGTTTCAACACTGTCATTTAGAAAGCCAAATGTTCTGTGTTTTATTCTCTTGAGAGAATTCTCAGTAGGGTGAATAATGTGAACACATAAACATTAATTTTAGAATTTTACAGTGAACCATGAAGCAAAAGTGCAATCAAATTATACAATTTATGAAAAACTGAGCTACTTTTTGTGCCATGCTTCACAGAGATCTAAAGATATGTGTGCGTAGAAGTAATCGTGTAGTACTTTTGCCCATGCCTTTGTGTTATGTCTATATTTAGAATATCTGAATTGTTAGATTTCTCTTTTACAGCAAAATGTGCTTAAGCTAAAAAGTAATTCAGTGATAGGCTGTTGGCTGTCCATTTTATAATGGTGACTATATACAAAAATGTGTCTTTAATATTGTCTGTTCTTTCTATTCAAAGACTTCTGAAATATTAGAACATCAGGGAGAAGGGTGTCGGTCATAAGCAACTGAGTCAGAAAGTATACCGTAGTATACAGATTGTTTTTTTAAAATACAAGGTAGTTGAGACATTTTCTTTGTGGTTAAATGGAATCAACTAGTTATTTTTGAAAAGTATTCTTTCAGTTAGTGCTAAGGAATCCACATTTGAAGAGGAGAAGGGAAAACACTTAAGTCTCTTATTGCTATTTTCTCTCTGGAAAAAAAATCCTTTGGCATACAGTTCTTAATGGTCTTTTTTTTTTTTCCTGCCAAAGTACTAGAAAAACCTATAGGATTTTATAATTCTTCTATAGAATTATTATTGAGAGTTATGTGTGTTTGTATGTAGTAGTGATGTTTGTTCTTAAAAGTGATTATCTTTAGAGCAAGAGGTTTATTTTTCTAAAAGGAGAGAAGGAATTCCGGCAGCTCCAGGCACGAGAGTATTTCCTCTACTTTTCTGCTGTTCTGGAAATGTTCTGGAAGTCTTCAAGGGACTTACTTGATCTCTGCCTTTGGCTAGAGGTTGTAATCTGAATGCGACAGTGGTGTTCAGTGAGATGGAAGATGGAAGAAACCCAGGGGACATGGGTTAAAGTGGATTTCTGAATCCAAGAAAGGACATGGATATTTATAAAGCAGGCAGATAAGCTTTGGTTTTCCATCATGATGCCAGTGTTCTTATGATTTTAGGCTTTAGACATCAACTTGATTTTAACCTCAGTTGTGTTCTATTTAAACTTTTTTATTTTAAGTGACTAAGCATTACATAAACATTCAAACTTCAGATTCTGGGTTTTTCCCAAAACCTTGCTTGCTCTTTATGTTTAGTGTTAGCAAATTTTATTCTAAGCTGCTTCAAAATTTAGAACTCATACTGAAATTGCAAGTTATGTTAGAAATGGCTTGGTTAAATTGCCATTTCAAATGGGAAACCTTTTCTGTTAGATTCTGAAAAATGGTTGTATTGTATACATTTTCCCTTTAAGTGGTACAGATCTAAAAAACCAAAATTTACCTTTTTTCATACATGTTAGAGAATGTAACCTGTTCACATTTGCAGTTTGCTTATGAATTTTTAGTTTAGAAAATATGGCAATTTTAAACACTTAATTTTTGTTGAAAAATTGATATTAAATCAGCAGGTTTGATCTTATTTTGTTGTGTGTGTATGTGTTGGGAGAGAGGAGATGCTCCTGGACACAGTAGTGTCCCCTTTAGTGGCTGGGGGTGTTTTCTGTGTGATATATTTGGAAAGTTCATGTTTAACTGAACTTTTCATCCTGGCATATTTAATGCAACATTTGATGACATTTAGTTTAAATACCAGTCTGACTTCAAAAAAAATGTATTTTTAGATTCAGTTACCATGGCGTTGGCGGGATAGCTCATTTAACTTTATATGGCATGTGACTGGTATCAGAGGAAACATATACTTTTGGTGATTATGTTGAAATTATTTCATAGTAAATTTTAAAGTAGGATTATACTGATGTTATATTTGTAAACTAGTTGTATTTTTTAATGCAGTGATTTCAGTGAAAGTGGTTTTTTCCCCCTTCTTAGAGTAGAAAAGCAATTACAAATGGACTAGTGTGCTCAACTTTAGTGAGAGCATTATCCTGACACTAGATTGGATATTTGCGTTTTTTTCACGGGCCTATTGACTCTTACTCAAAATTCCATTTTGGAAAAGGTTTTCTTTAAGCTTTATTGCTGGATAAATTCTTTTCAAGCCTTTTATAATGGCTTTTACTTTTTACTTGAATAATGGTCTCAGTATTTTAAGGATTGGGAAAACTTGAATTTTTTTTTACCGTAAATGCATTGCCCACCTCCTTGAACTTGAAAATGAAGCAGCAGGGTTAGACTCCCAGATGGCCCAGATGGTGGAGTGGTTTCTAGGAGGGTTTCCTCAGCTTTTCAGGTTTGTTTGAAAAATCTGCATGTTGACTTGGTATAGGAATTGTTTTAATTTCACTGAGTATGTTTTTGTTTCATAGTTGTTGGTGAAATTACCAGCAAGCCAAAATGTATTGTTACATGAGCAAATTTTGGGAAATTTAAGAATGGGAAAACTGTGGCATTGAGATTTTTTGAAGTCCTCATAAATCATTTTGTGTGTTGACTTTTGTGTAATTTTTTTCATTTCAGGTTGAAGAAAAAAATATTAAGTATTTATATTAAATTTATATATTATTAATATTATGTTGCAGACCTTGGAAATATTGTAGACATTTCTTATGGCTGTAAACGAGTCATTTGGCCTTTCTTCAAAATTTGCATGACAAAAGGGCATCATATAGTAAAAATGAAGTTGGAACTGAGAATAAAAAAATGTAGGCTTCTGTTTCTAATTAAGTAGTTTTGTAAATGAGGGCAAGTCACTTCTCTAAATGCTTAATTTCTCCTAGAAGGAAATATTGATCCCTTCATACCTCATAGGGTTAGTTTGGGGCTTGCGTTAGATAATAGATGTGAAAGTACTTTGTAAATTGTAAAGTGCTTTGCAAATAAAAATCATTACTGTTATTTGTATCTGCCATTCTTCTACATGTAAGGAAGCCATACATCATGATGTGTTCCCCCACACTTTGATCTTTGAAGCTCAATGCTACACCACTACTCTGTGCTACTTAGCAATCCCAGACTTGAGAAGAGAAGCAAAATAAATGCTCATCCTCCTAAAATGACAGTAGCCTTGAATTCAACATAAAATTGCTTTGATTTACTTCCTTCACTTGTCATCAAACTCTCTGAAGGCAAGGGACAGTGTCTCTTATCTGTCTGGTTAATATCTTTATCCCCACAATCTGACCTAGGACCTGGCTCAGAGCAGAAGTTTTAGTAAGTTTTATAGAATGAATAAATGACTCTGTAATTATTGCATGTAGTCACACCAGCCTTCTCCCTTCTGTAAGGTATTATAGGGCAGTGATGTTTGAAAGGTAGTCCAGAGCCTCATAAGCAACCTTCCATTTGGTCTAGGTTATTCTAGATTTTAAATAATAAATAATATCTCTTTTTGGTATCAAGAGATTAATGTGGTAATGTGAGTCCTCTATATACTTAGATAACTTTGCTTCTGGAAACTCTGTAGCTTCGGCCCAGAGAACTTCAGGCAGTGCTTTCAAATTGCCAGTTTTTCACAGAATGGATTAGGAAATATGTAGTTGGATCACACCTTCTTGGCTCTGGATCCAGATAAAGCTCTGTAAAACTGGTCACAAGGCCAAAGGAACTATAGAAAGCCTTGATGAAAGAAACTTCCTATGTGGTTTTGCTTTTGTCTCCCTTTCAGCCTTTCCCAGTTTTCTAGCTCTGTCTTTCCTTCTTCCTTCCTTTTCTTACCACACTATTGGTCATGTATCCAGAAAGAAGTATTTCCTTGATACTGCCATAGGGTATGGAAAATTGTATTATGTAAGAGCAGTGGCTTTTAGGGAAAGTTTAAGCAATCAAGAAGCACTTATCTAGTAAGTTCTGCTGTGTGCCAGGTAGTATAACTAGCCTCAGAGAGGGATCAAAGAAGGATCATTCCTTTCTTGTAGAACTATATAGTCTTTAGGTGTTTCTTGTGGAAAAATTCTGTGATTATCTGTCTTCCAGGAAGCCTCACTGTTCTCTACTTTATCTGGAAGAATGTACCAAGGCTTCCTGGTGGGCCACCCCCACAGCACTGTTTTTTGTGGGGTACAATCATATGATGCTGGTGTATAAAATCATGTCACTTTATTAGTTTAAGAAGTAGATGCTGGTAATTGAGAGCAGTCTTCTCTATTAGCAGATATTTATGGGAAGCCAAACTGTATTCAGAAGCTTGCTTGGTGGGAATGGAATCTCAGAACATGGTTCTGTAATGTGAACATTATTGAGATCATAGTAAAAGGTGAAATCATCCCTGCTTCCATTATTGGCTAACCTACCTTCTCATTGACATATTACGGTATTTCTTTAGTTCAATTAACTTCTGTTACTTGTCTTTTAGTCAGATTCTTTGCAAGTCTTAGTAGTCTGCAAGCCTGCAACTCATTCTTTCTCTTTAAGGTGCTTTTTATATCCCCAGCCCTATCTTTTATCATAAAACATACTAGTTTTATGATTTTTTTATTATTCAAAACACATCTTTGTTTTTTACGTTAGTTTGAGGGAGCCGCTCATCTTAGTTTTCATGTAGTTCCTAGTTAGAAAAGCAAAATACATGAAACTACCTATAAAAATTAATAGCATCAGATAATTAGGGATGTGATATTAATGTCAGATAATGTCTAGCAAAGGAGGCAGGGAGAGGCAGATGAGTTGGAAAGGACCTTAGGAATCATTTGGTCTGATTCTGTTATTTTGCAGAGGAGAAACCAGCCCAGTGGCCACTGGGTTATCTATTTATGGTAATACCCAGACTTCATGCTTCCTAATCCGTTGCTCTTTTGTAGTATATCATATTGCTTTTGCAGAGGAGTTGGAATTTGACTTGACTCAGCCATGCCATGGGGTGGGCACATGTGTATGTGTGTAATTCTAAGGGTAAGAAGTATGAGCAATAATATAAATGTTAATTGAGACTCTTTATGTTTCAGGAGAATTTTATAAACTTTATGTTAATACTTCCAACACTGTAAGAGCTAGTGACTGTTATTAACCCCATTATACAGATGAAACAGATTTTGAGGTGCCAGAGTCAGACAGCTTATAAGTGGAAGATCTGGGATTCAAATCTAGGACTTCTGACTCCAAAGCCTATGTTCTTGCCTTAATTTTTTCTTATATTCTACATTTAATTTTCACAGCAACCTATCAGGTAGTTATTTTGAATTTTCCTATTTTATAGGTGAGGAAACATAGGCTTAGAGAGGTTAAGAAGCTTCTAAGGTTACATACATAGTAAGTGTTATGATTCAAATCCAATTCTTTGACTCTAAAGCTTGTGTTCTGTACCATTATGTAAGCCTAGGCTTTAGAAACATGACAGACCTCCTGCTAAATGTAGCAGATTGAATATGCATATTTCTGTTAACTCCACTATAAAGAATAGCAAAGGTATAATATGGATAAAAAGAAGGAGAACAGAGATGATGACAGACAGTGATGCCAGCAGAATTTTGGAATATGGAAATTCAGTGGACGAGTAGTAACTGACTCAGCGGAATCAACAGAGCTGCTTTCTAAAGTCAAATGAGGAAGAGGAGCAAAAAGAAACAGCCTGATTTGTCTATTGACCACAGTAACTACTTGGGAATTGGATTGCTAAGATGTCCCTATAAGCATAGAGACTAAAAAACAAGAATTGATAGAAGCTGAAAAACAGAGTAATTGATAGAAAGTTTATATAAGGAATATTTAGACATCATCACCCCTTACTCCTCTTCCCCATCCCACCTGAATCCCCATCCCACCTGAATCCCCATCCCAAGCAGGCAACTGGTTTTCACCATTGCAGCAGAAGGTGGGAGATTTACTCTTTGGAAAAGCTGAACCACTCTAGATGCCAGGCATAGCTGAGAATGGAACTAAAGGTGTGCTTTGTTGCAAACATGACTGCTGTAAGAAAGTCTGTGTGTTAAATAATCAGCCCCCTTACCACACTACACTCTCAGAATGTTCTAAGCAGGATATGAGAGGAGTGTATTCTCGGGGCTGACATTTGAGGGCTCAGAAACAAAATAGCCACATTCCCTGCCTGGTCACTTTAAGGTGATGCCCATCAATCAACACATCCCACCCATGCACACAGAGCTCACAGTTTTTTATTGCTTCACTTTTAATATTAACAGACAGCCAGAGATAATTGCACTTTTGAGAAAAAGTTCTCACATAAAGTACAGAGCCCAAAACAATCAAGCAAATGACAGAAATCAGAAGAAACAGAAAGAATATAGGTTGCTGAAGAAAACAACCAAAAAACCCAACTGTAACTAACATTCTCAGAGAAGATTTTGTATCCATTAAAGCAGGGGAGAACAGAGTGCAGTAAAAATGAATAGGAAGAGAACAAGAAAGAACTCTTGCAATTTAAAGTATAATAATTTTTTTGTTTGTTTCAGTAAGCAGGCTAGAAAATGAAGTAGGTCAGATAGTGAAACAAAAAGGCAGAGAGACAGAAAATAGATGAAAAAGCAAAACAGTCGGAGGTTTAATCAGGGAACCCAATAGCTGACTAACAGAATCTTCAGAAACAGAATAGAGGAAAAGAAAGGAAGAAATTAATAAATATCACAAGAAAATTTTCCAGTGCTGAAAGATACGTGTTTTCATAATGAAAAGGCCCATTTCAGTGTAATAAAAAGATTCACATGATGGCAAATTGTTATAAAATTTCAGAACAATGGGGATAAAAATTCCTAAAAGCTTCTTGAATGGGGTGGGGCATGGATGGTGGAGTCTAAACATACAAAGTATAGGGATTTGAGTAGCAGAGGACTTTTTGCCACAATAAAGCTAGAAGATAATGGGTAATAGCTTCAGAATTTTGAGGAGAAGTGATTTCCAACCCACAATTTTATGCCCAAACTGTCATTCAAGTGTGAGGGTAAACTAAACTCATTTTGAGGTCTGCAAAATCACAAAATATTCACCTGCCTTAACGTACTTTCTCGGGAAGTTACTGAAGGATATGCTTCTCCAGAATGAGGGAGGAAATAAATAAAGAGATACAGAATCCAGGAAACAGGGTCTCTGACACAGGAGGATGGTGAAAACAATTCCCACAGGAAGGAAAGCTCTACGAAAGCAACTATGCAGGAGACCTAGAGAGCAGCCAGTCTAAATAGGAGCAGGAACAAAGAAGGCACTAGGAGGTATGTCTCTAGGAAAATATAGTTGGGATTTTCACCATGGTGAGAAGAATTTAGTTTTGTGAGATTTTTAGGGGAAGAATTGGTGATAGATACATAGAAAACCAAGGAAAAGAAAAAGATAGGCAATTAATAACTTCAGAAAAAAATAGAAAATTGAAGAAAGGAAATAAGATCATGACATACTCTGATTCAGTTATGTGTTGCTGTGTATAGTTTGGTGTTTAGCCAAAAATGATAGCAACACTGTTGACAGGGTGAGGGGAAGGGAAGTGTTTGGGGGGTGAGGGGAAGGAGGGTGGGTGTAACAGAGCTACAGTAGCATCTTCCATAGTGTAAACTCTGAAACTGATGTCTAAAGTGGAAAAACCCAGAAAATAGCAACTTAAGCATTTTATTCAGAAGTATGAATTAAAAACAAACAGCTTTAAAAAAAGGAGAGGTGAAAATGGTTGCCTCTAAGGAATAGGGTATGAAGAGTGAAGGGAATTTCATTGTAAGCTTTGTACTGTTTGACCTTTTCACTTACGTAGGTGTATTATTTTCTTTTTTTTTTTTTTTTTTGAGACGGAGTCTCACTCAGTCACCCAGGCTGGAGTGCAATGGCGCGATCTCGGCTCACTGCAAGCTCCGCCTCCCGGGTTCAGGCCATTCTCCTGCCTCAGCCTCCCGAGTAGCTGGGACTACAGGCGCCCACCACCATGCATGGCTAGTTTTTTTTTGTATTTTTAGTAGAGACGGGGTTTCACCATGTTATCCAGGATGGTCTCGATCTTCTGACCTCGTGATCCGCCCATCTCGGCCTCCCAAAGTGGTAGGATTACAGGCGTGAGCCACCGCGCCCAGCCAGGTGTATTATTTTCTATGAAAAGTGTAGACCACATTTAGGAAAAGAGATGTATTTTAACAGAAGTAAAGGGAAATCGGGAAGGAGGCCCAGGTATAGAACATTACTGAAATAGTAAATGGGGGCATAATAGCACTATTTTACCTATGGTTCTTTACAAAGCCATTTCCTATTAATTGTCTCATTTAATCCCCCTAGAAGTATAGGCAAAGTTAATATTGTCCCTCTTTTCCAATTATGGGAATGGAGTTTTGGGTCTTTAAGACCTTTTTGGTTTCCAGTCTGCTGTATCACTACGCCTCCATAGGTGTCTGTTTGGAACTTTTCAGATTTTGTAATTTTGTTTTTTACCAAGAGAAGACAGAAGGTGCTGGAATGCATCCTTCTTTGACATCGTGGGAAGGAATATAGGAAAACACACGTACGTGTGTGTGTGTGTGTGTGTGTGTGTGTATGTGTATGTATATGAGTATGTGTGCTGGTACATGAGTATAATACAAGACATGGTATTGTGAAATGATGAGAGGAATGCAAAATGCCATGTAGTGTTCAAAGGCAAGGAGGTGCCTGTTAAATAGATTTCCTTAGAAGGCAGTGTGAGAGATGGGCTAGGCTCAGGGTGGAGTAGAATTCCTATAGTCTGATTCCTCTCCTCACCCCAGACCCCCTCCTTGAATGAGATTTCGTAAAGTATCCAGCTGGACAGAATTAAAGGAACCCAAAGGATCAACAGACTAAAGACTGTAATGAAGTGATCTACAATTTAACAAACAATATATGACATGAGAAAGCCCTTTGCAAATTAAAAAACCTATCTTTACAAGAAATTATTATGATTGTAGTTACTTAATGAAAGATTTGTTGGCTTGTTACAAAACGACTGAATTAGCTTTGAGCAAAATAT
The DNA here is from genome assembly GCF_000001405.40 of Homo sapiens. NCBI lineage: Eukaryota > Metazoa > Chordata > Mammalia > Primates > Hominidae > Homo > Homo sapiens. The sequence goes on from NC_000009.12 coordinate 123,045,106, forward strand.
AAAAGTAATCATATTTTCAAAGTAAAGTTTTAAATTCTGTCTATCAGCTTTCAGCAAATACTTACTGAGTTGAATTGTTAAGGCAATATTTTGGGGAGAAAGACAAAAGTTATAGCATTTAAATAGCATTATTTATTTTGAAAATTTCTTCCAGAAAAACGGAGGAAACCTCAACTGCCAAAGCCATTTATTTTTAGCTAGACGAAAAAATAAAGTTTAAGAAGGCCATTTGTGGGTCTCTTGTCTTTATTGCCTCTGGGGAACTGAATCAGACTAAAGCCTTTTTTCATTTATAAAAGTTCCCCTTCTTCGTGGTATGTATTCGTAGGAATCTAAGTCATTCCTACTTAAGTTTTGTTAACATTATATATCATTAACATCATTTTATAATACTGAGGATGTGTATTGTAGCCTATAGAACACTGGAAATAAAGTTAAAACAAAATGTAGATCCTAGTTCTGGCAGTTAATTAGGTAATCTTAATCTGTCTGAATGTTAGAAGGATCTTCATCTTTGAATGAAGATGACAGCAGTATTATAGGAGTTGGTTTAAGATCAGTTGCATATTATGTTAATAGTAAGGCTTTTAAAGTTGTCACTGTGATTACTTCGTACTCTTGGATCATTTTTTTCCTCTGAGATAAAGAGGAAGGTAGTGAAAAGAGCATGGATTTTTGGAGTCTTTGGCCCTTGGTTTTCTACTCTGCAAAATGGGATAATACTACCTCATTAGAATTATTGTGAAAATTAGGTACTATCACATCTAAAGTATGTAAAATTGTACTTGGGGGCATTGTAGGAACTCAGTAAAAGATTTCAGCTATTATTTCTTTGCCACACAGAGGTCAGATTCTTCCAATGACTTCCAGGTCCTGCAAATTGGCACATACCATCAGAGGAAAGGCCTTGGGTGAATGTGGAGTGGCCTGGTGTGCTTCCTTCTCTCAGGGATGGTAAATCCCTTAAGTACTGCCTTGATAGTTAGCTCCAGTTCTTCAACTGATGTTTTATGTATTTTGTCCTGCTTTTGTAATACATTTTGCAGTAGGGTTAGTCCTATACAAATCTCGGACATTAGGATACACATACAATACTTGGATGTACTTCATCAAGGGAATAATAAGTCATTGGGGTTTACGGTAAGAATTTTAAATACTTCAGGAGGTGGAAAGGAAATTTGAGGCTGAAGCGGTAAAGAGGGGTCACTTTAACCAAACTTTAAAAATGAGTTGGTCTTATGCAGAAAATACAATTTTGGCAGCTCCTATTTTAAGCTTAAAAGGCCTGATGAAGGGGGGCTGTTTATATACTTAAGGAATAAGGAGACTGTGTAATGTGTAGTGGCCAAAAGTATGTGCTTGAGAGGCAGACAGACCTGGGTTTGAATCCTAGCCCTGCCACTTACTAGCTGTGAGACCTGGGGCAAAGTACATAATCGTTCTAAGTCTCAGTTGTCTTAACTAATGACACTGTCTCATGTGAGTATTGTAAAGATTAAATGAGCTAATGCATGTAAAGCTCTTAGCGTAGTGCTTGGCATGCAGTAAGCACTCAGTACATGTTAGCTGGTACAGCTGTCTTGTGAATAGGGTAGTATGGATGAAGCAGAAGTTTTAAGTTGAGATATAAGGGAGAATAAATTCAGAAAGATAAACTAGTGATAGCTGGTCTGGAATACATGGCTAAGGGATTTAATTCTATTTAGGAATTGGAGGTAGACTTAAGACTTCTGAGAAAATGAATGACATAAATATAGAATCCTTAAGTGACAGAGCTTAGAAGATCCCTTAGCAGACATAATCTGGACTCCTACTTTCACAAACAGGGAAAGAGAGACCCAGAATAGTGACAGAGTTAATTATTTGCAGAACTAGGACTAGAATCCAGGTATTAAACCTCCTTTAGACTCAGTCATTCCACTAGAATAAGTCCAAAGGGTTATTCAACATTTGTCAAGTGCTTAGAAAATAGGAGTTTTCAGCAGGTTTGGAAAAAAAGGAAACAACTGTTCAGAGTTTGGTTTGTGTTAAGTAAAATCAAAGAATTGTCTTTCCATTGGTACTTTCAGCCAAACGAGTTAAGATTTTCTTTCAGTACTAATCAAAATGTTCTCTTGATCACTAGTAACAACCTCAGAAATGTTTGTTCGAGGAGGTAAAAAATAAATGGGTATTTCTAGAATTCTTTCATTGGTATTTATAATTGTACTGCTAGTGAGTTTGAAGGGTAAAGTTTTTGCTTAAATAAAATGGAAGATCATAAGTTGTCTAGTAACTTTTAAAGTAGCTGTTTTCCAAGAATTTTAAATATGAAAATATAAAAAGTTTAATTCTAGGAGAGTCCTTTAAGGCATTACTACATAGATACTAATATACTTTGCTTGGGATTATTTCCTATGTGCTGATAAGTTTTAAGTTTTTTAGTTAATAGAAAAAGATCTGGTTTACTTATAGCTTTATACTTCTAAAATAAGATAGCTTTTAAGTATTGTTTTTTGATACTTATTAAGATTCTTCCATAGAAAAATTAAAATCTTCAATATGATTTTTCTTATATGTTGAGCTCAAGAAAATATTTTTGCCTAAAAGCTTTATAAAAATTCAAAATTAAAATAAAGGTTGAAACCTCAGAATATATACCTGTAGCCTTTGAATATGGGTGTGAATGCAGACCTCTTACGGAATTCTTAATGCAGTGCAGCAGTTCACTGATGGAGCTGTTACATGACTGGTATCATTCAAACACAGATTTTCATTTAATATTTGTTAATTGTTATAAGAGCAAAAATATCTAGCCATTTTACAGCTGCTGGGTTTTTTTTTTTTTTTTTTTTTTTTTTTTTTTTTTTTGAGACGGAGTCTTGCTCTTGCTGCCCAGGCTGGAGTGCAATGGCGCGATCTCGGCCCACTGCGAACCTCCGCCTCCCAGGTTCAAGCGATTCTCCTGCCTTAGCCTCCTGAGAAGCCGGGATTACAGGTGTGCATCACCACGCCCAGCTAATTTTGTATTTTTAGTAGAGATGGGGTTTCACCATGTTGGCCAGGCTGGTCTCGAACTCCTGACCTCAGGTGATCCGTCCATCTTGGCCTCCCAAAGTGTTAGGATTACAGGCGTGAGCCATCATGCCCAATCAACTGCTGTATATTTTTGCTACTCAATAGACACATTTAAATCTCTGATTTGTGACTTATTTCAGAAGAGAAGCTAACTTTGTAAAGTAAAACTGAGTATTTGTTAGCATTTTGAAGCATTTATAAGCATTTTCTTGGAAATAATCCATTGATTCGATTATTTAAAAATATAACTTGAGCAATATGAGACTTGGTCCTCTGTGTGTCTGTGTGTTGCATGTTATTAGTAGGTGATTTTGAGAAGATTTTATCCATAGCATACAACGCTTTACAAAATCTTTAAACAAATAGTACAAGTCAAACAATACAGTACGTATTAAGCTGTACTAAGAGAGCATTTGATATGCAGTTTACTTGGTAATAATACAATGAAATAAGTATTTGGAAGTTCATCACAGTTATCAGAAACATTTGTTTGGAATATGACTTTGCATATAATAATTTTATGTCTTAGTTCACCCATAAATTACCTTCCCCCTTTGACTATCACCACCTCTTAAATCAAAATGATATTTTGTGTGTTCACTTTTGTCAGGTAACAGTACTTGAGTATTTCCTGCTTCTTGGGCCTCTCCATGATGGATTGCTGTGAAGGAGAATCAACAATAGCAAACCAGGAAAAGGTTGACAGTGCAGTTAGCATTTATGTCTTATTTATACATGATTTGGGACCGTTTTGCCAAACATTGAATAATTTTCCTGTGGGAAACTTGAGCCCTAAAAGGAAATGAACATAGCTAAAAGGCTGCATATCACATGGGACTTAGATTTATTTTTAGAATGGCACTATAATGCCATATTTGGATTGAAACAATGTGATAGCAGTAAAATATTTCATTAAATAAAGAGCCATCTTTTCTGAGGAAGTCATCTGCTTTTCTATTTCAACGTGTGGTATAGATTGAACATAATACTTATATAATCATTCAGCTAATATAATTCTAAAGTATATGTTAAAGGAGCTTATTTGGCAAACATTTCTAGAGCCAGCTTATTGAGTCTGGTGTAGTAAAGGTTCTGTGACAGTTCAATGATTACAGCATATGGTGTTTTTTGTTGTTGTTGTTGTTGTTGTTTTGTGTGTTTGGAGTAAGTTGTTTGGAGGGGAAAAGAGTAAAGGGAGTAGAGTCATTTGGAATGTTTATATTATTTTTCTTGAAATGGATGAACTCCTTACTAAATTAGACAACGATAATAGAGAAACCTAGATGGATTTTTGCTTCTGAGAAATGATTTTGGAAGAAAAAAGATAATCAGCAAAGGTATTTAATATTGAGCTCTACAGTGTTTTCATTAGTATGGTTCATAGGCTAAAAAACAAAATACTCTTATTGTATCACTTATGTTTCAAGTATCAGTTTTTCTGCCACCTGATTTCTTTATAATTTCATTTGGTTTAAATGTGATGTTCATAACATTCAGGAGATTTCTGAACTGTATACTGTCTAATTGCAGATCCCCGACAGGGCACTAAGTCCCAAACAGGAAAACTTGCCAAATACAGATTTTGTCCCTTGGCTTCTCTCCCAAGGTGGGAAATATGCCAGCATCATAAATCTCAAGTCTGTTGAGAAAGAGCTACCGCTGATATACCAGGCCTTAAGCCACCAGCTTTCCATGCAGTATTTCATTTGCTTCTCATAAACTGTGAGGCAGGGACCATTGCATAGATTTTATAGATAGGTTTGTTAAGGTTCAGATTAGTTAAATGACTTGCCCAAGGTCACACAAATTAGTAAGTGGGAGAGGCAGTACCCAGAGACAGAACAGCCTGGCCCTAGACTTTGTGTTCTGTTGGTTGCATTGTGATCTAAGTAGAGCACCTAAAGTCCATCGTCTGCATTCTTTGTCAAAAGTCCAACTCCAGTCTCCACACAATTATGACCAGATTCTGAAATGCCTTTAGTTACCTCCATGTTCATGGGTATCTAATTCCAGTCTGCTCTGTGTGATGTGTTGGAGCTTTGGAGTAGAAATTTTAAAGCATTAATTACTGAATACCTAAACAATATGTCATGTATTTAAATGTATAGAGATCAGTTTACTATTTCTTTTTGGTCCAGGTTTTGAATTGTTATTGTTAATCAGTGGCAGTTTTACTGCAAGTATGGTTTTTGCCTTCAAGAGCAAATCACCAGGGTAAATACACAAAGCAATATCTACACACAAATCCAACTTCCACTAAAATCCCTGCTGTTGCACTGGTGTGGAAGAACAGCATCACAGCACAGAGAGGTCCCATGGTTCCTAGTTGAAAATACTGACTTAAAGGGCAGTGTTGCTAGTCATGTAGGGACAAGTAAAAATGTGTTTGTTTTATATAATTACATTCTTCAGAGCTAAATTAAGATGAAGATGTTTTTGTATTGTCAGTGTTAAGTGAGCCCACCAATCGATACCTATTTCTATAATTCTTACTGATTTGACTATGTAATTGACTTTGAGAGGCTTTAATTTGTTTGATACAAATATACTATAATTCCTATTACTGATATACAGGCTATGAGGTCCTGTATTATGTAAGATTGAGCTGCAGATTTGATTCCGAGCCTCCTGAAGGCCGAAGCAAAAATGAACATTGGATCATTTCCATGGGGAAAAATATGTATAATTTTTTAGGAGAAACTGTTTTTTGATGGGGACACTGAGTAAAGTGGTAGATGTCCTCACCACCATGAAATACAAAGTTTCAATAGCAGGGTTTTTTTTGTTTGTTTGTTTTCTTTTTTTTGACAGGGTCTTAGAACATGCTAATACCACAACTTAGTGAAGGTAGTTATGTGAAAGGCCAGGATATTGTGATCTAAAAATATATCTATCTGGTGGTCAGCCTTGAAGAAAAAAACTCAGAACATTGAAAAGAATACTCAATTTTTTTTTTTTTTTTAGGATCTGAAATGGTTAAGATACATGCCCCCAGCATTCAGCGACTGTGCCTTTTCTTTGAGGAGCCACATGTTGTGATTTTATTCACCTTGGTTTTTTTTTTTTTTTTTTTTTTTTTTTTTTTTTTTTTTTTTTTTTTTTGAGACGGAGTTTCACTCTTACTGCCCAGGCTGGAGTGCAATGGCGCGATCTTGGCCCACTGCAACCTCCGCCTCCCAGGTTTAAGGGCTTCTCCTGCCTCAGCCTTCTGAGTTGCTGGGATTACAGGCATGTGCCACCACGGCTGGCTAATTTTGTATTTTTAGTAGAGATGGGGTTTCTCCACGTTGATCAGACTGGTCTCGAACTCCCGACCTTAGGTGATCTGCCCGCCTCGACCTCCCAAAGTGCTGGGATTACAGGCATGAGCCACCACGCCTGGCCTCACCTTGGTTTTATGTTTAAGAGTGTCATATATTTCTCTGGCTACATGTTACTAGGGCCTTTAGTTATTTCTGTTTTTCATAAACACTGAGCAGCCTTCATACAAGCAAGCATGTTCAAATGAGTAAAAAGGAAAGCTTATTTTCAAAGTCTGTGTCATACCAATTTTAGTTATAAGAGTCTAGAAGAGAAAAGCTATTTTATTTTATTTTATTTTATTTTATTTTATTTTATTTTATTTTATTTTATTATTATCTTTTTATGAGACGGAGCCTTGCTCTGTCATCCAGGATGGAGTGCAGTGGCGCAGTCTTGGCTCACTGCAAGCTCCGCCTCCTGGGTTCATGCCATTCTCCTGCCTCAGCCTCCTGAGTAGCTGGGACTACAGGCACCTGCCACCACGCCCGGCTAATTTTTTTTTTTTTTTTTTTTGTATTATTCGTAGGGACGGAGTTTCACCGTATTAGCCAGAATGGTCTCGATCTCCTCACCTTGTGATCTGCCCATGTCGACCTCCCAAAGTACTGGGATTACAGGCGTGAGCCACCACACCCAGCCACAAGAAAAGCATTTTAAAAAATATATTAGAAATTATAACTCCAACTCAATACTGATAAGAGAATATTTTCACTTTTACAATATGTTCATTTGGATTAAGAAGGTGAGCTAGGAAGCCAGACCAGCTGGGTTCCAGACCTAGCTTCCCACTTTCTAGCCAAGTGATTTAACATTTTTCCTCATTTGTCAAGTGGGGGAGATAATAGAACCCACCTCAAAAGGTTGTTAAGATAGACCTACATGTTGTTACTTAAATAATTATTTTTAGGTCTGTGAAAGTACAGCTGGCAATAGAAAATTTCTTTTAGATCTTTTAGATAAGTGGCTCTGAACCTTATTATGTGTCATACATCCTTTTGAGAATTAATTTATTCAGTAAGTTTTTATCGGGTGCCTACTTTGTGTCAGATACTCTTCTCTGGGCTTAGAGATATACGTGAACAAAACAGAAATCTCTGTCTTCATGAAGCTTAACATTCTAGTGAATATGTTTAAAACCCTGAGCACTCGTCTGAGAAAAATGTGCACAAAACTTTGCATACAGGCTGGGTGCGGTGGCCCACGCCTGTAATCCCAGCACTTTGGGAGGCTGAGGTGAGCAGATCACTTGAGGCTAGGAGTTCGAGACCAGCCTGGCCAACATGGCGAAACCCCATCTCTACCAAAAAAAGAAAAAAAGAAAAAAATTAGCTGGGCATGATGGTGCACGCCTGTAATCCCAGCTACTTGGGAGGCTGAGGCAGGAAAATCTCTTGAACCTGGGAGGTAGAGGTTGCAGTGAGCCAAGATCACGCCACTGCACTCCAGCCTGGGCAACAGAGTGTGACTGTGTCTCAAAAACAAAACAAAATGAAACAAAAAACTTTGCATACAGAGTCAGATAATTTATGGAAACCCATAAGTCTGTTTATTAAATCTCAGGCTAAGAATACTATACACACCTTCATTTTATTTTGTCATAATTCTTGTGAGGCATTCCTTAGATGGGTTCAGTATTTAATTTTAAAAGACAAAGCTATTAAGAGAAAACATAATGTTACTGGGTTTTTTTTGTCACTTTTCTTGGCTCTATCAAATTAGAAGTGCTTGAGATGTGACATGACCAATTGAAATAACATTTCCAGATTTTGCAGACTTTTGTAGGACCATCTTGGTTTTACCCAGACATAAGACATCTGTTTTCATAGGCTTAACAGTCTTATTCTCATTCTTTATTTTGCTCAGTTCTACTTCCAAACATATGAAATGAAATGACAAATGACATGAGTGCTATGTAATTAGGAGAGAATTATTTTACCTCAGAGAGATTTTTCATCCTCATTTATTTTATATTAAGCATAGCACACTTTCAATTTCATTTTCCTTCTTTTGAATTTTTATCCCATCTGTTTAGGGGATTTTAAAAACTTAGTCTTTAAAATGACTTCTGATAAGCAGTAGCTGACTTTTTTAAAAGAAAATGTAACCAAAAATTGTTACTTTATTCCTGTGAAGTATATTGTAAAGATAGGACATGGTATAATGTATTGGAGTGGGTTTTGGTGGTGTTTTTGTTTTATTCTGTTTTCTTAACTGTTACATGATGGCATTTAATAAAGCATCTGTAACATTCTGGATTAATCTTAAGAAGAACTAACTTTTTCTTTGGGCAGCAAGCTACTCTGGAAATAATAATTTTCCCTATGTTGGTTATTTCTCATGGCAGCCTTCCACTGCATTTTCTTTGTTTGGGTACTTTCTTTTCTTCCTGCCGTTCTTAGCTTTCTATTTTTCAACTTGAGTTTACAAAAGGATGTGTATTCAAAGGGTTTCCTACAGTTCCCAGTACCTTGTTAATCCTGAGAAATTACCCAGTGAGCCAATTCTCACAGTAAGGTATAAAAATAGTCATCCAGAAAGATTACAGAATGTGGTACCACTGTGGTTTTAACTAATGGAAGACTTTTAAAACCAAGATGGGGAGAAGAAAACAGCACAAATGTTACTATTTCCTTCGATTTTTATCTGCACAATCTATTTTAGGAGAGCCTTCAAATTTAAAAAAGTAATAGAGCTTCACCACTGCTTTATTGGATACACTCAAAGATCATCATAATTGGGGACAAGAAAGAAATCACCTGCAAATAAATCACAAGAACAGAGCCTACCTGTGATTACTATTGAGCATATATCCACAATGTTCATTTAACCAATTTTATTCCACAAATTTAGTCCAGCATTTTATTGAGTGCTTTAATAAGTTCTGGTGTGTGAAGTTGGGTGGCTTAACTTCTCTAAGTCTGAATTTCCATATTGTAGAATAAGGAAGTAATTAACCTTTTTTTATTTTAATAAACTTTATTTTCAAGAACAGTTTTAGATTTACAGAAATACTGTAAAAATAGTACAAAGAATTCCTGTATACTCTGTTATTAACTCTATTATTATTACCTTGTATTATTATGGTACATTTATTATAATTAATAACTCAATATTGAGATGTTGTTAACTAAATCCCAAACTTTATTTACATTTCTTTAGTTTTTATCTAATATCCTTTTTCTGCTCCAGGATTCCCTCCAGGTGAGTGCACTACATTTAGTCCTCATGTTTCCTTAGGTTCCTGTTGACTGTAACAGTTTCTTAGGCTTGCATTGTTTTGGATGACTTTGACAGTTTTAAGGAATACTGCTCAGATATTTTGTAGAATATCCCTCAAGTGAAATTTGTCTGATTTTTTTTTCATGAAGTCATGAATTTTGAGGAGGAAGAACACAGAGGTAAAGTGCCATTTTTATGACATTAATGGTACATGCTGTCAGCGTGACATCAGTGTTGACCTCAATTATCTGGCCAAGGTCATCTTTGTCAGTTTTCTCCACCATAAAGTTTCTTTTCTCCACCATGTCATACTGTACTGTACTCTTCTGAAGGAAGTCACTGTGCACAGCCCACACTTAAGGAGTGGGGAGTTTTGCTCCCCTTCCTTGAAGGTGAGGTATCTACATAAATTATTTGGGATTCTTCTGCATGGAGGATTTGTCTCTTCTCCTCCATTTATTTATTCAATCATTTATTTATGTAAGTATGGACTCCTGGATATTTCTTTTATTGATTGATTGACTGAAAGTAGGGTCTTGTTCTGTCACAGAGGCTGGAATGCAATGGCACGATCACAGCTCACTGCAGCTTTGACCCCCCAGGCTCAAGCAGTCCTCCCACCTCAGCCCCCTGAGTAGCTGGGACTACAAGTGCTGCCATGCCTAGTTAATTTTTTTGTGTTTTTTGTTTGCTTGTTTTGTTGAGGTTTTATTTATTTATTTATTTTTGTAGAGATGGCATTTCACCGTGTTGCCCAGGCTGGTCTTGAACTCCTTGGTTCACGCAGTCCTCCTGCCTTGGCTTCCTAAAGTGCTGGAATTACAGGTGTGAGCCATCATGCCCAGCCAGATATTTCTTCTTCTTTTTTTTTTTTTTTTTTTTGAGATGGAGTTTAGCTCTTGTCGCCCAGGCTGGAGTGCAGTGGTGTGATCTTGGCTCACTGCAACTTGCGCCTCCTGGGTTCAAGTGATTCTTCTGCCTCAGCCTCCTGAGTAGCTGGGATTACAGGCTCCTGCCATCACGCCTGGCTAATTTTTGTATTTTTAGTAGAGACAGGGTTTTGCCATGTTGGCCAGGCTGGTCTCGAACTCCTGACCTCAGGTGATCCGACCACCTTTGGCCTCCCAGAGTGCTGGGAGTACAGGCGTGAGCCACCGTGCCTGGCCATTTATTTTATACTTATATAACCCAGTTTATTTTGTTGCTCAAATTGCTCCAGCTTTGACCATCGGGAACTCTTTCACTTGGCTCCCACGTCCCTTTGGCATACCCCTATCAATGTAGGTTTGTTTTCTTTGTGGTGTGGGTGAAGGGAGACTATTTCCTATTTTTGGCCAATACAAGATGTTCCAGGCTATCTGCCCTGGTCCTAGAATCAGCCAGCCATTTCTCCAAGGAGGGTTGGTTCCTTTTGTTAGTAAATGGTATTAGATACCAAAATATAGATGCTAGGTGTGCTCCTTGCTACTGGATGTTTTTGCTTCTAGGCCCTGTCAACTGATAGAGCAAGCAAATATATGTATGGTAATATCTTTTTAAATGTTGACAGCAAATCATGTATTGCAGTTAGAATAGGATGGAGTCAATAAACTTTATGTGCAATTTTTTGCAACTTTAGATTCCATTCTTATAGACTAGAAGGAGCATAGGACAAGTATACAAATGACTATTCAGAAACAGAGTAATTGCTGTAAGAGTGGTATCAATGTGGTTTGTAAGTTGGTACAACTTTTCTGGAGGACAAATTGGCAGGGCCACTCAAAATCCAAAAACAAGGATTATGCTGTTTCTTTTTTCTTTTTTTTTTTTTTTTTAATTGATCATTCTTGGGTGTTTCTTGCAGAGTGGGATTTGGCAGGGTCATGGGACAATAGTGGAGGGAAGGTCAGCAGACAAACAAGTGAACAAAGGTCTCTGGTTTTCCTAGGCAGAGGACCCTGCGGCCTTCCGCAGTGTTTGTGTCCCTGGGTACTTGAGATTAGGGAGTGGTGATGACTCTTAACGAGCATGCTGCCTTCAAGCATCTGTTTAACAAAGCACATCTTGCACCGCCCTTAATCCATTTAACCCTGAGTGGACACAGCGCGTTTCAGAGAGCACAGGGTTGGGGGTAAGGTCACAGATCAACAGGATCCCAAGGCAGAAGAATTTTTCTTAGTACAGAACAAAATGAAAAGTCTCCCATGTCTACTTTCTACACAGACACAGCAACCATCCGATTTCTCAATCTTTTCCCCACCTTTCCCCCTTTTCTATTCCACAAAACCGCCATTGTCATCATGGCCCGTTCTCAATGAGCTATTGGGTACACCTCCCAGATGCGGTGGTGGCCGGGCAGAGGGGCTCCTCACTTCCCAGTAGGGGCGGCCGGGCAGAGGCGCCCCTCACCTCCCGGACGGGGCGGCTGGCCGGGCGGGGGGCTGACCCCCCCACCTCCCTCCCGGACGGGGCGGCTGGCCTGGCGGGGGCTGACCCCCACCTCCCTCCCGGACAGGGTGGCTGCCGGGCGGAGACGCTCCTCACTTCCCAGACGGGGTGGCTGCCGGGCGGAGGGGCTCCTCACTTCTCAGATGGGGCGGCTGCTGGGCGGAGGGGCTCCTCACTTCTCAGATGGGGCGGTTGCCGGGCGGAGGGTCTCCTCACTTCTCAGACGGGGCGGCCGGGCAGAGACGCTCCTCACCTCCCAGACGGGGTTGCGGCCGGGCAGAGGTGCTCCTCACATCCCAGACGGGGCGGCAGGGCAGAGGCGCTCCCCACATCTCAGACGATGGGCGGCCGGGCAGAGATGCTCCTCACTTCCTAGATGGGATGGCGGTCGGGAAGAGGCGCTCCTCACTTCCTAGGTGGGATGGCGGCCGGGCAGAGACGCTCCTCACTTTCCAGACTGGGCAGCCAGGCAGAGGGGCTCCTCACATCCCAGACGATGGGCGGCCAGGCAGAGACGCTCCTCACTTCCCAGACAGGGTGGTGGCCGGGCAGAGGCTGCAATCTCGGCACTTTGGGGGGCCAAGGCAGGCAGCTGGTAGGTGGAGGTTGTAGCGAGCCGAGATCACGCCACTGCACTCCAGCCTGGGCACCATTGAGCACTGAGTGAACGAGACTCCGTCTGCAATCCCAGCACCTCGGGAGGCTGAGGGTGGCGGATCACTCGCGGCCAGGAGCTGGAGACCAGCCCCGCCAACACAGCAAAACCCCGTCTCCACCAAAAAAATACGAAAACCAGTCAGGCGTGGCGGCGCGCGCCTGCAATCACAGGCACTGGGCAGGCCGAGGCAGGAGAATCAGGCAGGGAGGCTGCAGTGAGCCGAGACGGCAGCAGCACAGTCCAGCCTCGGCTCGGCATCAGAGGGAGACCGTGGAAAGAGAGGGGAGAGGGGGAGAGGGGGAGGAGGGAGAGGGAGAATGCTGTTTCTTTAGGGAAATTGAGTGATTGTGGAAACTGTCTTTTCTCCCTTAAGAATCACTGTTCTACTTTACAACCTTGTTTATAGCAAAAGGGGTAGAATAGCTGCATATCCCAAAGCTGGAGATTTTGGCAGAGTAAATTATGGTATAATAGTGTGACAGGTTACTGTGCATTAAAAATACTAAGGTAGGATAATGGCCAAATAATATGAAAAGATACAATATTTTGTAGTTAGCAAAAAAAAATTTTTCTAAAATCTACACTCATTTTATAAAAATAAATGGTTATAACCTAAAAAGTTTGGCATATGCGAACCAAATATTAGCCATAGTTATTATCTGAATGGTAAAATTCTTCTTTTTCCTTCCAGTATTATTGTTACAAAAAAGCAAAACAATTTTATTAAAATAAGAAAACAAAAAGGTTTTATTATACTAAGAAAGCCAAAAGTTAGATTTTTTTTTTTTCCTTTTAAAATGCAGTAAGGTATATCATTGATTTTAGGTTATGTTTGGGAAAGAGATTTGGATTTTAGCATGAGGCGTTAATTCTCAGTATTTGTTTAGTGAATAAATTTAAGAAGTGCTGATATTTTACAGTATAGTTTTAAATAGAATTACTTCCAACAATGCCCAAATTGTGCCATGCCAGTCACCCCTTTTTCTCTTGAAGTTTTCAAAGAAATATAAACACAAGGAAGAGTGACAAGTGGAAAACAAGGTTTAATTTGTTAACTGGGAGCCACCAGCAGCACATTGGACTTGAATATATGTCTGGGTTTAAAGGCCTTTCTCTTTGTAATGCTCCAGTCTTCCCCCAGCATGCCCCAGATACTCAGGATATTGCAGCATGCATTTGAGAGAGAACAAAATGTCCTGGGTGCCTTTGTCAGCAGTGACCCTACTTACTACATGGTTCAAGTGGTATTCTGAAATCAGATTAGTGTTCAGTCTACTTGTGAAGTGGTCAGTATGAAGGAGAAGGCATGGACCTCCTCCTGTATACATAGTAATAATGACTCATAAAAGTTTATGACCAGCAAAATGATCTGATTGGTCCATGCATTTCAGAAAAATTAATCAGACACGGTTGTGCCAGTAGAAGTAAAGAGATAAAGGAAGATCAGTGTTATGGTCTGAATGTTTATGTCCCCCCAAAATTCATATGTTAAAACCTAACCATGGCTAGGCAAGGTGGCTCACACCTGTAATCCCAGCACTTTGGGAGGCCGAGGCGGGCGGATCACGAGGTCAGGAGATCGAGACCATCCTGACTAACACAGTGAAACCCCGTCTCTACTAAATAATTAAAAAAATTAGCCAGGCGTGGTGGCGGGCACCTGTAGTCCCAGCTACTCAGGAGGCTGAGGCAGGAGAATGGCGTGAACCCGGGAGGCGGAGGTTGCGGTGAGGCGAGATTGCGCCACTGCACTCCAGCCTGGGTGACAGAGCGATACTCCGTCTCAAAATAAATAAAAATTAAAAAACAAAAACAAAAAAAACTAATCACTAATGTGATGCTGTTAGGAGATGGGGCCTTTGGGAGGTGATTAGGTCATGAGGGCAAAGTCCTTATGCATGGGATTTGTGCTCTTATAAAGAAGAGACCTAGAGAGCTGCCCTGCCCCATATGAGAACACAGCAAGCACATGCCACCTATGAGCTGCAAAGCGACCCTTCACCAAACACTGAATTTTCCAGCATCTTGATCTTGGAATTTCCAGCCTCCCAGACTGTAAAAACAATTCCTGTTGTTTATAAGCCACCCAGTTTGTAATATTTTGTTAGAGTAGCCCAAAGCGACTAAGACAATCATTTAGGCTGTTATATTAGTCTTGGTAAGATGAAGCATGGGTCTGCCTTTGGGTGATGCACTAGAAGTGGAAAGGAAGAGACAGAATCCAGACTCTGCAGAAAGATCTCCAGATCAGTGATGATTCATGGTAGCTAGAATCAGAAACAAGGTGGTAAAACCTGCTGCCATTCACAAGAATAGAGAACTGTTGAGAAATGTTGGTGGAGGGAGGTGGGGAATGTGAGATTACAGTTTTTGTGAGTGTAGTATAATTTACATACAATAAACATACACCTTATGTGTTCATTTTGATGAGTTTTGACAATTTCTTATATTTGTGTAAACACCAAAGAAAATATAAACATTTCTGTCATCTCAGAAAGTTCCCTTATGCCCCTTTTCAGTTGATTTCCCTCCCACCCCCAGGTAACCATTTCGGTTTCTGTCACCATGGGCTTTTGCTCAACATAATGTTTTTGAGATTTATTTGTGTTGTTTCATGTATTAGAGGTTCATTTGTATTGCTGGGTAGTATTCCATTAGATGGATATACCATAATTTATCACTTTTTCTGTAGATGGACATTTGAGGTTTCTAGTTGGGCTATTACACATGAGGGTATTAGGAATGGAATTGCTGGGTCATGGTAGTTAGGTATATATTTAACTTTCTGGGAAACTGCCATGTTCTTTACCAAAGTGGTTATATCATTTACACACCCATTAGCAACCATTGAGAGTTCCAGTAATTTCATATTCTCACCAACATTTGGTATTTTTATTTTAGCCAGTCTCATGTGTGTCAGTTTGTGTTTATAATTTGTGAGCTGTATATACTGTTTATTTTGCTGCTTGAAATGTCAGGGACTATATACCACTACAATTACAGGGTTTTATTGAAACGTGTACTACACTGCATAGACAGGAATATACAGACTTTTGCAAAATGCAGCAAACATTTTTAACATTTGTTATTATGTGAAAAAAGTACAAAAGTGTTCAAAGAGATATACATTTCAAGTTGTAGCAGGTTGTGACAAAGTTTCTGAGGGCAAAGCATGTATAAAATTAATAACATGTTAGTATATTTAAAATCATAACAAAAATCTTCTCTCTGGTCATGCTGACCATAACAAATTACTGTGTTGTAGTATACTTATAACAAGGGTTAACAAACTACCACCTCAGGGCCAGGTTCAGTTTGCCTCTCACTTTTGTTTATTCATTTTTGTTGTTGTTGTTATTGTTGTATAAGACAGGCTCTCTCTCTTACTGCCCAGGCTGGAGCACAGTGGCACAGTCTTGGCTCACTGCAACCTCTACCTCCTGGGCTCAAGGGATCCTCTTGCTTCAGCCTCCCGAATAGCTAAGACAGGTGTATGCCAGCACGCCCGGCTAATTTTTGTATTTTTGTAGAGATGAGATTTTGCCATGTTGCCCAGGCTGGTCTCAATCTCCTGGGCTCAAGTGGTTTACTCGCCTCGGCCTCCCAAAGTGCTAGGATTACAGGCATGAGCTACTGCGCCTGGCATGCGCTTGCTTTTATAAATAAAGTTTTGTTAGGACACAGCAGTGCTTGTTTATTTACATATTGTCTATGGCTGCTCTACAAGGGAAGAGTTGAATAACTGCAGCACTGAATGGCTTGCAAAGCCAAAAATTTTTACCTGACCCTTTATAGAAGAAGTTTGCAAGATGGCAATAGTGCATAATCCTATTGCATTTTTGTTTTCTTCTGGAAATTAAGGGTGTTTTTCTTGGGATAAATGAATTAGCCAAAACACAAAACCAGTTGATCAAACAAAACAAAACAAAACAAAACAACCCACCTCTCTTATAACAGCAGTAATTTTCAGAACGTAACAACTGACAATACTTTTGCCATTCATTCCGTGTTCTTTTAAAGTCACCATCTGTGCACTGTTGCCGTAAGTACATTTATAAAAACTTGTCTGTTAAGCCATTATACTAACTACAGCCTCCTTAAGAGGATGTATTTGGTTGACTTGATCAGTTTGGCCACGAATAGTGTTACATGTGTTGCATTGGCAGGCTCTCTACATCAGTTACATTTATGTTTAACTCCTTAGAAATAAAAGGAATATGGCCGGGTGTGGTAGCTTACAGCTGTAATCCCAACACTTTGGGAGGTCAAGGCGTGCGCATCACCTGAGGTCAGTTGAAAACCAGCCTGACCAACGTGGAGAAAACCCGTCTCTACTAAAAATACAAAAATTAGCCAGGCGTGGTGGCACATGCCTGTAATCCCAGCTACTTGGGAGGCTGAGGCAGGAGAATCGCTTGAATCAGGGAGGCGGAGGTTGCGGTGAGCCAAGATTGCTCCATTGTACTCCAGCCTGGGCGACAAGAGCGAAACAAGAAAGAAAAGGAATATATATTGTTGTATAAAGCTTAATTTTGTAAGCACTTGCTTTGACTATTTTGAAAAGCTCTTTGCTTTTTTTCTCTTAGGGGATCATCCATAATGTTGCTGTGTTTTATTTTCAGAACCTTTTCAAATTTAATGTCATTCTGATAGGAACTTACTAAACTCATCATTATTAGAATTTCTGCATCACTTTTGCATGATGTGGCCTCCAGCAAGTCAAATGAATTTATTCCAAGTTCTTCAGCATATTTCCTTAAGGCCAAATATTTTAAGCAAATGATTCACATGGAACTCCTCAATTTATTATCATTCTTGAAGGCATCAAAAATTGAGTGTGAATTTTCAAAATGACCTTCTTTTAAGGGCATTTTGCCCCTTCATTCTCTGATAATTCCATGATTAATGGATATGGGATGGCAAATTGACAAGAACTGGCCCAGTTATAGAGAGTACTTTCAGTTTTTTGTTATTTTTTACGTCCTGTGTACAGTTGAATTTCTAAATCTCGTCTCCTCTCTCTCTCTTTTTTTTAATTGAGACAGGTCTCGCTGTGTCGCCCAGGCTGGAGTGCAGTGCCACGATGTTGGCTCACTATAGCCTCTGCTTCACTGGCTCAAGCGATTCTCATGCCTCAGCCTTCCAAGTAGCTGGGATTACAGGCACCTGCCACCATGCCTGGCTAATTTTTGTATTTGTAGTCAGAGACAGGGTTTCACCATGTTGCCAGGCTGGTCTCAAACTCCTGGCCTCAAGTGACCCACCTGTCTCAGCCTCTGAAAGTGCTGGGATTACAGGCATAAGCTACCATGCCCAGCCCAAATCTCATATCTCTAATAACTGTATCCTTTTTCAGGTTGTCATCTCCGTAATCAGTGTGATATGATTGATGTAACTGGTGTAAAATATTTTGAACGTTTCCATATTCCTCTCCATTCTCAATTTAATTTCCTAACCTTCGTAGTTGTCTTAAACCACAGTTTATCATTCTTAGCATTTTTTAGAGCTTCTGTTGTTGTTTTATAGAATTCCTAAATTCATCTGATTCTCTCTGGATTGTTTCCAGTTTTGGCTGTTAGGAATAAAGCTTCTGTAAACATTTGAGTTTAAGTCTTTTCATGCATTTATATGTTCAGTTCTCTTTGGTAAATACCTAGGAATGGAATCACTGGGTTGTATGGTAATTATGTGTTTACTATTGTAAGAAACCACCAAACTGTTTACAAAGTGTTTGTACCATTTTGCATTGTATAGGAGTTCCAGTTGTTTCTTATCCTTTGCCAACACTTCTTAATTTTAGCATTTTGTAGATATGTAGTGGAATCTCATTGTGGTTTTAATTTGCACTGCCCTGAGGGCTAGTAATGTTGACATCTTTTCAAGTGCTTATTTGCCATGTGTTATATCTTCCTTAATGAAACACCTCAATCATTTACACATTCCCACTTTAAAAAATTAATTGTCTTTCTCATTAATTTGGAGAGTTATATATTCTGGATACAACTCCAACTTTATTATCAGATATGTTTTGTAGGCATTGTGTCCTGGCCTGTGACTTACCTTTTCATATTTTAAACAGTTTTTTGAATAGTAAGATTTTTAAATTTTGATGAAGTGTCCAGCTTGTCGTTTATTTATAATTCATATCTCATAGCGACCCCTCTTCTAACTCTTCAGCTCTCTGTTCAGCATATTCCTCACTAGCACTCTACCCTACAATTCTAGCTACCTTGCCCGCCCCAAAATTTGTGTGCGTGCTCTCTCACTCGCTCTCACTCTCACTCTCGCTCACTTCGCTCGCTCTCTCATTTTCTCACTCTCGCTTGCTCTCCCTCTCTCTCCCACTTTCTCAACTTTTGAAGATACCTCCAACGCGGAGCTCTAATTCAGTCTGGAAGCTGCCACCATGTAATTAGCTGCTGTAGTCATAGATCTCCCTTGGATTTTTTCCTTTTGTTGAAGAGCACCACAGTCCTGAGCTGCCATTAACTGTTAAGACTATGTTAATAACTAGAAGTAACATATGCCACTAAAGCTCTTTGAAAAGCAATTTGGCGACATCCTTGAAGGTATAAATAGTTTACTGTTTAAGAAGGAGCATAGGCTTTAAAGTTAGTTCAGATCCCACAACTATAAAATATTCATGGCCTTCGGAACATGATTACCCAAAAGGCTAGAGAAATTATTGGACAAGAGAAGAACATCACTTGCATTTTTCATCTTAAAACAGAGGTATCATGTTCTTTGGTAGTATACTGATTATGATGTATTCTTACCAAGGGGAATCAACTCTATTGTCTTAGCTATGAAGACACTGCATTGTTAAAGTAGAAGGTCATATTTCTGTGTTCCAGTTCTTTACTGTGTCAGCAAATGAAATTTAACAAGGGGAGAATATTAGAAATAACTGGGTGCTTGGTGTATTTTACAAAGGTTTGTTGACATTATTGACATTTGTTCCGTTTTAGTTAACTCATTATAGAAGAGGAAACAGTTTTTGTCCATTGGAAAAAGCAAAGGATATTTTCCCATAGCCTGTTTGAATCCCTTGGCATTTGGTGGTCTTGTTCATACTGAGTAGATTGCTTTGTGCATTCTTATGCCATTTGCCTCTAGGACAAATCCCAATTAAGTAACTACTCTTTTCCATTTGAAAACTGGCATATGGGCTTCATTCCAAAGCATCAATTAAAGCAGCAGTTTTTCTACTGGGAGCACTTTACCTCCTCCTTTTGCGATTAGTTTGAGTATTTTCCTATAGGAAATCCATTCTTAATAGCACATTTTCCATCTTACAATAGAAGGGTCACCAGCTGCAGTTCTTTGCAGTAAGGATGGAGTATAATATGGAAGTGTATAGAGTGAAATGGGTTGCTTTTCTTCCATCTTTTTTCCCCCTTTACATTTGCTTTTGCTTGAGTGGTTGGTCCCTGAAGAGGCAGTAACTATGGGCATACATATGTGTATGTATGTCCCTGCAACATTTAAAGTGTGTAAATGAGAAGACCTTGCCTAAACCTGAATAAGAGTTTACATGATTAACCTAACTAAACCCTCTCTTTCCTTATGTTTCCACAGGAGTCTCCCCAGGACAGTGCTATCACCCGGGATATTAACCGAACATTCCCAGCCCATGACTACTTTAAGGACACAGGAGGAGATGGACAAGATTCCTTATATAAAATATGCAAGGTATTTCATGTCAAAAAAAAAAAGGACTCAATTCTGAGTGGTGGTTCTACTTTGAAATTACATAAGAAACAACTACAAAGTGTAATTTGTATTTGATGTTCAAGAATTCCAAAAAGAGAAAAGACATTGCAAAGTCAAAGGTGAGAACACAATTTTAGATTCATTAAAGAGTAGAAAATAATAAGAAATAAAATGGTAGGGTTTCCTTTCCCCTTCTAATCAGGATTTTTAGATGACAGTTCCCTGGCTCCACATTTAGACTTTCAAAATTTGTTTTTATGTTAAGAACCTCTGAGCCCTGTGACACTGCAGACTCCTTTTCAGTATTCACTTTATAAGTGATGAACTTGGCACCTACGGTACGGTCTCACAGTGGGAAGTGTCATTGCCCATCCAGGTGTACTTATAGCACTGCAGCATAGTAAATGATGGAAGATTCTGATTTCTCTCAAAAGGTCTGTACCCGAACACTAAAGGAAGTAATAGCCTGTTCAATTTCCGTATTCCATTTTCAAATAGATTTGGCACATTAGAGCTATTGGGTTATAAAAGGAGGAGATAGGAACGGAGTTTTTCAGTCTTCATCTGTTCTCAGAATTAGTCTTCAGTCTTTTCCTCCCAAAAGTAATCAAGTACTTATTTAGCATCTCCTATGTAGTAAGTACAGGTAAGGCATGAGACATGTCGCTAATGCTATATGACAACTGGTTTTAGGACAGACTAGCAGTAAAGGATAGGCTCGCCAATGAAAAATTCGATGATTTAAACTACAAGGACAGTTGAGTTTAGAGAAATATTTTTTAGATTTCATTTTAACTTTTACATAGGATACAGATTTCTGTGGTAATCTTTCTTTCTGATCATCCTTTTTAGCCCCTTCTCAGTTTTATTTCCTGCTTAAGCAGTGACCCCTGCCATCTCTCACTTTACTACAGAATTTCCTAGAAAGAAACGCTATGTCCACTGCCTCTGGTCCCTCGTCACATACTTTTGACTCCACTATATTCTAGTTCCTATTTCATGGTGCTCTTCCTTGCAGAGCTTTCTGCTCTTGAGCATAAGACATGTCACTCTCTTGGGTACGGGCTCCCTCTCATGCCTTCACTGACTTCATCATTTTATCTCACACTACCTGCCCCTAAACCAGAGGCCTTCCTCTGGGTGCTCAGTTGGGTAGTTTGGCTAGCTCTACACCATCTCCCTGGGTGATCCCTTCTACCCCCAAAGCTTCAGCTATCATCACTGTACAGATGTTCACAAATCTACATTAACTCAAGGTCTAAATTTCCAGCAGACAATTAGTCTCCATGTAAAAGTCTGTCAATTGTATCAAACAGAATGGGTTTAAAAATACAGTTCATTTTAAAACATGGTTTATTATGAAAAATTTCAAACGTAAACATTAATTAGTATAATGATTAGTCTAACTGATAAGTATAGTTAATATCCCCCACACTAATTATTTATCAATGTATTGTCACAGTTGCTTCATCTTTTTTTTCCTTTTTTCTAAAGTACTTTAAAACAAATCTTAGACATCATGATCCTAATTTTTTAATACTACATCTCTAAAAAATAAGTTTATCCATCTTTACCAATTAATTAGTAGCTACTCCACATTCAAATATCCTTAATACGGCTAGTTAGAATCAAGAGCCAATAAGACCCACATTACATTAAGTTGTTGTCTCTTTTTAAATTAAACATAGTCCTCCTTTTCTCCCATACCATTGTCCTGCTGCAGACAGTCATTTCTGTTGGTTTTCAGTCCTGTCTTTGTCTAGGTTGAGTTAGATATGACTGATGTCTCTCTTAGCTTCATTCTCTCTCTTCACTGCCCTGGTACAGGCCAGTATCTTACATTGCTGGCAGTTTTACAAAAGCTGCTCTGCCTTTGGGTTCTGGCCTGTTGATTCTTTGCTCCTTGCCTAACGCAGAATTAGATCATTTCAGTGGCCTCCACAGAAACCTTTATAACTGCTACTTTATAACCCATGGAATTAAATGAAAAGTCCTAGTTCATTTCCCTGGATTCCTTAGCTTAGTGTTGAAGATATTTTGTATTATATCCTGACTTAGCCCTTATTGCTGCTTCTCCAAATATTGTATGCATTAACTACATTGAACTTCTCACTGTGCTCTGGTTGATTCACTTGTCTAACTTCCCCACTGAACCGTGATGTCTTCAAGGGCAGGGATCATTTCTTAGATATGGTAGCATCTGTAGCACTTGGCACAGTGCTTGGTCTATAGTAGGTGTTCATTAAGTGTTGATGAATTAGTGAAATGTCTTTTCTTCCCCCAGATTTCGTTACAGCCAACATGAAACTTATACTCCAAACATTTTCCAAATGTATCATATAATTTCACACGTATATGATTCCTTTATCGTCCATCAGCCTGAAAAATATGCTCCCCTCCATTTTCTACCTATAGAAATTCAGTACAGTTTCATCCTATTATTACTGCATAATTGGTGAAGCTCTGTGCTGAGCATGTTAAATGAGAGGACTAAATGAGAAGAATACATCAACTCTGTGTTATTAATACTAGGCTTATTCTCTTATTACAAATAAAGTAAGTTACATGCTCAAGATTCATATCTAGGCTGGGCGCGGTGGCTTATGCTTACAATCCCAGGACTTTGGGAAGCCAGGGTGGGTGGTTCACCTGAGGTCAGGAGTTCGAGACCAGCCTGGCCAACATGATGAAACCCCATCTCTACTAAAAATACAAAAATTAGCTGGGCATGGTGGTGGGCATATGTAATCCCAGCTATTTGGGAGGCTGAGGCAGGAGAATTGCTTGAACCTGAGAGGCAGAGGTTGCAGTGAGCCAAGATTGTGCCACTGCATTCCACCTCGGGTGACACAGGAGACTCCATCTCAAAAAAAAAAAAAAAAAAGAAAAAATCCATATCTAGACATTGGGAGTTGTGGGATTTTAACCCAACTCTGACTAACTCTAAAGCCTCTGTTCTTTTGTAACTGATAAAACTGTTAATGGATATCTTCAAAGACATTGCCTGTTTTCCAGAGAGCTGTGTTAGCATATATTACTACTCATTTTTAACACAGTATTAATACTGGTAATAACATTTGTTAATTGTTATTAATTTGATAGGAAAGTGGTGCCTCGTATTATAAACTGATCATTTCTAAAGCCCTTTTTGCACATCTTGTCTCTGGAAAAGTATGTATGTTTCTCATCCTGTAGCCTTCTTATCAGATAAACTGAAGAAATGGGTGTGGTATAATAAGATTACATTGAATTCTACGAAAATTTATTAATGCGTGATCATAATGTATGTATTTTTAAAAGCTATAGTTTCACCAAAGCTAGTGATAAAACTTGGTTGCATATTAACTTGACTAGCATCTAATAAGTATTGGCACTATATTTTGCCAAGAGTTATATATTCTAAACATACCCAATTCTAAGTTGCTTTCTTGGGACACAGAGCAACTTTGGCACAAAAAATAAGTGGAAAACAAAGGGAGTTTCACAAGAAATAAATTTGTCAAACAAGGAATAGCATGTTGAAGCTATAGGAATTTCCCTTTCTACCACATTTACATGAGAACTGCAAATACCAGTCATAAAAACAGAACTCTGAAAAAGAACTAAAAAACCAAAGAGTAAACCATGAAGAATGTTAGATGTCAATATTCTATTCAAAATAATGTTCAGAGGAGATGGGTAGTAATCATTTGCTGCCAAGAAAAATAAAAATAAGAATTCCAGAGGAACCCACAAATGGTTTCAGAGTAATCTCACTTATCAGAAAAGTTATTACTGGTGTTGTGGAAAGAATTATATTTTGGTGTCTTTGCCAAAAGAGCTTTTCCCAGAAAGAAAAATGAATAACATTAACAGTGTTTCGTGAGCGCATGCTGTATATGAGGTGCTGACTCAAGGTTGAATAGAACATCACCCTGTCCCTCACAAAGCCTACCATCTGGCAGAGAAGATGGACATGTAAAATGCAGTGTGGGGCTGGGCTTGGTGGCTCACGCCTGTAATCCTAGCAGTTTGTGAGGCTGAGGCAGTAGGATCACTTGAGCTTAGGAGTTTGAGACCAGCCTGGGCAACATAGTGAGACCCTGTCTCTATTAAAAAAAAAAAAAATGCAGTGTGGGCCAGGCACACTGGCTCACACCTGTAATCCCAGTACTTTGGGAGTCCAAGGTAGGAGGATAGTCTGAGCCTAGGGGTTAGAGACCAGCCTGGGCAACGTAGTTGAGATCCCATCTCTATAAAAAATTTTTAAAAATTAGGCAGGCATGGTGGTGCAAGCCTGTGGTCCAGGCTACTCAGGAGGCTGATGGAGCAGGATCCCTTGAGCCCAGGAGGTTGACGCTGCAGTGAGCCATGATTGTACCACTGCACTCCAGCCTGAGCAACAGAGCAAGACCCTGTCTCTAAAAATAAAATAAAATGCAATGTGGTAATAATATAATAATAACCATGCATGTATAGCAGGTGCCATAGAGGCAGAGAAGAGAGGAATTCATTCTGGGGGAATTGAAATAAGTTTGGTGCCTGAAGGAAGAGTGCATGTTTGAGGCAGAGAGGGAAAGGACATCCCAAGGAGAGGGAACATCATGAACAACAACAAGGAAATACGAAGTTTTTTTTAGCGCAGAAGTGGTTTTTCCTTAATCTTCCCTACTCCTTCGCCACAGGAAATGCAGTGGTGATAGCTGTATTCATTGTAAAGAAAAAGTTAAGATTGGAGAGAAGTATTGGCACCACTTACTGTCTGTCAAAATGCTGTCCCAGTGTGGGTAGCATCCTCCAGGGTTCTGTATTCAAGGTCCTATAGTGCCACCATGGCCCACAAGTGGCTACATTCATTTACATTTCCTCTGTGTGTTTTATTTTCCAGGCTTATTCTGTGTATGATGAAGAGATTGGTTATTGCCAGGGCCAGTCATTTCTTGCTGCTGTGCTCCTTCTCCATGTGAGTAATTAGGTCTCTGTTATGACTTAACACATGGCCTCCCTCAGCTTATACTAACCTTAGGCTTGAGCATGGTTTTATATTGGGTTTGGACAGACTCTTAAGGCATGAATTTTAACACCTATAGCTGGAAACTTTTTCCTTAAATTAACTTAATGTCATTGTGGAGGAGATATATGATGAGAATAAACGGCAATGTTGAAAACTGGTACAGGGGTAGACTTCCTTTTTATTAATAGGATGATTGGAGAGACTTTAATGTTGGTTGAACTCTTGGGGACGTTTTATCTTCTCTAAAGTAGCCGCTGTCATTAATACTTGTTTTGAGATTTAGGTATTGGGGTAGGAGGAAGGCGGAAAAGTTGGTTTTCTTTTAGTACCATTTTATTCATTCATTGGCTTAGCAAACACCTTTGCCCTCCACCTTTTTTATTTTCTTTCAAATCCACAGAAAACTCTAAACAGTGTTAAGGTGAACAGTCTTTATCTAGTTTACCAATTAATATTTTCCACACTGCTTTTTCTGTTTGTCTCCCTCTGCATCTCTTTTTTTCTCTTTTCTGCATAAACACACATTTTCTTTTTTACTTAAATTGTTTTTTGAAATTATTCTTGAAAGTAAATAACAAACATCAAGACTTCTAAATACTTGATCATATATATGCCTTCTGGGAGCACAGAATTCTGTATCATAATCATAATACCATGATCACATCCAAGAAATTCCACATTGATTCAGTAATGTCTGATACACAATACACATTCAATTTTCTCCCAATTGTCTACTCCATAGAATCTAGCTTTTTTTCTAATCAAGATCTAATGAAGATTCAAATATTGAATTGTCATTTCTCTTTATTCTTTTAATCTAAATTACTCCTTTGCCTTTTTTTGTGTTTCATGCCATTGATAGTTTTGAAAAATTCAGACAAATTGTCATATAAAATGTCCCACAGTCTTGATTTGTCTCATTTTCTCATGATTCAGTTTAAAATGCTTGGCAAGAATACCACACAGGTGATGTCAGCAAAGAGTTTTGAGTACCTGTTATGATCTGTACTGTGCTGAAGATCAGAGGTAAATAAGAGACATGGTCTCAATCCTCCTGGATACAGAGCTTGTGAATCCAACTAGCTTTAAGCACATAATCACACAAGTATATCATTTATTACTTTCAGTGGTGCTATTAAGGTATAATAAAAAGTTTGGTGTAAGATTGTAACAAGGGAGTCTTACTTAGATTAAAGGCTTCTCAGGGGAAGTGACCTGTAAGGAGCAGCCTGGAAAATGATAAGGGATATCATTTTCTTTTGCTCTTTTCTGTGTTAACTTTTCAAAATGTTGTTATGAAAATAATAGATCTATTTGAAAAGGGAGTAGAGAATAGAGTGTTAATGGGAAAGTGAATGGTACAGTATACAGAAGTCCTAAACTGGGGAAACACTTGGTGTATGGGAGGAACTGAAAGGAGGACAGTGTGACTGGAGTATCCTGAGTGACTGGGAGTTGAGGAGAGAGCTAGGGAGAGCTTTGAAGCCCAGATAAGGAGTCTGAATCTTGCTTTTCTAAGCAACAGGTATTCAAGGGTATTAAGCCATTTTGTGTAGATTGCAATACAAGTTTGAGTATCCCTTATTTGAAATGCTTGGGACCGGAAGTGTTGTGGATTTTGGATTTTGGATTTTGGAATATTTGCATTATACCGGTTGAGCATCCCAAATCCAAAAATCCAAAGTGTTCCAATGAGCATTTCCTTTTAGCATCATGTCAGTGTTTAAAAAGTTTCAGATTTTGGAGCATTTTGTATTTTCAGATATGGGTTGCTCAACCTGTACAAGTAAAACAAAAACCACTTTGGTTTTTCTTAACTGAACCCAGCTTGTTGCTATTGGTAGTCATGTAAAAATATGATAAAGCTATGACATGAATAAAGAGGTTGACTTTTTATTTTGTTTTGTTGTTTTAATGAGACTTTATATCTCAAAGTCCCACAAGCCTGGGTGATTTATCTTCGTTCTCACCTTCAGTTCAAGGACATTTATCCCCTTGAAAATGGGTTTTCCAATCAGACCCTCCATGTCTTGTTTTGAACTCTTGCTGCTTGCCAGAGTGTTATAAGTGCTTGTTTAGAGTGAGGGGAGATGGGCTACTTAGCATCAGAATCACCACTGTGGGTTAGGCCACATCTCCTTGCATGTGGCAAAGTGAAGTTGCCTTCCATGACAAAGACTTCAAAGATCTGGGCTTTTGCCCCAGATACTCTTAACTTACCAGTAATGATCTGCTATGCTTTTCTCACTTATTACTTAATCTGATTTGCTCTTTAGTTCTGCTTTCTTCTCAGTGATTTCTGTGCTCAGCCCGCCTCCATCATCTTGTTCCATAGAAGCCTGCCCACCTTCTTGACTTTTTTGAAGGCTTGCTACATTCACACCAATCCTTAAATAACATTTCCAGTGCTTCTTTTTTCTCTTTTGAAAATATCTTGCCAAGTTCTCAGGGAAATAATTATCCATAAAACTATGGAAAATGTAGGTATTATTATAAATGTAAATAGAAGTGAAGGAGGCTTTTGTAGTACTTCAAGCATTACTGCAAGCCTTAGAATATGTAAGGTTCTTCTAAAACAAGCTATATTTTTAACAGTGAGGAAGAAAAACAATTTTGCTAGAATGAAATAGCAGCTAAGGGAGGAAAAATGGTTAAACAGAGGTCCCAGGATTTGGGAAAGATGACACCTACACTGTATATCAGCCTATTTCTGCTCAGCTCAAATTCTGTCCTTTCTACAAAGTCTGTTTCTGACTGCCTTAGGCAGATACAGGCCTTCCTGTTCTTGTATTATCACTGATGTCTAATTCCTATTACAGTTATTTTAATACTGGCTGTGTGAGAGACTCCTTGAGGACAGGAACCATACTGACAAAGAGTAGTCATTGTTAACTATTCCTTGTTTGAGTGAATAAATGTTTTAAACACAACCTTAGGCCTGAGTTTCTGCATAGCACTAAATTTTCTGGTAAGGCAATAATATAAAGCTGGATTTAATATCCTGAGAAAACTTCTGTATGTTTTGTGATTCCCCACCGCCATCCTCCCTACCCAACAACTTGCCTATCTGTTACAGATGCCTGAAGAACAGGCATTCAGTGTTCTGGTCAAGATCATGTTTGACTATGGGCTCAGGGAACTTTTCAAGCAAAACTTCGAAGATTTGCATTGCAAATTTTACCAGTTGGAGCGCCTCATGCAGGTAAAAAGAGAAACCAGCTTGTGTTTGACAAAAAGAGTACAGGACTAAGGAGCACCAAATTGAGGAAATGGTGCCAGGGAGCATTGGTAATTGCCTTAGCGATCCGTGGCTAAGGATGGGTTTCATTTTTATCCTTTATCACTATGTGATTATGATGCAAAGATTAACAAAGTGTTAAACTTTCACACCTCATGGATGTGAGCTGATAAACTCCCAAAAGATCAGATGACTTTGTTAGGGGTCTTTTCCACAGCTAACTCAGTCAAGAAGTACTCCCCAAGGCTCTGAAGCTGACTGGTTAGGAATCTCATAACAAAAGTGAAACAAACTTTCCCAAATGTTTTTTACTTTGGAGAGAAAAACAGGCTTTCCAAATACTTGTCACCATTTTGGGGATTCCTCTTTCTTTAGAACAAGTTTGTGGTCTGGAAAAAAGAGTTGAGTGCCAGCTTAATACCAGATGATAAGTGTTCTAAGCACTTTGGAGATTTTTAGAAAAACACAAGTATTTTACTTTTTTGGCCTATTCCTGGTAGATTTATGAGCCTCCTTAGTGGGAATTGGACAGATGCATATGTGCCCAGAACTAATTGGTTTGCTATTTCAGGAATACATTCCTGACCTGTACAACCACTTCCTGGATATAAGCCTTGAAGCACACATGTATGCCTCCCAGTGGTTTCTTACTCTTTTCACTGCAAAATTCCCTCTCTACATGGTCTTCCATATCATCGACCTGCTTTTATGTGAGGTATGTATCAGAGGCCACAGCACTTTGGCTTTTGTTTGCAGTGTACTTGAGGAGAACAGATTCTGTTTTGAGTGTCAGCTCTGTCAAAACAGAATTGGTCTCTTTAATTATTTTATTTTATTGCTAGGAAATCTAGGTTTAAGTGACTTCCTTGGACTAAAGCTAATGATCGTATTTGTTAAAGGTGTACTCTGAAAAGACGTACTGAATTAGACATTTGTATTAGTTCATATTAGTTTTGGCTGTATTGAATGAAGAAACCCAAAGTAACAGTGATTTTAAAAAATAGCTTTTTGCTCTCTTGTGAAAAAAAGTCAATGTTGGCAGTAGCGTGCCTTCCCCTCACTCTGGCTGTTAGCCGTATGGAGGAGTAGCACACCAGCCATTATATCATATTCAAGCCAGGAGGATTAGAGGATGGGAGAGGGTGCCTCCTCTGTTTTCAAAAGAGACTTCCTGGAAGTTCCATCCAGTATTTCCACTTTATGGTCAGAACTTAGTTACATGACCACACCTAGCTGCAAGGGAGACTTTTTAAAAAATAAGCTGAGCAGGAATTTGCTAAAAATTAGAGATTTATTACTAAAGAGAAAATAAGATATTAGAGTAAATAACAGTCTTTGCCATGACGTAATTTTGGATTTTGTGTGGTGTGTTTAAGAAAAACATAATTATAAAAATAATATATGTTTATAGAAAATATAAGTAAAAATAATTTAAAATACTACAAATCCCACTGTCTATAGGTTACCTCCTTTAACAGTTTGGTTAAAAGCAGTATCCTTTCAGCCTTTTTTATGTGTTCATATATGTGTATGTATAATTACTATACAGAATAGTATGGTTTCCATATGGATGGAACACTATATATATTATGGTTCTCCTATGTGTATATTTAAAAATATGATTGTTATTTATACTCTTTGGTATCCTCTTTTTAAATTTCATATACTTGAACATACACATCTGTACTATCCTTTTTAATTATGCTATATTCAAAACATACAAAAATTCATAAAGAATTTGTATCTACCACTCAGCTTGAAATATTCTAAGAAACAGAAGAAATAAATATTACCAAATATGCCGTTTTTCTTAGTTGCTGCCAAGTATCCCATTATTTGGATGTGCTATACTTTATGTAACCAATTTCTAATCACAAACCTTTAAATTGTTTCTAGCTTTTTAGTAGTATAAACAACCATCTGTTAAGTAGCTACTAAAGGCCAGGTGGCATGCTAAGTAATTTACATAAACTTTTCAGCTAATTATCTCAGAAAACCCATAGGAGAGTATTAGTTATGGAAACTGAGGCCCAGCAGCTTAAGCAGTTTAACTTGATCAACAGATGTTAGTGCTTCCTCTCCTTTGTTCTTAGCCCCAGGATTTGCAGAATGGAGGGAGCCTTGAGCAGATTCAGTTCTGGAATATAGGGCTTATCGACAGAGTGGTTGCTGTGCATGGATTGGGACAGCACAAGATAAAGGAAAAGTTCCCCAGGAGTTATTTCCTGAGAGATCACAACTTTATGACTGATCTTTTGGTTTGGAAGCATGGAATGCTTTGGAAAAGCATTTCTTATTATTGAATATGAGAACAGGGCAAGAAAAGCTCTTCTCTCAGAAAAAGGGGAAGCTAGGTCTTTAAGCAGCTTTTCAATGGCCCTTTAGTTTTTATTTTTCAAGGTAGTTCTGAGATAATGCATTTCCTTCCTTAAGTTTTCACAATTTCTTTAAAAATGTGGGGTATAAGGACAAATAGCATAATAGTCGAGATATAAAAACTGACAGTGTTCTTTTTGTCTGTTCTCTTTCAGGGAATAAGTGTTATTTTTAATGTCGCCCTTGGATTATTAAAGGTACTCATTTATTTATTAGCTGAGTTATCTGTCATTCCCTGCTCTGCACTTGCAATACATTGGTTGTAGTCTCATTCTGAGCAGTCACTGTGCACTAGCATTACCCATGACAGTGGATGTATGCAGGTGGCTCTGACAAAAGCGAAGAAATATCTTCTGGGGATTATAAAAGTGCTGGAAATCTAGCATTACCCCTAACAGTGGATGTATGCAGGTGGCTCTGACAAAAGCTAAGAAGTATCTTCTGGGGATTGTAAAAGTGCTGAAAAGTGCTGAGAATATAAAAAACTTCTTGTGCATCCTTATAGCAACACATTTTTTCTATATGTGTTTGTATTTTCTTCAAGACTTCGAAAGATGACCTGCTGTTGACAGACTTTGAAGGTGCCTTGAAGTTCTTTAGGGTTCAGCTTCCTAAGAGATACCGCTCAGAAGAAAATGCAAAAAAACTAATGGAATTAGCCTGCAACATGAAGGTAAAATAATTTTGCATTAGTTAAGATTCTGTTTTTCACTTAGTGTCTCACTATTCCTGATCATTTATAATACATAATTATTTATGTATTATATTTATAACATTTATAATACATATTAGTGTTAACATTTATAATATATAAATAATATTAATGATGTTTTCTTCTGTATTATATAACTCTTAACCTTTTTTTCCCCAAAATACTTTCCTATATATTATAATCCTACGAATGAAATCTCGTTGTCCCCCCAACCGCCAAACTATAGAAGAGTATTAATATCCCTGTTTTGAGACAAATCAAAACAAAAAGAGGTTGTAGTTCCCTAGTTGTACACCTGGTTAGTGGCAGAATTCAGGTTTCAGGTTTCATGATTTCTTCTACTGTGCTGGTTTTTTGTTTTTGTTTTTTTTTTTTTCTTTTTTTTGAGACAAGGCTAGAGTGCAGTGGCACAATCATAGCTCATTGCAGCCTGGACCTCCCAGGCTCAAGCGGTCCTCTCACCTCAGCCTCCTGAGTAGCTGGGACTACAGGTATGTGCCACTACACCCAGCTAATTTTTAACTTTTTTTTGTAGATTTGGGTTCTCACTATGTTGCCAAGGCTAGTCTCAAACTCCTAGGCTCAAGTGATCCTCCCACATTGGCCTCCTAAAGTGCTGGAATTACAGGAGTGAGCCACCACGCCTGGCCTTAACTTTCAACATTTGTTCTGGTCAGAAGTTCCCTAAAACAAAGCTAATAATACATGAAGAAAACTCAGTTTTATCACTTCAAGTGGCA
Source organism: Homo sapiens (assembly GCF_000001405.40). Taxonomy (NCBI): domain Eukaryota; kingdom Metazoa; phylum Chordata; class Mammalia; order Primates; family Hominidae; genus Homo; species Homo sapiens. The sequence continues at coordinate 123,077,542 of NC_000009.12, forward strand.
TTTGTGATTCGCACAATTTTTTTAAAAGTAAAAAGGTATAGGATCTTCTTGTGTTCATGTTATCATAACATTGTATTGTATTGTATTGTATTGTATTGTATTGTATTGTATTGTATTGTATTGTATTGTATTGTATTGTATTGTATTGTATTTATTTTCTGTGGGGCTTTTTTTGAGACAGGGTCTCACTCTTGTTACCCAGGCTGGAGTGCAGTGGTGCAGTCACAGCTCACTGTAGCCTCAACCTCCCTGGACTCACTTATTTAGGGCTCAGTTTCTGCTTTTGTAAAATAATATTTTACTTCTCATTCTGGTTATGTGTCAGACTGAGCTAACTCAGATTACCCTTCTTTTAACACATAGAGAGGCTAAATAAAATATACCCCAAGAAATGTTTAAATGCCTGGAAGAACTTGAAATAGAAATGCACAGGTATTTAAAACAAAGTAGCTCAACTAGTGTGTGTAAACTGATATAACACATCTCAGGGGAGTATGGAACTATGTGTAGCTATTAGGGGTTTAATGCTCACACAGACATAGTGGATATGATTTTGGGCCTTTAGGAGGCAGCTGAAAAAGTGAGGCCTTTGCATAAAGTTAAGACCTCTGAATGGCTCCCCTATCTGTTAAAGGAGGAATACAAAAACTACCTATTAGCCTGAGAAACAGTAGAAATCATAATATAAAATGAATAGTGGATTAGAAAAAAAAAAGGAAATAGAACTTCTGGTAATTAAAATAATCATCAGAGTTTACATTCTATTTAAAATGTTACATACTTCATAGGTATTACGGCTAACAGTTAATGATAGTTTACCATGTGCTTGGTACTATGGTTAAGTGCTTTTATATGTGGGGATTAGCGACGATATCGTATGTACAGTGTTTAACATAGTGCCTGGTAGTTAGTAAGGGTCCAAGAAATGATGGCTACGACTATAATTATTTCCTCCCTGATCGTTAAGTAGATAACAAACATTTTACAGTAATATTTTCAAAGAAAATAGGTTTGCACAAAGCATAGATAGAACCAAGTGAGTTCTGAGATTCTTTGAGTCACTCTTCCCACCTCAGCCTGGTTCAGCACACAAGAGGATGCTGCCTCTTTTTTGTTCATGATTTCTTTGCCTCCAAAATCCCCTTTCTCAGTGTCCCCATCTCAATTAGGGGTACCTGGTTGCTCAGGCCAAAAACCTTGCTGTCCTCTTGACTCCTCTCTTTCTCACACTCCACATCTATGCTCGTCGTCAGAATATATCCTGACTCTGATCACCGCCACCTTCATTATTAACATCCTAATCTAACCATCATCATCCTTTCCTGTTTCCACAGTGGCTCCCTCCCTGGCTCTTCTCTATCGCATGTCTCCTTTGCTGAAAACTCACGTTTCCACCATCCAGAGGCATCCTGCATTCAATTTTGCTCCTTTTCTTTCCAAATGTTTTTTATGCATTCTTAAATAATTGAGTTCATACAGTCAGTATCATTTTTCTTCCTGTTTCATGCAATTATACGGATTTTCCTCACTGAGATATTGTGTGTAAATAATCAGTTGTAAATGGTTATATAATTCCTCTGCTTGAATTTGCCTCACTGTGCTACAGTTTATTTAACTGTGCCCCCTTGTTTGTTTCTTTTTTAAATTTGTTTGCTTTTGTTGTTGTTGTTTGTTTTTTTGTTTTTTTGTTTTGTTTTGTTTTTTTTTTTTTTTTTTGAGACAGGGTCTCGCTTTGTCACCCAGGCCGGAGTGCAGTGGCGCAATCTCAGCTCACTGCAACCTCCGCCTCCCGGGTTCAAGTAATTCTCCTGTTTCAACCTCCCAAGTAACTGAGATTACAGGTGCACCACCATGCCCAGCCACTTTTTTGTATTTTTGGTAGAGACAGCGTTTCGCCATGTTGGCCAGGCTGGTCTCAACTTCCTGACCTCAAGTGGTCCACCCCCCTCAGCCTCCCAGAGTGCTGGGATTACAGGTGTGAGCCACCACACCCGGCCCGCCACTCTTGTTTAAATTTTTGTTGTTGTGATGTGAACGGTTTTATACATAAAGATTCATTGGATTTTAGAGTTTTTCCTTAAACTCTGATTCTTTCTCCTACTACGTTTCCCCCTTCTCCTTCCAATTCAGACACGCTGGCCTCCTTGCTGTTCTCAGACCTTTGCACTGGTCAGTCTCTCTGCTTGTAATGTTCTCCTGAATGTCTGCATGGCTTCACTGTCCCCTCATCCAGTCTTCGGCTCATATATCCACAGCTTCTCAAATTGCAGTATCTAAAGTAGCAGCTCCCCCAACCTTTATGCCATTACGTCCTTATCCTATCTTATTTTTCCCTACTGGAATGGAGGCTGTGCAGCAGAAGAGACAATCTCTTTGGCTTACTGCTGAATCCACAGTACCAGGAACAGGATCTCGCTTATAAATATCGATTGAATAAGTGAATGAATAAATACACTGTTGAGTGTCTACCATGTGTTTTACAAAGAAGAGTTAACATGGATTTGGGCAAAGCTTAATAGTTTCCAGCCAGAAGTTTTACCTTTTGGATTCCCATTAGCTTGAAACACTTTAATAATATATGGATCCTTTATTTCCATATATGGAAAGGTGGGGAAAGTCCAGATAGGAGGTATCTAATGTCTTTTTTTTTCTTGCCTATGCCTTCAATGAGTTAAGTCTGACAAGGCTGCCTTCAGTGTGTCTGCACAGCACATATATTTTGTGCTTAGATATATAATTCCTTCTAGACCTGGAGAACTTTGCATGTTTGGGGTACACTTTGGATGTTTCCCCCTATTTGCACATGATTTCAGGTGAGATAGTAGTTTTTCTTGAAATCGGCTCATAGCCTGAAAAGAGTACAGATTCACCAGAACATAAGAGAATGGGATTTTTCTGCCAGAAGGTGAGCTATGGTATGTACAGTTTAGTTAGTGATGATTTGTTGTCTTCTGGCAGCTATACTTAATACCAAAAAATTTTAAGAGAGATACACACAATAGTTGAACCTGTTATGGGCAAAGTGATAATTCAGTGGTAACTTGCCAGTTCAAAATTAGGAAGTCATTGGCAAGTGCATCCTGAGCCCTGCATTCTGTGGCTTGCGTGAGGTATGAGTACACATGAGGATCTGTGGTTTGAGTCCATTAGACCTCGAAAGGGCGGTTCATGATATGTGGTTCCAAAAGCTTGTTTGGAAACAAGCTTTTGAACTTTTTCATGTGGAATTTACAAAGGTAACTTTTGCTCTGCAACTCACTGAAATCTCTTTCCATTATTTTTTAAATGTTTGTAAATTGTGGCTTGGTTTACTCAGTTGTACAGTTGACCTTTGAACAACATGGTATGAACCGCATGGGTCCACTTATACGTGGATTTTTTTCAATAAAAGTTATACCAACTATGCCTCCTGTCTCCCCTTCTACCTCTGCCTCCTCCACTTCTGCCTCTGCTACCTTTGAGACAGAAAGACCAACCCCTCTTCCTCCTCCTCCTCAGCCTACCCATCATGAGGACAACCAGGATGAAGACCTTTATGATGATCCACTTCCACTTAGTGAATAGTAAATATATTTTCTCTTCCTTACGATTTTCTTAATATTTTCTCTAGCTTGTTATATTGTAGGAATTCAGTACATAATACCTATAATGTACAAAATATGTATTAATTGACTTTATGTTTTCATTATGGCTTCTGGTAAATAGTAAGCCATTAGTAAGTAAATTCTGGGGGAGTCAGAAGTTACACGTGGATTTTCAGGTGCGCAGGGCGTCAGTGCCCCTAACTCGTGTTGTTCAAGGGTTAACTGTACTTCCTGATAATCAAGGTGAGAATTGGAAATATTTTGCCTCACATGCCAGTCTAGGAAAAAGATAGCTACTTTTGTTGTCATTGTTGTGATATTTGGTCTTTTGAGAAGGGTCTTGCTCTGTCACCCTGGCTGGAATGTAGTGGCACAGTCATGGCTCACTGCAGCCTCAACCTCCCAGACTCAAACGATCCTCCCATGTCAGCCTCTCAAGTAGCTGCGAGTACAGGCATGCACCACCATTTCCTGGCTAATTTTTTTTTTTTATTTTGTGTAGAGACAAGGTCTCTTTGTGTTGCCCAGGCTGGTCTCGAACTCCTGGACTCAAGTGATCAACCCACCTCTCCCTCCCAAAGTGCTGGGATTACAGGTGTGCGCCACTGCGCCGACCATTGTTGTGTTTTAATATTATGATATTGTTGTAATTTGTAGTATTGATATAGTTCTTAAAAGCATCTTATTTCTTCCTCACAATACCCTGTGAGATACAATAGGGCACATCAAGTGACTTACCCAAGTCATACCAGCTGTATAGTGACAGACCACCCTAGTAGAACTGAGGCCTCTGACTCTTATGTTCCCAATGCTTTCCAACGCATTCCACTGTCTCTTACCATTGCAAAGGTTCAAGAATTAAATTTGGTGTGGCAGTATCTGAAATGGCCACAAGATGGGTGTGTTGCTCAAAAATGTCTATCTTCTTCTCGGTGCCCTTGGAAATTTTTTTTTTTTTCTTTATAAATCTTTGTCTGTCTCAGTCCTTACTTGCCTCTCTACTTTTGTCTTTTTCAGGCCTTTTACTTCTCCTATTCTCCCTCTTTCTCCTTAAAGTGAACTTATTATGGAACTGAAATGTTTTACTTATTTCTTGAGGAGTTTAGATCCCCTGCTCCTAAACTAAAATTTAACAGTGTACCTTAGAACTCATTTAGCTATCCATTGAACTTCTCCCGCTTTATGGGTCAGTGACCTGAGATAGAAAAATTGTTCCACTTCTGATAGAGGATCTAAAAGGAATTCCATTCTAAATAGATTATTCTAGAAGATCATTTATGGACCTGGGAGCCCCACAGCCCTTTCATACAACTGCACCTTGCATAGTCTTTAGAGGGGAATATTGAAAGGTCTTTTAGATTTTTGATTCAAGAAATATGCAAGGGAAGCTCTTTCTTCATGTCTGTATAGGCATTTTTGAGAACAAGTGAGACATATGAGGCTAGTTTAGAAGACCCAAGAATCATGCTCTAAGAGATGGCCCAGTGAGTTTCCTAGATCAGACCTGAGGACTTGGCCATTTTGCCATAGAATCCTGCTTAAGGTGAAATGGAATTGCTGAACCATTGCTTCATTAGAACGTGTCATTTTAAACACAACGTGATGTGCCAGACTTCAAACTACTTGTAAGAAAAGATACTAGTACAAAAACCAAATAGCAGTGTCTCCAAATTAATATAATTCTTAACCATTTGCTATTTGGAGAAACAGAAAACTCTTCAGCATTTTCCCTTGGGGGATATTTTTATTCCAGAGCTTAAAAACAACACTAGTTTGAACTTCATTCTCTGTTCAAATTGTTTGTGTAGTTAGTATGTATTAGATTTAAGCTCTCTGAGGGCAGCGACTTCATCCGTCTTGTTTGTTGATGGATTCGCAGAATCATACACAGTGCTCTCATACAGTGAAATAATCCTCACAGTGACCATATGAGGGCCTTTTAGGGATGTGCATACTGAGACATAGAGAATTGATGTAAACTCTCAAAGGATATAAAGTTAGTAACTAATGGAGTTGGGATTAGATCCCAAGAGTTTCAGACTCTGAAGTCAATTCTTATGGGCATTCTGCTTTACTGTAAATGATGGATTGAATGAATGGGACAGGAGCCATTTGTGTGTTATCCCTTTTTAGTGATGTTAGTAATGTAATCTCAATCTCTGTGTCAGAGTTGAAACTTATTCTCTATACACTACACAAAGTTCAGCTTTCTTTATAACTAGACCAGACTGTAGTTTTATTTCTTTGCTTGTTCCTACCTTTTAGAATCAGATTTTATGAGGAAACTTCTGAATGGATGCTCTCTCTGTAATGAACCCTAAATTTTGCCAGTTGTTGCAAGGGTAGCAGTGGGCACTGCCTTCTTTTAATAAGCTGGTCTCCCTTAGTCCTTATCTGTTTGGGTTCTCTGCTACTAATTTGCTTCTTCCATTTTAGAAAAACACTCTGGTGGTAGAACCAGAATACCTAATTGTACTTAGTGATCTTTGAAGGAGTTTGAGTATTAACTGTTTGAACAAATTAAATAAAAAGGCTCAGAAATTAAATAGAATGTTTATTTCCATTGGTGAAGAATGCAGACCTTCGAGACCCACAGACCTTGGCTTTTATCCTGGCTCCGCCTCTGCTGTGTGACCCCAGGGTAGGTTAACATCGCAGGGTTGTGACAGAATAAGATGATGCCTTTAAAGTGGCTGCTGCTTGCATCCCTCAAATACGAGTGTTCTTCTGGCCTGCCCTGTTTTGACCTTTGCCCAGGCATCCAGAGTACTTTCCTTAAGTCAGTTCAAGTCAACAAACGCTTGTAGATTTTCTTATGTGTTCAGCACTGAGCAGGCCACAGAGATAAATAAGAAACAGGAATCACCCCAAACTTGCATTCTTATGCTGGCATTGCCACTTAACACTGGGTCCTTAACTTTGGACAAGTCACCTATCTATGATACGGTATGATGTGAGCCATCTGTGATATGATAAGTATCACCTGTGATATGATCTATGATAGAGTAAAATGAGGGAGATAATCCCTGCTCTACTCATCTCAATAAGTTGTTTTGAGAAGTAAATAAAATAGTAGATATGTAGGCATCTTGTTATCCTGAAAGTCCTGAGTAAATCTCAGGTTCTTTTTATCAGTAACTAAAAATCAGTCCCTGTCCTGAGCATTAAACAGGAAGATAGACTTGTGTCAGATTTCTTTATTTAGCTTTCTGATAGTCCTACCACATGAAGCAATGAAGACTTTGGAGTCAGGATCTCCTTAATGTACCAGACTCTTTCTTACCCCCCACTGTCTACCCACTCACCCAACAACATGCTTCTCTCTCGCCATGCAGAGCTACTAATGTTCAACCTCCCACTTCACTGGATTCCCTATGACTCCAGCTCAGCAGAGATTCTGATTTTGGCAACACTTTTTTAAGCCAAACTTTGAAAGCAGCTCCACTTCCAGAGGGTAGCCTGTTTCATGCTTTTCTGTGTTAAATTGACTTTGTTTAAAATGGCTCTTTGTTTGCAGCACATGTTCAGAGTTGTAGCTGTGTCTCTTGATTCAGGACGGGATGCCAGGTAATAACGACAAATAGTAGCTAAAATTTATTGAAAATACTTCACTGTGTGCTAGGAACTTTTCTGAGGACTTTATATATATTTGATGTTTTTTGATCTTCATAACAGTAGTCTTCATAAGGACTGTTAACGATTTTTACAGATGAGGAAATAGAGGCTTAAGATTAGGCAGCTTGCCCTTGGTCACACAGTAAGTCATTGGCAGAGCCAGGACTCCAGCCTTGGTCTGTTCCACCTGCACAGCCCGAGCTCTTAGTGGGCAGGTTGTACCACGTCGCGCCTGCCCAGGTGAGCAGCCACTCTCACTCTTTCTCCATGTGTGTTGCCCTTGCCGTCCCTGTCTGTTCCAGGGGCTGATCAGAGACCAGCTTCCCCAAGGCAAGTGGCATAGATTTTAAGAAAGCACATTATCTAGTTCCTGTGACAGATTAATGACAAGTGAGTGACCAAAGGAGAGATGTTTTGGACTGAATTTGTGCTTCTATCAAAATAACAAACTGGCATGTATCAAGTCTTCCTTCTCTCTAATTTAAGGTTTCTTAACCTGGGACAATGGACAGGCCTCAGGGGGCCCATGAGCCCTCTGAAATGGTATGTAGAATGTTTTGATTGTGAAGGGAGAGGGGAAGTTGGCTTCTGTGCATTCTTTATTGGAGAGGAACCATGGCTCTCAGGAGACTTTCAAAGTAGTGCTATTTCTAACGGTGTTAAGAACCCCTGTGCTAATACAGTGGGGTATAAGGTTGGTTTTACCAACAAACCCAATCTTATGCTAAGTATTTGTTAGGCTTCTTTTCCCCCAACAAAGTATATTTAAACAGAACAAGGATTGAATTTCAAATTTAATTTTCTTTGAGGGCAAAAATACCTCTGTTTGAAGCTGTGATTTCCAAAGCCTTCTGATAGGAATCAGTGAACAGCGGGTATGATTCAGAGCTCTGAGTCTAAATCCATAGCTTCCCTTGCTTCCCGAATTCAATTAAAAGTTAAAAGTAAGAGAAAAAAATGAGTCTTGGACTTCTAAGTCTCTGTTCATTAAGTGTTTTCATTCTTATTGTGTGAAACGCGTTAGGAATTTCACAATGAATAGGACTTCCTGCCCTCATGGAGTTTGTACGTTGGCACCTATATATATCTTTGTATTGCTAATGCCACTGCACATAGTAGTGCTTAACTATTGGTTAAATAAATGTCCCTGCTGCATCTTTATTAAGGTAAAAAGGAAGCCTTTGGCTTTGATTTGTTTAACATCCTATTTTTATGAGTCCCAACTACTTTCCAAGCATTGAGCACTGGAGATACAATAGTAAGCATAACAGATATGGCCTGTCTCCTGGTGGGAAGACAGACAATTAAGTAGAAACCTAAGTAATCGTGAGCTTGGATTGGTGCCATGGATGAATTGACTTGATGCTATGAGAATAGTTACATAACTGAAAGAACTGGCCTGACAGGACGAGAGTATGAGGGAAGGGTTTGCTAAAGAAGGGGTGTTGGAACTGCAATCCCAGAGGTGAATAGGAGTGAGCCAGGTATGAGGTTGTCCAGGCAGAAGGAGCATGCTTGCATTGCATGTCCACTTTGGTTGCCATTTCCATTCAGAAGAAAAGTCAATGCAAGGAAAAGAGAGTCCTTTCTCAGTAATTCAGCAAGCATTTCTGGGTACTCGCTATACATGAACAGGGGACAACAATGAGTGAGAGACAGTTCTGGCCTGGAGAAGACATTCATAATGTCATAGGCAGGCTGGGAGGTGCTGGCCTCTCCCAGATATGGCCTCAAAAGGAGGCTTAAAATGCCCCTGCTGCTGCTGGCACCTTCTGGTTCCCCATTCGGGTTTCAGGCATCAGCCTTTATCTTGGAATTGGTGCCTCAGAGGCAGCCTAAACTAGTTGGGTTTGGTATGCAGCCACCCATGCTGCAAAAGTCAGCATCAGCCGTGAACCCATGAGAAGCTATGGTGTTTTTATTGATTTTGTGTTTGTGGTGAGTGTTTAAGGGAGAAAGGGAGGGTGGGAGGGAGAAAGAGAGAGACTGAGAAGAGGTGAGGGTGAAGACTGGGAAAAGACTGAGCTGGTGAAGAAGTCAGGACTCTGGACCAGCAAAGTCTGTGAAGACAGCAGAGCTTTGTGTACACCCGTTCCTGAGAGGTGACCCCTGAGGACTGATTCGGAAGTAAATGAAGACCATCAGCTAGAGAAACAAGCAGAGCTCTTAGAGAAACCCTGTATAATTATGAAAATGATACTTAAACAGCATTCTGTTTTTCCTAATTATAAAAATAATTCATACTCAATGCAGAATACTTGGAAGACATGGGAAAAATGAAAAGAAACACCCATATCCTATCATGAGAATGTAAGAAGCAAATGAGATGTTGGTCCGTGTAAAAGTTCTATTATTTACCAGGTACTTATCACACACCAACTCTTGTTATATATGATACTGAGGGAGAATCAACCCTATTACTATGAGGGTGAGGCAGCTATAATAAGGGTTAATGAAATATAGAAGACATTGTTTTGTAATTAGCCTATTACAACATATATCTATGGGGAAAAATGTTAATTCTTCCTTACCCCAGCAAAAGAATGAAAAGTTGAAGAAACTTGAAGATTTGTGAAAATGTTTTACAGGATTTGGTGTCAATTTGTTTTTTTTTAATAAAGTGCCATGGGAGCCTCATAACCACTGCCCTTCCTCTCATTTATTCAGAATGCAAAAGCACTGGGATGAAGTGTTTGCTGTTCGCAGCCGCATTTATTTTCTGTTCCACTACTATTGATCTGTTAGGATTGTCTATACACTTACTGATTGCATAGACATTTTACTTAGGTGCTTTCTTTGTGAGTCACTTAGGTACACAATAAAAGTTTACCCTAGCATTGGGCCTAAACTGCAGAAGATCTCAGCTTAAAGATGTCCTGCTCCAGTTTGTGGCCTCACCCCAGGTGTTGAGTGAGCATCTTTCTGTAGAGGTCAGCTGGAGCAGAATGCTGTCTTCCTGGCTGTCTAACCTTGGGCAGCAGCCAGACTCCAGGAATAGAGCTCTGATTGAGGCAGACCTGCAAACAGCCTGACTAGGGGAGGTGTCCACAGTCAATGGGAGAGGAACACACTCTCCCACTGAGAGCGTCTGGAGACACTGACACCAACACGCAGCAAATGTGGGCCTATCCTGTTCCCTTTCTAGGTCTTATTTCTTCATCTGTAAAATAAGAAAGTTAGAGTGGAGTAGATCTGAGAGTCCTAGTTACCTGGACCTGGGGACTAACAGGCAGATTTCCACGTCAGCACTTTAGTGCTGATTACTGAAGTTTCAGGAAGGGATTACCATTAGTTTCATATTCTTTTTTTTTTTTTAATTATTTAGATGGGGTCTCTCTCTTGTCACCCAGATTGGGACACAGTGGTGCAGTCTTGGCTTGGCTCACTCCATTCTCAACCTCCTTGGCTCAAGGGATCCTCCCACCTCAGCCTCCAGAGTAGCTGGGACTACAGGCACATGCCACCATACCTGGCCAATTTTTATATTTTTTTGTAGAGAGAGTCTTGCTGTGTTGCCCAGGCTGGTTTCAAACTCCTGGCCTCAAGTGATCCTTCTGCCTTGGCCTCCCAAAGTGCTGAGATTACAGGTGTGAGCCACTGCACCCAGCCATAATCAGTCCTTAAATTGCACACATCTGTTTTTTTTTTAATCACTTTTCTATTATATCTCATAACTTTTGAACATGTAATTTAAAACAATGCCAATGCCATAGGGAATGGCTAGCTGTTCAGAGGAAGGAAAGATAGTCACCCAGCCTGGGCAACATAGCAAAACTCCATCCCTACAAAAAATAAAAATCAGCCAGGTGTGGTGTCGTGTGCCTGTAGTCCCAGCTCCTTGGGAGGCTGGGGCGGGAGGATCAACTTGCCACAGGATGTCAAGGCTGCAGTGAGCTGAGATCACACTACTGCACTCCAGCTTGGGTGATAGAGATCCTGTCTCAAAGAGGAAAAAAAAGCCAGTTGCATCTTGAAGGTATGTTGCCCTTGGTTATAGTTTAGCTTGAAGAAGGAGACAGAGCCAACCAGTAAAGAGGGGGAAAGCCTGTTACCTAGAAGGAAAGCCAAGAGAATAAAGGGAGAAAAGATTTTCTAGAAGAAAGCAGAGAAGATTGGTCATGTTAAAGCATGAAAGTCAGGGAGTTTTGAAGTTTAGTTGGGGAGATGTAAGACCACTGGACAGAGGAAAAAGACACCACTGGTGACCTTCAAGAGGGTTCTTTCATAGAGTAGTCAGAGCAGAGGCCTGACTTACATTAAGGAGGGGCAGGTCTTGAAGCAATGGAGGTGAAGATATAGGCCTGTGGTTTGCAATGGTGGGTAAGAAAAGGCTTGAGAGAAAGAGAACAATAATCTGATGGGGTGAGAGGGCATCTAAGCAGAGTAGTCAGCACAGCTGTGTTTTTAAGGGTAGAGATAACTGTCTGTTTGAAAGCAGCACAGAAGAAGGTAGGAGAGAGGAAAGGGAGGGGATAGAGAGGTGCTAGGATAGTGAGGACTTTGGATGGAGTCCAACTGCCAGGGCTCAAATCCCAGATCTCCCAGTCCCTTATTGTGTGACTTTGGTCAAGTTACATAACCAACCTCCTTATACCTCAGTTAACTTGCCTATAAGATGAGGATGAGAATAGCACACCTCGTAGAGGTGCTGTGAGGTCACAGATTTAAAGGATTTAGCAGCAGCACTGGTATATGCTAAATAAAATGGTGGCATTATTATTAGGGACAAATAGGACCCAGAACTTGTAGGAGGAGCCGTCTGTAGGGTGTTCATTCTAATACTGTCAGTTAAAGCCTTAGGACCCAAACATCTCCAACAGAACTCTAAACGCATTGAGAATTTGGGGTCCTGGGCTTATACCCTACTCTGATGATTTCCCTCCAAAAAAATAGGAAATACCACATCCATAATGACTGAGATTGCCCAGGCCACCAGAAGTCTTGGTCTTCAGTGCAGGCACTGAAGCACCCACTACTTTCTAATACTTCTTAATTTACCCTATGATTTATCCTACAGATTAGTCAGAAGAAGTTGAAAAAATACGAGAAAGAATATCACACCATGAGGGAACAGCAGGCCCAGCAAGAAGACCCCATCGAGCGATTTGAGGTTTGTTTGCTTATGGCCTACGTGTGAGGAGCTCCCATGCTTTCATTTCATATGATTGCGCCTGTAACTAGCTTTATTGAGTCCTTTTTAAAATTCAATTCCTCTGTAGGTTCAGGTTTGAGTTTGCAAATTAGCAAGCAAGATCTGTTTTTGCTTCAAACCAGCTGCCTGGTTTGTTACAGTTCAGTGGCTTTTCGTCACAGTTAACAAATAGTAGGTGCTTGACAAAGTCACTTGAATCAGTTAAGTATTTCTTTATGGAGCTAGAAAATAAGAAATTGTTGATTTGGAAACACATCAGGTCCAGCCATTTCTCTTATTGTTTCCATAGGACTTAGAAATTTATTTTGAGGTTTAGCCCTGAGAAATTTTCATTTCCATCTGATTTTTATGTGTCTGTAACTGGTTTCTTTCTACCCTTCAGCGGGAGAATAGGCGTCTACAAGAAGCTAACATGAGGTTGGAACAGGAAAACGATGACTTAGCCCATGAGCTGGTGACCAGCAAGATTGCACTACGGAAGGACCTGGATAACGTAAGTCCAACGGGTCTGAAGGGAAAGATCTCACTGAGACACTTGACTTTTCCCCTCAAGAGAAATCCTGGAATTTTAGTGATTGTTATTCTAGCCACCTGTAAAGTTTCCCGCTTGTGATACAACTTGCTTGTCAGTGTCACTTCCCTCCTTTCCTTCAGGAATTATCTGTTGTCTCACAAAGCCCTCCTTACCACATTCTTTTCTCATTGTGCACATAATCCTTGAGCTTCTTTCCCAAACATCATTTGATTAAGAGACCTTGTGGTTAATTCTTACATTACTATAATTGGCAGGAGCATTTAATCATTATAATTACGTTAACCTCCCTCCTCAGACAGGAAGAGATTTTGTTATCCTACATATTTGGTGACTGTTGAAAAAGCATTGCCAGTTGGAATGCAGCTCAGTACCTCAGCAACTTGCAGTTTCATCAGGAGTTTCTGTTGACAGATGTTTCATTTTTCTTTGCTTCTCCTAATCTTAACAATTTTGGAATGATGTCTTTCCTGGCAGAAACCCTTTTCTATTTTCTGTACTACAGACTAACCTTAGAAGAAATGGTATAATCTCTCGATCATGGTTTAGGTCAGAAGTTGGCAAACATTTTCTGTAAAGGGATGGATAATAAGTGTTTGAGGCTTATGGCCCTACAGTCTACATTGCTACTACTTAGCAAAAGCAGACATAGATGATATGCAAATGAATGAGCATGGCTATGTTCCAGTTAAAAGCTTTATTTACAAAAACAAGTGACAGGCTGGATTTGGCCCTTGGACTGTAGTTTGCCAACCCTTTAGGTTTCCCTGCTAGGCTCCTAGGATTACCTTTCTACTCATTGGTTTCCTAAAGTTCCAGGGATGGGCTCAGGCTGTTGAGGATTTTTACGGGGGTCTTACATTATATGCACTGAAATAGGGTCCATGAATTTCAGGATGTCCTTGACATCCACCAGAAGCTTACAAAAATTTTGTGTACTCATGCATTTCCTTGAAAGGCTATGCTTTCATTTAGTTCTCCTAGGTAGAAAGACTATGGTTTCATCAGATTCTCAAAGTGGTTAACAGGTGAGACAGAGACCACAGTATCTACCCATTCAGAAAATGTAGGATGGACCTGGATTCTAATGCCAGCTACTCTGCTTTCAGCTCACCTTGGACACCTTGTAAAATGAGGGGTGGTAAAATAATAGCTATGTCACAGGGTATAGAGAGAATTACATAATTAGATGTATATGAAAGCATCATTAAAAAAAAATCAGGCACAGGCATTGTTAGCGCCCTCTGCTTGTCTGCTTGTCATCTACAAATAACTGAATTTAACAGGGAAGGCTCCTCTTTGCAGTTTTTGCAGGGAGAATGTTTCAAGGTCATTAGCCCTCAATGACCAGAACCTGAGGTCTTTTGATGGCTTTTTGGCTTACCACAGTCTGCTCATCAGGGTTGAGTTTCCTCCTTACGGTGCAAATTCCCAGCATATCCTCTGTTCCTCTTTGTAGAAACACTATATGGGTCATTCTCTCCCTGTTCGGGTATTTCTGCCTAGTGAGTGGAGGGAGGCAGGTGTACATGGAGCAGGGACTACTGAAGCAGGGCCAGAGGTGTGTGCCTAACACAGCCCTCATAACAGCCATGGGTCATGCAGAAAGGAGGAAAAAAAGGAAAAGAAAAAAAATATGGGTCTTGAATAGGAGCCTTTGTGTCCTACAATGAAATTAAGAGGCAGCTTAGGCTAAAATTCCAGGTGGATTTTTAGTTTGAGCTGTTGTATTTTCCAGTCTAACAGGCCCAGTATTAACAGTGACACCCACTAGTGAGTCGTAGACTACTTATGTTCTTAAAACCTGCCCCTAAACAGTATAAACCCTTTTTCAAGTCATCTTATCCTGACACAGTAGTGAGAGAACCAGGTTTCATTCCTGATATTAGGAGTGCAAAATAATAAGAATTATAATATGAGCTCCCATTTACTGATGATTTGTGGTGCTAGGCACTATGATAAGCATTTTACTAAACTTTGATCTCTCTTACCCTTACCTCAGCCTTGAGAGAACAGTAATGTAAGTTCCATTTATGGATGAGGATTTGTTTTTTTTAACAGCTATAAAACTTGAGATTCAGTTGAAGGTACCCAGGAAGAAGCAGAGCCAGGCCCATGGAACTGGAATGCCCAGGCTTTTTTTTTACAGTGCCAGCCTGTTTCCACAGTAAATATGGGACAAGGAGCTATGAATCAATGTCATAACCGTATCAAAAACATGAGGACCAGGGATTGTGACATAAGAGCTAACATTTCTTGAGCACTTACCAAGTGCTAGGCACTGTTCTAAGTGCTTTCTATATATTATCAAATCCTCAGAGTAGGCCGTGTTGTAGAAGGGATATAATTATGATCCCCATTTTACTGATGAGGAAACTGAAGCAAAAAGAGGTTAAATATCCCACACAGATCACCCAGCTAGTGGCCAAGCCCTCAAATTGAAGGGCTGACACCAGAGCTCACCCTCCTAAGCAGGCGGCAGGGCTCAGGAGCATCACACCAGGGCCCATCCTGCAGTCATCTAAAATGCTGCAGACACACCTTTCCCACACTCACTTTCCCTTCCCAAGTTAGACTTCTCTCTGTAGTTTCTTCTGAATCATCACTGAAAATCAGCTAGATTCTTCCTCACTGAAGGGAGGAGTGTGGGGCCCTTTCATTATTTTTTTACTTTAGGGACTTAGGTTTTTGAAAGAACGTCATTCCTTTGAGCTCTTTCCTTCCTGCATCTCAGAGAAAAGCTCTGGTGTGAGGCTTTAAAATTTCCAGGGCCCTCTTGTATTTTCGGTTGATTATACATCACTTTTGTTATTCATCACCTGTCACTTTTGCTGTTCTTCACACAACAGCTGTGGAGAAATTCCATGCCAGCCACTTAATTCCTCGGTGACCCCAATCAAGCTTTCTGTATGAAATGGGAGTAATGACTAGACCTGACACTGGTGTTAAAAGGATGAGGGGAAGCTATGGAAGGTCCCTGCAGAGCTGATAGGACCATGTCCGAGTCCCCTCTAGCAGGGTCACTCCTCTGTGTTGAGACAGACATGAGAGTGAAGGAAACTTGCTGGTGAGCCCAACTGCTGTCCAGCAGGATGTAAACTCTGCCTCAGCTCCTTATTAGTTCTGTGACATTTTGCAGATTGCTGAACTTGCCCCATTGAGTTAGCTTGGCCCCTTTATTAAAAATCAATTGACCCTAAATTGGCGGGTTCACTTCTTGATTCTGTCTGCTCCGTCTGTTTCTGTGTCTATCCTTAAGCCAATACCACACTGTCTTGCTTACTGTAGCTTTATAATAAATCTTAAAATCAGTTCATGTGAGTTCTCTGACTTTGTTGTTCTTTGCATTTCTGTATCAGTGTTAGAATCAGCTTATGAATATCTAGAAATAAAAGCCTCTGGCTTTTGAGTGAGGTTCATGGAATCTGTAGATCAATTTGGGGAGAACTGACATCTGAACAACAGTTGAAGCATTCAATCCAGAACATGTTAAAATTTTCCTTTATTAAGATCTTTTTCAGTTTCTCTCAGTAGCAATGTTTTTTAGTGTTCAATTTACAAGACGTGCATGTTTTAATCTATTTTTGTAAAGTGGTATTGTTTTTTAAATTTCATCTTCCAGTTGTGTATTGCTAGTCTCTAGAGATGCAGTTGGTCTTTGTGTTGTGACCTTGTATCCTGTGACCTTGTAAAAACTCATTTGTTAGTCTGGCAGCTTTTTAAATATATTTTTTCAGATTTTCCACATATACAATCATATCATCTCTGAATACAGTTTTTCTTCCTTTCATATTTATCTGCCTCTCTTTTTCTTGTCTCACTGCACTGACTAGCATCTTCAGAATGATGCTGAATGGTTAGAGTGGACATCATTGCCTGGTTCTGGACATTAGCTGTAGGTTTTTCGTAGAGTAGGTTGAGGAAATAAATTCTCCTCTGTTCCTGTTTGCTGAGAGTTTTTGTCATGAATGGGTGTTGAATTTTGTCAAATGCTTTTCCTGTGTCTGTTGAGATAATCATTTGGTATTTCTCCTTAATTTTGTTAATATAGTGAAATAAATTCACTTTTCAATGTAAACCAACCTTGCATTCCTAGGATAAACTCCAGTTGGGGTTTCTATTTTTTATTAAAGATTTTAATTCTTATTAAATATTTATATGTTCATAAGGAATATTTGTCTGGAGTTTTATTTAATGTTTTTGTCTGGTTTTGTCATTAGGGAATGCTGGCCTCGTAAAATGAAGTGAGAAGTGTTCCCTCTTGTTTTCTTGAGGACTTTGTATATGATTGTTCTTTGATTAAGTCTTTAGTTCCCTAGTGAAGTCACGCAGACCTGAAATTTTCTTTGCAGGAAATTAATTGTGAATTCTTTTTCTTTTCTAGATATGGAGCTATGCAAATTTTCTAATTTTTCGTGTGTCTGTTGTTATAATTTGTGTCTTTCAAGTAATATATCCATTTCATCTTAAGTATGTTGATATAAGGTTGTTTGTATTCTTTTAATATTTATAAGATATGTAGAGATGTTTCATTTTCATTCCTGATGTACGTCATTTCTTTTTCCCACTTTTCCATAACCAACTTAGCTAGAAGTTTATCAGTTGTGTTGATCTTTTCAAAAGCCAGCTTTAGCCTGGGCAACATGGCAAAAATTAGCTGGCTGTGGTGTCACATGCCTATATTCCCAGCTACATAGGAGGCTTAGGTGAGAGGATCACTTGAACCCGGGAGGCAGGGGCTGCAGTGAACCGAGATCATGCCACTGCACTCCAGCCTGGGTGACAGAGTGAAACCTTGTCCCAAAAAAAAAAAAAAAAAAAAAAAAAGCCAGCTTTTGCTTTTATTGAGTTTTCTCTGTTGTCTTGTTTCATTGATTTCTGCTTTTACTTTCTTTGGGTTTCATTTGCTCTTTTTCTGGCTTCTTAAAGAGGAAGTTTGAATAACTCTGGACCTTTCTTCTTTTCTAAAATAAGCATTTAAAGTTATTAATCTCAGCCAGGCACAATGGCTCATGCCTGTAATCCCAGCACTTTGGAGGCCAAAGCAGGAAGATTGCTTGAGCCCAAGAGTTCAAGACCAGCCTGGGCAATATAGCAAGAATTTGTCTCTACAAAAAATTTTTGAAAAATAGCTGAGCATAGTGACACATGCCTGTAGTCCCAGCTGCTTGGGAGGCTGAGATGGGAGTATTGTTTGAGCGCAGGAGTTCAAGGTTATGGTGAGCTATGATCGTACCACTGCATTTTAGCCTGGGCAACAGAATGTGACCCTGTGTCTTTGAAGAAAAAAAAAAAAAATCAGAAATCTCCATGTAAGCACTATTTTCAGCTGCATTCCACATACTCTGATGTGTTGTGCTTTTATTTTCATTCAGTTCTTGTGATTTATTCTTTCACTTATACAAGTTTATTAGTAGTATGTAATTTAATTTCCAACTATTGTTTTTCCCAGAAACTTTTCTGTTATTTTTCATTTATTTCTGTTGTGATCAGAGATTATATCCTGCCTGATTTTAATCCTTTTAGAATATACCATTACTTATTTTATGGCTTATCATATAATCTATTTGGGTGAATGTACCACATACACTTGGAAAGTATGTATGTTCTGTTGTGAGTGGAGTGTACTGTGTCAATTAGGCCAAATTGGTTGATAGTGCTCAAGTCTTATGTAGAACAACTTGATTTTCTCTGCTTGTTCTGTCGCTTCCTGAGAGAGCACAGTAGAAGGTTCTGTGACTCTAACTGTGCATTTTTCTTTTTCTCCTTTTAGTTGTGTAGGGATTTGTTTCATGTAATTTGAATTTCTGCATACATTTTGGATTGTTACACCTTCAAAGGGTATTACCAAGGACAAAGAGGGACATTTCATAATGATAAAAGAGTCACTCTTTTACCAAAGTAAACAGATGGAAAAAGATGTACATACCACACAATACCATGAAAACTGGACTGGCTATAGAAATGTCAGATAAAGTAGATTTCAGGACAAAGGGTATTACCGAGGACAAAGGGTATTACCAAGGACAAAGAGGGACATTTCCTAATGATAAAAGAGTCACGCAATTTAATTGCGTGCATTTGCAGTTTGCCAGTAATTAATGGCCTTTTGAATCTGCGTATCATGCCATTCTCAGTTCCACCTTTTTTTCTCTCTCTTTTGAGACTGAGTCTCGCACTGTTGCCCAGGCTGGAGTGCAATGGTGCGATCTTGGCTCACTGCAACCTCAGCCTCCTGGGTTCAAGCTATTTTGCTGCCCTAGCCTCCCAGGTAGCTGGGATTACAGGCGCCTGCCACCACGCCCGGCTAATTTTTTGTATATTTTTAGTAGAAACAGGGTTTCACTATGTTGGCCAGGCTGTTCTCAAATTCCTCACCTTGTGATCTGCCCACCTTGGCCTCCCAAAGTGCTGGGATTACAGGCGTGAGCCACCGCACCTGGCCCAGTTCCCCATTTAAGGACCCAGCTCTCTGGAACCTGTTTCTTCCAAAGAAGATACAGGAAAGGAAATAGAGTATAGTGGAAAACTCAGTGGCCCAGTTACACTACTTTAGGTGATGTCAGAATTTCAGGGAAATCCTATCCATATCAGGAGCCCAGCAGAGACCCTCTGTATTTAGTCCTTGAGTCTTCTCTAATATGGTATAGTCAGTCCTTCTTCAGTTATCTTTGGAGTGCCCAGCACCAGGAACTCGTATGTCAGGCAAAAGTATATCATTTTCACTAGAACTCACAGATACGCCCACTAGACCTTTTGCATGCTTTAGAAAAAGACTGGAGTGGAGAGTGGCCATTAAAGATAAGAAAAAGTGCCAGGAAAGGGGCAGCCTCCTTTATCAGGTAATAACAAGAGAAAAATGCCAGACGGGTTGGATGAAGCAGAGGAAACACAGCTTGGAGGAAGAAAACCAGTTTATTAATAATAATGATGGCTACCTTTTATTGGTGTTTACTGTATTCCAGGCACTGTGCTGAATGCTTTTCTTGCCTTATCCCTCAGATGAAGAGCCGGAAGCTTAGAGAGGTTCTCAATGACTTGTCCAAGTGGCACATGGTCAGTGAACAATGGGCGATGAGTCCAGGCTGTCTGATGCCAAAGGCTAAGCTCCTAACTACTGCCCTGCACTACCTCTGAGCAAGAGACTGGGACAGGCACTTATGCATGAGTGTATTCTCATTGTGACCCTGGGGATATAATTTCCCCTCTCTGAATCAGAGTTTCCCCATCATCTTAAAATGGGATTATGCTAAGTAATGGAAATCCTTTGCAGTTCCCAATTCTTGTTTTGTGACAGCATATCTTAAATGTTTCAGGCTGAGGAAAAGGCAGATGCTCTGAATAAGGAGCTGCTGATGACCAAACAGAAGTTGATTGATGCAGAAGAAGAGAAAAGACGGCTGGAAGAAGAGTCTGCTCAGGTAAGGGAACTCTCCCACATTCCTCTGTCTTGCAAATGCTTGAGAACTGGGAGTTCAGCTGGTGGCTTCCTGTTGGCACTAGAAAACCTAGAGACATCTGGCTTCAGTTTCTTTCCAAAGACTTTTTTTTTCCCCCTACTGTGTAAAGTCCAATGGTTCCTAATTAAAGTCTAGGAGGAGACAGTGGGTTGAAGCCCATCCTTTGTTGGGGCAGGAGAATTTCTGTGTATCAGCATCTGAGCATAACAAAGAAGAGGGGGTAGAATTCCTGCAGAAGGAAAGCACACATCATATAATGCCTGGCTGTTTCCCTACTTGTCCTCTGCTGTCTCCCTCATAGAGCAAGCTTGGGAAGTCTTGTTCTGAGCCAGTGCTCCATAGTCATTGGAGACACAGACCTGCAGGCATGGGAAGAGCTCTGGGTGCTGTGCGCCTGGGAGCAGTCCCCTCCCCTGTCACACCACGGTCGTCCAGGAGGCAGGACTGGCTGGGGTGAGAGACTGCAAAGCCCTTTCTACAGAAACCATGAGATGCTGAAAACCCGCAGTCCTCTTATGAGCTCTTTGGTTTGTGTCTGGTCTGTCAGTGAAGGTCCACAGGTTGGCTTGTACTGGCAGGGAAGACCTTCAGCAGAAGCCTCAATCTGAAATGGGGTCTGACGTTTTTGGAAGTTTTAACTGTTCTCTCCCTCTCCTGCATCAGGAACAGGGGATTAGTGCTGCCAAGATTGAAGGAAGAAAGTAGCTGAATTAGAGGACTTCCAGGGTTTGGTTCAGCAGTTTTTGGGAAGCCTAGCACTAAGCGGTTGGTGGCAGAACTTCCTTTATTTTTCTGTTAACATAGTCCCTTTTGTTTTTTTATGTGTGCAGTTAAAAGAAATGTGCCGTCGGGAACTCGACAAGGCAGAATCTGAGATTAAAAAAAACAGTTCTATCATTGGTGACTATAAGCAGGTAGGTTCCAGTACCCTGGGATTGGGCTGTGTAATCTGGGAGCCCCTAGTCTGGATAAAATGTATACCCGCCCCCCACCCCCAAACCCAAATGCAAGCACCCTGGTTTCAGATCCTGGCTCTGCCCCTGCACTGACAAGTGGCTTCACTTATTCTCAGTTGTAAAAGAAGGAAAATCATCCCTGCCTAGGAAGGTTGTTACGAGGATTTAAAAAGACCATGTTTGTAGAGTGCCTGGCAGTGCCCAGCACATAGTAGGTACTTAAAACCACAGTATGTTTTGGTATGTATTTCAGATTCAGAATTACGAACTTTTGTTTACGTGTAGTTTTAAACCGGTTATTTCCCTGACTGGTTGAGTTTTAAGAACATAACAGAATGGTCTTGTTCCCTCCTACACTAGGATCTCTTGCTGGCTCATGAGTCTGGCAGGTGTTCAGAAACCATTGGCCATTGAGTGTGGTGCTGCTTGGTTTCTGCAAGTCCTAGGCCAGTGAATGCAGAGGCGGCATAGCTAGAAGAACCCCTGCTTATCCATCGACTTCATATCCCCTCCTGAGCGGTAGCAGGCTATTTGCTACTATGTTAATTCCAATTTACATATTCCAGCTTCCACTATGGAATTTATGCAGATGATTACAATTGCTCAAGAGATTGTTGTTTTATATTTGTTTCTTTAGATTTGTTCTCAGTTGAGTGAAAGATTGGAGAAGCAGCAGACAGCCAATAAGGTGGAAATTGAGAAAATTCGGGTAAGACTTCTCTTTACCTAAAAGATTTTATACCACCTACTTCATTTTATGGCTGTATAAACAGGTTTTGGGAGGAGGCAGTTGATTTCAAAAGTGAGAGAATCTAAGCAATAAGGCACCTGTCACAGGTCCTGGCTCAGTAGTTGACAACTAACACTACGCCTGTTTTCTCTGGAAGGGTGTACAGATGAAATCAAACAAGCTCTAGCTTTAGATCTCAAAGTGCAAGTGCCCCATGATTTCCAAATGTCTGTAAGGCAGTCGATGTCCGCAGTGTGATGCTGAGGAGAAGGAGTCATGCAAGTGATAGGTCTTGCTTGAGGTGGTGGGAGTGCAGAGGTCAGAATCATGTGCTGTGGCTTGTCACTTTCCAGTGTTGTTCTGAGTTCATGCCTTCTGCTGTAACACATCCAAT
Source organism: Homo sapiens (assembly GCF_000001405.40). Lineage (NCBI taxonomy): Eukaryota > Metazoa > Chordata > Mammalia > Primates > Hominidae > Homo > Homo sapiens. The sequence goes on from NC_000009.12 coordinate 123,099,965, forward strand.
TACAATGAGGACCTTAGTTTATTTTTATTTTTTTTTATTTTTAGAGACAGGGTCTCACTATGTTGCCCAGGCTGGCCTTGAAATCCTGGGCTCAAGCGAAATCCCTCCCTCAGCCTGAGCTGCTGGACTCCAGGTGGGCACCATTGCGCCCAGTTTAGAACTTTAATTGTTTAATGTTTTGTTGGCAGCTTAGGAGTTTTTATAACATGGTGCTTTCTTTCTTTAAGTTCTACCTGTATTACAGAACTTGTCAGATTTTACTAAGATAAGCAATTTACTGAAAAGTGCCTCACTAACATATTTACAGCTCAGAGGACAGGAACTTGGGAAAGTTCTGTGCTCATGGCTATGTTTGCGCAAAGCAACATTACCTAGAGCAGGATGACACTGGCCTTCGTCATAATTAATGTTTAACCAGATGTGTGTGTGTGTGTGTGTGTGTGTGTGTGTGTGTGTGTGTGTGTGTGTGTGTGTTTGAGACAGAGTCTTGCTCTGTCATCCAGGCTAGAGTGCAGTGGCGCCATCTCGGCTCACTGCAACCTCCGCCTCCCAGGTTCAAGCTATTCTCCTTCCTCGCCTCCCAGCTAGCTGGGATTACAGGCTTGTGCCACCGTGCCAGCTAATTTTTCGATTTTTAGTAGAGGTAGGGTTTCACCATCTTGGCCAGGCTGGTCTCGAACTCCTGAGCTCGTGATCCACCCGCCTTGGCCTCCCAAAGTGCTGGGATTACAGCTGTGAGCCACTGCGCCTGGCCAACCAGATCTGGTTTTTAAACAGAACTTATTTTCTGATTCTAAAACTTTAATATTCTTGCAGAAAATTTGGAAAAGAAGAGTAAATAAGGGAAAAAAGCCCTTATGATCCATTTTCCACATATAACATCTTTATTAATACTGTGGTGTGTATTCTTTCAGTCTTTGTTCAGTGTTTAACGTCTAAAATTTCATTCATTCTGAGATAAGCATTTCTTTTCACATTTACATCTCTGAAAGTCGGATGTTTTATAATTGGCTTTTTGTGGTTTAATTGGCAGAATGTTTTCTTAGAGGAACATAAAATGACATTTCTTACAGTTAATGGCATCTTATTTTGATGAAATGTGGAATACATTTTATTTGTAATCATAGTTTATGTACATTTTTGTGTTCTATTTCAACCAGCATGCATCCATTTTCCAATGTTATAAAAGTTCCTCAAAAACCTTTTAGAGGCTGTGTACTTCCTTGTATAAATATAGCACAGTATATTTAATATTTAATTGTTTTTGAATAGTTTATCCCCTGCTTTTTTGCCTGTCTCCAGTTCTACAGTGAAAATTTTTGTACATAAATTTTTATCTAGTTACAGCTTCATTTTTCAGCCTGGGTTCCTAGAAGTGAGATTACTGAATCAAGACAATGATAATTTTATTATTTTTGGTGTATAATACCAAGTGGCTTTTCCAGTAGGTTATCTGCCAGTTTACAAAGAGCACAGGTTTTCAGAAACTGTAGTGCTCAACAGAGAAGCCGTCTCTTGGTGTCCCCCAAAGGAGATGCTCACACCATCCTAAAGGGCCAGTTCCTCTTCTTTGCCTCTTCACATCTAACATTCAATTTCAGCAAAAAGTGGATGACTGTGAGCGGTGCCGGGAATTTTTCAACAAAGAAGGGCGTGTAAAAGGCATAAGCTCAACCAAGGAGGTTTTAGATGAGGACACGGATGAAGAGAAAGAGACGCTCAAGAACCAGCTGAGAGAAATGGAGCTAGAACTGGCACAGACCAAACTCCAGCTGGTGGAGGCCGAGTGTAAGATACAGGTAACAGCAGCAGAGCTCAGACATGTGCCTGCGGGCTGGGTTTCCTGATGTGCACTAGAGACCCCAGAAATTATCTTTATGGTTTGGGGTTTTTCCACACCTTTTAAACTTTGGTCACAGTTGTCATGAGAAGAAATATAGGACTTGTTACTGGCCAGTGGATGTCTCATCAGTATTTGGCCTGTCTTGAGGATTTCCGCTGTCATATTGAGAATAATACACAAAAGCTTGGAATCTTTTGATGGGATGAGAAGACAGTGCTTTAGAAACACAGCTCTACCACTGAACTGTTTGACCTTGGGTTAGTAACCTCCCTACATCTCAGGTTCCTTATCTACAAATGGAAATGATGAGAGTCCCTATCTGATAGGTTGGTTTGAGGACTAAGTAAGATAGTGTGCACAAATGGCTTGGCAGAATGTCGGGGGCTTTATAAATGCAAGCTTTTGTTCTTCCAGTTCCCACCACTTAACTAGCTTTGTGACTGTTAATATACTACCTATCTGAGCCTCCTTTCCTGATAAAGAAGTTAGGGCTTGTTTTGGTCATCTTAATACACATTGCTAGGTCCACCAGCACCACTAAACCCTAAGCACTGTTTATGGAGGGAACAAGTTCAGGATAAAAGCTTTAGGGCTGATTCTCCCTCATGGCACACATTCACTGGGCATCTGCTCTTTGGCAGGCCCTGTTATAGGTCTGGGACTGCAAAGCTAAGGCCTGGTAGTGTGACTACCCGGAATAATCAGGAAAGGCATCACCAAGGCAGCAGTAGCTGTGCTGTGATCAAAGAATGCACAGGGCTTGTAGCTACAGGAGAGAGAGAACAGTGGCAATTCCAGGCAGAGGGAGTGGCATGTTCAGCAGCACAAGGAGGAGAGTGGCTGCCCAGGAAGGACCCTCAGGAGTTCTTTCCTTGCAGTAGGGGATGGAGGTGGTGCTAAGGCTGGAAGAGAGTGTGTGGATCCAGATTGCGAAGCATTTCAAATGCCATGCTAGGGAGTTTAAAGATTTTTGCCAAAATGAAATGATGTCACCAGAAATAGAGCATTACCTGTCTGCCTGGTGTGCATTAGGTGGACAGAAGAGGGAGACATAGCAAGTAGAAGACTGTTTTAATAAATAGACCAGGCAAGAAATTAGATCTTAACTAAAAGCTCCCAAATCTTTAGGCATTTCAGGCATTTCTATGCCAGTTGGAGACTGGGGGAATTCCCCGAGGCCTCTCCAGAGTAAATAGACTGCATTCTTGTCTTGGTTCTCCTCTGGGGAGCCAGTGTCATTGACACCAAGCCCAGCATCCTCATGCACACTGTTCCTCTTGCAGGACTTGGAACACCATTTAGGGCTTGCCCTCAATGAGGTGCAGGCAGCCAAGAAGACGTGGTTTAACCGAACACTGAGCTCCATAAAGACAGCAACCGGGGTTCAAGGGAAAGAGACTTGCTGAGAGCAGCTGCCGCCTCCCGACACCTTCAGAAAACACGACACCTTTTGTTGCCTTCTTTGGCCAGATGTGTGATTCTGTGACTTGTCCCAGGACCAGAATGTACCTAAGTCAGATCCATAGACGCATGTTGGTAGGTCACTGGACCAGAGCTTGTGAAGCAGGCAACCTCTGGGGTAAGACTACTGATACTAACAGGCCTGCTAGCTCAGCCGACGCTCTGGACACTCTAGAAATCACTCCTCAGTGTGACCTCCCAGGCCTCTTCCCCGTGTACGTCAACACCTCACCCAGCCTAAAGGCTGAGTTTACATGATCAGAGTTAGGGGATCCTTCAGTCTGTTGATTTTTTTTCTAAACCTTTTTTTTTTAATATACATATATATATATATATATATATATATATATATATATATATATATATATAGTGGGGGTGGGGCAAGGGATCAGAAATTCAAATAATTCTTTTCTGCTTCAATGCCAGCAGAAGGTCCCCCAGGTAGACATGGAGAAGCACTTTGTTTTAAATAGGAGGGTTTCATAGTTGCATCTGAAGCCACCTGGTTCTGTTAAACTGTATGGTGCAGGTTTTGGGTTTGGCATTATTCATGTTTCTGATCAATTCTATGCAACTCTCATAGTTCCTGTTACTTTTTAGCATTAGCTGCCAAATGACTTCAAAAGGCTGGGGTGGGTGACTTGACTGTGAGACTGGATTATAACATGGACAAATCTTATTTTGCTTAATGTGTTTGTGTGTGTGTGTGTGTGTGTGTGTGTGTGTGTATGTATATATATATATAAATATCTTTCCCAATATGCCCCGTTGACAGTGTTTAAATTCCAGACTAGGACTGCTGATCTGCACAATTTAATTATGTGGTTATTCGAGCACTTAATTTCACTCAAGGTTCATTGGGCTCTGCTCTCCTCCCTGCCATTACGGGAGCTGTGGACAGAGCTCCCTCACTTCAAGATTCCTAGTGTTTTTGCACAACAGGTTGTCCAAGTGAGAAAGACTGAGTTGCGTGTCTGTAAATGTCTGCGCAGGGTGCACATGCTGCGAGGTCTCCATCCTCCGGGCCTGTCCCTCCCAGATGGGCTGGGCCTTTGGGCCCTCCTCAGAGTATGCCTGGGTACAAACCTCACTGTTCAGATGGGCTGTAAGTTCTCACTTCAAAGCTATGGAATGGATTTTAGCACCTTTAAAAAAAAAAAAAACTTTGACTTTTAATTTATATAGTGATATGCTGACAGGCTGACACGCAGATGGTTTTGTCCTCTTTTCTGCGTTCAGTGTTGAGGCGGCTGCTTACAAGAGGCACTGGTTTTGTATATAAAGACACTCGGGTTGTTTTGTAGCTCTTTTTCTTATTGGCTGTACTAACGCTTGCTGAGGTTATCTGTAATAAGGGAGGTAACAAGTGGCAACCCCCTCCCCACCAACCATCCCCTTTGCTGCTTTCTGTGTCTTTCTTGTTCAGTTACCAAAATAGCTGTAAGCCTATCTAATGCTAGGTGTGTGGACATTGTGCTAAGGTAGTTTCAGTGTGTCAACTTTATGAATTGAAATATAAACCAGTAAAATTGTATTACTGTTTCTTTTGTTGGTTTTATTTTAACAGCATATTGATTAAATATTTTGGTACAAACAAACAGCATTGCTTTGTAAAAACCAGTTTTGTCATCACCTACTCCTGTCGCCTCCCCTTCTTCCCTCATCCCCTGCGCACAGAAGCAGTCAGAGAAGACCACTGTGTGTGCTGTAAGAGAGGCATGTGTGAGCGCGAGGCAGCCCCTCACCCACCTGTTGAGACGTATGGAGTGGTAGGGTGTGGCAGGCCACATGGGGCAAGATGACGACGTTGATGCCTCTGTGTTTGTTTATGATGAACATTGCCCCTCTGAGAAATAACATGCTGTAGTAGCAGGGATGAGGGACACTTGGTGTTTTTGAGGCTTAAGGAAGCCTTACAGGAGGTAAGGGTCAAATTAGACCTTCAAAGGCAAAAGCATCTCACCAGGCAGAGATGGAAGAGGGAATTCCAGGGCCAAAGTGTGCATGTGCAGGGGAAACAGCTGAAGAGTAGAAAGGCAGGCTGAGCACCTGGGGGCCGGCTGTGGTCTGCTAAAAGCTTTAAAAGCAGTGACATGGAGTTGTCATCATCTTTTCAGAGCCTCTTTCTTCCTATCGCCTGTCCTCCACATCCCTGCACCATACAGATGAGGCTCCCAGGCCTTCTGCTGCCCCTCTTCACCACCTCAACCCCCTTCTCCATAGCAGGAAGAAGAACGAAGCTTCCCTAATCTTACGGTTCCCCCTTCCCGCTTGACCTGCCCTCTAGGACCCCACCTATGCCTAGCCTTTAAATGGATGCAGGCTGAACAGACCATAGCTTCATGCCTGCAAGAAGGATGACTGGATGGATGGCTGGATGGACAGACAGACAGATAAATGTAGATTAGATAGATAAAGTAGATGATAGATAAAATAATAGATAGATGAGATAGATAAGATGGATAGATAGATGATAGATCGATAGATATAGATAGATAGATAGATAGATAGATAGATAGATAGGGATAGAGATACAGATTAGACAGAGAGCAGGTGGGCCCCTGCCCTGTCTGTCTGTCTTTCTCCACTGCAACGAAACTAGGAAAGTTCCTAGCATAGGGCTCAGCCCCTGGCAGGTACTCTTGCAGAAGCCAGGACTGTGGCTCCAGAGCACAGCTAGGTCCCTTTGATGCTCACAGGCTGCAGGCTGGAGGACATGTTTCTGGGATCCACATTCTGGATCAGCCTGCTCCATGCTTTTCCTGTCCCATGGCTTCTGTGTTCAGTAGGGCAGGGACTCAGCAGAATCCTCATCCCTGTAGCTGCGTACTGGCCCAAGAAAAGGAGTCCATATACTATTTAGTCTTGGCACACAGGCCTCAAACGACTCGGATGAGGGTTCTGCTTTTGGGGAGGTCCCCTGGTTATGTTGAGGCTGAGACTGAGAATAATGTGACACCGTATGGTAAGTCGTGTACAGGTGCATGGGATCCTGTGGGAAGGTTATGTATAAATGCAGGAGGGACAAAGTGGTAGTGACAGTTGTGACTGACAACTAAGGGACTTGCTAGCTAGGCAGAGGAGCAGCAAGAGGACAGCGGCATTTAGGTGGGAAGAATAGTAGTAAAGTCGGCTTGAGGTGGGGTGATGAGAGATGAAACTGGGTAATTAGGTTGCGGCCATGCCAGGGAGTTTGGAGCTGATAAGGAGTCACTGGAGAGTTTTAACCCATTTATGCCAGAGGTTACAAATTTTTTTGTGTGAAAAATCAGACCTTGGCGATGACCTTAAGCAGTAGGATATAAATAACTCCCACAAGCTTAGCGTTCCAATAATGGAACACTAGGCATAAATGGGTTAAGCTAACTTGCACTTTGAGTGGTTCCCTGCTGATCCTTTAGGAAGAAAAATCGGGAGGAGAAGAAATTAAGGGTGTGAGCAGAGGTGACAGATGATAGAATAAGGAATGGAGAACGGAGTCAGTGAAATTTAGGGAGAGTGACGACACACCAGGAAGATGATAAATTTAGCTGTCGGGGTATAGATTTGAAATAGTCTGGGACTTGCAGGTTGGAGATGCTGGCAATCTACAGCTGCTCAGTTGTTGGTTTGGCATCTCTAGCGCAGGGTTTCTGGACCTCATTGTTGATGATTTGGCTGATTGATACTTTTGTGCTGTAGGGGGTCTGTCCTGTGTAATCCCAGCAGCATCCCTGGCCTCTATCCACTGGATGCTAGTGCATTACCCCACGCCAAGTGGCACAACCAAAAACGTCTTCAGGTATTGCCGAATATTCCCTGAGGGGGCCAAATCACCCTTGATTGATTGAGAACCATTGCTCGAGCAAGCTGAAGCTAGGAGCCTGGAGAGACTGCCTAGATAATGTACAGCTTAAACAAGGGCTAGGAGCCGCCATTCAAGGAGCAGGAGAGAAGACATGGAGAATGGAGCATAGACGGCCAGAGAGGAGCAAGAGCTACCTTGGGGTGGGGATGAGGGCAGGACTGGAAAAGCTTCATTGGATTTGGGAGCTGGAAGGTTGTTAGGGCAGTGGCCACTACAGTTGAGATGATGGGAGGGCAGGAGGCAGAGACAAGCAAGTATAGATTTTAAGAAGCCTGGCTGTGAGGGAAGTGGGCAAGCAAGGCCAGTGGTCAGAGGGGACTGTGGCAGGAAGAGCAGTTGTGCTGGGCCACTCAGACTGTGGTTCCAACCTTGGGCACCTGTTGTCTCCTGCTCACGAGGTCGGCAAGCATGCAGCACAGGCTGAGTGGACCTTCTTTGGCAGGCCCTGCTGCAAACCAAGCTGATTTCCAGGGCCTTGATAATTCTCAGTGGGGAGGCAGCGGCTCAGACCGAATGGCAGGAGCTATCAGCCCCAAAGTGTCTGCACCTCTTCTGAATTCCAAGTCAAGTCCCAGGGGCAGGGGCTGAGTAGTGAGGGGGGTGAAGAAGAGAGCCACCGGCTACCCGAATAAGCCCAGAACACAACTCCCATGTTTGAGCTGACCCATCAGTTGTGAAAACCAGAGCCCATGCAGAGGGGAGCGCAATGGGTGACATGGGCCCCTTGTGGCCTTGGAGAGTCACTTCACCGCTCAGAGACATGCCTGATTCTGACATTGGGATTTAAATCCTCTTCTAAGATTCATTTGGGGGGTGATGAAAGAACAGGAACGCTGGAGCAGGCAGATATGAGGACTGGAGCCGCCCAGAATGGGCACTGAGGCACTCCCAGAACAACAGACATGAGTGCTGAGTTCTCTGCCCTCCACATTTGATTGATTGATTGATAGGTGAAGAGAGATGGGCTCAGAGAGACGGCTGGGATGTTGACTCGTACTTCTGTCAGTAACCAGCAGGGTGGCTGCTTAAAGATGACCGTGTGGAAGCAGGTAGGTGTAAACCGTCACAGCATTGTACTGCAAGCAACACACACAGAAACTCAGGGTTCAAGGCCAGGCCATACCCTTGGACGTACATTTCACTTAACCTTCCTGAGTTCTGATCTGTGCAGTGGGTCTGGTGCCTGGCTCGTCAGGGCTGCTGGGTTCTCCTGTGACGCCCTTGGCTCTTTTCCTGTATTCTTCTCCCTCCAGTCATCAGAACACCCCTGAGTTCAGTGATGTTATTCCCAAATTTGAAAGTGAAGGTGAAAAGTCTGCCTGTGACCACACCATCGGGGAGTTAGTTTTCCTACCACATACCACCACCTTCACCTTCTCTTCCAGGGCCCAAGAGCAAGAAAGACAATGCTCCCTCCCTCCCCCTCTCCCAGTTCCACCTCAACAACCTGTCTCCTGTGCAGCTGAGGCCTGTGGCAATTGTGAACAAGAAAGCCTAGCCGTCCCTCAATCTCAGAAAGGCCAACCTGGGAATGAGGATGGGAACAGCAGAGAGCTGGCCCGGGCGGCTCTTCTTTCTTTCAGTCAATTCTTGCGTCGTCGTAGATCCAGCCTGATGATGTATAGGGAGAAGGCGGGGCCCTGAGTTCTAAAGTGAGGCAAACACAGCCGGCGCCATTGCCCACACAACTCTCCACTTACCTGGAGGCAGCAGCAGCAGCAGCAGCCCCTGGCCCGATTCCCCACCAGGACACTTCCCTGGGCTACCGGACCTTCTTCATCCTCGTCCTTCCAAGTGGACTGGGACTACATTGTGGTCTTGAGCTCTCAGTTACTAGGGCAGCTCAACTGCAGAAGCCTTGCAGAAAAGCAGGCAGCAGGAAGAAGAGCCTTAGCTTTGGGTTCCAATTGCTGCCGCCCTCTAGAAGCTCGACACCATTGGGCAGGGTCCTTTAACCCTGAGCCTCGGTTTCCGATCTGTATTGTCTGTCTGGGTATTACTGACCCCGCGAACAGGTGTGACGATTAAGAGGTCAGCACTCACTCAACATGACATCACTTACCACTCACTGTGCCAGGGTGCCAGGTTCATGTTTCATGTTGAGGAAACTTCACACCACAGAGAGGCAGGGTTTTAAGGACCATAACGGGATCATGAATTAGGCCCTGGCCCCACCCAAATCACTGTCCATTATCAGGAGCCATCCACCCCCCTTCAAACATCCTCGGCCCCTCCATCCCTTTGCATGAAGGGAAGAACCTGTAACATGTACTGAACTAGAGCCTTAAGGGCCAGGAAAAGGGAGCCTGCACTTGAACCTTTCACCAAAGCTGTATCCTTCATTTTATCAGTGGGTCTTGCACAGAACAATCCATTACTGTGTGTGACAGAAGCATTTGTTTGTTTTTATTTATCCAAATGGGGAGAATGCAACATGTCAGGGCATTACAGACAAACTGCAGCAGCCAGACAAGAGGGTCAGTCTATGGCAGAGTCCAACATACTCAGTGCGAAGGAGCCACAGTGCGGGTGCTGCCTGGAGGACTTGTGGCAGCAGGGTCCCTTTGGATGAAGGCCAGGTATCTCTGGGCGAGGCACTGATGACCATCCACATGTGCAGGCTGCTGCTTCAGTCACGCTGAAGGTTTAAAGTTCAGAGTCCTACATGTAATAATTGCCTCAGAGGGGAAGGGCAGTCCATGGTGGTCACGGTTTCCAGTGTTTTTAAACATAATACACAAAGTTATTGCCAAGGATTTTGCACTGCAAATTATACTATTTACACTTGCGTATTCAGAAAAACACAGTAAATAGATACATGATAGATATTTTAAATAGATTTCTAAAAACCAACTTGGTCTTCAGTAGACCCGAGTGAGCTACAGCCAGGAGTCCCATGCCATGTGTGTAACCGTGCGGTAGGGAAAGGTTTCTATCCACGACTACGCTCAGCCTCCTCCTGCCTCCCCCACCCTTGGGCCTGACGAAGGGCTAAGGCTGAGCAGGCCTACCTTAGTCCTTAGTGTGAGGGCTTCAGGTCTAGACTGGCTGCACCTCCCACCTTCCCAGACAGAGTTCTGCTTGGAGCCGCTGAGAAGCAAGTCCTACAGGCTCCACTCCTGCAGGACCACTACACGGCGGGTAAACCAGGACACACAGGCATGGGGCTGCAGGGCTAACGGTATGATGAACCTGGCCCTAGGCCAGCCCCTTCCCCAGCACCCCCTGCCAAAGTACCCTTGGGAACAGGCCCATCAGCCTCACTGTTCCTGGAAGTACGATTGCCCTAATTTATGGTTACCTCAGGAAACCTTCTTTTGAAGAAGTGGCTGGGACCAACCAACCACTTAGACCAAAGGCTCAGCACAACAGGCCAGACAGATGGGTCCAGGATGAAAGGCCTGAGTCCAAGGATGCTTTGGGGAAAACGGGATAAACACTGCTAGGAGCTAAAAAGTATATGGTGTCTGCCCAAGGAAAGGACAACAGTAGGGAGTTCCCACGTGGACCAGCTTTCATTTTGCCTCCATAAGCCCTGGTATGCTGGAAAGGACGTCCACCTGGAGGCTGGAGACAGCTCCTCAGAGAGCCAGAGCTACCCTTGGTTCCTGGGAGATGGAGAGAGCGAGGCCCTCTGGTCGGAGGCCTACAATTTGGCTCCCCAGTAACATTTCTAAAAATGAGCCCTCCTCCCTCGGAAAGGTAGTAAGTAGTAGCAAAGCATCTCCCACAGCCATGGTAGGTCCCATCCCTGAGAAGCTGCCACATGAAGTGAGCTAAGGGAAAAGCAGTGCTCAGTACCCCATCTAAGAAATGGGGGTGCGCAGTGAACAGAACCTGCTTGTGCAAGGCCGGCCTGACCATGAAAAGTGATCGGGGGTAAGTAGAGGGATGCGTCTAATGGCAGCGGCCTCTGGCCCGCTGTCGGAATAGAAGAGGTATTTTTTGCAACCAGGGCTTGCCTGGCTACTTCCAAATCAAACCTCATGCACCAGCTGCCATCACTACCTTGGGGGTCAGGGCTGCAGCCTGAGGGAGCCAGTGAAGTGATATCCACACACAAGGAGGCTTGGTAAGTGACATGGAAGTGCCTCGGAAATGCGTGTGTCTGGATCGAGTGTCTTGCCACGGACCCACCACACCAAAATCCCTAAAGGGTGGAGAGCACGAGATACCCAGAACAGAGGAAAGAGGCTGGAAACCTAAGACACGACTTGTAAATTACAGGTGGAGACGGAACTTCTCACCACCTCCCTAGCTATCTAAAACTCCTACTCCTTGATCCATTTCCATGAACAAGGAAAAGAAAAAGAGTCTGACTCGCAAAAGCGGCAGAAATATTTAGGTTAGAGTCAAGCAACTTTCTGACCATCTTGGTTCCCTAAGCAGGAAAACGGGACAGATGGCAAAGCACCTGTGCCTGTAGGCAGGGGCAGGGCTGGCCTGAGCAAGGCTCTTGTCTGTAAGTAACTCCACTGCCTGACAGACAAGAGCCTTCCTATGAAGCTGGAGCCACAGCACGTGACTTGCTGTCACAGGAAAGGCCACACCTGGCACTGCAGCCAGGGACAGGCTGCATTCTCTTTACCCAGTGTCCATCTGTGCCGGCTCCAGTTTGTCAGTTTCCCTTCCATAAACCCAGAAACTTCACTAGACAATGCAAGAAGTGTTCCTTCTTAGAGCTGTACCATAAGAGCCTGAGAGCTACTCCATGTCCATAAGAGAGAAGACCAGGCAGCAAAATCCGAGAGGCACTTCTGTACCAGAGGGAGCCCGACAAGTCTAAAGACAGCAGCCACCCAGGGGCAACTCTTCCTTCTGTATCCCTGACCTGATTATCAGAGATTAGCAAAACACAACTTCACCGAGAGGAAGCAGCACCCAGTTTCTGAAGTTTGCAGTGGCTTCCTGCCTCTCCAGGGCCTGCCAGGCTGCTCAGAGCACAGCACACCTCCCTCCCGCCTTTCCCCACACCTGGCCCGACTGTGCTGGGGCAGCAACGTAGCCCTCGCCTCCTGACTCAGTCCCGGAAGGCCAGAGACAAGGCTGGGCCCCGTGAAAGGGAGTCACAGTGCAGCGCTGCCGGCCTGTGGCTGGTCCCGCCTCGTCAGCATCCTGGGACAGCCCTGTGTGCAGCTGGCCACCACCTCCCAGCTCAGGCAGAGGGGCAAGTGCCTCCTCTTCTCCGAGCTGCATGTGATCCTCGCCTGCCCCGCGGGGCTGCTGGGGCTTCGCTGAATCAGCGCCTGTGGAGGCGCTTCTATCAGGCCATCTTTCTCCAGCCCTAGCCGCCCCTTCGCAGCGGACACTGTGCTCCTATCAACGCACGGCAGCGCCAGCTATTCCCACCTTCTGTTCACGTCAGACTGGCAGCAGCTCACGTCCCTGGCACCTCTCCGATGCTCTGAACGGCAGCTCCCTTCAACGTGCCTAGAAACCCCTCTGAGAGGAAAGACCATGCTCAGCAGAAAGCGCTACAAACACCCCAACTACACTGAGCATTCCTCAATGCAGCCACCACGTCTGATTCACCTCAGTCCCCTACGCCTGACGTCGGGCCCGGCCCAGAGCAGTCCACCCCCAGGGGTAGTTGCTTCCACCTCCCTTAGTAGCTGGCAGCCTCTGGAGACGAGAGGCCAGCACCTCTGCTTCTCTGAGGCCTGCTGAACACGGGCCTAGGGCATGTACAAAGGAAGCAATCTGCTCCATAGAGCGTTCCCGCCATGTGACTTGATTCTGAAGCAAGGGGCAGTCAGTCCGTCCCCGCCCCTTTACCTTCATATTCTGAGGCCCCAAGCCGAACTTAGATTGGAGACAGAATGTTTCATTTATCCTGCCCTCGTACGTGAATCTTTAGGATAGCAGGAAAGAAAACGCCTGAAGAAGGAAGATTCTGTAAAGCTCTGTCATGTCAAAATAAAGGTGGGGTGCTCACTGACTATAAGCCAATGGTCAGAAAACCTGTCCAACTCTCTGGGCCTCTCTTCCCCACTCTAATACCAAAAGTACCTTGACCAGGAAGTCCAGACTAAACGGAAAGGCGTAACTTACAACCACAGACATGGTCCTCCATAGCCAGTGACATTTCTAATAAGCATTTGTGATCACATGACCCTCCTGAGCACAGCTGTCCAGTGGCTCCCTACAGCCCAGAGAATCCAGTCCACACCCCTGAGCCTGGCCCTCCTGGTCCTTTACGAGCAGACCTCATGCGCCTGTGTGACTATGCAGGCCTCCTCATTGTTTGACACAATCTCATCCGTTATCTGGTCCTGCTTCCCTTCCTGGAGAACTGCAGCCTCCTCGTCTAAACCCGACTCCGGAGCTGCCTGCCTTCAGGGCTTTCCTGATTCACCCTCAGCCCTTCTCTTTGAGATTCTATCACCTGGGACTTCCCTGAGCCCTGTTCTGTATGATGCTCTTTAGCCACCTGCTCTCCTCTTCCAATGTCCCACGTGTCACTCAAAACCTAAGTTCCATATGGGCAGGAACTACATCGTCCTGTGCATTGAGCCAGTGCTCACACGGAGGAGATGCTCAGGAAGCCTTTGTGGGGAGGTGGATGGATCCAGGCAGTGGATGGGAAGGAAGTTTCCAGTCATGATTAAGCCAAAGGGTAAGTCATCTCTATAGTCTAAGGGGTTGGTGAAATACAGCCAAGTTTGGCAAAATACTCCCTACTTTGCAGGGGTTGGCAAACTACAGCCCTGTGTATTTGTAAGTGAAGCTTCATCAGAACACAGCCATGCTATCTATTTACGCACTGTCTCTGGCTGCTTTTGTGCTACAGTGGCAGAGCTGAGCAGTTGTGGCAGAGACCACATGGTCCATAAAGCCTGAAATGCTATCTGGCCCTTTACAGAAAGGATTTGTGGACACAGGGCTAAGGCAGCGCTTCCCATATATTTTCACATTTCACCTCTTTAGAGGTGAGATTTGTGTAGCCTGTTGATTAACAGTGAAGGCTGCTTGCAGCTAAGAGACACCTGGCCTTGGAGCTCTGGCCACCCAAAGGCTGACAGGATCCGTGTCCACAGCTGCCACCTGAGCCACAGTCCCCAGCAGAGCTGTAGGAAACAGGTGCAGAAACCCATGCTGGCCTTCAGCTCTCCCCGTCCATTTCAAAGCAAAAGTGGCAGCACTGGGACAGACACAAAACTGACACCCAAAACCAATCCTCCGGTCACCTCACAAGTTCATGGTCCTTTCCGTCCTTCAAGAACTTGGGAAAGAATGTCCACGTCTTCCCATGGGCTACAGACTGTGTTCCACAGATGCTGAATCCAACAAGCTCCAACCCTTGCTTAGGTTAAAAATGAACACAAATGGATTAACTTTTTGCCAAGCAAAAGGCCTCAGCATGAACAACCACCCGGTACCTGTGACTCCTGGCTGGAGAGCCCAGCCCGGCGGAAACTCAGAAAGGGTGAAGATGCTGATAGGTCACAAGCCCCTCCCCACTGCCAATGGAGATGCCAGAGTGCTCCAGCACAATGGAGTGTGGCCCACCAAAGCCCCATTTCCTAGCCCGGTGGAGATGGCCCTCGCTCCATTCTACCTCCTCTGTACCCTGTCAGTATCTTCCTCCATTCCCCTGCCTTCCCCCGTCCTGGTCAGAAACACCATTGTTCCCTCTATTGCCCACTGAGCAGTGGTCCAGGAGAAGTACTCCAGCAGGTCCCCCGCCCCCGGATGGGTGCTATTGTTCCTTGGCCCAGGGTTGGGGGCCATCATCTTCCCGTCCCTACCCAATCCGGCAGAGGAGCCTGGCCTGTGAGGAGATGCCATTCCTGCCTCTCCATCCCTCTGCTGCTGCGCTCCATCAGCCTCCCTCACGCCTCGCCTGGCCAATGGCAACAGCCTCTTGCTCATCAGCCTTGCCTCCTGACTCTGGTCCTTGGCTATCCAACTGTCCCAATCGACCCTCTGGAACTCACTATTGTGGACAATGGTCATCATTGAAGGACACACCACCCAGGGCCTTTTAAGAAGTGACTGCAGACTGTGTGTCCCACCTGCCACTTGACTCTGCTCATCCTCTCGGGTCCCACAGCAAGGCCCTTCACACTCCCCAAGTGGGCACACTCTCTCTGTGCATGCATGCCAGGCCCGCCTCTGACTCCCCTCCTGGGGATCCCGTCTGGCTCAGTGGGAAGCCTATCGCTCTTGGTAAATTACTCAGTAAGCACTTCTCTCCTGAGGCCTGGCTCCTCTCCTGCCCTCGGCGGGAGACCTGGGAACGGGCCTGCCAGCGCCCAGCCCAGGGCTGGCAAGGAGGATCCCTAGCAGGGAGGGGGAGACCCACTGAAGCCTTTCTCCCTGCACAGAGGAGGACTCTCATTCTGTTCAAATCCTCTGCACCTCTTTCTTCCCCTCCCTGTACTCTCCATCTGGGTCAATGATTTCACCTTCTACTCAGTTGTCTAAGCTGCAGATTCTGACATTTTCTCCAACTGCTCCTTCTCCCCCATCACAGAGCCTGGTAAGAAGCAGTAGGTGACAGTGAATGGTTTTTCTCAATAAATCTACGTGCCCAAGAAGGGAGACATGGTCTTGGCAGCATCACCAGTCAACATCAGAGTTCGTCCAAACTGACATTCCACAGCATTTCCTCTTTGCCGTCCACACAACCGGCTTCTTGCTTGAACATGCTGGTTACAGGGAGCTCATGTCGCACCTCAGCTGCTCTCTCAAGGCTGCGTCTGTCATCGCGGGAGGTGTATTTTAGCTCAAATTGCCCCACTGGCTTCCCATAATTGTCTTTCACCCTTTGGAACCACATACAACAAATAAATATAATCCCTTAAAAATACCTGGCAGGAGTGCCCACGTTCTCTCCAGGTCTCCTCTTCACCAGCCTTAACCTTCTGGTCCTTCCATCTCATTTCAAGGTGCTTTCAGCTTTCCTGAGTTCCCCAGGTGCCAATTTCCATAGGTTTTTTACCTCCCAGATGATGGCTACCATATTCCTTTAACGTAGCCTCTGCAGGAATGAGGGATTTTTAGAAAGCTGAGACTTCCGAGAAGTCTCATGATGGAAGAATCCAAGGGGATCCCAACACCAGATTGCTCTGGAAAATGTGTTACTGTGACGGTGATCCCATGGGTTAGAGCACATGTTTGAAGGCCGAGCCAGGAACGGAGGATGTGGCCAAAAACCAAAGTGTGGATGAGGCGGAACATAAAACACATACTTCCAACAGCACATCCCCTGTCCTCCTTCCCACCCCTGAGGAGCTCTCCAAGTAGCAATTACTGAATTTGCACTTTATTATAGGGTTCAGTTACAGTATAAAATGATGGTCTGTAGAAATTAACCCCAACTGTGTAGCTGGCAAAAAAGAAAACAAAACAAAAAAACAGGCTGCCTGGCCCAGGGCTGACCAGTTGGTCACCTTGCCCAGTAGCACACTAACAAAGGAACAGAAAAAGAACGAGCCCAGAAAGTCTGGATTTTAGGAGGCTAAGGAAGGATCAGGGAGATGTGGGTTGGTTTTTGCTTGGTTTCAAGGCGCACAGGGGATAGCCCAGAAGCCTACAGGAAAGGTGAGCCGAACACATCACAGAGAGAGAAGCCACTGCTGCCAAGTGGGCTTGGAAGACAGAACGGACATTGGTGCCTACTAGCGACGCAAACCACCTGCACACAGCATAGCCTCAGACGGGGTGAGCGCCGCCACTCACCGCACTATAATTTGGGGCAAGTCACCTTATCTAAGCATCTATTTCCTCATCTGTAAAAGGAGAAAATTTCTAATTCCAGTTGTGGTGAAATTCAAAACTAATTCCTCAGAAAGGGCTGCTGTTACCTCTAAAAACAGTCTTAAGAAATGTTATTTCTTCTGGTGGTTAAAAACTCATTAGGGGCCACAATGCTTTGCCACAAATAAGCAGTGTGGTTTGGAGAGATCTCTGGGCTCTACTCTCCCTGTCTGCAAGGTGGGAACAACGATCTATGCACTGCTGCTTCTCCAAGGGCCACCAGTACAGCAAGTCATGAAATGGCAAACGGGAAAGGGCCTGAGAGAGGACTGTGTTCTATGAATGCCAGGCGCTCATTCTCCCTGACACAGTCATGCTCTAGAACACGACAGCCTGGGATTCAAAGGTTCCTTTTTCCTGCTCCCCTCCAGGATTACAGCAGGGTGCACAGAAACATTGCCAAGTGCCCAGAAAGAGGATGACTTGGGGTGGATGAGGAATACTTTGTCCTGAAAAGGATCCCGCAGCCATCCCCGCACCCACCCACGCCTGAGCAGAGACCCAGCTGTCATTCATTAGCCCAGGAGCTGGTAAAGTGGTTACAGCAGCAGAAGAATCCAACACGCTCAACAGGGTGGTTCACAGGCAGCAATTTAGAGACCCCAAAGCCATCCAAGCAGGGCTTACCATACACGGGTCCAACTTGGAGGGAAGACAGCAAACTCCAGGCTGGCAGTCTGCCCTGAGGCCTACTCCAAGGGAAACTCCTGGCAATGACCACTGACCTCTGCAATCTGCCACCACCCATCTCTACTGAGTACTCGTCCAGGGACACCCCCTTGCACTTACACCTCAGACCTGGGCTGCTGCCCCTCTGTGCTCCTCTTCCTTGTACCCAATGAGCCAAAGCCTCACCAGCCTGCCTTCAGAGTCTGGCTTAAATTGTTGAAGACATCCTCATGACCTATCTCAGGCCAGGCAGAGAACATGCACTCGGAAAATATAAGCTAAGTGAAAACACATACCTCAGATTTCACTGAAATTCAAAGAAAAACAAGCTTTAGATAAAAATGCTTCCTCTGTGGATACAGATGCAATGCAGCCCTTCAGTCTGTCCTTCCAGTATGTTAAATCGTTCTTCACAACCAATTTAAATGAAAAGAGCCCTATTTTAGGCCAGGTTATCTGATCTGGAGTCACCTCAAGTCAGAGGGCCTAGCTACCAGCAGAGCCCATCCTGTCGGCCGCAGCCTTTTAATCCATAGCAGGATGGAATAGAAAAAGGCTTTAGAACAGAACTAGGTTCCATTAATGGTTCTAGCACTTAACCTGGAGCATCAGTTTCTTTTGTAAACTAAGGATACTACTATTGCCAGAAAGGTAGCTGGAGAATTCAGAAGAATGTCCAAGTGCCTGGCACACAAGATACAAATGTTGGCATCTCTCCTTCCCCTTCCCTTCCTACTCCTTCAGTCCACTGCTGCTCCAAATGACCTAAACTGAGGGCTGCTGTTCACCTCATTACTTGGGGCATTTAGCAGACACCTGCATGCAGACACCTTTTGTCCAGTGCTGAAACTGCCTGGGCAAACAGTGGCTATCTTCACTCTGCCCACCAGCAGGGTGGCACAGTTCATCTGCAGAAATGGCAAAGTTCTGCCAAGAGAGACCAAGACCCTCCTCAGAAGGAGTAAGTAATTAGAATGTTGACAACTGATCAGTCAAGGCAAAAAAGTCCTCCCTCAATGCTGGCTGAACAAGGCAAAGACTCCACCAAACAGCCTCCCCTGGGGGGAATGTACTAACTTTTGCAGGACATTAGCTAAACAAGTATTTCTTAGATTTAAGAAAAACCTCCTGACTACAAGCCAAATCTTATTTGCCTCCTTAAAGGTAACACTCAGTCCTTGTCTACGTAACGCAGTTTTTATAAACTTGGAGCATCTGAGGGCTCCAATCTATGTTCCCCACTTAGCTCACCTCTTACCAACAGCCAAGGATGCATCTGACCACCTTTCTGCAGAGGCTCCTGAAGTCTTTGTAGACACACAAAGGAATGGAAGATAAGACGTGCACCCTCTATTTAATCCAAAAGCATCAATTTCATCATGTACCCATTTTCCTCTTATCGAAAAAAAGCAACTTTCCAACTGTGTCCAGACAGTAAATGGATAGACAAAAAGAAAGACGAATAGATGGGCAGATATGTTTTCTCTAAGACTAATAGGCAGAAGGGAGGCCTCATATGGTGTTGAGTGCAGATTTTTCCCCCCAAAAGTATCAAAGCAAACTAGAAGAGACAAGCTATAGGAGTGCTTTTCACTGAAGCATCCTAGTCAACAGCCTTTTAAGCACACCAATCAGTTTCCTCCTTTCCTTTCTGTGCTTTAAAGGAACTTGCTTTCTACCTACTAAACACTGGTAAGCCCTGAAGGTTAGATTCCGGAGGCAGTTGTAACCAAACACCTTTTTAAAAAATTATTAATGCACTGGTTGGACACTTGGACTCAGCAGGTAGATATTCTAAGATCAGCCCTTATGAAGTTCTAAGCACCCTTAAATCCCACCCCCCGCCCCCCGCCAAAAAACAAGTATTTACAAACCCTTGGCAGCAGACTGGCTGGTAATTTAACTACTGTAACAGACACATGAGCAACTTCCTTAAGCTTGGATCTGCAGCAACGCCACCACACTAGCTCTCACCAGGTCTTTGGGGTGTGTTTCTTGTCTAACCCCTAGATACCAGGAGTCTTCTCCCAAAGCCTGGCAGCAGCTGACGCCTATCAGCACCAAGGAACCGACACAGCTCCACCCTGAGCAGGCCATGCACCTGCCTCTCCAACACCTGTTGGCAGAGCCTTGCCCTCCTCACGTTCATCCTCACCTCGGCCAACCATGGTAAGAACACTCAACATTCACTGAGTACGTACTCTGCACCAGGTACTGTTCAAAACATATTATGTGTATTAACTCATCTAATTCCTGAGCCCCATGGGAATGTGCTGGAAGGAGAGAAATTCTTTGGCCCAGATTCCCGCATGGTTTCTAGTCTCTATTTCTAGCTGTGCTGTAAAGCTTACATAACCTAATTTGCATTATGGTACTATTTTTAAAAACCTCCAAAGATCGCTGCTTCAAAGCATCAATGGAATCTGTTAGTTCCTACCTAAAATGATAATGTGGGAAAGGATATCTATTCTTACAACCAACTCAACTGGAATTCTTGACTTAAAACAGTCTTTTGGGAAGAGGCTATTAAGAAAGGAAGGGACTCATTCTTATATAAGTACTAGCTCTGTGCTCTGTAAATAAGGGCTAGAGAGAAACACATCAATATTGAAACCCACCTCAGCAGTAGTTTCTTGGCTCTGCTGTTGTTATCCATTTACCACCCATCTCCTTTCCAAGACTCCTAATAACACCGAGAAACCTGTGGTCACTGCACAGCATGGCGTCAGACTGTATAGAGTATGAGTTTGAATACACAGAACCTTTCTCATTCTGGATGATTCAGAGATAGCCCCCACCCTCTCTCAGGAGGCACTGGCATCAGATGAATGGGAATTAGGGGAAGACCATTCACAGAGCAGGTTGTTTTCAGCTTTAACTGCTCTTAATGACCCTGGTGTATAGGGCTCTGGATTGCTTGAAATCTAATTGCGGGCGGGGGGGTGGGGGGGGGGGGGCAGGGGCGGGGAAAGCAGGGGGGATCTCCTTAGTTCTTTCCTCTCTAACTCACTGCTGAAGATTTCCCTCCAGTTATTAATGAAATCTAGGAAACAGGGAAATTATGGTGAATGACTGATTATAAGGGTGAAACTTTCTCATCTGTCATTAAAAAAAATGTGCTCCGTGTTTAAATTAACCACTTTGTCCTTTGTTCTACTATAAAAACTACTTGGAAAGGACCGGAGTATTTGTTATGAATTCATTTCATTACGTTCACTTATTGGACAGAGGTCCATGAACATAAACCAGAGTAGGTTTCAGGCTCTCAAAACTGCCAGGGAAATATTTTAAATGAGTGAATTTCCAAGTGACGCCTATTTTGGTGATGTCAGAGGGCCTACATTATTAAATAGTTTATAATTAAACTAATAACTGAGCTAATATTCTTTTTGCCACAGTTAACTAAGTATCTGGTTCCCAAAGTAGGATATTTGTAATAGGCCCAATTCCAACAACAAGGAGACTGTCAGAATTAAAATGCTTCCACTGGTCACAGCCTCTGTTCACTTGTACCCAGAAGAGGACCTGGTACCTAATAGGCACTGGGCTGTTTCAGCAGGACTGGATCGCACTCAGTACTAGTCAGCTATACCTCATACAACCTTTTATAGATGCCAAAGCCACATTAAATGTACATACAGATTCTGCATGGAAAAAAACAAGAGTTGTTCCAGCAACTTTAAAGTGAGTCATCAAAAGAAACTGCTACTTAGAAACAAATATGAAACATGAAATTCATTTTAATCTACATATATCAAATACAGCCTTAGCACACAACATCTAACACAATTAAATGCATTTATGGGACACACCTAAATGAAGCAAATCTTTATTAAAATGTCTGCCTAACCCTCACATCTTTACATGAACTCCATGATGGTTGAATAAGGTGGGAAATAAATAATCTAGCTACCTAACCTGGAAAAGACAGATGGATTGCTTTAAGTCTATTTGGTCTCTGCAGACTCGATATTCACCACCCGAGTCTTGCTGAAGTTGGTTCTGCAAATAATTAACTTAGCTCAGTCAATTATATACTTTTCCATAGTTACCATAATATTTTGTTTTTGTTTTTTTTTTTTTTCATTTTCTATTGCTTTTTTCTATGGCTTCTTGCTGTTGTTGTATTAGGGCATACAACACAGATCAGAGACTTTCATTTCTCGGAGAAGTTTTTCTCCTTGAGAAATTGGCACTTTGATCCTCAGCTTGTGTAACAGCTTACACATACAGATCCTACCAGCACTATTACCAACCTTGCTGCTTAGGAAATTCCACTGCTTTGGCCAAAAGAGTGCCCTGTCATTAAAATCTTCTTAGATGAACTGTTCCTATCACTGAATTCTTACATTTAAACAGGTATGTGTGTGTAATTTACATACGTGTTATATCCTAAGTTTCTACACACACACACACACACACACACACTTAGTGTAAGTGAAATGTCTGTCTTGAGTAAAAAGCAGTTACAAGGGTATTAAAACAAATGTTGAAAAATAACTATTTTACATTTAGACCATACAATTTTTAAAGGTAATGCGATGACATATGACCTAAGAGATCAAATACATCATATATGATTGTCATATATGCATGTTGTCTTAATTGACTATTTTTCTCTTTAATCAGAAAATAAAAGAGCTTACCTTTGTATACTGAGATCACAGCTTACAGTCACTATATCTCAGCCTATTTTATACAAGTGATATGGCTACGAAGGTCCGAGGAGAACGAGAATAAAGTGAGATAAACGTGCTGAAAACTGCTTAAAAGTATTAACCTGAAATACACAGAGGGTCCAACACCAGTTTTAAAAATACATTAACGAGGTATTCCCAGCTCTTCAATTAATAATGGTGGCTGATTCATGATTTTCAAACATTCACCCAAAATTAAAAAAAAAAAAAAAAAGAAAAGGCCAATACCAGCAAAATCTCTCAGTGGTTTGTTCCCCAGGCTAACAATTTGAGAGAGACTACAAACGACTTCAGAACTATATAAACTCAACTCCTTACTTCACCACCCATGCACTTCATCTAGTCAGCATGAGGTATGTTGGAAATCTACTGGACCAATTACCTTGCACAAGAGATGGGGTACTCCTGCAGCCTGAAGAAACACAAGCTGCAAGCCACATCCCTGGCTAGGGGCCAGTCCCCGTGCAGAGGATATGGCTTCAAGGAGGACCCCTATCTCTGAGAAATTATAGTAACGCTAACTGACGCAGTCAGGAATGTAACTATTTATGTGCTAAAAAGTGTAAAAAACTGTCAGAACATAGCACAGCTCACACGCTAATTTTAAGCTCTACACTGACCTGTAAACTCCCTGACAAGAAACTATGCTAAAAAGGGGTTAAGTACAGATATTGCTAGGTTTCCAAAGGAAAAGTTTTAAAACAGACACCGTGGCTTTGAACAAAGTATTGCTCTTCTTTAAAATGATCAGTCATTGCTTTCAAAAAGAGGGTGTCAGAGTGGAGTGTCTGAAAGCTGGATAGCCTCAGGGTGTCACATTGCTCTTAAGACCAAGACATAGAAATTGCCATTTCAAGCCAGACAACCTGATGGTTCTAGAAGTCAGAGAAGAAATCTTGAGGGCCCAAGTGAATAATAAATGGTGCGACGCTCAGAGGCTGGCAATAGGGGCTGTCAATGAAAAAACCACCTACAGTGGAGAAAAGAGCAGAGAAGCAAAACTTCATGTTAATCTCAGGCAATTTGGTGAAGCCAAGAGCTTCATTTATATTTCTCTGCTCTTTCAGCTGTAAGTGGAATTTTCATTACAAAATGGAAGGGTGGGAAGGGCAACAGGTGGGGGGACACTTAATTCATTACAGAATTTAAACAGTTGAACTTGCATGGTTACCACTTCTAACAAAGGACTGACAGCTCGATTATTTTAAGTAAAGCAGAGAAATGTAAAAGTTTGCAGCAACTGGGCAGGTTTACAACATGGTTAGTAACTTCCAACAAACAACAAAATTAAAAAAAAAAAAAAAAGACTTGGTAGAAACCATTTGAAATGACTGCCATCATGTTGGAAAACAGCACAGCTCCCTTTTCACCATTACAGAGCGCGTGAGTTATGAAGCAGAGTCAGCTACTTCAAAAGAATTTTCTAACGAGAAATATCTAGAGATTCCAACGTGGAATCCAAATTTGATGACCAATTTCAAATAACAATACAGCCGCAGCTGCCAATTAATAGTATTCCAAAGACAATGAGGACTACTGTAAAGATTTAATTAATAAAAACTGGACACTATCAGCCATGCTTTTTCTTCTCAGTGATGGCTCTGTTTCATCCATAGGTCAGCAAAACGCATCAATGAAACATGAAAACTCCCAGCTGAAATGGGCCCTCTTGTTTATGTCTAGCCACTAATGCACAGGATGAGAATGATAAGTTACAGCTATTTCCAGCAAGTGATGAGGTTTTATTAAAGTATCACCCACCACTAATAAAGACAAAAGACCAAGGAGAAGAAACAAACTAATCATTGTGTAATATATATCTGAGAAGTGACACTAACATTTGTTGTACATTGCCCATTTCACCTTTATTTAGTGGTCCCGAAGGAATTTGGTACATACATTTGCCATATTTTGTGAAGCCCATTCTCATGGATGGGCCCTGTCAAGTTCCCAAAAGCAGAACTGAATAGGGAAAATGAAAGCTAATTCATACTAAAAACAGACATTTTTAAGACATGGTGCCTTATAAATATTGACAGGGGACCACACTGCTGCTCCTTCATGGGGGTGAGTACCTTAATGAAACCATTGACCTAGTAACATCATTGGCTTTCCAAACAAGGTGAGAATGCAAGTGGAGGACTTAGGTCTGCACCCTTTACAGAACAGCACAATGTTACCCACTGATCCATTTCCACCAGCATCATCAGGTGTCTTAAAAAGAAATGCTGACCCATGGCTGAAACCTGTCACTTTTCACAGCAGCACTCAACAAGAACTGGGACAATCGAAGAGCAAGTTTTTATGGGGACCCTGTTGCTGCTTTAGATTCTGATGTAATTGAAGAGGAAAGGAGACCCTTCAATGAATCCCAGCAAAATCACTAATCTTCTATCTGCATGAAAAAAGCCAGGGAGTGAACACAATATCTTACAGAGTGAAGAAGGCCACAAGAACAAGAGAGGGTGATTGATTGATTAATTTATTATTTTTAAAAACTTGGAAATTCATAAACTAGGATAATCACATTCTCCTTCCCCATCTCTGGGTAGTGCCATCATTTTAATAAGCAATGCTCAAATAACAGAATGGAACCTTTATCATGGGGATGGCCCTTGTACAACAGGAGTACAAAGGGCTTACAAAGTGAGTAGACTGGCTCAAACTAACAATCACCTTTGCTTTGTTTTAGCACTTTGCTTACAAGTGAATGGGCTTCTAGGGCTAAGTTATTAGTTTTCAATTCCTTGTAATTTGATACCAAAACATATCAAAAATAATAAGCTAAAACAATATTCAAACCCATATTTTATTGGCTTTATTACACACTTCAATATTTACAAAGTTAAAGTTAAATGAAAAGTCTCTATTGTATTAAAAAAAATAACTACAGCCCAAATTAAAGTGCCCTGGGGCAAATACATATCAATCAACTAAGAATCAGTGACTGCATCAGGAACCAGGCAGTACTCTGTGTTACAACAAAGCAGTTTATTTGTGATCAGTGTTTGAGACTCTATACATCCTTCACAAATTTAATTTTACATAATCTGATACGTCTCTTAAAACTTAAACTTTGAACTGCTAGACTTTTATTTCCCTAGAACAGAAGGGCTGGTATAAGTTATTTTCCAGAAATGAGGTACCGTTTTCACAGAACTGGTTTCTTTTTTTTTTTTCAAGTTTTAGAGAACTAAATTTGCATTTGTTAAAATCAAAAAGTAGGAAAGATGTTCTTTACAAATAATTTTGATCAAGTATGTGTTCAAAGAAAGCAGGATAAAAAGGCTTTTTCTCTAACATTCTGTGTTGTACTGTATTGTTGTTCAATAGGAATTAGCTTCTGTCATTTGCTAAAAGAATGAGTAGTGGGGAACAGGATATGTTGGAAATTTCATAACGGGTAACAGAACCATTCTCTTGGGTAAACCTACAGAGAAAAGAAACGGAGAGGACTCCAAATAAGTTTTAATACTCCAATAAAAATTTCAGGTAAAAAAATATCTGACAGTAATTATCATTAACCTTTTCCAGATCAGTCAGTCAACATGTATACCATTTTGCAAGAGGCCCATAAATCGCTCACAGATCTATTTTGAAATTGCTCTTAATATTTTGATAAATAATATTTTCCACTCTCAAAATCAGGATGGCTACATCTAGGAAGCAATTTCATTGAGTGAGCTACCATGAATTCTGAAAATCAAAAGCAATGCTATTGAATCATGTTCTAATCGACTGTAGAAATCCATATTGGTTCTCAATGTGGCATATCACATATTCCAGGAGAAACGGGTTGTCAAGGTTCAAAGCATAGCTTTCCATGCAGACCTCAGCTCCAGCTGGAGCCATGGCCAGGCGTTTACTTAACTTCTTAATGGCTATGGCCAATATTGGCATGGCAAATCTGGAAAGATTAATTACTTTCTGAATTTGTAATTAATACGTTCTTGTGGCCTCACAGACTTCTGCATAGTCGAGCATGATTTGAAATCTGCTCCTCTTCCTATGCTAATATTTAACCTATGGAGAAATCACAAAGCAGCAACAGCAGGTATTCAAGAGCACCAGATGATCAGAGGGAAATTACCCCACATGCAACAGCTTTACAAAGGCCAAAAGACATATTTACCTTACAGCCAAAATAAAGCATCGTTTTAGTAGGTTTGCATCACAGTAACATTTAAAAACCAAATCTTTTATGTGAAAAATGGGGGCATCAAATTTCACCAGCTTTGGAAGTCAGTTATATGGCACGTGGAAGAGAGGAGCTTTCTGATGTGGGGGCTCAGAGGGCACAGGGTGAAAGTATAATGTTAAAGGAGGAAAGGGAGGAACAAGAGAGAAAAAAAGACCAAGGAAAAACATGAATGTAACTTAGAATCTAGATATTAAAGTATTTTCAAAGGAAAAATCGAGCTCTAGCAAACCTTTACTGAAGAATCTGAAACTTACTGTATGTCTAAAAGAAAGACACAGATTTAAATATCTGCCCCAAGCGGCAGATGTTTTGGCACTTATACAAGACATAGTACAGTGAGTCTAGTGAGCCAAAATGTACTTGGATAAATGGACCAGACCTAAGTCACAGAGAGGATGAGATGGTCAGGAGACCCAGAAGCCAGCTGAATAGTTAAAAGCAAATGGCCAAACCCAAACCCAAAGGAACTAGAGAGTTTGAATTTAGAAGGAAACCTGCGTAAGCTTATTATTGCATTAGTCTCCAATTCCTAGTTACCCATACGGCTCAGTTCAAAATATGGGGAAGCCTTGACCACACCCGAGTGTGCCAGAGGATATAAAGGATGTAGCTCCAGGCTCTGCACTTTGCCTAAAAGAAAATTTGCTCCGAAAGTGTGACCCTTGTAGCTTCACATCTTTCTAGGATATAAACTATTTTAATGGGCAAAGTGGTCAAACTATTCACTTTCTACTTATGTCCACAGTTACGAAATCAGATGAAGGTTCAGTTCAGCAGTGTTTTAGGAACACAATTTTCATCCAAACAAAAATGGCAAAGCAGATGCATGAAGAGAAAATGCACAATGCGAAGGTCTGAGGCTCATGTAGAGGACTAATGCCAAAACTGGCAATACAGGAAGGGCCTTTCCCTTCTGTGTGGATGCACACCCAGCCTGGGGCATGCTGACACACACACTCTTGCACACACACACTCTCATGCTCTCTTCTCTGACAACACCCTGCAGATGGCTGATTCTATAACATGTAGCACCTGAGTAGAAAAAAGTGTCTAAGAGCATATCACTGACTCCAAACCTATTGCCTCCATTGCCACATAAACCTCATTCAAAAGTTATCCAAAGGGCCACTGGAGTTCATTTATGCATTTGCTTTTATTTTTTATTTTAGAGGGGAGAAGAGAAACACCTATGATATTCTAGCATGTACTACAGACTTCCTGCAGCGAGCACTTAAGTAAGACTGCTGGTGAAACCCACTATCACTTCCTCTCTAGGGCCAATGATACCCATTTACTTCAACCCCAAAGCAAAGTTATGGAAAAGAATGAAGGCTACAAATTTGAAGTGAGCAGTTCCTATTCTTGACTTAAGTTACCCACAACTCACACGGTTCCAAACCAGAAACTTAAGTGTGGCTTTAAAACTGGTAGGCAGCCAAGCTAGCAACTGAGTATGGCCCTTCAGTAGCCTTTGAATGGAGTATCAGTTGGCTGTAAGAAGAACTACTTAAAATATTTAATTTCAATATGGTCAGAAACAGGCAATTAGAACAAGCAGTCCTTCAATCAGGCAAAGCGGAGAGAAGAGCAACTCCAACCAAACCAAGAACCACAAGGTTGTGGCATTTTCAAAAGGAATTTAAGTTGGGTCACTAGAATGAATAAATCTGAGATCCTCCAATTAATTTACAAAAACCCTAGATAGAAACTGTGCTTTGGATTGCTGTGACAGTCGCTAAGAGGAGATATCAGTAAGATGGTGTACGTACCATAGGCAGGGGCAGCTGTGCTGTAACCATATGGTGTTCCATAGCCTAGTGCAAAGAAGAAGAAGGCAGATCAGTCCAAGACCCAGGGCAATCATCACTGGCCCAATTCACAAGCACCACCTGCTCAGCACCCTGGGCCCGGAGGACTTCTTCCAGATGTTGGATGAATGAGAACCACTGCCAGAATGGTCCCAGTCTAGCCACTCTCTGTGTGCCTGCTTAAGATGTGGGAGCTCCTCACCATGGCCTACAAGGCTCTCCTAGATGTGCCAGACTGTCCTACATCTCTTTCTCACTGCACTCACTGACCCCACACTCTATTAACTATCAGTTCCTTGTCTGGGTTCCCCACTAGAGTAGCATAGACCTGGTCAAACTTATCCGTCGTCGCATCATCTGAACCTAGCAGAATGTATGATATATATAGTAGCCACTCTCTAAATATAATTTGTTGAACAAAAGAATACTTAAAACCACTCAAACTACCAATCTCTCAAAGTTAGCAAACAGAACTTTCCAAGTATCTTCAGAAAGTAGTGAGAGAGCAGGCTGAGGTCTCAATGGCCATTAAAACAGGCACATGAGTCAGGTCGTGAGCCCAAGGGCAAGGTCTATGACTTGCTGATATTTCAATTTCTGGCCCAAGTACAGGGTCTCTCTGTAAATGCTGGTGAATTTGACATCAGCCTCTGGTACCTATGAAAAAGGCTCACATTATTAAGTAAAAGCAAGTACAAAGAAGTTTTTATACCATATTAGTAGGGATTAGAAATATTACCTATATTAACAGAAGCTGCAATCTTTTTACTCTTTTAGTAAAACAGCTTAGATATAGGTAATATGTAGATAAAAATTACTTGGGGCCAGGTGTGGTGGCTCATGCCTGTAATCCCAGCAATTTTGGAGGCTGTGGCAGGAGGACTGCTTGAACCCAGGAGTTAGAGACCAGCCTGGGCAATATAGTGAGACTCCATCTCTACAGAAAAACAAAAAATTAGCTGGGTATGGTGGTGCATGCCTGTAGTCCCAGCTCCTCAGGAGGCTGAGGTGGGAGGATCACTTGAGCCCAGGAGGTCGAGGCTGCAGTGAGCCATGATCACACCACTGCACTCCAGGCTGGGCAACAGAGAGAGATCATGTCTCAATAATAATAATAATAACAACAACTTATTCATTTATAAATGAAAAAAATTTCTAAAGTAGAACAAGGGCACAAAATCACCATGGCACTTTTACACAGTACCCAAAACAAATGGAGCTTTTTCACATTACCACTCCTTTTTTTGTAACCACTTCTGCTATTCAGAATGATTTCACTCCCTCCTTCTCTGGATGACCAACTGCAACTCACCCTTGAGAACAGGATCAATTATCACCTCCCCTACAAAGTCTCCCAGACTTGCTGTTCTCTCTTTTGCCCAACCCATGTTATACTTGCATCATATTGCATTGTGTTTATTCAATTATCTGGTCCTACCCCAGGCAGTCACTGGGGCAGAGGCTAGGTCTTCTCTGAATGCCAAGTTCTAAATCTCCTGTTTGAGACAACGCATTCAAATGTATGCTGAAGAAGTAAACTGCTTTTAGGGACCAACTGAAACAGTTCTGAGGGATGAACAATTTTTACTTTTTAGTCTATAGTTAAGTCATATAACTCAGTCTGAGTGCTCACTAAATCATATTCAAGAGGACACATGTAGCTGAAATAAGCAGTAGGAAGAGGAGACAGATCAGAGGCCAAAAAAGAAATTAATGCTTAAAAAAGGTTAGCTATCAAATTTATTCCAGAAAACAGAAGCTGTTTGGCTAAGGCTGCAGTTCTAAGGATTATACCAAAACCTCCTTAAGAAGAAATGAGACCACAAGTACTAACTAGGTCATTCATCAGGACACTGGAGTCCTGATTCTAACTTCACCTTTTCCTAGCAAGGTATCTGTGAATGGCACCTGTTATTTAACCTCTCTGAGCTTCAGTGTTCTATGTACAGTAACTGAGTTGCCAGGGGAATTTAATTAAATAATACATGTAAATATACTGACAACAGTCCCTGCTGCACAGAATATACTGTGCAAATGGTATATAACCTATTCATAATCTAAAGGGACCTAATCTGAATCTTGTCTCGGCCATAAAATAACTTCATTTTTAAAAGCTTCGGGACACAGGCCTTTCAGGGAGGTCAATGCAATGACACAAGAGAGGAGTCACTATAGAGTAAAGCCTGGCAACGAGTGGCCATAAACGGTTCCTTTCATGATTACTGCCACTGGACCATAGCCATTTACCACTCTAGCAGGTGGTAAATGGTCCGCGGCAACAAGAGACGTGACCAGATTAAGCCCCAATAGAACACATCATCAAAGACAAGAAAGATAGTTCATCTCTATAACCCGCCTATTATTGTGAATGAAAGCTTTGCCCTTTCAATAATACACTGAATAAGGCTAAAATTATTAAATATCAGTAGAAATAGTGAGACACACAGAAGACTGTCTTAATTTTAGACTCATAAACTATGTCACACCATAAGAAATTCATAACCTTTTCCTTTTCCCCCAATGCTCCAGCTAAAAACCCTAGGAGCTGAGATATCCTTGAAACATCACTCTTCTTTCTATATATTCAATACACCAATTTTGCTTCCTTTATATTCCTCCCATCTGTTCTCTTCTGGTCTCCCCCTTTCTTCTTCCCTGCCTCCAGTAGCAATACTATCAATGTCTCTTGCCTGGGTTAGTAGTCTTCAGTAGCCCTTTTTTAACTGAGGCATAATAGATGTACATAGTTCCGGGGTTCGTGTGATAATTTAATATACCCATGTAATTTATAAAGATCAAATCAGTGAACTTAGGATACCCATCATCTTAAATATTTGTCCTTTCTTTATGCTAGAACCATTTGAACTCTTCTAGCCAGTTTGAAATGTACAATACATTACTGTAAACTATATGCCTTCTAACTGATCTTGTCAATGCTCACACCTATCCCTACCTCCTGTTCTTCACACTATAGAAAGACTAACCTTCACAAATAAAGTCTGATCTTGTCACTATTCTCCTAAGAACCCATCAAGACTTAACACTGTGCTTAGGGTTCTAAGACCAAAATCCAAACAACGGCCTCCAGGTCTGGGACTGAGTCATCCAGCTTTAATTCACATCATTCCCCAGTCTCTCCACTTCTGCCACTCAGTGCTCACCACATTCCACACATTCTGGACTTCTGCTTCTTCAATTGAGCCAAATTCCCCAACAGCAACACAAGGTCTCTGCACATGCTGTTCCTTCTGTATGCAACACTCTCCCATCCCAGTCTTCTTTGAGTTAACTCCTATTCATTCTTCAAAGCCCAATTCAAATGTCCCTTCTTCTGGGAAGCCTCCAGGGACCCACTAAACTAGACCAGGTTTCTCTGTTACATGCTCTCACAGCAGCATGTCCTTCTTTTTCATCATACTCATCTCAGTTTCTCGTTGTTATTACTTGATTAATCTACGTCTCACCCTTCAGACTGTAAGCTGCATGAGAACAAAATCCATGTCTGCTGTGTGCCAAAGCAGGCACACTCCTTGAGCAATTTACCTACTAGGATTATCTTCTAGAAGAATCATTCCAAAGCCACATCATAAAATTTCCCAAATGGCCTAGTCTTATTCTTTCTTAGAGGAAAGCACAAAGTGAACCCTTAGGGATGTTACCTAAAAAACAATGACTGGATAAGACCCAATCTTCATGACAATTTTATCTTGATCAGTATCTACAAGTGGTTTACTTGTCCAGTTTAAAGTACTATACTTTCAATATTGTGAAGAACTTGATTTTAACAAGACAGCTGGATAATCTACTGTTAAAATGACATAAGAATTAGAAGGGAAGGCAGAGAGAGGGCATTCTCCCAAATCTTCTTTAAGCTATGTGGTGGAATGGAAAGAATATGAACTTTGGAAATGCAAACACCTACATTCAAATCCTTGCTCTGTGGTTTAGTGGTTGCTTCACCCTGAGCTAGCTGCCTTATCTCCCTAAATACCAGTTTCCTTCCTTGGAAAATAATTTCTACCTGATGAAACACTGTGAAGATTAAAAACAAATTAAATTAAATTAAATTAAAAACAATTTAATAGGTAAAATTATTTACATGAAAATATCTAGTATATATAGTAAGCTCTGGATAAATTTTTTTTCCTTTGTGTATTTCTTTAGCCTTTGATGGTTCCCAAACATTAAGTTTAACAAACACTAATAATGCCAGGCTTCACCCTAATTAAGTAACCTCTTAGCAGTTTTTCTCTCCTGTTATACCCAACCTGTCATCTATGTCCTCGATGAAAACACCCTGCTCACCCTTCTCAATCTATGGAATATCCTTTAATTCCTTGTCAAAATACAGTCCCACAACCAAATGCAATTTGCTCATCTGTCATCTCCCTCCAGGTAGCCTCTCCTCACTCAGCAGATTCCAGGAGAACACCTATGACATTCTGCCAATTCTCTACTTTTAAATTTCTGTGTACATTCATGCCTGTGTTATATTTCCACAAACCCTGTACAACCTTAGAAAATGCAGGAGATGCTATTCTTTGAATTTCGGCCCAGTAAAGGGGGCCAATCTCTTGCAGTTTGTACTATACCTGGAGCTATGTAGCCAGGAGCAGCTGTCGCCCCAACAAAAGCTCCCCTTGTTAGAGTTCCTCTTCCTCTGCCCCGAACAGCTTGGACTGCTGCAGACACAGCTGTATTCACAACGCCCTTTGCCTGTTAAAATAACACATTTTCATTACTGAAAGAAATAAGAACCATTTTATTTCTTCTATCATCTCTTCAACGCACAACAACTATGAGAAACTGTGAGCACGTGGGTGAGACCATGAGCTGTCTGTGATCTTGAACCTTCAATTTATCATCTGAAAAACAAAAATGATACCTACCTTACAGAGATGTTAAGAGAATATGCAAATAACTTCTTTTTGCTTGAGGGTTATCCAGAAAGAGTTCATTTTCTACACCAAATTTCAGTAATCAATTTATATCCAAAGTCATTTTAGGCCTTACTAAAGTAATCATACACACTTGGTACCTAGGTTCCAAATCCAGTAAATTATCTGCCAACAGGCAGAAAATATCTGAGCAACTAATTACATAGAATTAACTGCGAATCTGAGTGGGGCTAGTGGGGGGAAAACATAAAGGACTAAGACAGGAGGACCAAAGATGAGGATGCCAGTTCCTGCTCTAAGTAACTGTGACCTCAGGAAGGTAATATGATTTCTTGGAGCCCGATTCCTCTGCTGTTTGTGTATGTATGTATCCACTACTAATTATCTTTTTTTGGTTTTTTTTTTTGAGACGGAGTCTCGCTCTGTCACCCAGGCTGGAGTGCAATGGTGCGATCTCGACTCACTGCAACCTCCACCTTCCCAGGTTCAAGTGATTCTCCTGCCTCAGCCTCCCAAGTAACTGGAATTACAGGCACCCGCCACCACACCTGGCTAATTTTCGTATTTTTAGTAGAGACAGGGTTTCACCATGTTGACCAGGCTGGTCTTGACTCCTGACCTCAAGTGATCTGCCCACCTCAGCTTCCTTTCAAAGTGCTGGGATTACAGGTGTGAGCCACCGCACCTGGCCCCATTATTAAATAAATAAATACCACTTTGAAAGCCCCTTCTTTCTCTAAAATGCCATAATCTATGGAAATCTCCCCACTAATTAAAAATGTGGATAATGATACCCACTTTGTTTTCCTTAGAGTTGAAACAGTAACCGAGAATTATAAAATGAGAATAATGATACTTTGTTTTCCTTAGAGTAGAAAGAACAACGAGAGAACAGATATAAAAACATTCTAAAAATACAACAGATAACACCGGGAGTAACAGTAAACAGGACTGTTGAAAAACCTCTTTTCCAAACTAAATTTTAAGAAAATCAAAAGGTGTCTAGTTTCAAATTGAATATTATACTTATAGAAATGCAACAAAAACTCAAGCTAGAAACAATTAAGATTCCCCACTATAACCAAGGTGCAAGAAAGTGGTGCAAAGCCTCAAAGCGTACTCTATGATAAAGTCAACAGTGTCTAAGAAGCTGAAAGAGTCAGAATACATACACATTGGTTTATCTCACTTTGAAAATGCAACATCCTTTATTCTTTCCAGGATAACCTCTACCTCTAGTATGAATGGGCAGGAACCTCTACCTCTAGTATGAATGGGCAGGAGACAGTTTCAAGGTTAACTGTGTCATGCACAGGGACTGCCGTTTTTGTTTTTCTCTGAAATAAACCAACCCACATATCCAAAATAGATTGCTTCTTGGCCGTCAAGCACATTGAACACATGAGTTTTATAGCTTATAGTATGGAAAATTTCTAAAAATGAGTGAACTTCATGTAGACATCTTTCTTTTTTTAACATGACTTAGTCAAAAGTAGTCAGCAAGCAACAATCTGGCAGTAGCAGAATGATTCCACACAAATCTAGCTCATGTCTAGTAGAACAAACTTAACTACCTAATAAATATTTGCACATGGGCTTTTTAAACTAAAATTAACTGACCAAACATAAGATGTAATATGGGAAAAAACACCATAAAACAAGCTCATAAAACAAGAATCATCTTTCAACTAATTTAGAACATACTTTGTTCTATGTTTACCAGAAGATTTTAGAAAATAAAATCTACTTGTTTTCGACATGCGTAATTTAAAGGCTTTAAAAATTTTTTCATCTCATTAAAATAAGTTTTCTCTACCTTTTGGATCCTAGAATTTAAGCAGTGTTTATTATAGCAAATACAAGAAATTTAAATGAATACAAAACAAATTTTGAGATGGATACAATATGCAATAGTAAAATGTCCATGGCCTTTGGGAGAACTACCTGGTTCTAGAAGGAACCCCCACCATCAATTAGCTGTGTTACCACAGGCAAGTATTTCCATTTCTTTGGGCCTTGTTTCCTTACCTGTAAAATAAGATCAATTCTACCCTCCTACAATGGACATAGCATACATAATGGAATCTAAATATAATGTTTAATGTAGAATTAAACAATCTAAGCTTCTTTTTATTACGTTAAGCATTTTTAATTTCTATCATATAATATATTCAGATGTTATGTTATTATACCAGTACTCTCTATGAGGCACAATGTGTCTTATATTTACTTACTCTTTCCCTCACTATCAGGCATATGATGTATGACTAGAAAATGTTTTTTGAATGCATAAATGAATGGATGGAAGAATCTCATATCCACAAGCATGTAATTAGAGGGCCATCTTTTCTAAATACCTTGCTAAGATCCTGGACATTCAGTAGCACTGACATTCCCAGTGTCAGTAATGAACAGACACAATACAGCGCCAAATTTTATGCGGTCGGCAAAGGAAACCCAAAATAAACAATGCAAAAGCACGAAACTGCAAAGGAACTGGAAGAGCACCCGCAGGCTGATGAAAGCAAAGCCCCAGGTGCTCCTGGCAGCTTCCCCAAACTAAACTGCTTAGACCTCACTAAGGTCCAAATCACCTCAAAACCTGACTTCATCAAGAATGACCTCAACCCTCCAAATAATGCTAATAGCCTCATATATACATATAAATATAAATATACATGTACATATATATTTTGTTTAGAAAGTCCATAGAACATGAAACCACTAATCAAATTTATATTATTCGTGACCTAACCCAAAGCAAAGGTCACCAAGTCCAAGAAAAGGAAACAACTTCAGAAAAAGCTAAAGTGCCACATGGACAGGAAAGAAAATTTAATTCCTCTAACATTTTTCACAGGTTCTGCAAAGGTTTAATGTTTACTCATACCTGAGGGATAATCTTCTTTTTCTTATTATTTGCCGCATTGGGTCCAGAAAACAGTTTCTCCAAGGCAGCTAAAGCTGCACTCGCCTTTGCCACTTTCTTATTTGGACCTGCGCCTCTGAATTTCTGTCCATCTACTTCTACCTACAATCAAGAATAACACCTTGCAATTATCCCATGCAATTCCTCTATGTCCTTTTAATTTAAATAGATTATGACACAGAAAACACCAAAAATCAAATAGTGCCACAAGAACTGACTCAGTCTAAAACTTTACATTAAGTTCAGGATATCCTATGTCTTTGAGAAGAAAGATAAGGCTGGCTTGTGTCTGGGTACACACCTCCATTACAAAGCGCTTGTCATGGCTTCCACCAGTCTCTGAGATGAGTTCATACTTGAGACCTCTTCTTTTTTCATTGAGCTCCATTACAGGGTTTTTGCCACTTGCTGTGAGGATAGGGCCCTGAGTTCTTACCTATAAGAGAAAGGGAATCTGAAGGTTCAATCAAGTAAGATTTTAGAATATTACATTTCTTATTAATACAATTATGCTAAGAAGGAGGCTCAAAAATTCTACTTCAAAGCACTCAGGGGCTAGAATGAGTCACCTCTTTACACAAATGGCAAAATATCATTAAAGCTGTAAAAACTCTACAAGCAGTAAACATTGCAGTCATCTGGCCAGCCTTCCTTCGAAGCAGTATTCAAGACCAATCAATGCAACCTCACCACTGTGGGCCACTCCAGGCTCTGCTCTGTAGTGTTCGTGATCTAAGAATAATACTCTAAATTACTAATAACGAGAATAGAACAGTTTGGATTCACGTGATGCCTAAGGGTTCATCATTTTTCTTCTTTAGGGTTAGGAAGAAATAACTCTCAATTTGGGATGTTAGAGGGTAAATGTTCCCATACACCTCTCAGTCACTCTAAACAGATTTAAGGGGACCTAAGGTAAAAACAGTTGGCTATAGACTATGGATTCTGAAATTTTAAAATAACAATAAAGGCAGTCACTCTCTGCCCTCAAGGAGCTAGAGTGTAGTGGGAGGGACAGATATCATCACTGCAAAATAACGTATGTTAAAGAGGAGATACATGCTATGGAAATAACTGATTTGAGGAAGGATAAGAATAGAAGTAGTGAAATAATTCATGCAAGAGCATGAAGGTGCAAATGAAAACAGAGGCTAGCATCAAAAGCAAACTAACAAATAAACCCACAAAATACAACTATAATTTTGAGAAAGGAGAAACCAAAAGATAGGGCACTTTTTGAGGTCAGAGATCATGTCTGTAATTCCACCACACAAGAAATGCTGAACACACAAAATAAATGTCCAAAAGTGTTAATTTTGTTTTTTTTGTTTGTTGTTGTTGTTGTTTTGAGACAGAGTCTCGCTCTGTGGCCCAGGCTGGAGTGCAGTGGTGCAATCTCGGCTCACTGCAACCTCCACCTCCTGGGTTCAGGTAATTCCTGCCTCAGCGTCCCAAGTAGCTGGAATTGCAGGCACCTGCCACCACACCCGGCTAATTTTTGTATTTTTAGTAGAGACAGGGTATCGCCACGTTGGCCAGGGTGCACTCAAACTCCTGACCTCAGGTGATCCGCCTGCCTCAGCCTCCCAAAGTGCTGGGATTACAGGTGTGCACCACCATGCCCAGCCCAAAATATTAAGTATTACATATATAAACCTAATGAAAATCAAGATTCTCTTAGTAAAGTATTCCGTGCAGTTTGGATAAGTGGTTGATGCTTCAGACGTGAAACATCAAAGGACAATTTTTAAGGACAAGTTTAAAAACATCAGTAACATCAATAAACATCTCTTCTTGATGAGTTTTTATAATCTGCATTTTTTGAATTTCAAGGCAAATTTCTAGTCACTGTCTTTAAAAGATAATGAGTGATTTTTGAAACTAGGTCTATAGTAATCACTCTATGCTTTCCAAACCTGAAATCATGTCTACAAAAATGAGTCGAGACATAAAAATATCTGAATTTTAATAAAGTACTATTATTTTAAACGAAGAAATAAATAAGGGCTTTGTTTTCTCCTTCCTTCCCACCATTACTACAATATACAGAAACAAAGTATAAATGTAGTCACTACCAAAACTTTTTATGTCAGTGTAGCTGCTACTAGTGCAGCCCACACTGCTCTCTCCCTTTCTAATTACCTTTGTACTTAATGGTCTGGACCTCATAATTAATGAGCCCTTTTTTCTTTTAGTATATGTAACATTGTCAGCAAAACAACATCTTGACCTGTGACTGCCACCTGTGAATGACTGGTCCCTCTGAGCAGCCAGCCATGACATCATCTGTCCTCCACAGCATCACACAAAGTGCCAAGTGTGGCTTTCTCAGGCTTCAGCCCCATCAATCCTGTCCACACTGGCCCACTTGGCACTTCTTAAACATTTACTTTCACAACTCAAAGTCATAACACCTCCTCGTCCTTCAGTCCAGAATGCTTTCTCTTCCCCACACGGCAAAGCTCATCATCTGAAGCCTTGCTCACAGTGGACTCCCTTTGATTTTACATGATTGTGTAAGTTATGTCTAAGAGTCTCACAACCCCTTCCTCCTTCAAGATTTGACATTATTATGTTCATTTTGCCATCACAGAGCTTATCGCATTATATTACCATTTGTCATAAACACCTCTTTTTGCCCTTTTAGCCTGGGAGCATCTCCAGGCTCTGCACACAATTTCTGAAACACCTGGCACTAAGCAGGTATTAAAAGGGATTTATGGACTGAAAAAATTAGTTTATTAATTAAGTCCTTAATAACTACTTATTCATACAAATGACAAACTAAGCCTTTTTTCTAATGTAAGCTCTTGCTGTTACTTTAAAGCTAATGTTCTTTACATAGAATGCAGTAAACATGGGTTCCATGAACTCCCCAATGTACTGTGTATACTCAGTACTTGGATTTCATCCCATTCTATTATCTGCGACAATAAGTTCCAGTCGGGACTTAATTAGGGTCTGAGATACATACTGTGTCAGGCTATGCCTTCCTTCAGGGCTGGACCAACTAAATGATGACCCAATGTACCCCGCAGCTTAGCACAAACTTCAAATAATCCCAATTTCCTCCTCTACATCTTGTAGTTTTCTGCCCATCAGTTACTGCTGATACTCTTGGTATATTCTGAAATATTGGAAGCAGCTTCCATGGCCAGCAACCAGGAAACACTAGTTAAATTAGGGTATATTCAAGTGTTGTGCAGTTTACAGATATTTTTAAAGTGAAAAAAATCAAGATGTAAAACTGCATGAAAAGATGACTGCCTTCACAGAGATTCATGAAAAAAACTGGATGGAAATAAACCAAAATAATAATTATGTCTGTCTCTGTAATTTATGTACAGGTTTGCATATGCTTTTGATTTTATTTATACTTTTCCACATCTCTCAAATTTCCTACAATGCACATATATGTTATTTTTTTTCTGAGAAAAAAATAAGTATACCTCTAAGGT
The DNA here is from genome assembly GCF_000001405.40 of Homo sapiens. Taxonomy (NCBI): domain Eukaryota; kingdom Metazoa; phylum Chordata; class Mammalia; order Primates; family Hominidae; genus Homo; species Homo sapiens. Next base: position 123,139,538 of record NC_000009.12, read on the forward strand.
ACTGGAGGTTTCAGTTGTAGAATTTCCAGTATTATTGCTTGAGTTTGAAGACACTGTTTCATTTTTACTTTCATTATCTGATTTTTCATCGGAACTCATACATTCAATATCTGCATCAAAGCCTGTTGGATATCCCATTGCCTGCAATACCTGTACAAATTACATTAAAATGCAGTTTTATTCAGACACGAGAAACCAGAGAATAGACAAAATATTGAGAACAAAAGTTTCAAATCCATAGTGTTTGAACCATAAAACACCTTGCAGGAAGAGCAAGATGGTACTAAATCTGTAAGTCCTTGGTTAAATATGGTATACCTACCAGGGTAGCACCATGGAAAAATGGGGAAAACCTCCTCAGGATAATTGAGTTTAAATACAGGATGACAAATATAAACCTGATGCTATTCCTAGTTCATTTAATTTGGAGGTGAGAGGTAGAGAAAACAAACAGGATAGCTAGGTTCAAACCAATAGGATAAGGACAGAAGTAGCATACTATAAAAAGTACCCTGGTCTAGAAAGGAAAAAATCTGAGAGTCTAATCCTGTATTTCTCCTCTGGCCCTCAATTTTCCAATCTACAAAACAGGAAGACTATACTGGTTGACCTCTAAGTTATATGACTCAATCCATTAGGAGAAATTGGCCCAGAAAGGCAATCAAGAAATTTTTTATCTTTGAACCAACTTGCCTGTCAATTACAAAATAACATCTAAAACTTTCTACTTTGCTTCCAACATAGACCACAATCAAAACTTAAAAGATTCAGTCTCGGCCAGACGCGGTGGCTCATGCCTGTAATCCCAGCACTTTGGGAAGCCAAGGCGGGTGGATCATTTGAGGTCAGGAGTTCGAGACCAGCCTGGCCAACATGGTAAGACCAGTCTCTACTAAAGATACAAAAATTAGCTGGGTGTGGCGGTGCATGCCTGTAATTCCAGCTACTTGGGATGTTAAGGCTGGAGAATTGCTTGAACCTGGGAGGCGGAGGTTGCAGTGAGCGGAGATTGCGCCACTGCACTCCAGCCTGGGCAACAGAGCAAGACTCTGTCTCAAAAAAACAAACAAACAAAACAAACAAACAAACAAAAAAAAACAAGATTCAGTCTCTAGGTTTATTCTCTATACTAAATAAGCCAGGAACAATTTTAGTCTTGTATTTCCATCCCTCTCTCTCAAGGGCTGATTATGGCTACCTCCAACGTTCAAACTTCTTATACTTTCAGTCGATCCCCAGGATTTGTCTTACTTTTTTGAAATAAAGCTTTCAGAAGAATGTGTATATGTGTGTGCATGATTGTGCACAGGCATGCTCACACACCTCCACACACGTGCCTTTTAATACCTTCCTGATTATACTGCTTTTTAGATGTTTACAAGAGAATATGTTCACTTTTTGTAAGCCTCTTTCAAAGGAGGTTGATATAGCTTTGTCACTAATTAGAGGTTTACATCAGAGGATATAGGGACAGATTCCTAAAGACCCTTGCATTCGTTTCCATTTTTAACTGTTTTAAGTTGCTGAGATTTAAAAGCAACATCATATTTCTTTATAGTAACAACTGTACATAATAGGTGCTCCAAAAAATGGTTATGGTGGCCACACAAATGAGAAGCCAGCCTTTATAAACAACTGCATCTTGTATAAAGGATTTTGCCAATATAAACAGTGTTACCCTAAACCAAAAAATCGACCTACATAGAAGTCTGTACCAAGAGAACTCGAAATTAATTCACACAATTCATATGGAGAACTTGGCATTCTTATCATAAATAAAATGTCTTGTATTTGCTTGGGAGTAAAGCCAAGAACGCTTTTTTAACATCTTAAGTTCTAAAAGTGCTCAGGTAATACTTTACACTAAGCACATTAACATCATTTGTTTATATACTTATTAATATTTTATTTTAAAAACACCTTCTCCACTGTCTGAGTCCTGTAAATATGCTCTCCCTGAGAAATCTCATCTCCAAGAACAGCTATCATTCCGAATTAACACTAGCCAACACAGGCTGCAAGTCAAAGCCAAACATCACAAATAAGTTTGATTTGTTTATTCCAATAAAAACTAAGGACAGTCATCTTTTCTCGACTCAACATAGACAATAAAAATAGGCTAATATAAATTATTTAATACTTCTCTCCACCCTTTTCTCACATATCAGATTCACTTATTATTATTACAGCAACATATTTCAATACATTTACAAATATTTTATATAACTGGTGGATTATATCTCAGGGAAGTGTCCAACACAGTGTAACCAAAAAATTCAAATCAAATCATTTTTTATGAACAGTTATTCTAACAGTATTTACTAGCATATGCTAAGAAGTCAAAAAAGCAGGGAGTTCTCAGACCTCTGCAACTGATAAAGATTCTCTTAACCAAACTCTAGACAGGATCCTCTGAGCCATGTTTTCATCAAGGCCCCATCCTTTGGCCTTGTCCTTAAGAGCCATGTTGTAGCAAGAATCCTGCTAAATTGGTTTAGCCAGAATCCCTCACCCTCAATATTTAATCACCCTCCATCACCCTTGGTATGTGATCAAATTTCCTCATCCCCCATTGATATGGTTTGTGTCCCCACCCAAATCTCATGTCAAATTGAAATCCCCAGTGTTGGAGGTGGGGCCTGGTGGGAGGTGATTGGATCATAGGGGCAGTTTCTAATGGTTTAGTACCATCCCCTTAATGCTGTCTCATGGCAGAGTTCTCAAGAGATCTGGTTGTTTAAAAGTATGTGGCACTTCCTCGCCCTTCTCTCTTCCTCCTGCTCGGACCACATAAGATGTGCCTGCTTCCCCTTCCACCATGATTAAAAGTTTCCTGAGGCCTCCCTAGAAGTCACTATGCTTTCTGTACAGTCTGCAGAATTGTGAGCCAATTAAACCTATTTCCTTTATAAATTACCCAGTCTCAGGTACTTCTTTATAGCAGTGCAAGAATGGACTAATACGTCCATCACTGCCCAGGTGGTATCTGATCACCCTGGCCTGCTCTGAGCAAGAATCCTAATGGGTCCCGTTTAGCCAGAAATCCCCCTTCATCCTGATGTTTCCTCTTAGTAATTTTCCATCCACTGATCCATCCCTGTTCCTTGGCTACAAATCCTCACTTGTCCATGTTGAAGTCAGAATTGAGCCCAGTTCTATACTGAGGTCTCTTTTCCCTATTGCAATAATAGTTCCTGATAACACACTTTTTTTTTTTTACTGTTTTAACAACTGTCCAGCTCTGGTTTTCTTTGGCAGAACCAAGTTTGTTTGGAATCCATGTTAATGCTAAAAAACCAGTATACCAAAGAAAAGTGAATTTCAAGTATCTGGCAAACAAATTCAAACCTAATACATCAATTGAGCTTAAAAATGACAAGATCACTCATGGAAACAAGGTGACTGGGAAATCATCTGTGTGTAACCAAATCCCTTTCTTCCTGGAAGAGGGCAGAGGTTAGGAAAGGCTGTGACTGAGAAAGATGATACCCTCGAATACTAGGGGCCAAGAATGAAAAGAAAACATGGCTTTCTACATCATGGCTCTCTACTCAAAAGAAAGTAACATCCATGGCTTCTGTATAATAGAGATCTGATTTCATCAGATTCTCAGGAAATCTGATGTCTCTAAGAACCTCTCCAAAGAACCTTCTCTTCACCTTCATCCCCTTCTAGCTGATCTTTTCCTCACAATGACTAAGATTCTTTTCATGTAATATGGATGATTATGACCCTAAAGGTATCCTTTGTGGGGGGCTGCCAGGATAGAGAAGTGGAAGAGTGAAGGGAAGCCTGGCCACTAATTCTCCACCACTTTAGGGTGCTTGCTGCTCTGCAGCCAGGCCAGACTCATGTGAAACTACTGATTTCTTCTTTTCTTTTGATTTGATTCTCTGATGTGATTTGTCTTAATAGGTACAAAACCCTCACCAAGCGATTGAGTAAGAACTAAAAGGATTTTTATTCAGTTGGACCTACTTTCATAAACACGTTAGATGCAAAATTCTTTCTCGCTCAATTATAAACAACGCATAACATGTGATATAACTTTTATGGATAACAATTTGGCAATATATGCCTGGCATAGAATAAGAATTCCAATGCATTTTTTTAACAAATTAATGAATCATTAAAATGTATTTATCTTTTGACCCAATAATTCTATCTCTAGAATATATCTTAAGGGATCACCAGACAAGTTCAGAAAGATGTAAAGCAATAAAATGGAAGTATCTAAATCTAAAATGATTAGTTACATTATGATACTGTAACAGACCATCTGCTAATAATGAAATGTTAGACCATCACTAACAATAAGAGCAATCTTTGAGTTAGCTATTTAAACATTCATAATATATTTTTAGATGAAGAGAGTATCGGCTGGGCACAGTGGCTCACACCTGTAATCCCAGCACTTTGAGGGGCCGAGGCAGCAGGATCACCTGAGGTCAGGAGTTCAAGACCAGCCTGGCCAACATGGCGAAACCCCGTCTCTACTAAAAATATAAAAATTAGCTGGGCGTGGTGGCAGTCGCCTGTAATCCCAGCTACCCAGGAGGCTGAGGCAGGAGAATCACTGGAACCCAGGAGGCAGAGGCTGCAGTGAGCTGAGATTGCACCACTGCCCTCCAGCCTGGGCAACAGATCAAGACTCCGTCTCAAAAAAAAAAAAAAAAAGAAAGAAAGAAAGAAAGATCCTATTTTTAAAAAACATATTTTTACAGACATTATATAGGTTCACCATTCCTTATCTGAAACCCTTGGTGCCAGGTTGTTTTGAGAATTCATAATTTTTCAATTCTGACATCTAATACAATACATATACCACGTATTTTCCAAATCCCCAGTGGATTCTCAGGTGCTGCCCCATGTTTATGCAAAGGAACATATAAAATAATCCCACTAAATAGAATACTAAAGACTAAAAATAGCCCCGCATCAATTCAGGTCATGTTTTGCCACCCAGTGAATTTGCATCAAACTTAGGGAAATTTTTTTCATTTTTAATGCTTTCTGAAGTTAGAATTGCAAGTTAAAATAAGAAGGCTTGGAAGAAAAAATACCAAAATGTTAATGGTTATTATTTCTACGTATTAGAACTATGAATTTTTTCCCCTCATTTTCTAAACCATTTATAACAAACACACATTATACATTTATAATAAGATTTAAAAAGCCAAAAGTAACTTTTAGAAAACAAGACATAACACAAAAAAATCTATGAAGACCTTAGGGAGAACAAACTACCTCAAAATAGCAAATTATGGAATAAAGCTATAGAGTCATAAACCTGAGATGTTAGAGGCCTAGAAAAGACTGCAGGCCACTTAAGACTGACAGCTAGTAATAGGTTTTCATATCCTATAGCTGATAAACCAAATAAAGTAAGCAGAGTTTTTCAAATCTTCAAAGCTAGTTTACTCTGATTCTTAATTCATTCTACCTGGATGGATCAAAGTTTAGTTTATCCCATTTTCGAAAAGGGCAAATCTTAAACTCTTCACAAATTTCAAATTTACTAGTTACTGCACATTCTACCCAAAATGCTACTCAAGGTAAATAAAAGTAAGAAGGTCATCTACCTGCCACACAAGTCACAAGAAACCATTAACAATTTCCTCAAATCCAGTGTCATTCAGATCATAACTGATATCTACATTTCCGAAATTTGTCAGGGAGCTTAACTTAATCCCAAGCTTACAGCCCCTCCGTGTTTACCAAAAGCTCAGGTGAATAAAACATAATATTGGGAATTGAAGACAAAAGCAAATCCAGGCCAACCAAGTTCCATTATATCATAAAAATATATCACTGCATCAAATGAAAGCAGCATCCAAATCTTGTCACATTGCAAAATGTGCCACTCTACTAGCTCTCCCAAATTTTACTGAATTGGAATTTGCTATGAGGCCACTAGCTTATGTTAAAGGTTACTGTACGAAACAACCCACAAAATGTATCACTGCATCATAGATTTAAAAGAGATCACTGATATCCTTGGTTTGTGAAGATCTACCCAAGGAGAAATGCCCACCCGATCAAATGCCACAACTGTGACTCTCATAACCAAACTCTCTGTTCTTAAGACGAGAGAGTGAATTGTATATTTCACAAGCTTTTCGTGTCAGCTGCTACAGAACTTAGCTCTAAACTTGTGACACATTCTCAGTGTATGTTGTTACTAAACTATATGTTTAGTCTTATTCCTGGATTTACTTTTCCCCTCATTGTTGGTTTTCTTTTTCTGCCTCATTTTAAATTCATACTCTTTCATCATACTTTAGATATCCCTTTTCCAATGAAGACAGAGCATAAGTAATATATAGTGTTTGACATTTTTACAGCTTAGTTATTGTTTTTCTGCATGCATTGTTCTGATCACTATCTGATGTTTACACACTTTGTTGTCTATCTTCCCATCCTATACACACTAGAATGTAAGCTCCATGAGAGCAGGAACTTTGTTTCATTAACTGCTATATCCCCAGTATCTAGGATGGTGTTTGCATCTACACTAATAATACATACAAAATGAAATGACCATGAAAATAGAGCAATTATATCGTATGCCATACTGTTATATGAAAGAACTTTTAAGTGAATCTGATCTTCAGTCTACATGATCTTTAACATTTTTGCACTAGTCTGCAAGAGGTCAAATATACTTATAGAGAGATCCCATTACTTGGAAATTTTCTACAAACCTACATGCATAATTGGTCCAATCCTGGATATTATTCCCGATGGAAATATTCTAAAAATACAGACAAAGCACCATATACAAAGATACTGATCAAATTTATAATAGAAACAATCTGGAATAAGCAAAATATCCAATGATAGGAGAATGTTTAAACAAATAGTTTCCCGTAGCATGTTAATCGTACCGCCATTAAAAATTATTTATGAAGATTTTCATAATGAGGAAAAACACTAATGAAACATTACATGAAAAAAAATCAGAAGATAAAATTACATATATACTGTGAGCTCACTTAAAAAATAAACAGCAAAATAGAAAATGATGGGAAATAAACCAACATACTAGATACAAATACGAATGATCTTTGCTTCAAAAATGTTCAATTGACATATTTTAATTCTTTACTTCTTTCCGTATTTTCCAAATTTTGTAAGACTACCACATATTATTTTACAACAACAAAAACAACTTTGTTATCCAGAAGTAACAAAAGTCTATATATAATATTATTGCTATTAAAATGTTTTTAAAAATGATAATTTATTATAGGAAAATAAGCATATTATTTGGAACATAAAATAAGAAAGCATTGCAAAGTAAAACAAATACTGTACCTTCACCGCTACGTGAAGTTTTGCTGTTTTCTTGGATGGTCCTGAGGCTTCATATGTTGTGCCATCCACATCTACAGACATTGTGAAGACTGGGGCATGAACGGGGCCAGACTGAGATAGGAGCTTATACTGAAGCCCAGGCCTGATCTGATTTAGCCTCATTAGTGCATTCATAAGGTCTATTGCTTTACTATCCAGAACTGTTAAAGAAAGAGGAATGAGGTCAGAAATTAACTAGAAAGTAATTTTGCTTTATGCGTTTTTGGGGTTCCTAGTAACTACTGTAAATTCACCAAAATTTTTTTAAATGAGGATTTCAAAACACACAGATTAACCTCATAAGTAATTCTAAAATTATTATGCTAATATCACTATAAAAATTGTATGCATTATTTAACTACACATTAATTTTCGCTTGTCAATATAAATGCATCCTAAGCAAAAAAGCTTGGAAACAAAAAAGTTATCCAATTATCAATTGCTCAGTTAAGATCTAGTCTCAAAACTCTAATTCAAATCAATCAAATTCTTCACTTTTTGGCCAGGCACAGTCGCTCATATCTGTAATCCCAGCACTTGGAGAGGCCAAGGGGGGTGAATTGCTTGAACTCAGGAGTTCAAGACTAGCCTGGGCAACTTGGCAAAATCCTGTCTCTACCAAAAATACAAAAACTTAGCAGGGCGTGGTGGCACGCACCTGTGATCCCTACTATTTGAGAAGGCTGAGGTTGAAGGATCACTTGAGCCCAGGAGGTGGAGACTGCAGTGAGCCGAGATCGCGCCACTGCACTCCAGTCTCAGTGACAGAATGAGAACCGATCTCAAAAAAAAAAAAAAAAAAAAAACCCTTCACTTTTAATTTTTCTATCTGAAGCTACAAGTCCTCTCTAGTTTGCATCTATAAGAATAAAGGTTTTACACACTTTTCCTTAAGTTTCGTTTCATCTTCTTGTTGGGGTCTTTATCATCCCCTAATCCATCTTCAAATGGCCTCTTTAGAGCTGAAGACCCAGCACCTAAAAAAAATTATGAGGGATTCATTATCAGTCAAAACAACAATCCCCTTACCGTACCATATGTATCTAACATGTTCAGGTAGGAAAATCTTAGGAATCACACCAAGGACCATACAACTTTTTCACTGATCAGTTAAATTACCATTATTTATAATCTAGAAAAGCAAAATTTTTTACAGCAAATCTTGAAACAATATTATCACTTTTTATATTTATTTTTTCCCATTTATTCATATATACACACCAATATCTATGTCTATGATATGGTCTGAATGTGTCCCCCCAAAATTCATATGTTGAAACTTAATCCCCAGTGCAGTGGGATTAGGTGGTGGGGAACCTGGAAGGTGATTAGGTTATGAGGGTGGAGCCCTTATCAATTATAAAAGATGCCTGACAGAGACTGTTTGTCCCTTCTGCCATGTGGGGATACATAGCAGGCACCATCTATGAGCAATGAGCCCTCACGAGACAGCAAATCTGCTGAAGCCTTGATTTTGGACTTTCAAGCCCCTGAGGGCAATAAATTTCTGTTGCTTATAAGTTACCCAGTCTAAGGTATTTTGTTTTAGCAGCCGCACAGACAGCATATATTCACGTTATATGCATGAAGAGAAAAAGTCTAGAAGGCTATATATCAAAATGTTAAAAAGTAGCTACCTCTGGTAGGATTTATTTTTACTTAATATCATTTCAAACATCTCTATAATTTAACATTTATGACTTGTATAAACTTTAGAAGTCCACGTTACATCTTATACTTTTAGAAATCTGATTATCCAACTATAAAATATTCTTCTGCCTCTTCAAATCCTATTCAAAATTTTATTTACAGTTCACCTCCTCTATAAAAATGTTCTCTCATATCAGAGATTTTATATCAGAAATGTAAAGTCTTGTATCATTGCCTATTTCATATATTCTTGTGTGTCTTCAGTGCTCTTTGAAGGTCAAAGATATTTTTTCCTTGTCTTGTATCTTACAAACTACCTTAACACAAGACTTAGAAGCAACATAATGGGCACTGAGCAAAAACTAACTGAATTGATTAATAATCAGTTTCTTGGATAAAGAAGCCACCAATTTATAATGTTGTCAAGCAAAAGGCAGCAGTTTTGCTGTCCAAGTTAAAAATTATTAGAGAAAAGTTCATCAACCTATTCAAGTACTTTAAAGATCTCATCTCTTTATGTCTTCACTTTAAAAGTTAGTTGTTTTTCCTAAGGAAAATTATGCTCAAGATACTCATGCCACAAGATTTCCAGATTCTTCTAGTGAAAGCCTATAATAATAATGAGATTAACTATGTATTTTCTGATCAAGATTTATTGTCCCTTGAGGTAAACACTGACTTCAGCATTTGCTTGGGTCAATATTTACCACTCAGGTTAATCAATCTTGATGTTCTCTTCAACAGAAGGCAACGTTGGCTGAGTATTATATTTCATTTGCATTACATACAACTATGAGTATGCCAGTCTCCCAGAATGCAGTCTTTAAGAGATAAAAGTTAAAAAGGAACTATGTCTATTCAATCACTCTTCTGCTCATTAAGTTACATTAAAAGCAGCTTCTTGATTGCCTGGAAATCACAAGCTAGCTTAAATGCAGAGATCTCTTCTCTAAATCCTCCAGCTACATAGAGTTCTATGGATTAAGCTTCATTCTATCATAGCAGCCATTGGAAAGGGGCTGTAAAATGTGGGGCTAATCATAATAGCAACCTAAGGAGAAAAAGGGTCTTGCTTTACAAAAAGCAGGTGGTATTCAACCTTCACAATATCTAGTGATGAGAAGTGATCATTTCTGAGGCAACAATTTTTAAAAATAATATTTTCGTATTTACCATATGCCTGACACTGTTAACATCTTACAGGTATTAACTTATTTAATCCTCATGAGCACCCTCATGAAGCCATTACCTTTACTGTCCCCATTATAAATTCATTCATATATTCATTCAACAATAAACAAGAAATATTAATTGACATTTACTATGTGCAAGACAATTTTAGGCGCTAGACACATAGCAAGTAACAAAATAATCTCCCTTTTCTCAAAGAGCTTACATATACTGGCCAAAACTAATTACAACATATACTATGGGTAGTGAGTGTAATGAAGGACAATTTATATGTCGTGCTCAGCAGAAAGGTATCACTAATGAGGAGACCTTTTGATGAAGACCTGAGAAAGTAAAACAGTGAACTATTCAGCCATTTGGAGAAAGAGTCCCAGGCAGAGAAAAATAAACAGCAACTACAAAAGTCTTAAGGCAGAAACATGCTAAGAAATGATGCAAAGGCCTGAGTGGTTGGAGTGAAACAAACAAGGAGAGGGTGCTAGCAGTAGGTGAGAAGAGCCAGGCAGTAGTTCTCAAACCCCGGTGCCATTAATTGACAAAATATCAAGGGCCCACTTCCAGTATGAGAGAGTAAATAAGTCAAAAAAGGCTTCCCAACTAGAGCAATTAGAAAAACTGGGCAAAACAAACAATAAGTATCTGTTCCTGGGCAATGAAGAATTTTAAAATCAAGATCTGGGAGGTGAGCCTGGCACGGTGCCACATGCCTGTAGTCCCAGCTACTCAGAAGGCTGAGGCAGGAGGATTCATTGAGTCCAGGAGTTTGAGGTTAAAGTGGGCTATGACTGCACCTGCAAATAGCCACTGGACTCCAGCCTGGGCAACATAGCCAAGCCGTGTTTTCTTAAATAAATAAATTAATTAATTAAAATAAACAAAAAAAGATATGGAAGGTGAAAGAAATTCTCTGCATTGGGGGTTACATTAACCCTAGGGGCATCTTCCTAATCCAGAAGAGGTCACTAAGAACTGAAGAGAGTAATGTCAACAGGCTCCCAGGTCTCAAGGAGTCCAAAACTAAGTTCAAGGTCCAAGCAGAGAAGGGCTGGTGAACCCCCCACACACTGGGTTGGGCCTCTGAAATGTTATACACTAGAAGTAAGATGAACGGGAAATATTTCTTCATCCTTGTGGCTCTCACAAGGATGAAAGCCCAGCTTCAAATTATCTTAATCCCTGACTACACTGAAATGATCTAAGACTGCCAATTTCATTAGTCACCTCCCAGAAACAAATATAAATCCTCCCTGGAGGAAGATATCATTACTCTACACTTTAAATTATCTACAATTTCTTATTTTAAAAATCCAGCACTCATAATAACCAGGCACATGAGAAGATATCATGATCAAAAATCAAGAGAAATCACACACAATAGAAAAAGACCCAAAATGGACCCAGATGATGGACCTTTCAAAAACAAACTTTCTTAAAAATAATTTCAGGCAGAAAATCTGAAACGATAAAAGAGCCAAAAATCTATAAATGAAAAATATAAACTAAAACCTGGCAGGCCTGCAAGGGGAAATGACAAATCCACAATAGATGGGAACTGTCAGAGCTCTCTCAGCAATTAATAACAAACAACATCTGAAAAGCACAATGAACAAGTGACCTGACATGACCTAACACGAAAAAAATATTATGACCCTCAACTGCAGAATATACATTTTCAGAGCAAAAAACGACCATGTGCTGGGGCATAAAATAGGTCTCAAGAAGTATCAAAGGACAGAAATCATACAACACATGTTCTTCGATGACAGCAGAATAAGTAAAAACTCAAAAACAAAAGAGTTAACTACAAAATCTTCATTTGTCTGCAAATTAAGCAATGACATCTAAATACCCCATGGGTCAAAAAATTAGGAATAAAAGAAAGTAAAAAATAGCTTTAACTAAATGATTATAAACATACAAATGTCCAAAGACTGTGATGTACATAAATCTGTGCTTAAAGGGAAATTTACCATCTTAATAGTATATAAAATAAGAGGATGAAAAATCAATGATGTATTCATCCACCTCATAAAGTTTAAAAAGAGCAGCAAATTGAACCCAAAGAAAGTCATAAGGAAGGAAAACTACAGAAAAGAGCAGAAACCAATAAAACAGAATACAAACATGCAACAGAAGACAATGAATAAAGCCAAAAGTTAATTTTCCTATAAAGATTAATAAAAATAATAATCCCCTAGGTGAGAGTCATTAGCAAAATAAAATAAGGTACAAAATGTATAAAAGAGGACATTACTACAAATACTACAGACAATAAAATGAGGATCTTATAAATTACTTTATTCTAAAATATTTTTAAATTTAGTTGAAATGGATAAATTCTTAGAAAAACATAGCTTACCAAAACTGTCCTAAGAAGATGGAAGTCCTATGCTTATTAAGGGAATCAGATCCGTAATTTAAAACATTTCCACAAAGAAAACACACACCAATGGCTTCACTGATTAATTCTTCCAACAGTTAAAGAAAAACTAACATCAAATTTATGCAAACTTTTCCAAACAATAGAAAAAGAAGGAATAGGTCCTAACTTACTTTATGAAGCCAGCATAACATTGAAGCCGAAACACAGGAGAATTGGTGACAAATCTAACACACAAAAACCTGTGTTTTTGTGACTTGCCCACAAAAACCTAAATTTTATATATAAATATACACACGTGTATATATATATGATTGTTCATAGAAGCTTCAACTGTAAAAAGCCCAAACTGGAAACTAACTAAATGTCCTACAATAGGTAAACAGTTAAATAAACTCTAGCTCATTCATACCATGGAATACTACTGAACAAGAAGGTACAAACTATTGACACACACAACAACTTGGATGGACCCTAAGGGCATTATGCTGAGTGTTAAAAAAAAAAATCGCAAAAGGTCACTTATTGTAGAATTCCATTTATATAAAATCACTGAAATTATAAAATTATGGAGATGGGTAAATCTTAGTGGTTTCCCGGGATTAGGGATGGCTGAGCAGAGAGAGGCGGGTACGACTATAAAGGGGCAGCATGAAGCAGATCTTAATGGTGTTGGAACAGTTCTGTATGTTGATTGTGGAGGTGGCTACAGAAATCTACACACGTAATAAAATGGCATAAAACTTACACACACGCACTGTATCACTGTCAATTTCCTGGTTTTGATATTGTACTATAAATTTACATAGATGCAGCCATCAAGAGAAACTAGCTGAAGGGTAAATGGGATCTCTCCTTATCATCTTTGCAACTATGAATCTGCAAGTATTTTAAGATAAAAAGTTGAAGAGGGGTGGTGTTCTCCATAAAGAGAATTGCTTCTTTGTGGAGAACAGATAGAGGGGCAAGAACAGAAGCAAAAAGACCAGACCAGGAGGTGACTGCAATAATCCAGGTGAGAGATGATGGCAGCTTAGATAAGGATGTCAGCAGCGAAGAAGCTAAATTCTAGACTCATTTTTTTTTTTTTTTCTGAGACAGAGTCTCGCTCTGTCACCAAGGCTGGAGTGCAGTGGCATGATCTGGGCTCACTGCAACCTCTGCCTCCCGGATTCAAGCGATTCTCTTGCCTCAGCCTCCCGAGTAGCTGGGATTACAGGAGCATGCCACCACGCCCAGCTAATTTTTATGTTTTCAGTAGAGACGGGGTTTCGCCATGTTGGCCAGGCTGGTCTTGAACTCCTGGTCTCAAGTGATCTGCCCACCTCAGCCTCCCAAAGTGCTGGGATTACAGGTGTGAGCTACCACCCGGCCTGGACACACTTTAAAAGCAAAAAGGATTTGCTGACGTTTGGGATATGGGTGAATGAAAGAGGGGATTCAAGGGCAACTCAGAGAATCCTGGCCTGAGCAAACGGAGAGTTTCCAATGACTGGGACAGGGATAACTATAGAAAGAGAAGAGCAAAGGGAGAGCGAGGGCAGGAGCTTAGATCTTAGACATCTTAAGTTTGAGATGTCTGCTGGACATCCATGTAGCGATATTGAGGAGGCATTTTGATATTTTGGTCTGAGTTCAAGAGCTGGTAGTCTGGGATGGAAGTATTAATTTGGGACAATCTTCAGTATAAAAAGGTATTTGAAGACAAGAGACTAAATGAGGTCCCCTAAAGCATCAGTGTAAAGAGAAAGGGTCTGAGGACTGAACCCTAGGACACTTTAACATTCAGAAGTCAGGAAGATGAGAAAGAACAAAGACAGCTGAGGAGATGGCAACAGAGCTAGAAGAACAAAGGAAGCTGATGACCTGGAAGTCAAATGAAAAGTGGTATTTCATTTCAGAAAACATGGCAATACCAAATGTTTTTGAGGATACAGGGCAACAGGAATTTTCATATACTGCTGGTGGGAGTGTAAATTGGTATGTGCAACCATTTACTAGGTTGTTTATGTGTATACCTCAGGAGGTATGCAGAAGAATGCTCATGGCAACACGGTAAGTGGTTGTCAAAACTAAAGAACCTAAACGTCCTTCAAAAGTAGAATGAGTAAACTAGCATATTCATAGTGGATACTATATACCTATTAAAATGAACTATATCTATGTGCAGCAACATAAATCAATCCCAAAGAATGCTGAACAGAAAGAAGCCAGTCACGAAAGATTAAACTTAGGACCCATTTCTGGAAAGTTCCAGGCAAACTCAAATTATTTAGGAAAGCATACACAAGTGGGAAAGTGGGAAAGAAAATCTAGGAAATGATTTTCAGAAAGTCAGAAATGGTATTTCTTGGTACAGGAAGGTAATGAGAAGGATAAAACGGATGGCTTCTGGGGCACTGATAGAATTCTGTTTCTTACCCATGGCACTGGTTTTATGGGTTTGAAAGAAATAATTATTTTTTAAACTGTATTTTTTGTACTTTTCTATATATGTGCTATATCTCATTATAAAATAAATATGGGAGAGAAAAGTGTTCCTCTGTATCAAATGTTGCTGAAAATGGCTAAGATGAGGACTGAAAACTAACCAGTGAATGTAGTAACGTGAAGGTCGCAAGGGATACTTCAGGCAAGTGGTGAGGAAGAAAACCTGATTAGAATAGGTTCAATGAGAATTCAAAGTGAGGAAATGGAGAAAAGAGAAAAGGGCTGCTCTTTCCCAAAGTGCTGCTTATAAAGAGGAGAGAAATGCAACTCTGTTGCAGGACCTACAGAATCAAGGGAGAGTTTGTTTTGGCCTTGTCTTTCAGATGGGAGATACTGCAGCAGGTTTTTACGCTGATGAGAAGCATTCAGTAGACAGGGAGGAACTGACGCTGGTGAGAGAACAGATAATTGCTGGAATAATGTCCATTGGTAGGCAAGAGGGGATGTGATAGTGGGTAAGTAGAAAGGTCGGTCTTAAGAGGCGAGGCATTTTCTGCAGAGGCAAGGGAGGGAAAAGCAAAGACACGAGTTGATGCAGTGGGGCTTGGAGACAGTGATGAGAACATATACAAGTTATCTCTTAATATTTATCTGAGAAAATGGAAGCAAATAAGCTCATCAGATGAATAAGGAGGTAGAGAAGGAGGTGTGAAATGTGAGAAAATGTGAAACAGTTATCTAGGAAACTGGAGAAGTCTCAAACTTACAGGATTGCCCAGCAACACAAACAGCCCTATTAAATTAGTGTCACCGACTTAAAGGGAAAACAGTCAAGACGGCTGTTCTCCAACCATGTTGAGCAACCCAGTACAGACACAGAGAAGGTAGAGAGATGGATTTCAACCAGTTAGAATTTTGCCAGAAACAGAGAATCAAGGAAGTAAAGGTACGTGCTAGAGAGTGGTAATCAAGGATCATGTAATACAAGCACGGTAAGGACAGAAGGGAGAACACGAGGAGGATGAAGGACTATGCAATGGTACTGGAAAAAATGACAAGATTCAAGAGCTGAAATAAGGGTAGGAGACACAGTAATGACAAGAGATTGGAAAGTGGGATTCTTGAAAACATGATTATGGAAATAATACAGGTACAGTTATTGATGAAGACAAGAACTAGGCTATGCCCACAGAATAAGTAACCAAGGAAAGGCAGAGGATAAAATATTTGTGAGAGAAGAAGTCACAGAACTGAGACATTAGTGTTGAAAAAAATCACCTGAGATGCATAAGGAAATCACCGAGAATAACACGAATAAAGTTTAAACGTGAATGTCAGGAAGCTAGGTGCTAAAAGCATGAAAGTATTGGAGAGATCATTGTATAGCCAAAGCACAAAATGGTAAAGTGACTTGCCCAGGCCATATAACTTTGACAGAACTAGAACAGGAACACTGGCAGTCTGGTTCTATTTTATGCTATCAACTGACAAACCAGCAGTTCCCAAACTTTTGAGAAAGATCTTTAAAGTTAAAAAAAAAAAAAACTAAGTCACATAATAGTAAACATACTTTTACTATCTAGTGAAGGGGAAAATATAAAACCGAAAGAGTGGTTGTGAATTTGGTGATTGAAATAAAATTTTCTGATACTAATCATAAGAATCTAAATATATATATAACATTTTTATTCAATCATTCAATGCACAGACAATGCTTGATGTCACATGGGTATGTAAATCCCTTTCAATAATTTCTTCACCACTAAGCAAGCACCTGCAGGAAGAAAATGGCCTTCATTCCTCAAGTAATATTAAGCATTGGTTTATAATAATCATAGGGTAGAATCTGGAGGATTCTTTCTCCTGAGGAGTTTACAGTGTGAGGCACTGATTCTCAAACTTTTTAGCTCAGGAGTACTTTACACTCTTAAAAAATTATTAAGCACCCGAAGTGCTATGCTTTGTGGGTAATATCTGTCAATATTGAGCATATTAAAAATAAAACAAAACAATTTTAAACACAAGGATATAGAAAATAAAACATTCCATTAGCCATCAGAGCAACGATCTCATCACATGTCACATGTAGCCTCTGGAAAACTATACACTTAGGAAAGAAAGAGAGAAAAAGGCCAAAAAAAAAAAAAAACCCCTTAATATTATTATTACTATTCAACAGCTTTGATGTTGTAGACTCTCTGAAAGTCTTCAGACCCACTGGAATTCTGTCATCTAAATAAACAGACTGGGCAACTGCACTATTTTTGTGATATCTAAAAGTAGAGTAATTTCCATTGTTAGAGGTAGGCTGCATTCCAGGTGAAGAATATCCGGTATTAAATATTCCACTTTCTAGTTTAAAAGAAGAGAAAGGGAGGGAAAAAAAAATATTTTTGAGGCCTAAGGAAGGCAGTAAGTGGATTCACATTTGAGTATCCACTGTATTCTAGGCAACAAGTCAGGCATTTTAACCGGACAAGAGTCAAAAAAATAAGAAAGAGGGTAATATCCCTAGTGAGAGAGATGAGCTAACTGCTCAAGGCCTAAAACTAGGAAGTGGTGGAGCTATGATTGGAACCCAGGTCATACTGAGCCCAAAACCTACATTTTTTCTGCTGAAACTCTGAATTCAACAGACTAATACAAATGGAAGATGGTCCTGAATTTTCCAATATGCTTTTCTTCTCCTCTGTATTTTTCTTTCTTTCTCAGTTAGATAACATTTCCAAGCTTGAGAAAGATAATCAAACTGATTAGTGATAGTGATAACGTCTCCTCCTAGCTTATCGCTGATTTCTTCTCCTTAGACCAGGGGTTCTGAAAGTATAGTCTATGCAGTAATGGCATCTGGCCAACATAGCCAAATGAGTTAGTCACTAATAAGAAAACATGATTATGTTACATTAGCTGACGTTACCTAATAAGAACAGAAGAGAAGAAAGTCAGTGTATTGGTCCATTCTATTTATTGTATTAGTTCATTCTCATGCTACTAATAAAGACATACCAGTGACTGGGTAATTTATGAAGGAAAGAGGTTTAATGGACTCACAGTGCCATATAACTGGGGAGGCCTCAGGAAACTTACAATCATGGCAGAAGGGGAAGCAAACACATCCTTCTTCACATGGTGGCAGACGTGCAGAGTGAAGTTGGGGAAAAGCCTCTTATAAAACCATCAGATCCTGTGAGAACTCACTATCACAACAACAGCATGGAGGTAACTGCCTCCATGATTCAATTACCTTCCACCGGTCTGTCCCACAACACCTAGGGATTACGGGAACTACAATTCAACATGAGATTTGGATGGGGACACAGCCAACCTATATCAGTCAGGAAGAAAGCTTTTTATATATGATTTGGATGCACAATTATTAAGTTCCCTAAGTTGTAATGAGAGATGAATCCCATGATTATCTCTACCAGTGCCAACCCCCAACCCTAATAAAAAACTTCCATGCTCACCTTCTTTATCAGTAACTGACCAGGAATACTTCTGAAAAGGCTTACTAGATGGAAGGGGGTCCATCTCCAGCACTTTGTAAATCTGGCCAAAGGCTGATAGTCTGAGTGCATGCTAAAGAACAAAGTATTATATTTAATCACATTTCAATAGCCATTCATAAAGCCCTTAGAACATCTAGCTAAAAAGACACTCATAAATTCTGACATTATAACAGCAGAAGTCCCTAACAACACACAAGAAAAAAGTGTTTGAACACAATTGAGAAAATTAAGTTATGTTATTTCACTAATAAGTCAGAGTGGCATGCTCAATCTTCTACCTGTGCACTGTGGGTAATATCTTCTTTTTGCTGGATGGTCATATAGCTCAGAGCATCTGTTGGGTCTCGCTCACAAGGATCATGAAGACCAGGACCCCCTTTGGCAAAGGAAAAACACAAGTATCATTTAGAACTGAGTTTAGAATTCGGTAAACTAAAACAAAAGAGAGATGGCTGGGGAGAATGAAGAGAAAATGAAAAAAAAAACTGAGGAACTAAGTTAAAAGTCTGCTCAGTTAAGTGGAGTAAAAAGGACACACTCTCATTTTCAACATGTTAGCACTTGTATGTCCTTATTTTATACTGGAAGTCACTTGTATATCTAAGGCCCAAACTGAGTCTTACTCTGAGAATTTAGAAACAGCACAATGAATCAGCCCAAATCTTAAAAGGGATTACATATGGAAAATAAGACCAAATTTAATTTTTCCAAATTTAAAACCAGACTACAAACAGAATGAACTTCATACATTTTAACTAAACATCTGCAATTTCAAATTCAGAGTTCGAGGTAAAGCAAATTCAAAGCAGACACAATATATTATTAGTACCCTTTATGTTAGTACATATAAAACACAAATTATAATTATTGAAAAAGAGTTTTATAGCACTTTTCCAACACGCATTCTAGTTGTCAAAATTCCAAGCAAAAGAACTCCTATGCATCATTTTCCTGTGTAGAGAACAAACTTAGCATATATTTAGAAAAATAAACTAAACTGAGATTTGCTGATTGTTCTGCTTCCAGAGTTTGAAACCCTTACCAGGAAGTAGTATTCCAGATGCCAAACACTCCATTACTCGTCTCAAGGCCTCCCCAGCGCCCAAAGGTCTATTACAAGTACCTATAGACTTTTCACATATAAGTTCTAGTGGCTAGAAGATATTAAATTACAAATTAGTACATGCACCAAGTGTTAAAAGGATTCCAGTTAAATGTGAGCTAACATTTCTATCTACAAGGGAGGCCAAAGAGTGAAATTCAATTTAACATTTAGGACCCACTTAACATTTTCCCCATGATTATCAACCTTTACCCTGGGAAGAGTTTTTAAATCAAGCAATTTTAAGATCGTATCTTCAGAAGACATTTTTGTAACAAAAACTTTACATTTATTTACCCAGAAAGGATCACTAGAGAAACTATGGTCTCTAATTCATTTAATAAAGACTTAACAAGTCCTCATATAAGTTAGTAATAGCTAATAACTAGCCAGTGTACAAAACCCAGCCCACTTAATCTCCCACTTAGGAAGCACACAAACCACAAATATTTCAATATAATAATAAGACTTCGTTTCAGACAGCTTGTCTCAAGTATTACCATTAGAATAAACAAACGACCAAATGTCCATGTTCAATAAACTAAGAACTCATATTTTGTCAAAGTAATCATTGCTACATTCATTTATAAAATGATCTTTCACGGCTTTATTTAAATTGTTTTATAATGTTCTTAAGTTGTCTTGATTGGAGCAGGCATAATTTCCAAGTTAAGTCAATTTTACAATATATATAAATGATATCCATATGGGGTTAAGTGTACTGTTTGCCTGACTTTAATTACTAACATGAACTTATTTGTAAATGTCTCCACTCAAAGAGAAAGCTACAGAGGTATAGGATCCTTATACCGGCCTATTGGGTAATTTTCATGGTAATGCAAGGGGGCACCAAAAGAGAAGTGGGTCAGCCAAGGAGACTTTTGTGGGCAGCAGGTGAACACTAAGTGATTAACCACCAGTGCAAAGTCAAGTGTAAGAAGACACTCACTTCTAAAAGGTATAAAACCTTTTTGTCAGCAAAAAATATTTCAAGCTCTGTAACATGAATACAATGAGGTAGAAGAGGCAAGTTATATGCACAAAAGAAGAATTCGCTTAAAAAGATGCTTTATTTTTTTTTCATGGCAAACATACATAATGCATGCCTTAGCTAACTTAGGAGATAGCCATTTTAAAGTAACATCTCATTTCTACAGGATTTTCTCTGCTACAGCTTCCAAATTTGCTTTTAGCCATATTTAAGTACTTACCCATCCTTTCAATGGTGCCCATGTGGGGACTCTGTTGCACAAATCACGCAGAATGCGGAGGACAATTACACATGATTTTAATCCATTTGCCCTTGCCTAAAACAAACAAAATGATTCCAGATATCCCTATTGAGATCTATTCTTCATTTTGGGCAAGTTCTTTCAAGTGAATACTAAGTAGCAAATTATTCATCAGTTATCAGGCAAACAAAAAAATCAATTAATCACAAGTAGTAAAATTAAGGCTTAAAAAGGTACATTTTAAAAATAAAAGGACCATAATATTAAAATTAATTTCGTAGTCTCATGGCAACCCCACTCCAGGCAACTACCTAATTTAACCTTTAGCTTTTCTCAGTCATGTTTGATTTTATAAGCAACCATCTGAAATTCAGAATACTAAGCCAAAAAGAATTATAATAAAACATCATGAACTATAGAAGCTATACTAGGCACATATCTAAATTAACTCAATTACTCCAACAACCACACTATGAGCTAGAAAGCACCCCTCATTTTATGTAGTACACAGAAACCAATTAAGTGGCAGGTGTTCCAAATGAAACTTGGACAAACTTTAATAACAATAAGATAGTAAGAAAAAGCCAACCTGAAACCATTTGGCATGTCGAAGAGACGCCAAGGCGTTCAGGCATTTCTGCCTGTCCAATAAGTCCGGAGGATCTTTCATCGAAACATTTTCTAACAGTAAAATGGGATAAAGAGAGACAAATACAATTTGACCAAGCGATTCCTATCAAATTATCAAACAATAAAAAATAAAAAGAATAACAGCATTTGAGTGAACTAATAAGACTCCCAGAAAATTTCCTCATTTGGCTGTGTTGCTTTTTAAAAAAATTATGTGCACTATGATTATTATTTAAGTAAACAGTCATCAGAGTAGTTCTGTGCACAAATACAATGAAACATGAAAAATTCATTCAGTAAACAAATCAATGACAGCTGCTACTTAAAATCTGGGATCTTATTAAGCATCTATAACATTACAGGGCACAAAATAAGTACAGAGCACTTTTTCCTTTGGCAGGATGCAAAGAAGGGAAATCTGGGACCAATAGCATTAACAATTTTTTTAACAGAAGAAATTTTAATCTCTAACCATCTTTAAGGAAAACTGGAAATCAATTATGTCTCATATCAATGAGATATACTAAAAATAAACTGAGGATGACAATTTTTTTACACTAGATAAACTAATTCAACAAGATAACCATTAACAGAAACTCCACCCCATGATTGAGAACTCAAGTATCAGTTTGGAATTCCCTATTCTAAACCAAAATTATTAAAATTACAAATATAAAATACAGTGAACTACATTTCAAGTTTTACATGCCTTTTAAAAATAAAAAGCAACAAAGAACACTATTTAATTATGGCTATTCAGCTTGCCTTAATAATTTAAAGTTGGATTAAATGGCCCAAAGCAGCAAATATCCATATTTGAGAAGATGTCACATGACACTAAAGTCAAGTTTAGACAGCCAAATTTATCTCCTCTAAGCTACTGAAAAGTAGGCTTTTAAACTTTTGGGATTGGTACATTCCATAAATGCACACAATATGCAAATGCTTCTTGAGTAATAATTCTTTGTTTAATACAATTAAGTCGGATTTACCATTCTTTTTAAGGATTCTCTTAAATATAAGACAGCCCACTAACACTTCTTCCCAGCATTATCATGATAGTAACATCGGATAGAGGTAGCGCATTTGTGTGGGCCAACTAATACAATGTATATATTTCTAAATGGGAGACAATAACAAAGATACTTTTTGATTTCTTCAGTTATCAGAGGATCCTATTACAACAATCAATGTTTATTCTGTGGTTTTTTTCTTTTTTTTTTTTGAGACAGGTTCGTCCTTTGTCACCCAGGCTGGAGTGCACTGGCACGATCTCAGCTCACTGCAACCTCTTCCTCCCAGGCTCAAGCGATCCTCCCACCTCACCCTCCTGAGTAGCTGGGACTACAGGCATGTGCCACCATACCCAGCTAATTTTTTTGTAGATATGGGATCTCACTATGTTACCCAGGCTGGTCTCAAACTCCTGGACTCAAGCAATGTGCCTGCCTTGGCCTCCCAAAATGCTGCGACTACAGACATGAGCCACCACACCCAGCCAATGTTTATTCTAACTGATGAAATGTCATTAAAAAAGGCATAATGCCAATAGGAAACAAATCTATTAAAGGAAGAACTGTGGTTCTCTTTACTGGCCATGACACTGTAAAGGCTGAAGTGCTACACACTTATTTTCTGACCAGGTGAGCTCTACACCAGTTATTTGCATTGTTTCCCATTAACCACTGCTAACAAAATCAGAATACAATGTTTCATTACTCCCTTTTACTCATAAAATGGGAAGCCTCAAAAAGGATTATTACTCTGATTTATAAATATAAACAAATGTACCACGGGTATTCATTTCATAGGTGATATAGCTCAATTTTGTCTTTATAGTGATACAAAATATACAAGTAGCTCACTTTAATGTTTCTATGTCAAAATGCTTAACTGTGGTCAATACAAGCATCTGTGTAAAGCTCACATATCAGATAAAACAAACTACTGTAAATGAATGTTTACATTCTCTTAAAAGTTAGACGTAACAAAGGTTGACTAACTACTAAGTAATGTAATCCCAATAAATAGTATGGAACTTGTTTTTTAAGATGTCAATTTTTAAATGAATACTATGACAAGCTAAATTTTATTCCATCATCTTACCAAGTAGGAATGTCAGGAAGAGGGAGACAATGGAAGAGGGAAGTAACACAGAGGATAGGAAAAGGCAAGGCAAGCCAAAATTCTTCTTGTACTTTCTAATACTTTCATCCAGGGATCAGAGGTTGTAATTAGCATCTTACTCTGATTGTAACACAGATATTTTTAATGGGAGACAATGGCAAAAATATTTTGATAAATTATTTCATCCCAAAGTCAGATTGTAACCACAAACTCTTATTTTAGAAAACTGAGACACTGGCTTGCTACAGACAGTCAACATTTGAAGACAACACATTCTATGAAAAAGAGATGAAAGGGACAGGCACTGAACAGAAGACTTGCACCAGGTTCCCTTTTCCATCACCATCAGAATGACCGTGTTTCTTCATGCTCTGATAGTCAGAAAAGCAAAAGATCCAAAATGGCTTCAATATTCAGGAGGTAGAAAACAGTAGAGGAGATATAATAATTCATCTCATTTTATCTTTTTCAAAGTTCTTAATATTAAAACAATACAAATTCATATGGTAGTACAGTGCTATTTATAAGCATAGATTGCCTGTTTCCTTTATATAATTAATAATATACAGTTTTATGTATGTTTTCATTCCTTTGAAAAAACTTCATTTAATGTGGCAATCGCAAAGCTGCTGCTGGGAAAACACTGCTACCCTTGGTAGCAGAATCTCAACTTTAATATTTCTGAACTTTAATGTAGGCGTTTAAATTTTGAGGAGGATCAAAACTTTCCTGATAACACATCTTGGAGTTCTTAATTAGAAACAATAGAACTGTGAGCCATTTCATTATCTCCTAGAATGACCAGTGAAACAGATAAGAAACAGCATGGGAGGCAGGAGTTGGAAGGTGACAAAAATGCCAAAAGCAAAGAAATATAGCATTTTTTTGTTTGCTTGTTTTTGTTTTGTTTTTTGTTTTTTGAGACAGAATCTCACTCTGTAGCCCAGCTGGAGTGCAGTGGCATGATCTCGGCTCACTGCAACCTCCGCCTCCCGGGCTCAAGCAATTCCCATGCCTTGGCCTCCCGAACAGCTGGGACTACAGGTGCGTGCCACCATGCCCTGCTAATTTTTGTTATTTTTAGTAGAGATGGGGTTTCACCATGTTGGCCAGACTGGACTTGAACTCCTGACCTCAGGTGATCTGCCCACCTCAGCCTCCCAAAGTGCTGCAATTACAGGTGTGAGCCACCGCACCCGGCCAGAAATACAGCTTTTAAGAAAATCTATTACTCAGTAACCTAGCATCAGGGCATGAAGGTACATACAACATTCTAGCAACAGAAGCACTAGAAAGTCTACTATGCCTAACCATGTTCATTTGGTTAGAGGTTAAATCAGTGACCAGAATCACACCATACCACAGGAAATGTTGGTCAGTTTCTCTCAATGCCTTACATGCAAGCTAGCTATCTGTCCCTGTTAACAAAACACCAGCCTGGAGATGGGGCTGGCAAAAAAACAAAACATGATTGCATTAAACAGGAGTTATATGTCTGGAACCTAGGCTCTTCAAAGTTAAAATAATTGAGCTCAGTATCATGAGGGGCTCCTTGACAATCAGGATGAAACTGAGCTACTAAGTCTATGCTGACAGAATTTTCTAATTAGCCTAAGAATATCCTGGCAGCCCCTTCTCTCTCAATTCCTTGAAGCTTTCTGGAGAGAAGACATGCCCCAAACCACTGTCCATGCAAAACACAGGCACATAATAACATAAACAGATAAATGTAGCAATAAGGTAGAACAGAGAAAGCACTGTTCTCCTAATTTATGTGACTAATGTCACTCGGTATGACTTTTCTTCAGTGGCAGTCTGCCACTGGAAAGACAGTGCCTAAAAGTTTGCCCTGGATTGACCGGGCACGGTGGCTCACACCTGTAATCCCGGCACTTTGGGAGGCCGAGGCAGGCAGATCACAAGGTCAAGAGATCGAGATCATCCTGGCCAATATGGTGAAACCCCGTCTCTACTGAAAACATAAAAATTAGCTGGGTGTGGTGGCCAGTGCCTGCAGTCCCAGCTATTCAGGAGGCTGAGGCAGGAGAATCGCTTGAACCCGGGAGGCGGACATTGCAGTGAGCCGAGATCGCACCACTGCACTCCAGCCTGGAGACAGAGCGAGACTCCATCTCAAAAAAAAAAAAAAAAAAAAGTTTGCCCTGGATAACGTAGATCCAGAAACTAGGGAAGGCAGGAAAATAAAGCCCATCATTATCACAGCTGTGATGGCTGTACTGTAAAACCTACTGCCTTGACCCTAGCAAGACACATGCTAGTGAATTTCTGCCAAGAAGGGCGAGTTCACACTGGCACCAATATGAAGGGACTCTGAGGCAACTTCTCTGACAGTCCCTGAAAATCCACCCCAGTACTGAGGAGAGAGGTGTCTCTTAGTCTAAGCCACAAGTGTCTCTGTAGTTTCCTTATCCACCTGGTTTCAAACTGCATTATAAATAAGCAGATAATTTATCACCCCCTTCAATAGCAAATATATTTCTAATTTAAAATCACAAGCACCAAAAGAAATTGAGACTCTGTGTGAAGCTCAGAATGACCAGATCAGCCTAACCACTCATGCAGTAATCCTAGACAATAATGGGAAGTGGCCTGCATACTAGACGTAGAGTCAGGAGAGCTGGGTAAAATGTGAGATTTTCCTCATTTATAAAATGGCAATTAGCTACCCCATAGGGCCATGTGAGGGCTTTTAAAATAAACCATATGTGAGGAAGTGCTTATCACATGGTAGGTTATAAAAATATCTTAACAGAGATTAATCTTCAATATATATTACTTGAGCTATGAGATGCCCATTAATACTTCTTACACACTGGAGAGTCCTATTTAATCAGACAATATGCTGACTATGTTAATTCACTTAACAGATTTATAGGGCTTTTTAAAAAATCATCTACTACGTATTAGGTACCCTTAGAGGTGCTAAGGATAAAGGACAGGCAAAAAGACACCTGAATTATAAGCTATACAATATACCAGGTTTTTATTATTAGCACTGCATAAATCAGTATACTGATTCTAATACTATACATCACTGGGTGTTTAAGAGTTTAACTGTGCTTGGGTTGACTTCTTTTGACCTACCATGTGCACATTATTTTCACTGTTACGGCAGTTTGAGTAGGTGCATTCAATAAGTTGACTACTACTATTTACTGAGCAACTACTTTGTGCCAGTTATTGTACAAGTCACATTACATAAATTCTCTCACTTAAAACAACTTTCTAAGGTATTTATAATCCACAATTTAAAACGAGGAAACCTACCCAAGGTCACACAGCAATAGCAACTAATGGAGTTAAGAGTCAAATAAGGCCAGGGGCACTGGCTCACACCTAGCAGTTTGGGAGGCCGAGGCGGGCAAATTGCCTGAGCTCAGGAGTTCGAGGCCAGCCTGGGCAACATAGCAAAACCTCATCTCTACTAAAATACAAAAAATTAGCCGGTCATGGTGGCATGCACCTGTAGTCCCAGCTACTCAGGGGGCTGAGGCACGAGAATTGCTTGAACCCAGGAGGCAGAGGTTGCAGTGAGCTGAGATCATGCCACTGCACTCCAGCCTGGGCAACAAAGCAAGACTGTCTCCAGCAACAACAACAACAACAACAACAACAACAACAACAACAAAAAAACAAGCCAAACGAAAGACTGCTGCACACCAAGATCTGTGCTTCTATGCCTTCATTAGCAGGAAACGTAGTAATGGGGATATGGTTATTCTACAGGGCGTTCAAGTAAAGGGTTAGAATACAGAAAGACAACGGAAAACATAGGAGGAAACTTACCTATGAAACAGTAAACAATACCAAAGAGATTCACTCTGTATTATGGCAATTTAAAATGTAAATCGTGATTTGAAAGGAGTAGGTAGTTAGATCCATTGCACAATCCTGAGGAAATAAGTTTCATGCCCCAGTCCTCTGGTTCTGTCTGCTCTCAACCACTCTTTTTTTTTTCTTCCTTTTTTAGATTTTACCCAAATATGTGGCAAGTTAAGACAGAAAAAAGAAAGATGTGAGGTGTGTATGTATTGTGAACAGTTTGTTTGGGTGGGGGTAGGTGAAGGAAAGTTGAGATACTACAGGAAAATGTCTCCAAGAAAAAAGTTACAATGGATTTTTTTTTAACTTTGAGAAAAAAAAAAGTATAAATTAGGAGAAAAAAGGGTAACTTTCAGCCCCACAAATTCCTGGGACCTGAATGAATCTTGTGCTTTTATCCCATGCAGCTGAAAAGAACTGCATCAAGGGGATGAGCAGCTGTCTAGTGTGAGAAAACAGAATCGTACAGCCCAGGTCTGAAGTGCGTAATTATAGACCAGATCCTCCAAGTTGCCCAGGAATACACAAACCAGTAACAAAAATCAAAAATTGTCTTTGACAAAGCCCAAGTTAGAAAAAACGAGCAAATTATAAAAGATATCAAGTGAGTCAACAGGGCTGGGATGTTAAGGACAACAGCAAAGCAAATCTTTCTGCCATTCAAAAAAAAAAAAGGAAGTAAGATGTGTAAAACATTAGATCAAAGCTGATTCCTTCACCTTACCTGATCCCATATAACAGCTGATGAGATTCAGCTCATAGAGGTCTTTGGATCCTTCAGTAACTCAAACACCTTGAAGAGAGACTATGACTCTCTTACTTTATTACAAAATCTATTCTATAATAGTTTCTAGCAAGAGTACAATATACTAAGAATGTTTTCAGCTTCTCTAAACAGAAGTTAAAGTTATAAAGGCAACAGGCTAAGTTTAAAGGTATCACTGAAAGCTATGACAAAATCTCATATAAGTACACAAAACCAAGGAATAAAGATGACTGATGTTCCCTTAATACTTTCAAAAAAAAAAAATGAAAGGGATGCTGACAGATACAAGCAAACATGTAATTAACTTAGCCTTTGGCAACTTCAGTCTTTTTCTCATCTCCTTATACTCAAATAATTTTTAATAATACCTATAATTACAACACTACTTAGAAATGGTTGGTTTTATACTAGAGGGTCAAGTAGAACACATCTTACCAGAATTAACATTTATCTTGACACTTCAGAAATCATTTTATAGTTCTACAGTTAATGGTGAACTGTAAAGCTGTTAAAAAAATTAAGCCATTTAAGATTGGTTCTTCAGAGGTGCTATAGATACTACATACAGCAAAAAAATTTTAATGCATAGGCATAAGCTCAATTATAGATTGGATGCCCTTTGATTTTAAAATATGACTCATAAATGTGTCTGGTTTATATCTGTTGAGTTATGATATAGATGATTTTAGTTATCCCAAAAAGCATTTTTTTAAAAAGAGTCTATCACTTTTACTTTAAGTGATTCTATGAGTCATGTCTCTCAAAAATTAAAACTCCAACTTTACTGGTACCTTTTTCTCTACCCTTATCACCAAGTTGAAATAAACTAAGAAACTGACCAATATTTACTGCGGCACTGGTATTTCAGGTAAGGGAGTAAGCAATGGGACTTGTTGAAAGTCTGGTGATGAAAAATAGCAACAGGGAGTCCCCACTGGCCCAGATAGGCTGCAATGCCTCTAAATTGTCATGACAGAGTAGCCAGCTGGTCAAAGGTTTGACACAGGAGAAATACCACCTGGCAAGTTTCTAGGGAATGAGAGGCAGAAACAAGCTAACTTGACAGGATAAAAACATCAGAAAAAGAAGCCCACCACAATTCCATCATGAACTTCTCAAAACTACCAATAACTGAATACATTTCTCTACTTTTATGAGGATGACGCTGCCAGACAGCAATTCTTCTTAACTTCAGAAGAAAGTTAGTTTAAAGCATGATTCTCACATAAATCATATTCAAAATGTTAACAGGGTCACAAACCTCCTAAAAAAAAATTTACTAAACATTATCCATTAAAAAAATTCAGTCCCCCAATTTACATCCCTTACACTATAAAACAAATCTAGACACAGACATGTACAAATCTTATGAGATTATACAGCTATTAGAAGTCAAGAGCAATATGATGCAAATAATTCTTTTTTTTTTTTTTTTGGCAGAGTCTTGCTCTGTCACCCAGGCTGGAGTGCAGTGTTGTGATCTCAGCTCACTGCAACCTCCGCTTCCTGGGTTCAAGCAATTCTCATGTCTCAGCCTCCCGAGTAGCTGGGATTACAGGCGCCCACCACCACGCCTGGCTGATTTTTTTGTATTTTCAGTAGAGACGGGGTTTTGCCAAGTTGGCCAGGTTGGTCTTGAACTCCTGGCCTCAAGCAATCCACACACCTCGGCCTCCCAAAGTGCTGGGATTACAGGCATGAGCGACCATGCCCAACCAGGATGCAAGTAATTTTGGAGCAATGAGTAAATTTGAAAACAATTCTGTTTTGGACCACATTTAATCCTGAAATCCGACCATTAAGCCAAAATACATAGAATAAGTTGGCTGATAGCAATAACTTAATGCAATACTAGACAAAGTAAAACAGAACAGCAAATGGTATAAAAATTAAAGCAGAGTTAAAACCAACAAGACAAGCACAAGTTTTTGAAATAACATTTTATATTTTGAATTCATACATTTTTGCAAAATATACTGATTATGTAGAAACAAAGCCATTTAAAATACTATTAAATAGAGTGGCATAAAACAAATGAAGGCTGTTATTTCCTAAATCCATAAAACATTGTTAACATAGCTTTTATATGAAGAAAACAAACAACAACAACAAATATATACATATATATATATATATATACATGTGTACCTCCATCCTTCTTCTCCAATTCGTCCCTAATTAGAGGTGAGGTAAGTATCACCTTCAAAGTTAGCGTGGGCTCTTTTGTATTCCGAATTATAATAGATGCCTCATTTACACATTGTTCCACTTGATATTTCTCTTCTGTGAGTTTCTGAAAGTCACCAAGATTTCAAAATCACCCAGTTAATTAGACTGAAACCTCAAAAGAAAAAAAAACAATGCTTGTACTAAGTTCTCGAATGTTACTATTAATATTACTGTGCTCAAAGGGCAAAGAAAGCCTGTAACTAGTTCTTTACTGGGGATAACACTTTTCTCTCCTCCCAACTTACAAGAAAACCCTCTTTCTCCATTCTTTAAAAAGCAACCACAATGTCAACCATCCATACAATTATGAAACAATATTTAAAACCATTCTAATATTTGAAAGTAAAATGCCAATAGCATCAGTATGTGATAAATGGTAAATTGTTGTTCTTAAAATTATTACAGAGAACTATTATAAAATAAGAAATAGCTGGGACTGCTCTCCAAAACAATAGCTCTTTTTGTAGAGCAGCCTGAACAGGAACTCCTACTTGGCAAAAACTTATGAATATAGGATTATGGAGCTTTTTAAAGAGCACCAAATAAGCATGAATGAAAAAGTATCTCTGCACAGTCACTGACCAGGAGGAAACAATGAGTATAAACAAATAACTTCTTCCCTTCTCCGACAACAGGTCTCAGAGATCTTCCAATGGGACCTACCACTATGGGTCAAGTCATCTGACATCTACAGAAAACCTACATTGCTTCTTTTAACATACAAATATAAACAAACGTACAATTTAGGTAGGGGCCTCCCACAAAATAATCACCTGATCAGAATTATATATTAAGTTATGCTTAATATATTATTATACATTAAATATATGATTTAAAATAAGTTACACGGGGCTTTTTTTCTTAGTGGTGAAATTTAGTGTCTATTACCTGACATACAGTAGCCAGGCTGAATAGGGACACTACCAAGTCCCTGCTCATCAGTGTGTATTAAAAGAATTCAAAGTCACTTATGTAAAAATAGCATTTTACCATTAAACGATCCCAAAAAAGTAGGAAAGGGAAAACTCATTATCCTACTTTTGAATAGAGGAAGCCAAGGAAGGGAAAGGCCATACGTAGATAAAAGAACCAGAATATAAAGAAACTGCAAAAAACAGCTCACATTCATTTTGTCACTAAAAGAGCATTAAAGATGTCTATCAAAGAATAAATTGAACTTCATTTTTCAATTATGCATGTCGATCACCATAAGACACACCCAAAATAATAAACATAATATGCATTTTGTGCTAGAGTAATTTTAAGTGATTTCTGGTTTTGGTCATCCTCCTCCTCCTTTGCTCAAAGAAGTTCTAAAAGCATCCTAGGAAAGAGTATGAAGAGAAAAGGTAAGGTAAAACCTCAGCTAACTAACGTACTTAGATAACTGAAAGTTTTGCTATGTTAAGTGCTCGGGAAAAAGATTTTTGGTCCATAAGGAAATAATATCGTATCAGAGACTGGTTTTCCACACAAACACCATGAAAACTGGGCAGGGCAGGAGGGGCGGAGGGTGCTCGGGGAGAAAGGTTTAATTGTAAAAGTCACACTTAATTTCATGAATATTATTAGTAACAATACACTTGCACACATGTGTATATATGTGGGCATGTGTGTACATGTATACATTTTAATCTGAGATTAGTGTACAATCATCATCCCCATTTTACAAGAAAATGTATCTTTACCCAAACATAGATTTATTGTTGGAGAAATCTATTAGCTATGTTAAATTGAAAGATACTTCTCCTAATTTCCACCATTAGTCTTAAGAGTTCACACCTCTTTTACCTTCTGCCAGACAGCATTTCGAAGACCTAAAGGTATTTATATCTTTTTTAGTTTCTTTAGCCTAAAAAGCTTCAGTCTCCTAAAATTTGAGATGGTTTGTATACCCTGTACACCCTCCAGGGTAACCCCCTTGAATACTTGCTAACTAGACAAGAACCTTTTTAAACTGCGATGCTCATAAATAAAGACCCTCACTCAAGAGAGAAACAATGTGGAGTTTACAAAGTTGTGATCTGCACAGAGAAAGCTCTAACAATGCCAACTAAAGCTTGGCCCAATCTTCTCTGTCTTCAAAACAGGAGAGATGTGATAGATTTTCTGAATAAAAACTCCGATTTACTGTTGCACTGGTTCTCAACCCTTTTTCAATGCTGCAACATCTGAGGATGAGGAATATGATCATTCTCATAAGAAACAAGATTCATGAAAGGAACAGAAAGGGGGTGAGGTGGGTGAAAAAGCCACTAGTATGTCTGATTCTGATAATTCTACATGTAAGAGTAACGATGTTTACTATACTAACAGCAGAAATACAGATTAAATGCTAAAACAAAATAAAAATTGAAACGGGAACTTTATTAATATTCTAATAAACTACAAGTATAGTTAGCCAGAAAGCCCATTAATTAGCTTTCCACTTTGTAAAGCTTTATTGCATGTTTAATACATAAAGCTATGTTCCACTCTCCTTCCTCCAAATGATCACAAAAGGATTTTTTTAAAAGGGAGGGAAAGGTAAATAGATTCAACCCTATAAAAGACCAGAAAACATTTCTCCATCAAAATTGAAAGTGGAAAAGCCAAGTATGTTCTGTCACTTTAAAAACCATATATTAAGACAAAATGATAACATAGTGCCCCCAAAATTAATACAGGAGAATGTGCCAATCAGTAAAATAAATCTGAGTGTCAAGAATGGTACTAAAAAATCAGAGATGGTTTTGAGGGTCAGCTAGTGAATATGAAAGAAAATGATCTAGTAACAAAGCTAAGAAAAACAAACTTAGAATTCATACATCTTGAAAAAAAGACCCCTTTTAAAAGATATACAAATAAAAGAAACTAAATTTTAAAAAGTGAGTGGTGGTGGGGAGCATTCAACAATTCACAAGTTTGGACTTAGAGGCCAACATCTATTTCTGTGGCATTGATATGAAGACAAACTAATATAAAATTATCAAAAGCTGTAATTTAATTGGACCACAGACAATATGCATCTGAAACTGAAGATGATCACAGACTCCCAATCAGTGATGCAATGAGTCCTTGGGGTAGGCTGGCAGGGCAGGTCCTAGAATGACCAGAACCCCAGAATGGTTACCTTCATCCCTGAGGAGCCTTCAGCCTTCAGCAGCATCCTCCAGGGAACATGCCAGCATCATATTTTTCTAAATGCATCCCAGTGTAAAAAAGGTTTGGAGACAAGAAATAAACAGTAATTTCCATTAACAGAACAAAGAGGTGGCAAATTAACTGAGTCTTCAGTTTTAAAAATTACTATCTATGAAAGTCTCTCGTTGATAAGAAAGTCTCTTAGTCGCTAGAAAGTATCTAGGCTGTTTTCAATCTTCCAATTCTTTTCTGCAGTATACCAACCCTTCCAAGAACTTTATAATGGTGAGACCTAGCCTGGAAAAAATGAAGATTCTCAGCAAGATACAACGGAAAAGTTTAAGATGGTACCTTAATGGCCATCTTAATTTGGTAAATATATCCTGAGTACAAATCACCAGAAGTTTGCTTTAACTGTGATGAATTAGTCATTGACCCAGAGTAGCAGTACTCATTTTGTCTGTGTCTATCCTATTAGCTATTAGCAATTCTGGTTAATAATTTTTTCAAAGTCACTACCTATTTCACCTTTTTACAAATTCGCCTAGAGGTGCAGTTAAACTGTACTCACCTGAATCTGAATAGGAAGATTATCTTTGACTGTATTTAACAGGGTCTCTGTGGGTTTGTCTTTGCACATTAAAACCAGCTCCAAGTCCATATCATCTTTAATCAGCAAGCCTTTTGCAACCAGGCCAATCCTCATTACACCACACAATGTCCGACCACCTTGATCCCTAAAAATAAAAGTCTGCATGATTACTTTCACAACCTATTTCCCAAACTATAACTTAATCATCACTTGGCTTCCTGAATACTCTTACAAACTGATAAGGGAGTATGTAAATCCAGACATCCAAGTATCCACAAAATTAAGCCTCAGATTTGAGGCTTATAAAGTATCTATCTTCCCTCAAGGAGTCAATGGGGAACGTATTTCATACTACAGATCTTGTAATTCTTTACTACATTTATATTGCTTAAGAAAACTCAAAAATACTGTATTCTCTTAAATATTTTTTCAAATTGTTCTTTTAAATTTCCTTCTGGCCAGGTGCAGTGGCTCATGCCTGTAATCCCAACACTTTGGGAGGTCAAGGCAGGAGGATCATTTGAGCCCAGTAGTTCAAGACCAACCTGGGCAACACAGTAACACCCTGTTGCCACAAAAAATGTAAAACAATTAGCCAGGTGTAGTGGCATGCACCTGTAGTGCCAGCTATTCAAGAAGCAATGGAGAGAGGATTGTTTGAGCCCAGGAGGTTGAGGCTGCACTGAACCATGTTTGCACCACTGCACTCCAGCGTGGGTGACAGAATGAGACCCTGTCTCAAAAAATAAAAATAAACTTCCTTCTGTGTTAGTAGTAATTAGGCAATTTGTGAGGAACATGAATACCACTGTATATTGGGAAAGAACATCAGCACAGAAATCTAAAAGACCTGGATTCTACTCGTAGTGCCTGCTGACTCAGTATCCACAACAGTAAAATGACTATTGGCTAGATGAGCTAAAGTTCCTCCCAACTATATCATTCTAAAGTGCCTCCCTTTCTATATCAGCTTATGGGGAAAGCAGAAAAATGTGATAAAAGTATAGAGCTAAGGAAGGAAAGATAAACTGCCAGCATATGCATTCCAAATCCAGGAGTAGCTAAAAGAGCAAACACTCAAAGAAATCAAGTCATAAATGGTGCATAAGAAAGGTGCTCATCTATCCTTGATTTTAATTCTAAAAGTTTCTTATTGGTTCATTTCCCTTAATCACAAATGAAAATAGTAACTAAGTTTAACCGTCTTTCAACAAATAAGCAAGTGTTTGGGTATGGCAAACATATTTACAGGAGTTACAGTCTCTCCTGCTCCTGAGGCTTACTCTGTAGTTAAGCAACAAAAGCAGTAACAGTTTAAGTGCCCTATTTAAAAGGGGAAGAGAAAGTAACATCTGAGCACAAACAGGTGTCACATATTCTCATTTAAATCTCACCACAAGCCTCCATTTGCAAGACAAGAAATGTGAGCCTCAGAAAAGTTAATTGTTCAAGTTCACCAAGAAAGTAAAATGGCAAAGCCTAAATTCAAACCTAAGTTGTTTTGACCACAACATTCAGGTCCCTTACATTATATGATTGCTTCCCAAGTTCAGAAAAGGGAGAGGTCAAAATTAGAGATGTCAAGCAAGGCAAACTGAAAGTCTGACTTCAGCAGAATCTTGATCTACCTAGATGGGAAACAGTCATTCTAGCTATAAGCAAAGAATCAGCAGAGTTGGGCAAGAATCAGCAGAGTTGAGAATAAAATGGAAAGGGAGAAGGAAGAGAAACAAATTGTGGCAGTGGAAACTAGAAAGGAAGATAAATAATCCAGCCATGGGTTCAGTGCCTGGCACACTTATAGAGATTCAATAAACATTAAATCAATGAAAAATGTTAAAGGTGGTATAAATATAGAAATAAAAAGCATTTTAAAGCAGGTGACCAAGTGTAGGCAATTGTCTGATATTAACAATAGAGAATCAGTCATCTTTGATTTCTTCTTCCTCTGTATCCTTGTCCTCTCATTCTTCCAAGTCTAATATTGTAATGGTTTATAAATTATCCCTCTATAATCACCATCAAACTTGCAAACCAGTTTCTTCAGGCTTTTATTACCTCTCACGTAGACCACCTCAATAACCTCCTCCTTACTGGCCTTTCTGACCTCTGTCATCTCCAAAGTACTGTATACAGCAACCAGAATAATCTTCCAAAGGCGCTGATTGGATAACACTCTACCTACTAATTCATTGGTGTCCCACTGAACACTTGGACACTTACCATATTGGAAAGCAATTTAGAAAATGACATCGCTTCCTGGTTCAAATCCTGGCTCTGCTACTTACTGTGTGACATTGGACAAATTTCAAATAACTTGACTTCTTTTGAGCCTGCTTCCTCATTTGTAAAACAGGAATAATACCTTTCTCACAGAGTGGTAGTGAGAATATATGTTAACAAACTTTGGCCAGAGCCCAACAGATATTAACAGCTCAATAAACAACAGTTATTATTCCTTAAACAGTTCTATACTTTCTCATACCTAGATCGGTGCTGAGATTTATTTTTTTCTTTCACTTTCACCACATGCCAAAACCCTACCCCTATCCATCCTCTGAGCCTATTCCAAGTGCTACCTCCTTCATGGAGCTTTTGCAGATTTCCAGAACCAGCACATCATCGTCTCTCCCTGCTCTGTACTTTCACATGTTATTCACAGGAAACTGAAGAATAGATGCTAAGAAAACTGGATCTGGAGTCAGAGAAACTTCAATATGAGTCCTGGTTCAACCACACATATTTACTAAGTAGCCTTAAGCAAGTTAAAGTTTGTTAATGATTCTGAGTCACTCTTTTTTTTATAAGCAAGTTTGGAGCACAGGAAATTTCACAAGTAAAACAGGAGTGGAGAAAGGAAGATAATAATATTAGAGACTGGTAGATTTGCTGCAAGATAGTAGGAAAAGTATGTGGTACAATAGTTGGCACTCAATAAACAGTAGCTGTTATTAGCTCAGTTATTAAATTCTAAACCATAATTATGATATACTTGGTCTTATCAGCCCACAGGTAGAAGACAGCATGATTGAGCAAAAAATCAATTCCTAATTCAAACAGTTCTGAATTTCAATTTAAAAATTGGAACATAGCAGTTATTGTAAAGCAAGCAACCCAATGTATTTGAATTTACTATATGTGAATTTAAAATTAAAAACAGAATTCTAATATTCCTAATAATACATATTGTAGGACCTTGTATAAGTTATTTGACTTTTGAATCCATTTTGAAAAAGGTAAAGCATTAAGTTAAATTAAGACAGCATAGGTAAAAGCTGCCTAACCGTGCCTGGCAATGGAAAATGCTTAATTGCTTAATAAATACAAGCTACCCCCCACCCATCTCTGTGTCCTTCAGAGTGGTTAACACTCACCAGGTGCACAATATATGTTTATTACCAGAACACAACTCTGTCCTTGGAATACATGCCAGCCTCTGATATAAGAATAGAATCTCATTCTGCACTCCTTGAGTTCCACCACATGGGAAGGATCATAGGCAAGGGCTCACCCAGGGACTGTTCCACAAAACGGAAAGACTGTACATAGACAACCAAGAGCATCCACACACAGAAGTATAAAATCCAGGCCTGGCATGGTGGCTCATGTCTGTAATCCCAGCACTTTGGGAGGCCAAGGCAGGATAGCTTGAGGTCAGGAATTCGAGACCAAATTCGGCAATGCAGCAAGACTCTGTCTCTCCAAACGAAATTCTTTTTTTTTAAATTAGCCAGGCATGATGGCACACACTTATAGTCCTAGCTATTCAAGAGGCTGATGTAGGAGGATCACTTGAGCCCAGGAGTTCAAGGCTACAATAAGCTATGATCACACTACTACGCTCCAGCCTGGGCAACAGAGCACCCTATCTCTAAAAAAATAAAAATAAAAATAAAACTTCAAATAAAAGTATGGAGCATATTATCCTGTACAAGTCTTTAAATCACAGACCTCATCCAGTTAAGCAAGTCTATAGGAGTGCTTTCCAAAATATGCCAGGCTTGAGAAGAAACAAAATTAGAAAATGTATTAAAAAGACATAAACTTCACTGAAATGTATACTTACAATTAGTAAAAATAGCAAATCTTATGTTATATATTTTACCACAATAAAAAAATTTTTAACATGACATAAACATGTAGCAAAGTGCAACTTAAATCTGGAATACGTGACTATTTAACTTGCACAGGAGCTGAGATACATATAGAACTAAATAATTAGATAACATTACTAATGAACATGAATTCCAAATCTAACAGTAACATTTGTACAGACATCATATATGAGAAAAATTACACATTTCCAAGAACCTTCAGTGACAAGACCATGACCAGACACAATGTATAAACTGCCTGTAAATAGTTTAAAAAAATTGTGCTCTTCAGCAATAAAACTGACACACTGATTATCTTTGATCTGAAGATAAAAAAAGTTATACTATCTTTCAGTGAAGAAAATCCATTTATCAATACTTTCCTATTATTATTTACTTATCACACTGATTTAAAGTTAAAAGCTGCAAAAATTCTGTAACCTCTTTCACTTACAAATTATAGCCAAAGCAATGTTTTTATTCATAGAGTATAGTCAAATGAGCTCCATCTTTCAAAGTTAGACACTTATTCCAATCATTGTGACAACTGCTCAAAACAGTAACTTTAAGCTTAGCCTGGCATAAAAAGATTAATGACCTAACTCCAGGTACCATTTCAGTTTCACTAATCTATTATTGTCACACTTAGAATATGCTACTATAATTGTTGAGGGGTGTGGGTCCCATTAGATCTTTATCCAATCCACAAATATACAAAGAGCAGTTATGATATGCAAGACACTGCTAAATTCCTGGGAATCAGTGAGGTAGATACAGTCAAAAATACCTTTAAAATACATTTTCCTACACTCTTTCTTCTACACAAGGATTTTTAAATGCCTTACAAAAATGGTATTTTATGATCTCCCCAGAGATCAAAAACACTACTATTTATTTGAAAATTTAGGAGGCTGAATCAACACAGGAAAAAGATCATAACTTTGAAACATAATGATTTTAAAGGACTTGGTGTTCTCTCAAAAGGGATCCTAAGCAGGTCCATTTTCTTTCTCTGGCTCTAATCTTTATTCTTTACTTGCTTTCCTTTCAAATTTAACTCAGAAAATCTCCATGTAACATTTACTTCCTTGGTTATAGTCTCACATATGCATAAGACAAAATCCAAAAAACAGCATAACACACACTCAATCCAGCAGACCTTAGAGCTTTGCTGTGCACTCTAGCACAGCGTCCCAGAGGTCAGTCCACACTCACTTGGAATAGTTTTCTCCGGCCTCATCTTTCTTCACTTCTGTCTCACCCTCTGTTTTTGTGCCTTTATTTGTTTCATCCAACCAATCTGAGACATGTTTAAGAGCACATTCAACAGTAGATACCATATTCTGAA
The DNA here is from genome assembly GCF_000001405.40 of Homo sapiens. Classification (NCBI taxonomy): domain Eukaryota; kingdom Metazoa; phylum Chordata; class Mammalia; order Primates; family Hominidae; genus Homo; species Homo sapiens. The sequence continues at coordinate 123,179,140 of NC_000009.12, forward strand.
CAGCTTCAAGTTCCTCCGGAGATGGATAGATTGTTGAATGTTTCACCATAACATGGCGATCATCATTAGCAAAAGATCGAATAGATCTCTGTTAGAAGGAGAACGAAAACAATTACTTCAACAAAAGAAACATCACCTGAAAAAGATGATATACAACTATATCTTTAGCCAACCCATAGCACTGACTGTCTACTGTGAAACAGTTAATACTGAAACAAGAAAAAACTGCTCCAGCGTGGGAAGTAAAATCCCATTCTACTGAACTCCTCACCAGAAAACAAGAGCTCTTCCATTCATGTTTTGGTAAGGTTCACTTCAGTCACTCTTGGCATTATTTATAAATAATGTTATCCTGGCCAGGCACGGGGGCACATGCCTGTAATCCCAGCACTTTGGGAGACCGAGGTGGGCAGATCACTTGAGGTCAGGAGTTTGAGGCCAGCCTGGCCGACATGGTAAAACCCCGTCTCTACTAAAAATAAAAAAATTAGCTGGGTGTCGTGGCATGCACCTATAGTCCCAGCTACTGAGGAGGCAGAGGTTGCAGTGAGCCGAGATCACACCACTGCATTCCAGCCTGGGCAACAGAGTGAACTCTGTCTCTAAATAAATAAATAAATGAATAAAGTTATCTTTTAGCTGAACCTACACATTCTGAATACTACTTCAACAAATGTCATCCACATCACACATCATCTGCAAGAATTAGATACTTCTTAGCTTCAAGAGAGTCGCAGAAATGCAGGATGGTGAGTGACTCATAAACTGCCAAAGACTTCTAACCTTTCCAAACTGCCAAAGACTTCTAACCTTAGAAAATTGAGATTTCAGGGCTGGGCATGGTGGCTCATGCCTATAATTCCCAGCACTTTGGGAGGCTGAGGTGGGAGGATCGCTTGAAGGCCAGAAGTTGGAGACCAGCCTGGGTAATGTAGCAAGATCCAATCTCTCCAAAACATAAAAAAAATTAGCCGGACGTGGTAGCAGGTGCCTATAGTCCTAGCCACTCAGGAGGCTGAGGCAGGAGGATCCTTAGAGCCCAGGAGTTCGAGGTTAAGTGAGCTACCACTATGTCACTGCACTCCAACCTGGGCAACAGAGTAAGACCCAGGTCTCTATTTAAATTTTAGAATTTAGGATTTCATAATATAGAATAATACGAAATAAAAAGTTATCTGTGAACACTATAAGAAAACTATAAAAAACATTAAAATAGTGTTCACTATTTGACATTCAAACCTTTGGTGCAAGGCCTTTAATTTTTTAAATAGACTAGTGGGAGACATTCCAAATGCAGAGTGGGAAAAATACATACTGCAAAATGACAAGCTAATTTACAAATATATTCTCAATCAAAATCTCCTCAGGATTGATTTACTTAAATCTCAACAAAAATCATTTTAAAGCTCATTTGGGGAAAAACATAAATAAGGGTATCAAGAAATACTCTACAAAGATCGAAGGGTGGTACCACTAACTAAAATGAAATATCAGATCAGTGGAACAGACCAGAACCCAGAAAATGAATGAATTTCATGAAAATTTAACAGAGTAGATTCTATACACTCATGAGTCACACATCCAAAAACCTTTAAATTTTTCCAAATTTACAAATATCACGAAGACACTTATACCAATACACAGCAAAATGAACAAGGATAACTTAGTGAGTTTTCCATAAAGCCTAAAATATTCCATTTAAAAGCTGGTTATACTGTCTTTACTTACATGAAATTATATGTTAGTACATGGTAAATATTTTGTTTTGAAGTCCATCGCAAACTAAAACATTCTCAATTTTTTATGAACAGTCTTGCCTCTTTTGTTCTTGTTTATCTATGTTTAAAAATCACATTATTTTTGGATAACAGTAAATTAACACTATAGTGTCACTGTCCTCTATAAAGCAAAGAAAACTTTGGTTGAAAAGGTAATCATTTGAAAACCTCTATCATTATATAAAAACAGAGCTAAAATAGATTACAAAGCTTTTCTTTTTCTCAATAAAAATCATCTGTCTAGATGTCTTTCTTGCTCAACATCCACAACCAGTTTTCCAACTGGTGCAGTTTGCCACAAAGAAACAAATTTTTTAAACACTTAGTGAGACATATTCATCTATCCCAAAGTAAGTACTAGAGAACAAAAGAGCCATAGAGTTGGAAATGCTAGGCTGTTAGCTAGGCTCATGTACTTGCTAAATTACCTAGTCCTGCACACCGGCCACACCTGAGCAAAACTGCGTATTGCTACATTACATAAACATTTGTCATTTATCACACAAATAATACAGACTGCCAATGTTAAATCTAAAAATGTTACATCTAACATTCTACTGGATGTGACAGAATAAGCACCATGAAACAACAGTGACAGGCCAGGCACGGTGGCTCATGCCTGTAATCCCAGCACTTTGGGAGGCCAAGGCAGGCGGATCACCTGAGGTCGGCAGTTCGAGACCAGTCTGACCAACATGAAGAAACCTCGTCTCTACTAAAAATATAAATTTAGCCAGGCATGGTGGTTGGTGCATGCCTGTAATCCCAGCTACTTGGGAGGCTGAGGCAGGAGAATTGCTTGAACCCAGGAGGCGGAGGTTGCAGTGAGCTGAGATCACACAATTGCACTCCAGCCTCAGCAACAAGAGCAAAACTTCGTCTCAAAAAAAAAAAAAAAAAAAAAAAAAAAAAAAAAAAAGAAACAGTAACAGGAAAAATTGAAGAAATGCAGAGAAATCTTATTTACTCAAATAAGCTCTAAACAGATTTTCTTTAAGTATTGAAAAAATAAATCAGACTGGGCACAGTGGCTCACGCCTGTAATCCCAACACTTTGGCTCACGAGGAGGGTGGATCATCAGAGGTCAGGAGTTCAAGACCAGCCTGGCCAACATGGTGAAACCCTATCTCTACTAAAAATACAAAAATTAGCCAGGTATGGTGGTACACCCCTACAGTCCCAGCTACTCAGGAGGCTGAGGCAGAAGAATTACTTGAACCCGGGACACAGAGGTTGCAGTGAGCTGAGATCGTGCCATTGCACTCCAGCCTGGGCAACAGAGTGAGACTCCGTTTCTTTAAAAAAAAAAAAAAAAAAAAAAAAAAAAAAAGACAAAAAATTAAATCAGAAGAACCATGCAGAAAGAGAAAATTCTCATTGCAATCTGAGATCTAAAAAGCAAGTAATAAGAGAAACCAGAAAATACTCATCAATTAAATTATATAAAAACACAAAATTTATACACCAGAAAATCTAAGCTGAATTTAAAAAGAATAAACTAAGGAAGACATCTTCATCCACTCTGAAAAATAATAAAGCATTTCTTTTAGTTGTAAGAATATCAAGACTATAAGAAATGAGCGGAATGAGAGGTAAATAATTCACATGGTAAGATATAAAAGAATCAGTGTGGTTTTTTCACATTTCACCACATAACTAAAATGACAGGGAAAATCCCAAGTTAACATTTGTTCCCACAATCTAGATCTAAAATATCAGAATTTCTTCTCTAAGGAGTCAGCTGATTAAGTTATAATCCTTGGCACAAATATTTTTAAAAGCAAGTAACATTTAAAGAAACATCACCAGGCTGGGCACGGTGCCTCACGCCTATAATCCCAGCACTTTGGAAGGCTAAGGCAGCAGCAGGGTTCCTTGAGCCAAGGCGTTCCAGACCAGCCTGGGCAACAAAGCAAAACCCTGTCTCTACAAAAAATTTAAAAATTTGCCAGATGTGGTGGCATGCGCCTATAAGGCCAAGCTACTTGGGAGGCTTGAGGCAGGAAGATCCTTTGAGCCCAAGGAGTTGGAGTTTGCAGTGAGCTATGATCATGTCACTGCACTCCAGCCTGGAGGACAGAGCAAGATCCTGTCTCAAAAAAAAAAAAAAAAAAAAAAAACAAAAAATCAAAAAAATCACCACCAACAGACCGGCTAAACAACATATTCCAAATAATCATACTGGTGATTAATATTTTCTGCTTTTTCTCTCACTGGTAATGTGTTTTTAAAATCTTGGCCAGGCACGGTGGCTGATGCTTGTAATCCCAGCACTTTGGGAGGCTGAGGTGGGTGGATCACCTGAGGTCAGTTTGAGACCAACCTGGCCAACATGGCGAAACCCCGTCTCTACTAAAAATAAAAAAAATTAGCTGGGTATGGTGGCGGGCACCTATAATCCCAGCTACTCGGGAGGCTAAGGCAGGGAGAATTGCTTGAACCTGGGAGACGGAGGTTGCAGTGAGCCGAGATTGCGCCATTGCATTCCAGCCCGGGCAACAGGGTGAGACTCCGTCTTTAAAAAAAAAAAAGAAACCTTTTCTCGCTTATACTTAGGAGAAAAAAAATTCATATAACACCCTCCAGAACTCATAATACTAAGGGAAAAAAAATCAGCACATTTTACCAATTAAAAGCCTAGGCACCAGAGACTATGAGCTCATCTAACATCACAAATTCAATTTAAGTCTGAACTCTTCCCAAAAAGCAAGGTTTCTTTGATTCTCAATTCAGTGCCCCTACTATACTCAGCACTTGACCCTATTATTTTAAAAGTATGAAAAAGAGGTGGCTTTTTCAGTTAAACATTCACACATATTATAAACTTCTACATCATTCATATCACTAATTAAAGGACTGGTTCAGAATTTTTAATTTCCACAAGAAAAAAAACTGAACTTAAAGTTAAAAACCTAGCTATTTGTATCAGTTTGCTAATGCCAGTTTTATTAGAAAATATTATTTATGAGCATTTCCTCCTTTGTTTTAATAATTCATGGCCTACAGGCTCATGAGGCCCTACCTTGTGGTTTACATAGCTTGTAGTAAATCTGAATTCATTCGCTTTGAATAGTAGAGTGCCATCTTTATATGACACACTAAAGCCAAAAATTAACACCACTGTTTTTCATTTGCCCTCACTGTTAACATTTCTAATTTTAAATTACTGGAGTCTTTTGTAACTAAATTATGAAAATATCCACAATAACCTACCATGGTTTTCTATAGTATTTTAGCTTCTTTTTCCGATCCTTTCCCCTCTTTCTTGTCGTCTTCACTAGACACTGTTTTGTGTAACAATACCTCCTCATAAGCCTGAGTCCCCTGACAGCTCAGCGTCAATATAGCAAATGTCTGAAGGCTTGTTCTCTGGAACACACCTGCAAGAGAAGAGGAAAACAACTTCAAAAATGCTTATTTACTATTAGCTTCCAATATGAGTGTGCAACCCATAAACATGTTCCTGATTAAAAAGAAATAAACTCAATAGAGGAAAATTCCCTCAGTTCAAACAAAAAGCTAACACATCTTTTGAAGGCCTGGGCCCAGGAGCCTAGGTGATATGGCCAGAAAAGTAAGCCTCCTGTAGCTACAATGTGGCAGCTGGCTGACTAGCACTCAATGAGATAAATACATTTGCAAAGAGATTCAGTCAAGAAGCACCACCTGAAAGAGTAATACTACCACTGATGGCAACAAGTTGCAGTTAACCATTAGATTTTCAATCAGAAATTGGCATTACTCAGACCCATCTGAAAATTCAGTAAAGACACCTGAAAATACAACAATACCAATGATTATTCCATGATGCTTTTACATTGGATACTGCCATTAAAGAGTACATGTTGGCACAATGTTTGTTCTTTAATTTTTTTCAGCCTAAAATTCAGAATGCTTTTTTGGCTCTACTTCCTAACTCCCAAAAGGCCCTATTTGTCCCTGGGCCTGTATGCACTGCTATGCCAGACTCCTGAATATTCACTAGATCCTGACTTCATTACCCCTGGATGTCCCTCACCAGATTTCCACAGTATTATTTCTATCCAGAGTCCTAATCATTGTTACTTATTTTGTTCCACCTTTATGAGATTTTATTCCAGACATAGTAAAAGTAAACTTTTCTGAGCACTGATGAAACACTTATATTATAAACCTAGCTACAAGAAAAGGAGAAAAAAATTAAAAAAAAAAACCAGAACATCAAAATACAGCACATGCTTTAACTATGTGGCTATAAGAGGACATAATTTACATACCATATATCGTATAAACTCACAAAGAAAATAACTTTCTCTTCATTTAAATATCTTTCCTTTAATAAGGAAACACCCTATTGTCAGTAACAGTTTCTTAATATTAGCAGTTAGGCCAAGTGAGGTGACTCATGCCTGTAATCCCAATGCTTTGGGAGGCCAAGACGGGAGGATTGCTTGAAGCCAGAAGTTCGAGACCAGACTGGGCAACAGAGCGATACCCTATCTCTTTAAAAAAATGATACTATTTAACAGAAGAGATTCTAATAAATGGGACTTACTTTATTATTACTCATATCGCATTAAGGAAGGAATGCATAAGTGCTGCAATTCATGGGATCCTTTTGGACAACCAAAAAACAGGGATCAAAATATGATCCCACAGTAAGAGATATCTCAAAAATGCTCCATCTAAGTAACATAATACTAAATACAATACTAAAATTTTACCTTTCCTATAAATACCTTACTATATAACCAAAGTCTTCAGCATCTCCCATTCCCAACCCTACTCCATTCTAAGGGATTCGGCTAGTCACTATTTAGCTGTGAATCCAGCAGCCAAAAACGATTGCTATGTGTTCAGTCAACAAGTGAAACAAAGTACACAAGCTTTCTTTATATTAGTGAAGCCAGTTCTAGACCATCCTGGCTAACATGGTGAAACTAACAATACAAATTAACAATACAAAAACTAAAAATGCAAAAAAATTAGCCGGGCATGGTGGCGGGTGCCTGTAGTCCCAGCTACTCGGGAGGCTGAGGCAGGAGAATGGCGTGAACCCGGGAGGCAGAGCTTGCAGTCAGCCAAGATCACGCCACTACACTCCAGCCTGGGCGAAAAAGCAAGACTCCGTCTCAAAAAAAAAAAAAAAAAAATGTGGAGCCAGCCAGGCATGGTGGCTCGCGCCTGTAATCCCAGCACTTTGGAAGGCTGAGGCCAGGAGGATCACTTGAGCCTAGGAGTTTAAGACCAGCCTGGGCAACACAGTGAGACCCCATCTCTACCAAAAAAATTAACAACAAATTAGGTGGGCATAGTGGCACATGCCTGTAGTCCCAGCTGCTCAGGAGGCTGAGGTGGAATGATCACTTGAGCCCAGTAGGGTGGGGCTGCAGTGAGCCATGAACACACCACTGCCCTCCAGCCTGAGCAACAGAGCAAGACCCTGGTCTCAAAATAATTGAATAGATTGAAGGCAGAAAAGGAAGAACAATGCTATGAAATAGCTTCAGATGTAGTGGAAAAATCATGGATCACCAATATGAAAAGTACAGCACTCCACAGTCATTTAGCATGGGGGGTAACTACCCTACCATCAAGAACCTCTGGGAACTTCAGAGTATGATAGCATAGTGCAATAACTCATGAAAAAAAAACTGTATCTCTATTCACTGTATATTCACTGTATGTTCTATTGGTGCTATAAAACAAACTTAAAAATCATCTGACCAACTCTACCCTCATTTTAAAAATGAAACAGAATCAGCAAACAAGGGACAAGACATGGTCTGAAACCTAAATTACAGACCAATGCTTTTTCCCCAATATTTATCAATCTGATTGAGAAAAAAGCCAAATTTATAATATGTCTGATTTACTCTAAACTGAAATGGAGAAACTACAATAGCTTTTAAGAGTTTTTCTTTTTTTAAAAAAAAAAAAAAAAAAGGTCAACCTAGTGGATAAAATTCTGGTCTTAAAATTTTTTTAAAAACTAACTTTGCTAGTTAATAGCTATATGACCTTAGAAGTTATGTGACTCAAAGAGTCACTTAATTTCCTTGGGTCTCTGTTTCCTTTCTTAATAAAATGAGAAATAATTCCACTACTAATTAGTAGATAACATGTATGTAGCTCAGACTTTGTACTCACTGTTCCTAAGACTTTTCATATATTAACTCAAGCCTCCCAACAATCTCAATTACTGTCTCCAATTAACACATAAGGAAACTAAAGCATAAACAGATAACACAACCTAAGTAAGACCATAAAGTAAACAGTAGAGCCAAGATTCATATCTAGACAATCCTCTTTAATACTGTTTTGGCTCTAAAGGACTTACATTTCCTATAGAGGACAAACTTCAGCTATTTAAAAAAAAAAAAAAAAAGTCTATGTGACCATAGAACACACAGGCTTTGGAGTCAAGTACCAGCTTTGTCACTTCCCTTATCTGAGCCAGAGTTTTCTCACCCATGAAATGGGCTGACTAGTATCTACTCCAAACTAAATGGACAGGTTATATAAAAATACCTAATAATATCTTACAAATAGTATACACCCAATAAATGGTTTCGGGAAAAAAACACACCTCAAATTTCCTAATGTCAAATAGAAACATTTTGTTTATACATCAGATGTATGTAAATTTCTCTGAAAAACTAAGCCTAGAAAAATATTAACTATGCACTCCTTAGAACAGCTTACGCAGAAGGTGGCATTATATATAAAGGAATGTGTGTCACTTTTTAATTGAGCACTTTTTTCAATTAATGGACATTATTTTCTAGAGCAGCTTTAGGTTTATAGAAAAGTTGAGTGGAAAGTGGAAAGAACTCCCATATACCTCTTCTCCCCACCACCCACCACACACCACCCACCACCCACCACACATAGTTTCTCCTATTCTTGACATATTACCTTAGTGTGGTACATTTGTTACCACTGATAAACCAATGTTGATACATTATTATTAACTAAAGTTCATAGTTTACATTAGGGTTCACTCTTTGCATTGTACATTCTATGGATTTTTACAAATGACATGCATTCACCATTACAGTATCATACAAAATAGTTTTAGTTTAACACCCCTGAAAATCCCCTATGCTCCACCTATTTGACCTTCCCACCTTCCCCACCCCCAAGCCCTTAGTAACCACTAAGTTTTTTCAGTCTATAATTTTGCCTTTTCAAGAATGTCATATAGTTGGAATAATATATCATATGTAGCCTTTTGAGACTAGCTTCTTTCACTTAGCAATATGCATTTAAGGTTTCTCCATCTTTTCATGGATTGATAGCTCATTTCTTTTTATTGCTGAATAATATTCTGTTGTATGGATATACCACAATTTATCCATTCAACTACTGAAGGACATCTTGATTGATTCCAAATTTTGGCAATTATGAATAAATTCCCAAAAACTTATTTTCAAAGTTTTTGGGTAAATCTCAAGACTAGGCCAGGTGCGGTGGCTCACGTCTGTTAATCCCAGCAGTCTGGGAGCCCGAGGCAGGCGGATCACAAGGTCAGAAGATCGAGACCATCCTGGCTAACACGGTGAAACCTTGTCTCCACTAAAAAATACAAAAAATTGGCCAGGCATGGTGGTGGGCGCCTGTAGTCCCAGCTACTCGGGAGGCTGAGGCAGGAGAATGGCGTGAACCCAGGAGGCGAAGCTTGCAGTGAGCTGAGATCATGCAACTGCACTCCAGCCTGAGTGACAGAGTGAGACTCCATCTCAAAAATAAAAATAAAAATCTCAAAACCAACAAACAACTATGCTATCTATATTCAAACTATGAAACTTAAATATTTAGGGATTTTTTTTCCTGAAATGCAATAGAGAGAATATAAAAATACTTTCTTTAAAAATCCCAAGTAATGTTTTGCAAACAGTTTGTTATGGAATCCAGTAAATTTACTCTCAAAACAGTAACTGACTAGGAAACCTTCAATTTTGTTAATACTAATATAAGCCACCTAAAACAAGCTATGTAAAAATAAACAGGCTTTATTTCATTATGAAAGAACCACCGCACATCTACAATATTAAATATGGGCAAGAAAAAATTAGAAAAAGACACCTCACTGCCTCTCCCAGAAGATCACATTAAGATAAACTATGTGAGATTCAATAGCAAAGACTTGGAACCAACCTGAATGTCCAACAATGATAGACTGGATTAAGAAAATGTGGCACATATACACCATGGAATACTATGCAGCCATAAAAAATGATGAGCTCATGTCCTTTGCAGGGACATGGATGAAGCTGGAAACCATCATTCTCAGCAAACTATCGCAAGGACAGAAAACCAAACACCGCATGTTCTCACTCATAGGTGGGAATTGAACAATGAGAACACATGGACACAGGAAGGGGAACATCACATACCAGGGCCTGTTGTGGGGTGGGGGGAGGGTGGGGAGGGATAACATTAGGAGATATACCTAATGTTAAATGACAAGTTAATGGGTGCAGCACACCAACATGGCACATGTATACATATGTAACTAACCTGCACGTTGTGCACATGTACCCTAAAACTTGAAGTATAATAATAATAAAAAAAAAGAAAATGTGGCACGTATACACCATGGAATACTATGCAGCCATAAAAAAGGATAAGTTCATGTCCTTTGTAGGAATATGGATGAAGCTGGAAACCATCATTCTCAGTAAACTATCACAAGGACAGAAAACCAAACACTGCATGTCCTCACTCATAGGTGGGAATTGAACAATGAGAACTCTTGGACATAGGGCAGGGAACATCACACACCCAGGGCCTGTCGTGGGGTGGGGGGCTGGGGGAGGGATAGCATTAGGAGAAATACCTAATGTAAATGATGAGTTGATGGGTGCAGCAAACCAACATGACACATGTATACCTATGTATCAAACCTGCACGTTGTGCACATGTACCAGAGAACTTAAAGTATAATAAAAATAAATAAAAATTTAAAAAAAGAAAAAAAGATAAATTATGTGAGATTTACAAGTAAATATATATTTATTAATTGCCTATTAATTTGTATGTATATGCTTGGTAGCATGGAGAATACAAAGATGAATCAACTCAGAACACACTAAGGGGCCAGGTGCGGTGGCTCACACCTGTAATCCCAGCACTTTGGGAGGCAGAGATGGGTGGATCACTTGAGGTCAGGAGTTCAAGGCCAGCCTGGCCAACATGGTGAAATCTTGTCTCTACTAAAAATACAAAAATCAGCCAAACGTGGTGGCACATGCCTGTAATCTCAGCCACTCGGGAGACTGAGGCAGAAGAATCACTTGAACCCAGGAGGCAGAAGTTGCAGTGAGCCAAGATCGTGCCACTGCACTCCACCCTGGGCAACGGAGTGAGACTCCATCTCAGAAAGAAAAAAAAAAAAAAAGAACACACTAAGGAAAGTAAGAGCAAATACATATAAATCCAATACTCTCCCCAAATCCCTTCAAATAAATTCAACTTTCTCTACATGGTGGCATTATTTCTATGCAATAGTAATGTGAAAAGAACACTGAATTTCAATATTTTCTTCTGGAAGCTTCTTTTTCATGTAAAAAAAAAAGGCACGTGCAAGAAGGTTAAACCTATCAATTACTTATCAATAGCTAATATAAAATCCTCACCTAGTTCCAAATTCCGGCTATTCCTCCTTACCCAAAAACACCTATAACGATGGAAAAGCTCTATTCTACCATATCACTTGAAGGCTTGCAATAATGGGCAGAGGCCGAAAGGTCTTTTCTCAATTAACGGTATGTACAAAGAAGATGCGACGGCTATAATCTGAACCTAAAATATACTGAATGAGCCAGCTAAGTCGAACCAGAATGAGATTCCTGAATATTTACTGTCAGTGAGCAAAATGGAAAAGCTCTTATTGAATAACCAATCAAAAGAGTGGATAACAGAAAAACACATCCCTTTGCTAAAAGAGGCAGTTATTAGCCCTTCCCAATCACTGGTGCCTTATGTGACAAAACAACATTCAGCCAGACAGATGACTCACTTGTTGAAAGAACCAAAAATTCAATGCATTTCAACAAGTATTTACCGAACACCTGTAATATCCCAGGCACTGTCCTAGGCACTTTGGCTACCAACAGTGAACAAAACAGACAAAAATCCTTGCCCTTGTGGTTTAAGTCCAGAAGAGGGAAATAATCAAAAGACAATAAATATAAAAATAAGAAAATTTAGCAGTACGTTAGAAGGTGTGAAATGCTTGGAAAAGAGAGGAAGCAAGTTGAGGAGGCAACAGAGTAAGCACACACAGATAATACATGGAGAGGGAGTGCCATTTTAACAGATAGTCAAGGGTTCACTGCAAAGGTGGCACCTAAGCAAAGACTTGATGGGGTTAACAGCCATGCAGATGTCTATGAATTGAGCACTTCTGGCAGGGGAGTTAAAGCAGTGGTCCTAAGGAAGGGCGTGCCTGCGTTCAGTGGAAGAATAATAATGAGTCCAAAGTGGCTGCAGTGAGGTGGGGGAGAGAGGAGGGCCGAGAGGACAGAAAGGTGGGGGTGAGGGGATCAGACCATATATGGCAGAGGCTGGCAAACTTTTTCTTTAAAGTGCCAGATAGTAAATACATCAGGCTTTTCATGCCATAAGGTCTCTACTACTCAACTCTGCCTTTGTGGTGCAAATGTAGCCATACATGATATGCAAACAAATGGGTGTGGCTCTGTTCCAATAAAACTTAATTACGGACACTGAAATTTGAATTACATGTAATTTTCACATCAAAAAATATCAATTTTTGATATTTTTTAACCACTTAAAAGTATAAAAACCATTCTTAGCTCACTGGTCATATAAAAACAGGCAATGGGCCAAATTTGGTCATGGGTCAGTTTGTCAAGTCCTAATTTAGGGCCCTTCTGGTCACTTTGAAGACTGTAGCTTTTACTCTGAGATGGGGAGCCCTTAGAAGGTTTTCAGCACAGAATGACAACATCTAAGTCATATCTTTAAAAGATCACTATGGTTACTTGTTGAAAACACTGTATAAGAGTGGAAGGAAGGAGGCCACTTAAGGAGGTTTAGTGATCATATTCTGGATATATTTTGAAGGTAAAAGCCACAGCATTTCGAATAGATTGGATGTGGGGTGTGAAGGAACTGGAGGCATCAGGATTGACTTTAAGGTTATTGGCCTGAGCAACTCAGTTAAGGAAGGTGCCAGGGAGAGGAGGTTTTGGGAATAAGATCAGAAATTCAGCTTTGGACATGCTGACATTGAATTTGAGTTATTTATTAGACATCTAAGAAGGCAGCTGGATATGGACCTAGTGTTCAGCAGAGAGGTCTGGATTAGGATATAAATTTGGGAGTTTTCAGTAGTTTGGTATGTGAAGCCACAAAATGGCCAAGGGAGTGGGTGTACCAATGAATACAAAAAAAGCAAAAGGAGAAGAACAACTATACTCAAAGAAGGAATAACCTGAGAGATGGCAGGAAAATGAGACTGTGCTATTTGGAAAGTCAACAAAAGAAAAATTACAAAGGAGGCAAGATGTCTAAATTAAACTCAAACAAAGGGCTGGGTGCAGTGACACAGGCCTATAGTCCGTCGGGAGGCTGAAGTAGGAGGATCATTTGAGCTCAGGGGAGGGTCATTTGAGCTCAGAAGTTCATGCCTAGCCTAGCCAACATACAGAGACCCCCATCTCAATTTTTAAAAAGGGAAAGGGGGATAGTGCATAGGAACAGGAATCTTGTTTTAATCCTTGTTTTACTACTACAGATATCTAATAATTCAAGGATACTTACATATTTGGAAGTCTTGTATACCACTGTGTAAAGTTGTTTTACTATGTTTTACCATTTACGGGGATTTATCCTCTCCTATACTATTCCCATTTCAGCCCATCATTGAGGAAAATTTTACCTTGAGAACATCAGACTCCTCTTCAAAACCTTCAATAACCACTAATTACCTAAGCAACTGGCACTAAACTCAAATATTCAGTGGCATCCAAGGTCCTATCGTCATTCTTGTCATTTCTCTCACCACCACAGCTCCAGTCAACACGGGAATAATGACTCTATGCCAGAACACCTTGCAATGTGCTACCGCTAAGCTTGAGTTAAACGATTCCCTTACCTGGACTGCAGCCACTACGCCATCATGATTTGTCATTGTTCTATTCATCAAATGCCCATCTCAAATCTACCCCTCCATGAAGCCTTACCTAATACTTCAGTTTATATAATTTCTTCCTCCTTTGAGCCATCCAGCACTTTTTCAGCTTCCTTTATATTTCTATTACTCAGTTTTAATGATATGATTTACTATTATCTCCACAGCACCTAGTACATCGCCCTGCACTCAGCAGAGGCTCAATAGAATTTGAATTCAACCCTAAATTTATCCTTCCTTAGAGTGCCATAACCACAGAATCTAAGGAGGTTCCATCCAAAAGGTCACCATCTCTTCCCATTATTTCCATGGCAGTCATCACCACAGTGACTAACAGGGAATTTCTGACTCGTCCTCCATAAGCACAAATTCCATTACTTATTTGACTTCTCCATCTTGGATTAATCCCCCAAACCCTATCCCATTCCTTCAGGACTTTAGTGCTGTACTTAGCTCAGTGACACACTCAACTTTACTTCTGGCATAAATATTAGAATTTTAATAACCGCAGAGATGACCCTTCTAAAATTCAGGCTTCTCCAGTCCTTGTATTCCTTTCCTCCAATGTTCTCATCTTCTTTCCTATTTTAGACAAACACGCCCCACCGGGACCTACAATCGCTAATGCTACCACTTTTCACAGTCCCTCATCCTTTTCATGCCCTCATTTCTGTCCTTATCCAACCGAAATTACGTGATCCATCATTTATCATTCATACCAGCAACTGCTTCTCTTTCCTTCTCCTAGCAAAACTCTAACCCTGTTAAATCCAAGCCTCTTGGCCACACCACATCATTAACCATGTACCATTAAATATAACTAAGAAAAAAAAGTATCACATAATCATGCTAATTAGTCTTTTTCATGACCATTAGCCTCAAAAGGCCCAATAATCAATAGTTCTAAAGGGATGTGAAAATGTGAAGTCAAGTTTTTTTAGTTGTAAGAATGACTAGGTAGGTAATCCTGGCATTTGGGACCCTGGAATGCAAAATATCCTGCCGTGTCCAAGATCTGTCCCACCTAAAATGCAAGTAGGAGCCTCAATGAAAAAGTTAAATGTTCATTCACTTCCTCACTCTCCTAATGATTTTCTCACACTTCTCTTGTCTCTTCAAACATCTATACTCTTACCTCTTCATATTCAACAGGTCACCCTGCTTCCTACTTCATGCAAATTGCCAACCTTGCTGCATCATTAACCATATATTCTTCCTTCCTGTTATTATAAATGAACTGTCCCCATTCCTATCTAATGCAAATTCCTGAACTCAAACTCTACTGGATCCCACCTCCTTTTGCCTACTTGGGATGTCACTCAGTAATCATCCCCTCTTCTCTCTTTCCTCTCCTGTATCATCCATTTTACCCATTCTACTGAGTCATTTCTATCAGCATTCCCACATGTTGTAATAGCACCCATCAATAAAAATAAAAAGGGAAAAAACATTAAAAACCATCCTTGACCTCTTGCTTTGCTACAGCTACTAGCCCAATTCTCTGCTCTCATTCTAGAGCATAACTGAGTTTACACTTTGGGTTTTTATTTCCTCTCCTTCCATTCTCTCTTAAAACCATCCCAATCAGCCTCTCATCCCAATGCTCCATCAAAACAGCTCTTGTCAAGGTCCCCTAGGATTTCCATGGTATTTAATGCTGTGAATAATTCTCAGTCCTCCTCTTAGTTGACTTCTCAGCAACAGTTGACACAGTTGACTGTTCCCTACACTTTACTCCCCTTGGCTTCCATCTAAGACACCACTCTCTTAGTTCTCCTCCTACTTTATAAATTACTCCCTTGTATCCTTTTCTTCTTTATCTCCACAACCTCTAAACGCTGAAGTGCCTCAAGACTCAGCCCTCAGACTTCATCTCTTCTCTATCTTACCTTCAACATTCCCTTGGCAATGTTATCTAGGTTTGAGACTTTAAATACCATCTATATACTGAGGATCTCCCAAATTCATATGGACCTGAGTTCCAAATTCACATTCAAATAAATAATCAACACATCCACTTGGATGTTTAATAAGCATCTTAAACCTAATGCATCAAAAACAAAAAACAAAACAAAACAAAACAAAAAACCACACAAGTTTGCTCCTCCTGGTCTTCCCTCCCTCAAGAGAAGGCAACTACTTCATCCCTTTAATTGTTCATGCCAAAAACTTGAAAGTCATCCCTGACTCCTTTCTTCCTCCCACATCTCACATCTGATCCATCATTAAATCCTGTTACCTATACCTTACAACACTATCTAAAATCTGACTATTGGGAAGTCCTAGCTAAAATAATCAGACAAGAGAATGAAATAAGGAGCATTCAAATTGGAAAGAAGCCAAATTATCCTTATTTGCAGATAATATGATCTCATATTTGCAAAAACCTGAAAACTGCACCAAAAAAACTATTAGAACTGACAAACAAATTCAGTAAAGTTGCAGGATACAAAATCAACATACAAAAATCAGTAGCATTTCTATATGCCAACAGCAAACACTCTGAAAGAAATCAAGAAAATAATCCCATTTATAATGGCTGTGAATAAAACTAAATACCTAGGACTAAACGTAGCCAAAGAAGTGAAAGATCTCTACAATGAAAACTATAAAGTGCTGATGGAAGAAATTGAAGAGGACACAAAAAAATTGAAAAGATATTCTATATTCATGGATTGGAAGCGTCAATATTGTTAAAATGTCCATACCATCCAAAGCAATCTACAGGTTCAATGCAATCTCTGCTAAAATACTAATGACAGTCTTCACAGAAATAGAAAAAAATAAAATCCTAAAATTTACACAGTACCACCAAAGACCCAGACTAGCCAAAACTATCGTGAGTAAAAAGAACAAAACTGGAGGAATTACATTATCTGACTTCAAATTATATGACAGAGCTGTTGTAACAAAAACAGCATAGTGCTGGCATAAAAACAGACACATGCTGATATAAAAACAGACACAAAGACCAATGGAACATAATAGAGAACCCAGAAGTAAATCCATACATCTCCAGTGGATATTCATTTGTGACAAAGGTTCAAAGAACATACACTATGGAAAGGACAGGGTCTTCAATAAATGGTGCTGGGAAAACTGGATATCCATATGCGAAAGAAGGAAATTAGACCCCTATCTTTCATCATATACAAAAATCAAATCAAAGTGGATTAAAGAATTAATCTAAGGCCTGAAACTATAAAACTACTAAAAGAAAACATTGAGAAACTATCCAGGACATTGGACTGGGCAATGCTGTATTGAGTAATGCCCCACAGCAAAGGCCACCAAGGCAAAAATGGACAAATGGTATCACATCAAGTTGAAAAGCTTCTGCAAAGCAAAGGAAACAATCAACAAAGTAAAGAGACAACCCAAAGAATGGAAGAAAATAGTTCCATTAGATGCAAACTATCCATCTGACAACAGATTAATAACCAAAATATACAGGGAGCTCAAACAACTCAATAGGAAAAAAAAATCTAATAACCCAATTAAAAAATGGACAAAAAATTTGAATAGGTACTTCTCAAAAGAAGGCATACTAATGGCAAACAGGTGTATGAAATGGTACTCAACATCACTGATCATCAGAGAAATGCAAATCAAAACTATAATGCGATATAATCTTATCCCAGTTAAAATGGCTTTTATCCAAAAAGCAGGCAATAACAAATGCTGGCAAAGATATATAGAAAAGGAAACCCTTGTATACTGTTGGTAGGAATGTAAATTAGTTCAACCAGTTTGGAGAACAGTTTGAAGGTTCCTCAAAAAACTAAACATGGAACTACTATATGATTCAGCAATCTCACGGCTAGGTATATACCCAAAAGAAAAGAAATCAGTACATCGAAAAGGTAACTGCACTCCCATGCTTATTGCAGCACTATTAACAATAGCCAAGATTTGGAAGCAACCTAAATGTCCGTGAAGAGACGAATGAATAAAGTAAATATGGTACATATACATAATGGAGTACTATTCTGCCATAAAAAAGAATGAGATCTTGTTACTTGCAACAACAACATGGATGGAACTGGAAGTCATTAGGTTAAATGAAGTAAGCCAGACACAGAAAAAAAAACTTCAAATGTTCTTACTCATCTGTGGAAGCTAAAAATTAAACAATTAAACTCAAAGAAATAGAGAGCAGAATGATGGTTATCAGAGGCCGAGAGGGTGGGGAAGAAGTGGAGATGGTATATGGGTACAAAAAACATAGTTAAATAGAAGGAAAACAATCTAGTATTTGATAACACAACAGGGTGATTACAGTCAGTAATTTTTTTTATTTCAATTCCTTTTGGGGTACAAGTGGGTTTTGTTACATGGACGAAATATAAAATGGTAAATTCTGAAATTTTAGTGCACTCATCACCCAAGTAGTGTACACTATACCTAATGTGTAGTTTTTTGTTAATCCCAGGCTCCCCTCCCGCCGTGCCTCTTCTGAGTCTCTAAAATTCATTATATCACTCCGTATGCCTTTGGGTACTCATAACTTAGCTTTCACTTACTCATAGCTTGGCTTTCCACTCCTGTGATACTTCACTTAGAATAATGGCCTCTAGCTCCATACAAGTTGCTGTGAAACATATTTCTTTTTTTTTTTTTTTTTTTTTTTTTGACACGGAGTCTCGCTCTGTCACCTAGGCTGGAATGCAGTAGCGCGATCTCAGCTCACTGCAACCTCCACCTCCCGGGTTCAAGCGATTCTCCTGCCTCAGCTTCCCGAGTAGCTGGGATTACAGGTACCAGCCACCATGTCCCGCTAATTTTTGTATTTTTAGTAGAGACAGGGTTTCACCCTGTTGGGTGGCTTGTCTCAAACTCCTGACCTCAAGTTATCTGTTTGCCTAGACCTCTCAAAGTGCTGGGATTACAGGCGTGAGCCACGGAGCCTGGCTCTGTCTTTTTAATAATGACCATTCTTTCAGGAGTAGGGTGGTATCTCACTGTGGTTTTAATCTGCATTTCCCTGGTGATTAGTGATGTTGAGCATTTTTTTCATATGTATCCTGGCCATTTATATATTTTCTTTTCAGAAATGTCTATTCATGTCTTTTGCCTACTTTTTATTTTTTATTTTTTTGAGACAGAGTCTCACTCCATCACCCAGGCTGAAGTGCAATGGCACGATCTCAGCTCACCGCAATCTCCACCTCCTGGGTTCAAGCAAATCTCCCACCTCAGCCTCCCAAGTAGCTAACTGGCACCCGCCATCATGCCAGGCTAATTTTTTTTGTATTTTTGTAGAGACACATTTTCACTATATTGGCCAGGCTGGTCTTTAACTCCTGACATCAGGTGATCCACCCACCTCAGCCTTCCAAAGTTCTGGGATTACAGGTGTGAGCCACGGCGCCCGGCCTTTTGCCTGCTTTTTAATGGGATTTTTTTTTTCTTGATTTGAGTTCCTTATAGATTCTGGATACTAGTCCTTGGTTGGACGCGTAGTTTGAAAATACTTTCACCTATTGTGTGGGTTGCCTGTTTACTCTATTATTTCTTTTGCAGAAGCTTTTTAGTTTAATTAGGTCCCATTTATTTATTTTTGTTTTTGTTGCATGTGCTTTCGGGGTCTTAGCCATAAATTCTTTGCCTAGGCCAATGTCTAGAAGAATTTTTCCAACATTACCTTCTAGAATTTTTATTGTCTCAGGTCTTACATTTAAGTCCTTGTTCCATCTTGATTTTTGTATATAGTGAGAGATAGACAGTTTCATTCATCTACTACATGTAGCTTGCCAATTTTCCCAGGACCATTTATTAAATAGTGTCCATTCCCCAATTTATGTTTATGTATGCTTCATCAAAGATCAGTTGGCTGTACATATTTGGCTTATTTCTGGGCTCTCTATTCTGTTTCATTTGTCTATGTCCCTACTTCTTTTTTTGAGATGGAGTCTGACTCTGTCGCCAGGCTGGAGTGCAGTGGCACAATCTGGGCTCACTGCAGCCTCTGCCTCCTGGGTTCAAGCGATTCTCTTGCCTCAGCCTCCCGAGTAGCTGGGACTACAGGCACGTGCCACCACATCCGGCTAATTTTTAGTAGAGATGGGGTTTCATCATTTTGGCCAGGATGGTCTCGATCTTTTGACCTGTGATCTGCCCGCCTCAGCCTCCCAAAGTGCTGGGATTACGGGCGTGAGCCACCGCACCCAGCCTATGTGCCTACTTTTATACCAGCACCATATACTGTTTTGGTAACTGTATCCTCGTAGTACAGTTTGAAGTCCAGTAATGTGATGCCTCCAGATTTGTTATTTTTGCTTAGAATGGCTTTGACTACGCAGGCTCTTTTTTGGTTCCACACGAATTTTAGGATTGTTTTTTCTAATTCTGTGAAAAATGATGTTGGTATTTTGATGGGAAGTGCATTGAATCTGTAGATTGCTTTGGGCAGTATAGTCATTTTCACAATATTGATTCTTCCAATCCATGGGCATAGGATGTGTTTCCATTTGTTTGTATCATCTACAGTTTCTTTCAGCAGTGCTTTGTAGTTCTCCTTGTAGAGATCTTTCACCTCCTTGGTTAGGTATATTCCTAGTTATTTTATTTTATTTGCAGATGTTATAAAAGGGACTGAGTTCTTGATTTGATTCTAAGCTTGATCATTGCTGGTGTATAGCAGTGCTATCGATTTGTGTACACTGATATTACAAACTGAGAGTTTACTGAATTTGTTTATCAAATCTAAGAGTCTTTATGACTTTCTAGCCATACAATCATATCATCTGCAAACAGCAATAATTTGACTCTCTCCTTTCCAATTTGGATACCCTTTATTTCTTTCTCTTGCCTAACTGATCTGGCTAGTACTTCCAGAACTATGTTTAATAGGAGTGGTGAAAGTGGGCATCCTTGTCTTGTTCCTGCTCTCGGGGAAATGCTTTCAACTTTTCCCCATTCCGTATGATGTTGGCTGTGCGTTAGTCATAGACGGCTTTTATTATTTTAAGGTAGGTCCCTTCCATGCCTACTCTCAACAGTTTGTTGACAGTTTTTATCATAAAGTGTGCTGGATTTTGTCAAATGCTTTTTCTGCATCTATTGAGATGATCATATGGCTTTTGTTTTTAATTGTTTATGTGCTGTATCACATTTACTGACTTGCATATTTTAAACTACTCCTACTAGACAAGTTTCTTGAAAACAGCAGATACTTCGATTCTGTACCCATTCTGCCATGAAACCCACTTGATCATGATCAATTATCTTTTTGATGTGTTGTTGAATTCAGTTAGCTAATATTTTGTTGAGGATTTTTGCATCTATGTTCATCACAAAAATTGCTCTGCAGTTTTCTTCTTTTGTTGTGTCCTTTCCTAGTTTTCTAATTAGGGTGATACTGGTTTCACAGAATGATCTAGGGAGGATTCCTTCTCTCAATCTTTTGGAATAGTTTCAGTAGGATTGGTACCAAGTCTCTGAATGTCTGGTAGAATTCAGCTGTGAATTCATCTGATCCTGGGCTTTTTCTGTTGGCAATTTTTTTGTCTTTTTTTTTTTTTTTGAGACGGAATCTCACTCTGTCACCCAGGCTAGAGTGCAGTGGCGCGAACTCGGCTCACTGCAAGCTCCGCCTCCTGGGTTCACCCTATTCTCCTGTCTCAGCCTCCCGAGTAGCTGGGACTACAGGCGCCCCGCCACACACCCCGCTAATTTTTTTTTTTTTTTTTTTTTTTTTTTTAGTAGAGACCAGGTTTCACCATGTTAGCCAGGATGGTCTCGATGTCCTGACCTCATGAGCCGCCCGCCTCGGCCTCCCAACATGCTGGGATTACAGGCATGAGCCACCATGCCTGGCTGGCAATTTTTTAATTACTGATTTAATCTCACTGCTTGTTATTGGTCTGTTCAAGGTTTTATTTCTTCCTGATTTAATCTAGGAAGGTTGTACGTTTCCAGGAATTTGACCATTTCCTCTGGCTTTTCTAGTTTGTGCACATAAAGGTGTTAATAGTAGTCTGGAATGATCTTTTGTATTTCTGTGGTGTCAAGTGCAATGTCACCAGTTTCATTTCTAATTGAGCTTATTTGGGCCTTCTCTCTTCTTGATTAATCTAGCTCATGGTCTATCAATTTTATTTTTTCGAAGCGACAGCATATTTCACTGATCTTTTGTATTTTTTTGTGTGTGTTTGAATTTCATTTAGTTCTGCTCTGATCTTTGTTACTTCTTCTTCTAGCTTTTTGTTCCTGTTTCTCCAGTTCCTTGAGGTGTGACATTAGGTTGTCAATTTGTGCTCTGAAATTCTGATGTAGGCATTTAGTGCTATAAGCTTTCCCTCAGCACTGCTTTTGCTGTATCCCAAAGGTTTTGATAACTTGTCTCATTATTATCATTCATTTCAAAGAATTTTAAAATTTCCATCTTGGTTTCATTGTTAACCCAGATATCATTCAGGAGCAGAATATTTAATTTCCATGTATTTGTACAGTTTTGAGAGTTCCTTTTTGACTAGTACTTCCAGAACAGTACTTCTTTGACTAGTACAAACTAGAGTTGATTTCTAGTTTTATGCCGCTGTGGTCTGCAGGGATACTGGATATAATTTCGATTTTTTAAAATTTATTGAGACTTGCTTTGTGGCCTATCATATAATCTATCTTGGACAATGTTCCATGTGCTGATAAAAATGTATATTCTGCAGATCTTAGGTAGAATGTTCTCTAAATATCAGTCCATTTGTTCTAGCATTTCGTTTAAGTCCACTGTTTCTCAGTTGACTTTTAGTCTCAAAGATCTGTCTAGTGCTGTCAGTGGTGTACTGAAATCTACCACTGCTATTGTTTTGCTGTCTATCTCATTTCTTAGGTCTAGCAGTAATCGTTTTACAAATCTGGGAGTTCCAGTGTTAGGTGCGTATAACTTTAGAATTGTAATATCTTGTTGAATTGATTGTTTTATTATTATATAGTGACTATATTTGCCTTTACTGTTGTTGAAGTTTGTTTTGTCTAAGAATAGCTACTCCTGTTTGCTTTTGGTTTCCATTTATGTAGAATACCTTTTTCCACTTTTCTGAGTTTACAGGACTCCTTCTCTGTTAGGTGAGTTTCTTGAAGACAGCAGATATTTGGATTCTGTATCCATTCTGCCATTCTGTATGTTAGGTGGAGCTAGTTTAGGCCACTGACATTCAATGCTAATATTGAGATGTGAAGTATCATTCTCTTCCTCATGTTGTTACCTAGTTTGTTTGTTTGCTTTTTTCATTGTATAATTGTTTTACAGATCCTGTGGGTTTTAAGCTTTCCACTTTGGTGTATATCAGGCTTTTGTTTCAAGGTTTATAACTCCTTTTAGCATTTCTTGTAGTGCTGGTTTGGTAGGGACAAATTCCCCTGGCATTTGTTTAAAATGACTTTATTTCTCCTTCATTTACAAAACTTAGTTTTGTGGGATAAAAAATTCTTGGCTGACAGTTGTTCTGTTTAAAGAGGTTGAAGACAGGACCCTAATCTCTTTTGGCTTGTAAGGTTTCTGCTGAGAAGTCTGCTGTTACTTTGATAGGTTTTCCTTTGTAGGTTATCTGATGCTTTTGTCTTACTGGCTTTAGAATTCTTTCCTTCATCAGTTAACAAAAATTTACTGTACATTTAAAAATAGATAAAAGAGTATAACTGGAATGTCTGTTACACAAAGAAATGAAAAATGCTTAAAGTGATAGATGCCCCATTTACCCTAATGTGATTGTTATCCATTGTATGCCTATCAGAACATCACACCTACTCCATAAATATATACACCTACTATCTACCCTTAAAAAACTGAAAATTAAAATTTAAAAATCTAAAAAATAAAAATAAAATAAAATCTGATGACTTTTAACCACGTCCACCATAACCAACCTGGTCAGAGCAACCACCATCTCTCACTTGGATTATACATTGCCTTCCAACTAGTTATCTTACTTCCCCACCTGAAAATAAACCCTTCCCCAGAGTTTATTCTCAGCAACAGCATCCAGAGTATTCCTGCTAATCTACATTAGCATCCAGGCATGGTGACTCACACCTGTAATCCTAATACTTTGGGAGGCTAAGATGGGAGGACTGCTTGAGGCCAGGAGTTCAAGACAGCCTGGGCAATATAACAAGACCCTCTCTCTACAAAAAATTTAGGCAGGCATGGTGGCGTGTGCCTTCAGTCCTAACTACTTGGGAGGCTGAGGCAGGAGGATCACTTGAGCCCGGAAGTTTGAGGCTGCCGTGAGCTATGATCACTCCATTGCATGCCAGCCTGGGTAACACAGCAAGATCCCATCCCTAAAAAAGAAAAAAAAAAAAGAATCTAAATTACGTAACAGCATTCCTCTGCTCAAAACCTTCTAATAGTTTCCTGTCTCTGAGTAAATACTTCACAATAATTAAGGCTATAAGGCCCTAATAATCTGATTCCCGTTAACTTCTTGGCCTCAACCTCTATCACTATTCCTCACTCACTGTGCTCTACTCACAATAGTATCCTTGCTGACGTTCCCACCTCAGAGCCTTTCCACTTGCTAGTTTGCCCCCAATATCCACATCACCCCTTCTCTCACTTCTTAGGTGTCTGCTCAAATGTCATCTTATGAGCCTATCTCTGACCACCCTATGTAAAATAGCGACCTCGGCCAGGCGCGGTGGCTCACACCTGTAATCCCAGCACTTTGGGAGGCTGAGGCAGGTGCATCACCTGATGTCAGGAGTTCATGACCAGCCTGACCAATATGGTGAAACCCTGTCTCTACTAAAATTACAAAAATTAGCCGGGCATGGTGGCAGGCGCTTGTAGTCCTAGCTACTCGGGAGTCTGAGGCAGGAGAACTGCTTGAACCCAGGAGGCAGAGGTTGCAGTGAGCCAAGATCGCGCCACTGCACTCCAGCCTGGGCAACAGAGCAAGACTCTGTCTCAAAAAAACAAAAAAACAAAACAAACAAACAAACAAAAAAGCAACTTCTCTCACAGCAGCCCCTCCCAAAGCACATCTGTTTTATTTTTCTGCATAGGATTTACCATTGGCAGATGGTGTCTTTGTTTACTCTGCATTGCACACCTAAAACAATGTCTGGCACAAAAGAGAAACACAAACGAATTTCTCAAAATATTTTCTCATACAGGATCACATTCAATGCTCACATGATCCTGAAAAGCAGTAAAGAACAGATAAATTTTTTAATAATCTTTTAAATTGTGAAAGCACAAATATACAAAGATGTTAAATGATTTGTCTATGATCACACAGTGAAGTAACTGCAGAACTAACCCTAGAATTGGGGTCCCCAACATCTTTTCCAATTCACATCACTGTCTCCACAAACAAATCAAAGAGCAGGTGTATATTTGATTTCACACAGTGATCTTTAAAAAGCTCAAGATGGCATCTATTCCTTTAAACCACGATCAAACATGAAATAGCACCAGAATAGTACATGACTCCGTAGCTATTTATTTTCTTCTAACTAAAAGGGAGTAATAGAGGTCATCAGACTATTTTTAGAATTTACCGATTTTGTGACAATTCTG
Source organism: Homo sapiens (assembly GCF_000001405.40). Lineage (NCBI taxonomy): Eukaryota > Metazoa > Chordata > Mammalia > Primates > Hominidae > Homo > Homo sapiens. The sequence continues at coordinate 123,204,585 of NC_000009.12, forward strand.
ACTAAAAGGAAAAAGGGGTAATGTGCCAAGAAACAGTTAAGAATTCAAATATGCTGTGCATGGTGGCTCACACCTGTAATCCCAGCACTTTGGGAGGCCGAAGTGGGTGGATCACAAGGTCAGGAGATCGAGACCATCCTGGCTAACACAGTAAAACCCCGTCTCTACTAAAAATACAGAAAAAAAAAAATTAGCCAGGCATGGTGGCGGATGCCTGTAGTCCCAGCTACTCGGGAGGCTGAGGCAGGAAAATGATGTGAACCCGGAAGGCAGAGGTTGCAGTGAGCCGAGACTGCGCCACTGCACTCTAGCCTGGGCAACAGAACAGGACTCCATCTCAAAAAAAAAAAAAAAAAAGAAAGAAAGAAAGGAAAAAAAAAAAAGAATTCAAATATTCGGCCAGGCACGGTAGCTCACACGCCTGTAATCCCAGCACTTTGGGAGGCCGAAGTGGGCAGATCACCCGAGGTCAGGAGTTCAAGACCAGCCTGGCCAACATGGCAAAACTCCGTCTCTACTAAAAATACAAAAATTAGCTGGGTGTGGTGGCGGGCACCTGTAATCCCAGCTACTTGAGAGGCTGAGGCAAGAGAATTGTTTGAACCTAGGAGGCAGAGGTTGCAGTGAGCCGAGTTTGCACCACTGCACTCCAGCTGGGCAACAAGAGCAAAACTCTGTCTCAAAAACAAAAAGAATTCAAATATTCTCTGTCCTCCTCTGTCTGCTGAAGCACACTTAACACTGAAGGGTAAACCAATACCTTGGTAAACAAGCTTAAAACAGTGTCTTTGATTCTCAAAAGACCTTCTGTTGCCATTCTGTACCACAGAGCATGGCAAAACAAAACAAAACCCATATCTGGAGACAGAATGGACACGATTATTTCTCTTAATGAGGTAAGTTTGCAAAACGAACTTAGAATCTGCAATCCAGTTATAAGCAAGCAGTAATGTTAACAAATTACCAATTTTGAAACAAGCAAAAATAATAATATTCAGCTTAGCAAAATAAATAGGTTTTAACCTACAAAAAGAAATACATAGATTCACCAATATTGTGTCCATACAAGAAAATTATCTTATACTACTTAAAAGTGCTAAAAATTAATAAGTACATTAGATCCTTCAGTAATATAGTAATTTAATTTCCAGGCTCTTGCTACTATTCATTCTTCTCTTTCTGGCATCCTCTGCCACAGTTGGAAACTGTGTATCTAGGTCAGAAAAGACAAGTAGCTTTTCAGAACAATTCAATATCTTTGGCTCAGGTGTTGATATTATAATTCAACCCTTTCACAAACTCCTTTTAAAACCTGACGTAAATCACAAGATTAGTACTACTGATATTTATGAAAAACCACTGGAAAAAGTAATTTGGAGATAACGGACAAAAGAAGAATCTAAGACAGGCCATCCAATGTAATTGGTATAAAAGCAATAGATTGGGGTCAAAAGATCTGTATTACAGTTCCGGCTCGACTCCTAACGTGTTCGCCAATTGTGAACAAACCTCAATTCTGAGCCTCAATTCCATCGCTTATAAGGAAATGGGGTGAACTATACCTAGATTACTTTTTACTTTTTTAAGTCTACCTGAATATGATTCTATGATACACGAGAAATCTGCAAGTACATTCCTATGAGATCAGTTAAAACTATTCCTTAAAAGTGTATGTTTTGCAATGTAATCATATTTTAAATACCGTAGATAAAGCTAAAAAACAGACAATTGGGGAAATTCGGACACTGAATATTTGACATTTGGGGATTACTTCTGGAGTGTAATAATGGCATTATGTGAGTTTCATTTTGGAATGGGGGAGTCATACCTTTTAGAGATACATACCAAACTACTTACAGATGAATGTATGAATGTGGATATCTGGGATTTTAAAAAAATAATCCAGTTGCAGGGGCAAGGAAGTAAAATACAATTGGCCATATGTTGATAGGTATTGAAAATGAATGACAGGGGGTTCTTTATGGTTCACTGGGGTTCTTGCTACTTGTTTATGTCTGAACATTTCCATAATAAGATTTTTTTTTCTTTTTTTCTTTATTTTTTTTATTTTTGACACGGGTTTCACTCTGGTTGCCCAGGCTGGAGTGCAATAGCGCAATCTCGGCTCATCACAACCTCCGCCTCCCGGGTCCAAGTGACTCTCCTGCCTCAGCCTCCTGAGTAGCTGGAATTACAGGCACCCGCCACCACGCTCAGCTAATTTTGTATTTTTAGTAGAGACGGGGTTTCGCCATGTTGGTCAGGCTGGTCTCGAACTACTGACCTCAGGTGATCCGCCCACCTTGGCCTCCCAAAGTGCTAGAATTACAGGCATGAGCCACCGCGCCCAGCCAAGAAGATTTTTTAAATATGAACAAATTTATCAAGAATCTAATCAACCAACTTTCCGTTTTTCTGTGGTAAAATGAGATTTTCATGTCATATTTTCTGCTTTGGAAAGTCCATTATGTCTAATTGCATAAAACCAAAGCAGGTGAAACTATAAAAGAATAAAAAAAACAGCTCGAGGAGCAATTTAATAGTAACTGATAACGTCAAAGATGCGGATACCCTATAAGCAATGATACCACTTCTATTTACAGCACCTAGAGTAACTTCAACACAGAAACCCAATAAGACAGACAACACCAACATTTACTGTAGCACTGATTTTGTGCATTATCACAAAATACTGGCAATCTAAATGTCCATCAACAAGAGAATAAAGATATACACTGCACAGTTTATGAATGACAGTGATCCACTTCATCATGTCTAAAGTCAAAAACAAAGTTGGAGGAAAAAGCTAGTTGCAGAATAGCATGAACAAAGTGATGCCCTGAATATAAGCTTGAAAAAACATAAGATAATGTTACATATCATTTATGGAGAGAGATACAGACATACTTTTTTAGTATAAAAAACATTCAAAGTAATGACAAAAAATTCAGGAGAGTGGTTACCTTTGGGAAAAGTAGGATTAGAACACATCAGGAAAGCGGGGTCGGGGGCTAGGGGAGGGATAGCATTCGGAGAAATACCTAATGTACATGACGGGTCGATGGGTGCAGCAAACCACCAAGGCATGTGTATACCTATTCACAAACCTGCACGTTCTGCACATGTATCCCAGAACTTAAAGTATAATAAAAAGTTCAAAAAAAGAACACATCAGGGAGGGATATACACATAATACATATCTGAGCTACTATTTCTTAGAGGAAAAAAATCTGAAACAAGTTTGGTAAAACATTAGAATATGAGAGAGATATTTGTGGTGAACACACAGTTGTTTATCATATTCTATTTTTGTCTATAAGCTTTAAACAATTTCTAATTTCAAAATATTTTTAAAATTATGTGAACACGTAAGATACGTAGAAACAAAAGGAACTTTGATCCTCTTTAGCAAGAAGCTACTTTAGCTTTGGTTTTAGCCTTCCGGTACTAGCAAAATAAGTATTCAATGTAAACTAAATATTGATATTGAGTAGAAGGTACAAGAAAGTTCTCCATCAAAGAAGACTGTAAGTTTTTTTTTTTTTTTTAAGTGGAATGAGACATATTCCAACATAGAATTATCTAGGGGAGTAAACAAGACATTCAAAGTATTCGAGGGTGCTGGCTAAAGTCACTGTCACTATAACGAAGGTTACAAAAAGCACCAAAGAAGGTAATACTGCCCCAAAACATTCTAATTTTAACTCCAGTAATACTTTTGTTAGGACAGATCTATGGAAAGCCCAGGATGTTTCCCAAGTCCTGTAACCTGGCAGAACTCAGCCTCCAAGTTCTGCTTTCTCCGCAGATTTCATCAGGATTTGCTTACAGACCTTAGCTAGCGCACAGTTTGTTGTTAAGAGGGTCCTAGAGTAGGACTTACTCTAGTGCAGGAGTCAGCAAACTTTTTCTTAAGGGGAGGGGCAAAATAGTAAATATTGTAGACTGGTGGGCCACACAGTCTCTGTGGCAACTGCTGACATTTGCCATTGTAGTATAAAAGCATCCATAAACAACATATACATGAATAAGTATGGCTATGATTTAACAGTATTGCTTACCCCAGCTTTACCACATGGTCTTTCTTGCATTTCATCCAGATGCCTGGGAGGTCTCTCAATTGTGGCTGGGACAAAGTTTTAACATCCCCTAGCCACATACTTCTAGTATTTGTTCCACTGCCAATCCTGTGGCAGCCACCTGATAAACCCTCCAGTCTTTCCCCATCATGGACAGCCCAACACTCTGACAAGAATTCACAAGAGACTCACAAACAAACATTTGGGAACCTCTCTTGTACAGCTTCTTCTTGTCTGGTTCCCTTCCCCGAACACTTTAGCTGTCTCAAGTGTACCAAACTCCAACCTCTGCCTCCTCAACATGGTTAGGTGACATGCTCTGCTTGCATTCCAGCTCAGCAAACTGTCCTCAGGCAGAGAACAGGAGTAATCACTGAGCTCTCCTCATAAATGTCAAGATCACAATCCTGTGCAGCCTGTTGCCCAAAGCCTGAAAATCTTCCCACATATATTCTGTTAAGTTTCATAATTGTTTATGGCAAGAAGGCTAGTCTAGAACTAGTTACCCATAATACTTAGAAGTCTTAGTCAATAAACATTCTAGTTTCTACTATATATCAAGACCTCAGCTGGGGCACAGTTAAATATGATGCTATGGTATAATCGAAAGAACATCAGGGTGAGCATAACTAGCCATTTATTCATCCATCTAACCAACAAATACTTACTAAGCATCTACAAATACCAGGAAAGCACTTGACTTTATGTCTTCAAGGCTTCAGTATTAACAATACACTCTAAAGTGGGATGATAACCTGCCCACCTAATCACATAGATTTGTGGTAAGAATTAAATGTAAAAATGTAAAAGCATTTGATAAAGTACTACACAATATGTTATTTTTGTGATGCCTACAATCATATTCTTCTTAGTAAACCACAAGAAGTTCACCATGTACACTTTCCCAACGCAGAAACAACATGTAAAGAGGATGGCTCTAAAAGAGTATGGGGTGTATGTATGCATGTATGTGTGCACATGTGTGCTGATGAGGGAGGTTTCCAGATTTCAAATCTGCTAGAGAACAGAGTGCATACATGGAAGTGACAGGAGATACAGGTATTTACCATACAATGTTGATAAGCAGAATGAAATATTTTCAAGCTCAGTAATAAAAATAATTTTCAAAATAAATAATAAGTTTGTCTCGATAAATTACACTGGTCATACTCATTTTCTCATCAATGGTTGCCATACACACACACACAAATTTATTCATATATATAAACAAGGTTCAGAGAAAGGGTAAATCATTCAAGAAACATATAGGCTGCTGAGAATTTAGGGAAAAGTCATGGTAGCAGACCAGTGAACCTTATTCAGATACTTGTATTCAAAAAACAAATGTGAATCTAGCTTTTAAGAGAGGCTTATTTTCTATTCAGTGGTTGGGAATGAGCAATTTGTAGTTATATATATTGGTATATTCGAAAATGCTTCCTGTTCTTTCATTTTCTTAAACTATCTTCTTCATCTATTCTACCACTGCAATCTCAAGCCTTTAAATAAGTGTCAACTATAGAGTTAACAGATATGGGCATCGAAAATGAGAAAAACAAAAGTCAATTATTTCTTAAAGACACAAAAGTATAACCATAAAATAAATCTGAGTATTAAAATCAAGAACTTTTGGTCATCAAAAAACACCCTAAAGATGGTAAAAAGACAAGTTACAAACAAGATTTTTGGAATACATACACCCAACAAAAGATAAACATCAAGAATACAAAAAGAAGTCTTTTTATATTCCAAAAGAAAAGAAAAAAAAAATCCAGGAGTAGGATAAGAAAAAAACAGAAAAAAAAGGCAAGAACAAGCATTTCACAGAAGGTAAAACACAAAACCAATAAAAATAGAAGAAACATTATTATAAAAAATGATCAAGCAGGCCGGGCGCAGTGGCTCACGCCTGTAATCCCAGCACTTTGGGAGGCTGAGGTGGATCACGAGGTCAGGAGTTCAAGACCAGCCTGACCAAGATGGTGAAACCCCGTCTCTACTAAAAATACACAAAAATTAGCTGGGTGCGGTGGCAGTCGCCTGTAATCCCAGCTACTCAGTAGGCTGAGGTATGAGAATCGCTTGAACCTGGGAGACGGAGGCTGCAGTGAGCCAAGATCGTGCCACTGCACTCTAGCCTGGGCAACAGAGCAAGAATCCGTTTCAAAAAAAAAAAAAGATCAACCAAATGCAATAAAAATGAAATACCATTTTACATCTATTCAAGCTCCAAAAACACCAGAAATCTAAAAATACCAAGAACTGGAAAAAATGTGGACCCACAATGGCTTTTTATGTATTGATGGTAGGAAAAAATGTTCAGTCTTCCACAAATTGAAGTCCCATAACCTATTATGCAGGGATTTTACTCCTAGGTATACACTAAGAGAAACTCACACATGTACAAACAACAGACACATATTAGAATGTTCATAGCAAGACTGTTCACAACAGCAAAAACCTGGAAAACATGCAAAACGTCCATTCACAGGTAAATGAATTAAACTATGTACATTAAGATAATAGATTATTCGACAAAGTGAATGAACTACAATGACATGCAACATTATGAATAAATTTTAGCATTACATTAAGTAAAAACAATAAGTTCCAAATGATTACATCATAGAATAACCTTTTTATAAAAAATAAACCAAAATAAAAAAGTATTCCTTCTAAGAATCCATAAAGATGTGATAAAGACAAATAAAAACAGAAAGAGGGTGAATACAAAATTCAGGTTTGAATTCTGTCGAGGAAGCCATGGGGATAGGATGGTTGGGGAAACCTGGAAGTCACATATAGGTTATTATAATAAGTACCTACCTTTTTTTTCCCCAATGGTGGATAAACAAGTGCTTATTGCAGGCCAATGAAACTATGTCATAAACAAGGACTATGACTAATCCATTATCTAATTCTGTGCACATTATAACCAATTCTTTAAAAAGCTTCTCAGCCTATATTAAATTTTTACTAAATTAAGTTTTGGTCTTCCTGACTGAAGTATAATTTTTTAAATTTAGGCCAAATCGGTTCAACTATAAAGAGTTGTTATACTATTTTCCTAATATGGATAACTTTAAAATATTGAATTGCTAATATAGTGTCCTCCTAACTTATCACATATGAGTATAATTCACAGACTATAATTTGACTCATGGTATATCCAATATAACAGTATTAATAAAACTGCAACTGAGTAAGTACTCAGTTTGCTACATACTAGAAAGAGAACAAAAACTTCCATAATCTATAGAAAATAATCTTGCTTTTTACAAGATGACTTCTCACCTAACCCCTAAAATATAGACACTAACTCAAAAAGAACCTTCTTACTCCTGAATGACACTTTCAAGTCAACCTTAGTATTTTTCCCAACCTTTTGCTCTGAATAAGAAAAGTAAAATGCAAAACTTCTTCCTTAATACGGATTTTTTTCAGTTATTAGAAAACTCAACATTAGGATTTTCCTAACAACTCAGCCACTTAATAAATAAATGCACGTGTATACATTTAACACTTCAGGGGAAGGTAAGACTATAAAAAGAATTTGTTCTAGTGAGTTTCAATTACCGCATTTTGTCATTTCCAATACGGTACTCACAGAACTTTATATTCACCTACCTCTGACACGGGTTCATGAGGAAAACAGTATATATTAATAATTGATAAGCATTTGTCGAATGATTTTCATATGTAAAATGGATCTCTTGCCTGAATTTCCAGTGGAAAACAAACTTCAAACTACTAAAATTCGTATATTTATTAGCTGCAAGGTTTTAAACTATCCAACTATTTGGATAATACTGACACCCCCAACGCCCCTCCCTAGCCAAAAAAGAGACAGAAAAGGAGGAAAGAACAAGCAACGCCAGCAATGATGTGAGAAGTCGATTCAGTTATTTAGTTGTTATTCACCTGTCAAACATTCCCAGATGTCCTTGGCTTTCCCAAGATAGATCCTTCACATGACTATCAAGAATATTATCCACAGATAAGCAGGATAAGAACATTGAAGACAATCTAGAAATAGAGACATTTCCTACCAGGCAAGACACCAATAAGTGAATAAATTTGAGTCTTAAATACACAAATACGCATTCCCATACAGCGTTATACAAAGCAATTCTTATTAAAAATTAAGCAAAGTAAATTCTGCATCACAGACATTCCTGTGTGGTTCAAAATCTCAGTATTTCACAGATAAAAGGGCCAGACTCATAAATTTTAAAACTCTCACAAGATCATGCAACTAGTAAATGGCAGAGATTAAGTGCAAATTCAGGTCTGATGACTAGACTTCAAAGAAAATTAAATAAAAAAATAGAACTATGTCAGGAGACCAGGGCTATAGTGTTGAAATGGCCACTCAGCCATAAAGGCTTTTCCCTGGCTCTGTAAATTCTGTTTCCTGAAAAATAATCATCACCCACCTATGTGCTCCCAAGGCCGCAATGAAGGTTCATTTACTAACAGTCATGGTAGTAGTTTGAAAAGCACAGTCTTATATAAGCAGGGAAGATTACCCTTCCAACCTAATCAGCGTACTGAAACTCAAGGGACAGCAATATAACGCCATGAACTTGTGACTGGTGTTTTCTCAGTATGCAACAAATTCTCCAATTCAAGAAGAATCCTGACAAAATCTCAGTTATTCAGAATGTGTAACTGATAAATGGAAAAGTACAGCCACCAGGTTCGTTTTTCGAAACTTGATAACTTTATTAAGGCAGGAGAACAGAATCGACTAAATTCAGCTTCAAAAAGCCTACCCACAAAACCCTAACAGTAATAATGCCCAAATACTCAGCTACATCTTTTACATGAATTACTTCATTTAATCCTCAAAAACCATCTGTGGAGAATATGATTATACCAACTGGACAGAGGAAACAATAGTTTAGAGGAATGAAGTGACTTACCTGAGATCAAGCAGCTAGTCTGCGACAGAGCCAGGACTAGAATCAGACCACCTGCGGCCAGTCACAGTGGCTCATACCTGTAATTCCAGCACTTTAGGAGCCAAGGCGGGTGGATCACCTGAGGTCAGGAGTTCGAGACCAGCCTGGCCAACATGGTGAAACCCCGACGCTACTAAAAATACAAAAATTAGCCAGGCATGGTGGTGCGCACCTGTAGTCCCAGCTACTCAGGAAGCCGAGGCAGAATTGCTTGAACCTGGGAGGCGGAGATTGCAGTGAGCCGAGATTGCGCCACTGTACTCCAGCCAGCGTGACAAAGCGAGACTCCATCTCAAAAAAAAAAAAAAAAAGAATCACTAAAAGTAGAACTACCGTTTGATCCAACAATCGTACTACTGGGTATCAACCCAGAGGAAAAGAAGTCATTATATGAAAAAGATACTTGTACATGCATGTTTACAGCAGCACAATTCACAAAATTGCAAAAATGTGTACCAGCCCAAATGCCCATCAATCAATGAGTGGATAAAGTGTGGTGTATATATATATATATGTATACACACACACACACACACACACACACACACACACACACAAAATGGAACAGTACTCAGCCCCAAAAAGGAATGAATGACATTCTCAACAACCTGGATGGTACTGGAGACCATTATTCTAAGTGAAGTAACTCAGGAATGGAAAACCAAACATCGTATGTTCTCACTAATAAGAGGGAGCTAAGCTATGGGGATGCAAAGGCATAAGAATGATGGGTGGTGAGGGATAAAAGACTATAAATCAGGTTCAGTGTACACTGCTTGGGTGATGGGTGCACCAAAATCTCACAAATCACAGGTAAAGAATTTACTCATATATCCAAATACCACCTGTTCCCCAAAAACCTATGGAAATAAAAATTTTTTATTAAAAATTAAGAAAATAAAAGAAAGAATCAGACCACCTGTCTACAGAGCTGGGACTCCTCATGACTCATTATGCTAATAAAGGTTCTGCAAAACAGACCATCCCTCTCTTGAAAGAGTCAGGTCAAATGCTACCTCTCCAGAAAGCCTTCCCTCATCCCATCCCAAGTGTAACATTAATTCTCCCTCCTCTTTGTTCTCAAAACAAGTTTTATTTCCTCTCAGACAACTGTACCTACCTATACTATATTCATACAGATATGAATGAACAAATATGAAAATCTCAGTATTATGAATCTTGACATTTATGCACGTGTTTATATGTGTGTGGGTGTATATATATGTACAAAATCCTGGCTGATTTTTTAAAACAAAATTTTACTTTAGTCTCTGGGCATATAGATTGCTTCGCATTATAGTTTCTGGTGTCCACATTTTTGCTCCTCTTGTTAATAATCACTTGGTATGGATAGTGAGTCCACTGTTCCTGGGTTATGGTCTTAGGCAAGCATGTAACTAAGTCAGTGGAGGTGCCTGATGCCAAAGCCCAATTTCTTTCTTTTTTTTTTTCTTAAAGAGATGGGCTCTTACTCTGTCACCCAGGTTGGAGTGCAGTGGCACAATTATAGCTCACTGCGACCTCGAACTCCTGGGCTCAAGCGATCCTCCCACCTCAGCCTCCCAAGTAGCTAAGACTACAGGCATGCACCACTGGCTAACTGTTTTATTGTAGAGACACGTTCTTGCTATGTTGCCCAGGCTGGTTTCCAACTCCTGGGCTCAAGCGATTCTCCAGCCTCAGCCTCCCAAAGCTCTGGGATTATAGGCATGAGCCACTGTGCCCAGCCTGAAGCCCATTACTTACATAGCTCACCCAATCATTACAGCCACTCTGATCTTAATTCTTAAAGCTGGGGTTAGGGTAAGAACCAGAGCCATGCCAATCTCATTTACTATTCAGTTAACAAATATTTATTGTATACAAATTATAAAAATTCAATAAGGCCAGGCATGGTGGCTCATGCCTGTAATCCCAAAAATTTGGGAGGCCAAATTACCTGAGGTCAGGAGTTTGAGACCAGCCTGGCCAACATGGTGAAACCCTGTCTCTACTAAAAATATAAAAATTAGCCGGGTGTGGTGATGCGTGCCTATAATCCTAGATACAGGGGAGGCAGAGGCAGGAGAATCGTTTGAACCCAGGAGGCGGAGTTGCAGTGAGCTGAGATCGTGCCATTGCACTCCAGCCTGGGAGACAAGAGCGAAACTCCATCTCAAAAAAATAAAATAAATAAATTCAATAAATACAGTGTTGGTAACATTCTAAAATTCTACGAACAAGAAGGCCCTCAGCTTCCAAGTTCGATTCTGGATTCTTATATTTCCAAAGCACAAAGTTAGGTCTACTCCTAATGTCTGATAACAGTGAAAGAAAGATTTCGGACATCTCATTTCCCACTCCTCTGCTGAAAATTAGACTCAACCATGCTTACTCTGTAACCTACTCACAGAAATAAGATGTTTAACCCTTGGAATGAAATTTTTCAAAATACCATCCTTAACATCTTAAACCCTCCACCCTTATTCTGCATTCAACTTAAGACAGTGCCTTCTCCCACAGGAAGCGTCCTCTCATCTTGACCTGTACCGCTACCCCCTTCCTAATCCTTTGCCTGGCATGGACTGAATGAAGAAGACCTCCCATATCTCACACTGCACTAGTTTTGCCCTATGTTTTACCACTTACCAGCTCTGTAACTACATGTTCCTAGAAGGCAGATACTGTGTTTTGCTCTTGGCTGTATACCCCTAGTATATATCACAATGCCTAGATAGTAAGCTCTCAAATAGTTGTCAAGCGAATAATCAAATGAATAAATGATTGATGACTCAATTATAATTCCTGGTACTTCAGGGTGGGAATACGTGCAACTCCTCATCATTCTTTATAGTTGGAGCACAGCTAGGCTCATAATTTACAACAGACAGTCTTGCCATAGAAATGTCTATCATGCTCCATGCAAATATATGTCGTGACCACAGCTGCTGTGCTTACTACCCTTTAGTCACTGAGAAGCAAATCCAAGCTTATCAGAGTGTACTTGAACTGAGGTCCTGACCACGATTCATTCTAAAGATGCTTTATTCTCAGATAAAGGGAACTACCCATATAAATAGCAAACACTGCTACGATATCATGTACAATTACATGTCCCATCTTGTAAAACTGATTACCTTGGCAAGTGAGCCTTCATTTTTTATCTCCCATGTTCCATAGAGTGTACAGGACACTTTGCATTAATTACCTCAGTTAATATTCACATCAACTCTACAAGGTAAATGTGATACAATCAGTCTCTATTTTAAGGTTTACAAACTGAAACTCAGTTAAGTCACTTGTCCAAAGGTACACAAGGGAAAATCTACAATTTAAATCCAAGTCTGTTAGGTGCCAAAACCTATGGTTCTCTACAATTTTAAGTGCCCTCAAGTAAAAGATACCTGCCTTATCTGCTTCTCAAGGTGCTATGAATCAACTAAAAATTGAGTTCCGATGTCAGGAAGAAATAATCACCCAATAACTTAAAGTCAGGCTTCCCATTTAGTATTACATATAAATACAAACTCAACCCGAAAGATAAAAGGAACCTCAAGAATCAAAGCTGCCATAATGAATGAGTTACTGATACTATCTTGTAAAAATTTAAGTCACTGTTAGAAGTTGGGCTTTTTCAAAACAAAGTTACTCAAAATGATAGAGTAGAAGGATAATCTAACCATCTGTTAACAGGATGGTTAAAGGTTAGGAAAACAAGACCAGAAAGAAAAAAAAGCATCTTATTCCAAGAATAACAAACCATATGCAAAGATACTCCCTTGCCAATTTATAAGAAACACAAAGAATGTGAAAAAGAAATGGGAAAAATAATGAGACAGTATTTAAAGAATGTCTTTTCTAAGTTGTCAGTGAAAACAAGGTAAAAATCATTGCCAATTAGACCACAGAAGATCTGAAATACAACCTAAGAACAGCACCATGTGTTTACTTCCTCCGAAATTAAAAGCATGTCCACTTAAAGGCATATTCTCTTGTGAAATCATTCTAATCAATGCAAACAGTCACCAGATAAAGTTAAACCTCCCTTAAAACTATAATTAGCTACTAGTTAGGTTATTTTCAATAAAGGCATTTGATATAATGCTGAACTATTTTAAACTTAAACATATAAGTGGTGTCCATTCTTATTTCCCACTGTCCTTTACTGACAATATTTGAAGATGCTGGCATTCAGTATTGCAAATCCACACTGGCTTCTCTGCCACATACGTTTGCTTTTCAACTTCTTAAAGATTAATGAGCCTTCACTTAAATGCATTTCTAGCTTGTCAGTCCAGATATTTCAATGGCTTTATACAATTTCTCTTCAAATAAAATTTTAACAGACAAGGCAGTTTTTTATTCTTTATAGTTACGGTGGAAGCTTAGTTAGCATCCTCACACTACAAACAATTCCTAAAGAAATCAAATTAAACAATGCCCATAGATAATGTTTCTAAATTCAGGACCCAGCACAATTCCTACATCTTTCCTATGGCATCTTCACAGCTTCTGTCTATGATATACTGTCTTATCACAGATTTAACTAATATTACCTCCTTCTCTCTCTTCTTACTACACATTCTTAGCATAGAATGTTTTCTTCACTGTTCTTCACCATTATTTTTATAACTATAATGAGTTAGCTGAGGAGTGGACTGGGAATGATATGTAACATGTAATCAAAAACAATGCAATGAGGAAATAACCTAAATGAATTATACAGCTTATTTATACATTAAATATGACTTTTTTTTTTTTTTTTTTTTTTTTTGAGACGGAGTCTCGCTCTGTCGCCCAGGCCGGACTGCGGACTGCAGTGGCGCAATCTCGGCTCACTGCAAGCTCCGCCTCCCGGGTTCACGCCATTCTCCTGCCTCAGCCTCCCGAGTAGCTGGGACTACAGGCGCCCGCCACCGCGCCCGGCTAATTTTTTGTATTTTTAGTAGAGACGGGGTTTCACCTTGTTAGCCAGGATGGTCTCGATCTCCTGACCTCATGATCCACCCGCCTCGGCCTCCCAAAGTGCTGGGATTACAGGCGTGAGCCACCGCGCCCGGCCTAAATATGACTTTTAAAGGACATAAATTTCCTATATAAGGTGCAGGGGTGGGAAAATATAATTTGGTTAATTATCCCATATATATTCTATTAGTGACTGGAATTATGATTAACCATGTGCCAGGCATCAGGGTGAATACTAACATACATAATCTAATTTAATAACACTAACAATAATAATAAAATGATGCCTCACATTTACATAGCGCTTACTGTTCTAAGTACACTGCATATATCATTTCATTTATCCTTGCAACAACCCTATAAAAGAAGTACTATTATTTCCAATTCACGGATGAGGAAATAGAGGCCTGAAAAATTTAACTAACCCACAATATAAATGAGGAAGTGACAAAGTCATAATTGAGATTTAGGTTGGAAGATAAAATCAAGCCAAGCTCTTGCCCTGTAAATAATCACTGTATCACCCCGTCCCTAAACCATTCTACAAGGGCTCCCTATGCCCTAAAAGACAGAGAACAGGAGTTTGCAATCTCCATAATGACACACCACCTCACATACAACCTTATCTTCAACAATATTTATAATCTTCAGCTAGAACCAAATCAACCTTGCTGCCATTCCCCAAATCCATCATTCAGTCCCCATGCCTTTATTCACGTAACTTCCCCCGACCCAAAGAGTCTCTACGATTTCAACCCCCCACAAACTCTGCCTGGGGTTCAGACCAAGTCACACCTCCTTCACAGGATATTCTCTGACATATCCAGCCAATTGTAAAATTCTCTTTGCATTAAACTCTTTTAGTAATTACCACAGGCTATCACCATTTTAGCTATTAATCACATACTGCCTCATATTACAAATTGAATGTTTTCAACATGCTTTTCTCCAAACTATAAATTGAAGGCCAGAATTATGTCCCAAAATCCAGTATCCACCTCAGTTCATAGCAAAGTTATACATATAAGAGAAGCTCAATAAATACTGTTAAATTGATGAACGTGTACTTTTATTTAGCGAGACGCAGTAAGGCAAAGTGGGGAAAGTATAGGCTTTGATGTCTCACAGACTTGGATTTAAATCCACTATTTTCTAGCTGTGTGAAAGGGACAAGTTATCCAGAGTTTTTATTCTCATCTGTACTAACAACAATAAAACCTGTATTTCACAGAGTTGCTACAAAATTTAAATGAGAGAAAAAAGACAATTACCTTCAAAGGAGGGACACACTGCCAGCTCTCAATATTAACAATGGATCCAGAATGGGAGCTTCCCCGTGCTTAAAGAAAATAACTGCCAATACACAATTCTATATCTAGTAAATACACAGCCTTCAGGAATGAATGCAAACAAATGAACTTTCTGATAAACAAAAACAGAGTATGCCACAGGTAAACCTGTATTAAAAGAAATTCTAAAGGGTATTCTTCAGGCAGAAAGAAAATTATTACAGATAAAAAATTAGAGATTCAGATGGAAAAAGAGCAAATAAAGAGGTAAGCATATGGGTAAATCTAAGTGAATATGAACAGTTATAACATTATTTTTAAAATGACAAATATTATTTAATACAGTGATGCATTTCTTAACAAAAGTGATACAACCTAAGAAATGTGTCACTAGGCAATTTCATCATTGTGTGACATCATAAAGTGTACTTACACAAACCTAGATGTTATGGCCTTCTATACACCTAGGTTATTATAGCCTATTGCTTCTAGGCTACAAACCTGTACAGCAAGTTATTCTACCAAATACGGTTGTAGGCAACTGTAACACAATCTAAATGTATCCACACACAGAAAAAGTACAGTAAAAATATGATATAATCTCATGGGACCACTGTACATTGTACAAGCAGTCTGTCATTGAAACTTCATTGTGCGGTGAATGACTAAACTTGTGGGCTTAAATGTATACA